>NC_000003.12:28760000-30010000 GCF_000001405.40 Homo sapiens | reverse complement strand
TCTTTTGAAATAAATGGAAGCATTTGTGTCCAGAATAGAGAAAACTTTTTCAAATATCTTTTTGAAATAATTTTTACAGTTCCTGAAAAGCATGGAATAACTTATTTTTTTATATATGAAGAGATAACATATTTGAGGGAGGAGGAAAAAACATCTTTCTCAATAATCTTAGACCAGAGGGTTTGAAACAAAATATAACATTAAAGTTACACTTTGGACATTGTTTAAATTTGATGTGATCATAAAAATAATCCACGGGGGTGTCAAAGTCATTCGGCCTTAATAAGTAACGCAGTCAAAATGTAATGAAAACAATGCAATAGTTTTGGTCAAAGAAAGATTTAAAAATATGAATATGACTGTACCAAGAGCTACCGTTATACTCTCATTGCAGAAGTCGTGTTGATCCGTGCTACTGGTTCAAATTTAGTGGAGTGAAGGAAACAAAAATAGCTTTCTTTTGAGGGAAGCTGAATTCTTTGCTATGATTTTTTTCCCATATATTCTGCAAGAATTTAGCCAACTCTCAATTATTTGTGGTAGATAAGAAAAGACATTATAGATAATCAAAATTTATGACATATAATGTACTGATATTAATTTTACCAATGATTTCAAACCCCCTTAAGAAATTAATACTTTATAAGAAATAAAATAATCAAATTTTATTTCCAATTGTTTGTTCCACCCTCAGGTGACATGCTAATAAAAGGAAACAGAGCCCAAGCCCTACACGCTGAAAAGAAAAAACAAAACACACCCACAAAGTAGATAATTAGCCCTTCAAAAATTGAGAGTGATTGTATTTATGCACAATTTAGAAATTGGGGCAGTAGTAAGAAAAGCTCAAGTATGACTCAGTGGCCTAGTGGTTCTTCCTGCAGATCCAAGCTTGACTGCACCTCTACTTCAGCTTTAAAGCTTTCTAAGTGGAAGAAAATTTTCTTGATATATTATTTTCCCTCACAAAAATAAACAGAAATGAATATTGAAAGCCATTCATCCCTTTTTTGCTATAGAGAGTATCTATATGTTAGAGTATAAAGCCAATGATAAAAGAAATTAATCTGGGGTGAACTCTTGTCTCTCACATCATAAAAGGTCTTTGGGGCCAGTTGGGGATTTAGTGTTTAGTTTTTGTACTTTCCTGAATGCTATGTAATCCGCAAAGGACAGCCATGACCAAGAGCATTTGGATTAAAGGACCAATTTCATACTTAAGAATGTTTGGTAAGAAATGTTAAACTTGAGTCAGACCCAACTGTCTTCCAATGCCACAGTGGATGTCATTTGTAAAACAAATTGATTCATTAATGAAATCCCATTATCACTTGCCACAGGAAGGGTAGAGTGTACAGAATCAATGAGCCTGTTTAAATTCTGTCAATCCCTCAGATTGAAGTGAGAGGCTGTCAGTCCCAGTAAGCTCAAAATTTTGAAGCATGCCAGCTACAATAACATGAAAGACAAAATCTCATCCTTCACTTTTTACTGAAGACAAAGTAATATAGATCAAGGTTCTATGACAGGTTTAAGCTTTATTATAGTGTGTGATTCCTCAAATGTGCTGAATGTTGTTATACACGTACATAAACATTGTCCCTTTACTTGATTTCAAATCATATAAAAAAACATTTATTAGTGAAACCCACTTGAGAATTTCTGCTTATCAGCTCATCTGCAGTGGTTCATGCACTCAAATTAAGAATGAAAATGAATTGCCAAATGTATTTTAATCTCCTATTAACATCATAATGTCTAGACAGCCTATTGAAACTTCTCCTCAGTCGTGAAGATGACTGCAAGAGTCCTAATTAAATCAAATTTCACTTTTCATTAATAGGGGTTTTAGGCCACTGTAAAAAAAAATAGGTATTTAGCAAATATCCCAATTATTTAAATAAAGAGGTTTTTTTGGGAAAAAAAAATTACTTTTTTGGAGTCATGCATAAATTGAAAGTACTTTTAAAGCACTTTGCAAGGGGTCCAAAGATGTATTTTTAGGCATAGTAAAATAAAGTGAAATTCCTGCTTTAAACAGCCTTCTTCAGTTCTCAGCCTTATATTTCTAATGAGAGTGCTTTTAACACCATGCAGTTTTTCATTAGAAGGGGGTGGAAGTGAGTCATATGCTTTCAAATGTGACAGATCTGCTAAGGTCACAGGAGGAAGTAATTCAAGTGAAATTTGGAGGTAACATTCTGAAATGTTGAAATCTACCAAGGAAACAAACTAATCCTCGCAAAACTAGAGTCAGGTAGAGGACTGTTTTAAAAGAGTATTATGACATTTGCAATATTCAAGACATGTCAGCATTCAAGGACAAACTGTCATCAGCACCTGCCAGTATGACCTTCAGTTCACTTGGGCTCATTACGTTGTCTTTAGAAGACATGGCCATGTATTGGGGAGCTCCAAGTTACCATGAACACTTTGCCTCCCTTGACAATACCATACCATTATTAAAAGAAAACTCACTGTTGCACTGACCATGAAACTAGAGTTTAGACGAGACAGTGTTTCTCTCATTTGGATTGTGGCTTTAGTTTGTTTCCTGATGTTTAAGCTAAGTCTTGGCTATTAAAGTCAAAAGGAAAAATGGAAACATCCAAATAAATGCTTGAAAATCTGGTGGACCAGAATGCACAGAAAATTAACTTCAACTTAAAGAAAAAAAAAAAGATTATAGTCCTAGTTAGGATGGGCGACAGAGCGAGACTCCGTCTCAAACAAACAAACAAACAAATCACTACAATATATTTTGTTGATTAAATTTGAATTCTGTTGTCTGTATATATTGAAAACTTATTTTGGTTTATTACCACACAATGTAATGCTGCTTACCTGTTGATGCTTTTTTTTCTCTCCCAGACTTGGCTCTTCAAAACAAGTCTTAGGTAAGACAACAGACAAAGCAGGGCAAATTTGAGTATGTGCCGTTGTTTTCCTTCTATTTTTTTTCTTTTTGGTTTGAAAACATACATTTTATAGAATGGCATGATATAAACTATCCAAACACAAAACACACATGAACACATCAAATGACAGGTCATTTCCTTTTGCAGAAACTGGCTTAAAAAATTGATATTGAAATTTCATAGTTGAAAAAAATATTTCTGAATGTACAAATAAAGCAGCAGTTTTGAATAGAAACAGGAAGTTACCTAGGCACATTCATTAGCCACATGGTAGCTACCTCTTAGCCTCATTGTTGATTGTGTGAATGAGACTTTCTTTGTATCACATTAATACATGTTTTTGGTTATTTTTTCACAAAAATGAAAGAAAGTATGTTGGTTTCATATTCAAATGAATTATGCCCAGGATAATCCTTATTTATACAAAAAGAGTTTAGAGAGTGAAAAAGAGAAACAGAAAATATGGTTCTCATACATGTCTTTTTGTACCCCAAAAAACTTTGGGGCCCACTTTTCAAAGATAAAAACTTAAGTGCCACCTTTATAATGCATGGGAAGCTGAAGGATGGAACAAAAGACAGTATAAATCTAGCATTTTCTCTAAAGCATGAAAAACCATAATGGTGAGTGTGACCAGTTGGAATTTCTCTATAACGCACACTACATTTTCTTGGATACACTTTTGTCTCCAATGTGACCATAAATATATGGAGTCATTCTCTGATTTGGGCTTCCAGTGCATGGGGTTGCAAATAAGAGAACCAGAGTTTACAGAAATAGTAGAATATTGACAATTTCACATGAGTCAACCTTATTACTCATGTTGACCTAATGGGAATATGATTTACCTTTAAAACTTTTTAGTTTTTAAAAAGCCTACCCTGTTTTATAGTACACTTAAATACATTTCCCTGCTTCTTTTGGACTAAGACAGGCTCCTGTGACTGACTTAGTTTTTGAAAAGAGTTTCACCTATTTGATTCAAAGGATTCATTCAGAAAGCAATCTAGTGAATGGTTCACTTAACAAATTCTATTCCATTGTCCTTAATTTCAGGTAAAACTGTAAAGGTTGAACACATATCATCTCATGAATTAAAAATGTAGATATATTTTACAGGTGGGTCAATTTAATTCATTTTAGACAAAGTTTTGCATTGTTCTAAATGCAAGTATTCCTCCTTGGCTTAAATGATTGATCAAACCTAATTCTTTTGGTTCTTATTGATATAAATCATACTGTTCCTTGATTGTCAACTAGCATTTTAAGGACTTCCCTAAATTCCACCAATAGAATTCTCAATCTTATTGGTCCTACATGCCTCAAAGAATTAAACTGAAAGAAAAAGTTCTTTCGGCAACACCAATATACAAAAATACAGTGAAAACAGGCAAAAAGATGATACCCCCTCCCCATTTGCAAAACCAAGGTGACTATTCATGGTAGGTGATGACAAAGACAGAGGTGTAAAGACAAAACCCAGAGGTGTTGTAATTTAGAGGGAAGACTATTGTTCAAATACAATGAGACCTTTCCAGGAGACCACTCACCATTTCACAGAATATCCCTAAGCTTTTTTGACAAATGACCTTTCAGACCAGGTCCAGAAAGTGTCTTTAGCTGAAATTTCATATAAAGAATATTCCACCTGTTAAATAAGCATCTTGGTTTACTAGTGGCCATCAATACAGGTTTCACTATTCAAGACAGCTAGTGAGAAACCAGAAAAGCTCACAGAATTTAAAGCCACTTGGCTCTATGAATCAGTTCATATCCAGAACTCTTCATGCTGAAACTGCTAAACACAGCAGGTACAAGCTTCTGCTATCAATGAATACACATTTAAAGAAAAGAGAGACAACTCCCCCCACCCTCTTTTTTTTTTTGCACTATGTAAAACACCAGTGGAAGGTAGTTTAAACAAACAACAAAGAAAGAACTGGTCCGGCCATGTCGGTCAAATAAATTTTTTTTTTTTTAAAAAGAAAAGAAACGAAAACAACCTCTATCTTCTGGACTGTAATAGGGTGTCACTTCATCTTTGGTATAAAATAGGCCATCCATAGGCTGAATTTGATCACAACTAGGAAAGACTACAGAAATTGTCAACAATTTCTCTATCTATTGCTTTTTTTTTGTTTTTTTTTTTGCACTTTTTGACCATAAGCTCCTATCTACTTAAGTTTTTTTTTTTAATGCTCTTAAGCTAGGTTTTGCAATGTGACAAGCAAAGCTGACTAAAAACTTTGTAAAGCTCATAAAAAAGACTGCAGATAAAAAGCACTAATGCTTTTGCTAGCGATCACGCTTTGTAAATTAAAAAAATCTGCATTCTGCCCCCCAAACACGCATTATTTCTAATGCAGTTGTTTTTAAACCAACCTTAATAACTTTACTGTAAAATGTTTTAGCCTTTTAGAATGATTCATGTCAACACTTAAGACAAAGTTCATGAAAAGTCCCAGCATTTTTCCAATTCTTGCAGTTGCCATGGTTTATCAACAAATTTTCTTCAAATGAAGAAAAACATTTTCATTTAAACTGTACAGTTTTTTCTTCACCCTAAAAACTCATAGTCTTAAACTTCTGTGCCAGTGAAAGCCGGCACAGTATTTCAATTCTTTCTTGATTTTTGTTTTCAACAAGACGTTGACAGCTTGCCTCGAGAGCCTTTGACGTCCTTAAAATTAAGGCAATTAAGATTCAAGATAAACCTTACCTACATATTTCTAAGAAAAAATAAAATAAAAAACCCACTAGATTAAAACAAGAAGGGAAAAAGAGAAAGTAGCTTAATTATTGAGGAAGACAATTTGTTTCCATTTCTATTGCCCACCTCTTGACATCAGGTTTTCTGTTAAAAAAAAAAAAAAAGTATCTACACCTTCAGAAAAATTCTGAATTCAATTCAAATGTTCTTCCACATAAAATATCAACCTTCAATGTTTTGTTTTTTGTAGTTTTTTTTTCCTCTTCTGGAAATTTTTTCTTTAATTAAAAAAATGATGGCAAAAATAAATTGTCAGACCACATGAAGACCATTTGCACAGCACATAAAAACTTTGCTTTCATTGGGTAAGGTATAACACTAAAAAAAAAACAACAACAACAACAAAAAAATGCATTCCATTGACGTCTGTGCAAACTGGAAGCCAACTTCTTGTTCAATGAAGTTTCTTCATTCAAGGCAAAGATTCAGACAGACATTCTTCAGTCCTGTTTATGGTCTGTGAAAACAATTGAATAAGAGTGGTCATTAAATTAAAGTAACTTTGAAATCACCTTCTGTGCCCTTTTCCAATGAGGCAGCTTTAAAAGATACCAAGCTTTCAATGTAACATAGTCACAAAAGCATCATAAAATCATACTGAGTCTATGAGATTGTCAAATTCTGCCACTTTCATTTAAATACAGATTTGGGCCAGAGAGTTTGTTTACATTAAAAATCAAGGGTAATAGCTTATGTTATAGCTCCTTACAGATCCTTTGAGTAATTCTGTTCCTTCAAAACTACTATAGGAATCATCACTAATTCCAGCAACAAATATGAGATTCTTTACTATGCACCCAAAATAACTGGGTTGTATGTTATCTCATGGTATTCATCACGTACATTTACATAAGGCTTATTGCCTGAGGAAATAAGTGAGACAGTTAAGAGGCCAATGCAGTTTTATTCTCTTTTCCTCTTCCCCTTCTCTACTTTCTTGTTCATTCCCCCTGTCAAGATTATAAATTTGTGAGAGCAGGAACTATATTTTACTTCTACCCTTTACCCTTTAGGCAGAGTGGTATATACACAATAGGTGTTTAACTAGAAAAATATCATTTTACTATATGCCACTTTGCTTAGCTCATGTCAAATAAAGACTTCTGCTACTGCCCCTTCTATGTTGCAAGGTTAACCTTCCAGCAGGATGACTTTACTCTTAGCTTTTTTGCCCACAGATTAGAAGTTTGTAAAATAACTTCAGAGTGGTGCTATAGAAAGAAGGACCTCTATATTATCTCTGTAAGTTACATTTAGCTGAAGGCCTCTTTGCTCAGGGTATTGGATGCCAGCAAAAAGTTATGCAAGTTCTTCTGATGCACAGTTGCTTAATTTAGTAAATTTGACTCAGTGTTACTATGTATAGTTTTACAGATTGTTTACTATATAAGATGTATGATTGAGGGAGTGGGGGCTAAATTTCAGCCCATCGTCTGCTCCCCAAGGTATGTACCCTGCAGGAAAGCTGTAACCCCAATTCACAGTGTTTTAAACTGTGTATTGTTTAGCTTGAGATGGCCTGGAAAGGACATAGTTTCCTGATTTGCAAAAAGCCATCATGTGAGCCAGCTACGGCAATTAGGAACCTGATTAATTTCTTCCTAAAATCATGTGAGGAAAGCAACTAGTTGAGAGATCGAATATTCAATTTTTATCAATAGGTTAAGTCCCTAAAAATATATTACTGTGTTATATGAGAAAGTGAGATATCTTCTAAGAAGTAAAGCAATTACAATTTTCATACAGTAGCAACAATAAGAAAAAATTTTATTAGTGGTAGTCATGGGAACCATGGTTTATATTTTAACTGTCTCTAGCTTTGCAAACTATAGACTTACTCCATTTATGTCTAAAAATCTATATTACTAAGGGAACAATTTTTTTTCTTGGTTATATAGTTGTGTGTGTATGTGTGTGTGTGTTGGGGGAGAGTCTGTTCTTTGTTCTCACTCCCATCTTCTACTCTGGTATTATTGTGTACTGAACCAAAAATGCCTAAAACACCATGAATCTCTTTAGCAGCTGCTCAGTGAATGATGTCTTATTCAGTGGACTACAGTGCATAGAATACCTGACCCATCAAGCTCAAGTACTTGATATTCACTGGTCTCAAAAGCATTGATATATTTATGAGCTAGGCTGGAACTACTTTAGGTTTTATAACTGTACACAAATGTTTCCAATAGCCCTCTCCCATAATTTGCTTGGTCTTTAAAATGGTCCCATTGCCACATGAAAACAAATGATGGCAAATAGATGGTAGTACTTTACAACTTCATATTTGCTGGCTGAAGTTTGAAGTAAAAAGGATCTTGCCATTTCAAAGAACTGAATTCACTCCTGCCGATCTCCTCTGTCCTAGAATAAATGTGAATGTGCACATTTACATAATACTTATGGATTGCACTGAAATTCCTAAAAACAGAAGGGTTTTAATTTTTTTTAGGCTGGGATCTTTGGCAACAAGAACATTTTAAGTTGGACATTTTAGAAATAAAATAAATAAATAAAATAAATAATAAAATAAGAAATAAAATAAAAAGAAATAACTTGAAAACAGGAATTCATGTGAAGAAATAATGAGTATGGAAATCAATTGCAAACGGTAAAACAGTGCACATACAATGTATTATTACAATATATTATAATACATAGAATGTTGTATTACTCACAAATGTGAAGGACATAATTTGCTCATCATTGATATACTGACAATGTATAGAAATTTGGTATTCATGGCAGTTCAGTTAGCCAGAGAAGATTTGAAGTATAAAAAGAACTTGCAATACCAGGGTTGAGATGAGGGCCTTCTAAAGTCAGAGTAAATATGGTAGAGTAGGAATTTCACTGAATTTAAGAATACAGAGTCATTTTGAATCCTCTCCTCACTCCTCCACCCTCAAAAAAAAGGCACAGTGAATATATTGGAACGTAACAAACGATAATCTTAGAAATCTATTTTAGAGGAGGAGGAAGTCTCAGAGATAGCCAAATGAAGCAATATTTTCCAGAATAATTCCTGACAGACTAGCTTCATGTAATGCTATGTAAAAAGTGGGATTCTGTGATCCAGAGTGTGGAAAAATGTCACAGTATATTCCCTCTACTGGATTACTCACAGGTAAACTTAAAGAAGTGGTTAGGGAACCCATAAAGAAAGCCATGAATATTTAAAAAAATTGTCCTTGAAAGAATTACATAGGTATCTAAATTACAAATTGTAGATGAAACTGTTAGACTTCTTTAATAATTTAATTTTTCTTTTCTTTTTTTTATTATACTTTAAGTTCTGGGATACATATGCAGAACGTGCAGGTTTGTTACATAGGTATACACACATGCCATGGTGATTTGCTGTACCCATCAACCCATCAACTACATTAGGTATTTATCCTAATATTATCCCTTCCTTAGTCCCCCACTCCCTGACAGGCCCCAGTATGTGATGCGCCCACCCCCGATGTCCATGTTCTCACTGTTCAACTCCCACTTATGAGTGAGAATATGCAGTGTTTGGTTTTCTGTTCTTGTGTTAGTTTGCTGAGAATGATGGTTTCCAGTTTCATCCATGTCCCTACAAAGGACATGAACTCATCCTTTTTATGACTGCATGGTATTCCATGGTGTATATATGCCACATTTTCTTTATCAAGTCTATCATTAATGGGCATTTGGGTTGGTTCCAACTCTTTGCTATTGTGAACAGTGCCACAGTAAACATTCGTGGGCATGTGTCTTTATAGTAGAATGATTTATAATCCTTTGGGTATATACCCAGTAATGGGATTGCTGGGTCAAATGGTATTTCTGGTTCTAGATCCTTGAGGAATCACCACACTGTCTTCCACAATGGTTGAACTAATTTACACTCCCACCAACAGTGTAAAAGTATTCCTATTTCTCCATATCCTCTCCAGCATCTGTTGTTTCCTGACTTTTTAATGATTGCCATTCTAACTGGCATGAAATGGTATCTCATTGTGGTTTTGATTTGCATTTCTCTGATAATCAGTGGTGATGAGCTTTTTTTCATGTTTGTTGGCTGCATAAATGTCTTCTTTTGAGAAGTGTCTGTTCATATCCTTTGTTTACTTTTTGATGGGGTTGTTTTTTTCTTGTAAATTTGTTCAAGTTCTTTGTAGATTCTGGATATTAGACCTTTGTCAGATGGGTAGATTGCAAACATTTTCTCCCATTCTGTACGTTGCCTGTTCACCCTGATGATAGTTTCTTTTGCTGTGCAGAAGTTCTTTAGTTTAATTAGATCCCATTTGTCTAGTTTGGCTTCTTTTTGCTGTTGCTTTTGGTGTTTTAGGCATGAAGTCTTTGCCCATGCCTATGTCCTGATTTTCTTCTAGGGTTTTTATGGTTTTAGGTCTTTTTTTAAATTATTATTTTATTATTATTATACTTTAAGTTTTAGGGTACAGGTGCACAATGTGCAGGTTTGTTACATATGTACACATGTGCCATGTTGGTGTGCTGCACCCATTAACTCATCATTTAGCATTAGGTATATCTCCTAATGTTATCCCTCCCCACTCCCCCCACCCCACAACAGTCCCCGGTGTGTGATGTTCCCCTTCCTGTGTCCATGTGTTCTCATTGTTCAATTCCCACCTATGAGTGAGAACATGCAGTATTTGGTTTTTTGTCCTTGTGATAGTTTGCTGGGAATGATGGTTTCCAGTTTCATCCATGTCCCTACAAAGGACATGAACTCATCATTTTTTGTGGCTGCATAGTATTCCATGGTGTATATGTGCCACATTTTCTTAATCCAGACTATTTGGACATTTAGGTTGGTTCCAAGTCTTTGCTATTGTGAATAGTGCCGCTATAAACATACATGTGCATGTGCCTTTATAGCAGCATGATTTATAATCCTTTGGGTATATACCCAGTAATGGGATGGCTGGGTCAAATGGTATTTCTAGTTCTAGATCCCTGAGGAATCACCACACTGACTTCTACAATGTTTGAACTAGTTTACAGTCCCACCAACAGTGTCAAAGTGTTCCTATTTCTCCACATCCTCTCCAGCACCTGTTGTTTCCTGACTTTTTAATGATTGCCATTCTAACTGGTGTAACATGATATCTCATTGTGGTTTTGATTTGCATTTCTCTGATGGCCAGTGATGATGAGCATTTTTTCATGTGTCTTGTGGCTGCATAAATGTCTTCTTTTGAGAAGTGTCTGATCATATTCTTTGCCCACTTTTTGATGGGGTTTTTTGTTTTTTTCTAGTTTGAGTTCATTGTAGATTCTGGATATTAGCCCTTTGTCAGATGAGTAGGTTGCGAAAATTTTCTCCCATTCTGTAGGTTGCCTGTTCACTCTGATGGTAGTTTCTTTTGCTGTGCAGAAGCTCTTTAGTTTAATTAGATCCCATTTGTCAATTTTGGCTTTTGTTGCCATTGCTTTTGGTGTTTTAGACATGAAGTCCTTGCCCATGCCTATGTCCTGAATGGTATTGCCCAGGTTTTCTTCTAGAGTTTTTATGGTTTTAGGTCTAACATTTAAGTCTTTAATCCATCCATCTTGAATTAATTTTTGTATAAGGTGTAAGGAAGGGATCCAGTTTCAGCTTTCTACATATGGCTAGCCAGTTTTCCCAGCACCATTTATTCAATAGGGAATCCTTTCCCCATTGCTTGTTTTTGTCAGGTTTGTCAAAGATTAGATAGTTGTAGATATGCGGCATTATTTCTGAGGGCTCTGTTCTGTTCCATTGGTCTGTATCTCTGTTTTGGTACCAGTACCATGCTGCTTTGGTTACTGTAACCTTGTAGTATAGTTTGAAGTCAGGTAGCGTGATGCCTCCAGCTTTGTTCTTTTGGCTTAGGATTGACTTGGCGATGTGGGCTCTTTTTTGGTTCCATATGAACTTTAAAGTAGTTTTTTCCAATTCTGTGAAGAAAGTCATTGGTAGCTTGATGGGGATGGCATTGAATCTATCAATTACCTTGGGCAGTATGGCCAATTTCACGATATTGATTCTTCCTACCCATGAGCATGGAATGTTCTTCCATTTGTTTGTATCCTCTTTTATTTCATTGAGCAGTGGTTTGTAGTTCTCCTTGAAGAGGTCCTTCACATCTCTTGTAAGTTGGATTCCTAGGTATTTTATTCTCTTTGAAGCAATTGTGAATGGGAGTTCACTCATGATTTGGCTGTTTGTCTGTTATTGGTGTATAAGAGTTCTTGTGATTTTTGTACATTGATTTTGTATCCTGAGACTTTGCTGAAGTTGCTTATCAGCTTAAGGAGATTTGGGGCTGAGATGATGGGGTTTTCTAGATATACAATCATGTCATCTGCAAACAGGGACAATTTGACTTCCTCTTTTCCTAATTGAATACCCTTTATTTCTTTCTCCTGGCTGATTGCCCTGGCCAGAACTTCCAACACAATGTTGAATAGGAGTGGTGAGAGAGGGCATCCCTGTCTTGTGCCAGTTTTCAAAGGGAATGCTTCCAGTTTTTGCCCATTCAGTATGATATTGGCTGTGGGTTTGTCATAGATAGCTCTTATTATTTTGAAATACGTCCCATCGATACCTAATTTATTAAGAGTTTTTAGCATGAAGGGTTGTTGAATTTTGTCAAAGGCTTTTTCTGCATCTATTGAGATAATCATGTGGTTTTTGTCTTTGGCTCTGTTTATATGCTGGATTACATTTATTGATTTGCGTATATTGAACCAGCCTTGCCTCCCAGGGATGAAGCCCACTTGATCATGGTGGATAAGCTTTTTGATGTGCTGCTGGATTCGTTTTGCCAGTATTTTATTGAGGATTTTTGCATCAATGTTCATCAAGGATATCGGTCTCAAATTCTCTTTTTTTGTTGTGTCTCTGCCCGGCTTTGGTATCAGAATGATGCTGCCCTCATAAAATGAGTTAGGGAGGATTCCCTCTTTTTCTGTTGATTGGAATAGTTTCAGAAGGAATGGTACCAGTTCCTCCTTGTACCTCTGGTAGAATTCGGCTGTGAATCCATGTGATCCTGGACTCTTTTTGGTTGGTAAGCTATTGATTATTGCCACAATTTCAGTTCCTGTTATTGGTCTATTCAGAGATTCAACTTCTTCCTGGTTTAGTCTTGAGAGAGTGTATGTGTCCAGGAATTTATCCATTTCTTCTAGATTTTCTAGTTTATTTGCGTAGAGGTGTTTGTAGTATTCTCTGATGGTAGTTTGTATTTCTGTGGGATCGGTGGTGATATCCCCTTTATCATTTTTTATTGCGTCTATTTGATTCTTCTCTCTTTTTTTCTTTATTAGTCTTGCTAGCGGTCTATCAATTTTTTTGATCTTTTCAAAAAACCAGCTCCTGGATTCATTAATTTTTTGAAGGGTTTTTTGTGTCTCTATTTCCCTCAGTTCTGCTCTGATTTTAGTTATTTCTTGCCTTCTGCTAGCTTTTGAATGTGTTTGCTCTTGCTTTTCTAGTTCTTTTAATTGTGATATTAGGGTGTCAATTTTAGATCTTTCCTGCTTTCTCTTGTGGGCATTTAGTGCTATAAATTTCCCTCTACACACTGCTTTGAATGTGTCCCAGAGATTCTGGTATGTTGTGTCTTTGTTCTTGTTGGTTCAAAGAACATCTTTATTTCTGCCTTCATTTCGTTATGTACCCAGTAGTCATTCAGGAGCAGGTTGTTCAGTTTCCATGTAGTTGAGCAGTTTTGAGTGAGATTCTTAATCCTGAGTTCTAGTTTGATTGCACTGTGGTCTGAGAGATAGTTTGTTATAATTTCTGTTCTTTTACATTTGCTGAGGAGAGCTTTACTTCCAAGTATGTGGTCAATTTTGGAATAGGTGTGGTGTGGTGCTGAAAAAAATGTATATTCTGTTGATTTGGGGTGGAGAGTTCTGTAGGTGTCTATTAGGTCCGCTTGGTGCAGAGCTGAGTTCAATTCCTGGGTATCCTTGTTGACTTTCTGTCTCGTTGATCTGTCTAATGTTGACAGTGGGGTGTTAAAGTCTCCCATTATTAATGTGTGGGAGTCTAAGTCTCTTTGTAGGTCACTAAGGACTTGCTTTATGAATCTTGGTGCTCCTGTATTGGGTGCATATATATTTAGGATAGTTAGCTCTTCTTGTTGAATTGATCCCTTTACCATTATGTAATGGCCTTCTTTGTCTCTTTTGATCTTTGTTGGTTTAAAGTCTGTTTTATCAGAGACTAGGATTGCAACCCCTGCCTTTTTTTGTTTTCCATTGGCTTGGTAGATCTTCTTCCATCCTTTTATTTTGAGCCTATGTGTGTCTCTGCAAGTGAGATGGGTTTCCTGAATACAGCACACTGATGGGTCTTGACTCTTGATCCAATTTGCCAGTCTGTGTCTTTTAATTGGAGCATTTAGTCCATTTACATTTAAAGTTAATATTGTTATGTGTGAATTTGATCCTGTCATTATGATGTTAGCTGGTTATTTTGCTCATTAGTTGATGCAGTTTCTTCCTAGTCTTGATGGTCTTTACATTTTGGCATGATTTTGCAGTGGCTGGTACCGGTTGTTCCTTTCCATGTTTAGTGCTTCCTTTAGGAGCTCTTGTAAGGCAGGCCTGGTGGTGACAAAATCTCTCAACACTTGCTTGTTTGTAAAGGATTTTATTTCTCCTTCACTTATGAAGCTTAGTTTGGCTGGATATGAAATTCTGGATTGAAAATTCTTTTCTTTAAGAATGTTGAATATTGGCCCCCACTCTCTTCTGGCTTGTAGTAGAGTTTCTGCTGAGAGATCCGCTGTTAGTCTGATGGGCTTCCCTTTGAGGGTAACCCGACCTTTCTCTCTGGCTGCCCTTAACATTTTTCCCTTCATTTCAACTTTGGTGAATCTGACAATTATGTGTCTTGGAGTTGCTCTTCTCGAGGAGTATCTTTGTGGCGTTCTCTGTATTTCCTGAATCTGAACGTTGGCCTGCCTTGCTAGATGGGGGAAGTTCTCCTGGATAATATCCTGCAGAGTGTTTTCCAACTTGGTTCCATTCTCCCCATCACTTTCAGGTACACCAATCAGATGTAGATTTGGTCTTTTCACATAGTCCCATATTTCTTGGAGGCTTTGCTCATTTCTTTTTATTCTTTTTTCTCTAAACTTCCCTTCTCGCTTCATTTCATCTTCCATTGCTGATCCCCTTTCTTCCAGTTGATCGCATCGGCTCCTGAGGCTTCTGCATTCTTCACGTAGTTCTTGAGCCTTGGTTTTCAGCTCCATCAGCTCCTTTAAGCACTTCCCTGTATTGGTTATTCTAGTTATACATTCTTCTAAATTTGTTTCAAAGTTTTTGACTTCTTTGCCTTTGGTTTGAATGTCCTCCCATAGCTCAGAGTAATTTGATCTTCTGAAGCCTTCTTCTCTCAGCTCGTCAAAGTCATTCTCCATCCAGCTTTGTTCCGTTGCTGGTGAGGAACTGCGTTCCTTTGGAGGAGGAGAGGCACTCTGCGTTTTAGAGTTTCCAGTTTTCCTGTTCTGTTTTTTCCCCATCTTTGTGGTTTTATCTACTTTTGGTCTTTGATGATGGTGATGTACAGATGGGTTTTTGGTGTGGATGTCCTTTCTGTTTGTTAGTTTTCCTTCTAACAGAGAGGATCCTCAGCTGCAGGTCTGTTGGAATACCCTGCCGTGTGAGGTGTCAGTGTGCCCCTGCTGGGGGGTGCCTCCCAGTTAGGCTGCTCGGGGGTCAGGGACCCACTTGAGGAGGCAGTCTGCCCATTCTCAGATCTCCAGCTGCGTGCTGGGAGAACCACTGCTCTCTTCAAAGCTGTCAGACAGAGACATTTAAGTCTGCAGAGGTTACTGCTGTCTTTTTGTTTGTCTGTGCCCTGTCCCCAGAGGTGGAGCCTACAGAGGCAGGCAGGCCTCCTTGAGCTGTGGTGGGCTCCACCCAGTTGGAGCTTCCGGGATGCTTTGTTTACCTAATCAAGCCTGGGCAATGGCGGGTGCCCCTCCCCCAGCCTCACTGCCGCCTTGCAGTTTGATCTCAGACTGCTGTGCTAGCAATCAGCGAGACTCCGTGGGGGTAGGACCCTCCGAGCCAGGTGCGGGATATAATCTTGTGGTGCGCCATTTTTTAAGCCCGTGGGAAAAGTGCAGTATTTGGGTGGGAGTGACCCGATTTTCCAGGTGCCGTCCGTCACCCCTTTCTTTGACTCAGAAAGGGAACTCCCTGACCCCTTGCGCTTCCCAAGTGAGGCAATGCCTCGCCCTGCTTCGGCTTGCGCACGGTGCATGCACCCACTGACCTGCGCCCAGTCTGGCACTCCCTAGTGAGATGAACCCGGTACATCAGATGGAAATGCAGAAATCACCCATCTTCTGCGTCGCTCACACTGGGAGCTGTAGACTGGAGCTGTTCCTATTCGGCCATCTTGGTTCCTCCCCCCGATACAGAGATTTTTTAAAATAAGAAATTGACTTGCACAATTATTAAGATTGAGAAGTCCCATGATCTACAATGATCTGCAGCTGGCAGACTGGAGACCCAGGAGAGCCAACAGTGTAATTCTAGTTTGAGTCTGAAAGTCTGAGAACTGAAAGAGTTGATGTAAATTCTAGTTCTATAGCTGGCAGGCTCAAGATCTAAGAAGAACCAATATTTTTGTTTAAGTTCAAAGGCAGGAAAAGACCAATGTCCTAGCTCTAGCAGTCAAGTAACAGGAGTTCCTTCTTCTTCATTCATGAGAGGTTCAATCTTTTTGCTCTATTCAGGGGTTCAACTAACTGATTGGATGGAAGCCTCCCACAGTGGGGGGTGGAATCTGCTTTAACTGATTCAAATATTAACCTCATCCAAAATCACCCTCACAGACATACCCAGAAATATTGTTTTGCCAAATATATGGGTACCCTGTGGCTCAGTCAAATGGTCACATAAAATTTCCCATTACCCACAGTATTTCTCATCTCCCACCAATCAATGTCTCTTGCTATGCTTTATACATAGCCAATATCTGCTCCTTTCCCCACATATAACCCGTTGACCAGGCTGAAAAAAAATTTCAATATGCTTGGACTGGAGTTTCAGAGTCTACCACAGTATTAGTTTTGCACATAAAAGTGATTCACACAGGCTATGTCAATTAAATTAACAATAACATATGGCTTTACTCAGTAACAATCTTTTCTGAAAGTCATTATTGCTATTAATAATGGCAATCATAATAATACCTTACATTTGTAAGTTTAAGTCATATTCTGAGCAAATTTAATTTGTAAAACTGACTTTAGACCTAAACCACACATAATAGAGTTTACTGCTTTGATGAATCTAACAAACAAATCTCTTAATGTATACTGAAGTTAAAAAGTGACAGATTCTCTTCTTGCTCAACTTTTAGTCAGGCTACTGAGTCCCCTTCTTGAGTAGGCGTAGACTTTTGCCCCCATTCTTGCCAGTTCTTTATAGCCTAGTTTTAGCAAGAATCTTGCTAAGTCAGTTTAAAGAGAATAGCCTATCGTTGATATGACCACCCTCAATATCTGATCAATTTTCTCATCCCCTACATTTGATCTTATCATTCCTTGATCTGCCTTCAGCAAAAATCCTGTCAATTTAGGTTAGCAGTAATTCCCCACTCACTGACCCCCTCACTCGGCTTGTTGGCTACAGATCCCCAGCTGTCTTTGCTGTGTTCTGAACTGAGCATGCTCTCTCTTCCCCTATTGCAATAATTTTAATACCTATAGTTCTTTTTTTTTGAGACGGAGTCTTGCTCTGTCACCCAGGCTGGAGTGCAGTGGCACAATCTCTGCTCACCGCAAGCTGCTCCGCCTCCCGGGTTCACGCCATTCTCCTGCCTCAGCCCCCCACCCCGACCCCAGAGTAGGTGGGACTACAGGCACCCGCCACCATGCCCAGCTAAGTTTTTTGTATTTTTAGTAGAGACGGGGTTTCACCGTGTTAGCCAGGATGGTCTCTATCTCCTGACCTCGTGATCCGCCCGCCTCGGCCTCCCATAGTGCTGGGATTACAGGCGTGAGCCACTGCGCCCGGCCTAATACCTATGGTTTTTAATGGCAAAAACCGCAATTACTTTTGTACCAACCTAATAAATAAATTATTTCTTAATGTTTTAACAAATATCAGAATATTTTTTTTCTTTAATAAGAAAAATTATTTTAAATAACGGAGCAGCACTCTGTAGACAGGCAGGATTGTCGGGGGATTCTCTATTCATCAGGGATTTTATTGCTATCTACAAAGTTGAATAGTTTGCATGCCAAGACACTTGTATGAAGACTTTACTTTTCTAAATTCTTTTGGTTTCAATAAACAGCCCTCAAACTTTACCAAAGTTTGCCAAATGTTTACTCAACACAAAGCCAAATGTACTTTGCATTATGAGTGATTTAAGGATTTTCAAGAGTAATTCTGAAAATCCTTGCCATTTTATTCCTGAATAAGACCATATTTTATATTGCTTCATATCTTACAATACCCTTTTTCATCGACATTTAACTGTGTATTCAAAGTAACCCTACAAGGGGGAGTGTTACTGTCTTCCTTTAAGAGTGAGGAGACTGAGACTCTATTCAGTTTCAGGTAGGAATATTATAATTTTTCCAATAATAAATATGGTAGCTTTTTTTTTTAATGGCTGCAGTGCCTCTCTCTATATCAAGCTTTTTCAAAGTGAACTGCTACATTGACTGTTTGGCCAAGTGACTTGCTTTGGCTAATGAGACAGTAGAAAATTAGTAATAAACAGAATTAAGAGTGCTTGTACATTTGGGCTTGCTCTTTACTATTCTTGAAATTCTGAGACTTCCATGTGAATTAGCCTGCTGGAGGATCAGAAACATATGGCCTAGTCACTTCCATCACACATCCAACAGCTAGCAACACCCAGAAGCAGAGATGCATAGATAATCAGCAGCTGTTCCTAGATGTTTGATTCCTGTCAAGATCAGAAGAACCATCCACCCAAAGTTAGCCCAAATTTCAAACCCACATAATCATGAGCTAAATAAATGCCTGTTGCTAAGTTTGGGATGGTTTATATTTCAGCAAAAGCTAACACATACAACATGAGAGAGTGATGTCAAGATGGCTGATCTTGAGGAAAAGAGCTTAGCACAGCCCAGACTTACTTAGACTGTTGGTAAGAATATGCAGGTGCATGTTCGTTGGATGTGTCCACTGCTATCTGTTGCTGCTGACCACTGGTGTCCTGGGATGAAGGTGCCACTGTCTGGGGAGAGGTATCAGCAACAACACCCTAAGGAGGCAAATAAGAACATAAAAGCCTTACTTGCTTCAGTGAAGGGCCCTCTCTAGATAGGCTGTAAGTACCCCTCTTCTATTTGGCTTAAGTAGAGATACCCTCAGCTACATGAAGTCACAATAAGTACTCAGAGGAAACCCAGAGAGCACATTTAGATAAGGGCTAAGTAATTCATCCTAATGTGACACCAAGAAGCCTTGCCATTAGAAGTTGTTGGAGTAGTTAAGTGGTCAGAAAATAATTTTGCCTATACTTGGAACTTTTAAACCAGGTTTGCACATTTATCCACAATAAATGCCAATTTATCCTCATTCAGGATTCCTATACAAACTTGTATGTCCAAACATTTTCCTGGCATATTTCACTGTATCATGTCTATACCATTTGGGATAACAATGGAAAGTGACCTTAATAAAAATATACATCAAAGTTTGGAAATCTTTTAAAGGATGCTATTAAGTAGATTTTTCTCTCCAGTAATTTGATTTGATTTGTTTTGTTTTCTGGTATATGAACTGAAAGTCATCAAGAAGTTTTAAGAAAACAACAACAAAACTTGTCCTTAATTTTGGTTTGCTTTTCCTTCACCCTATTTTTTTTTTTTTTTTTTTTTTTGTTTCTCACAGATGCTGGCAAGAGTGGATTTCCGGAATTGGTCACAATCAGGAATATATTTTTGGAATCCAGAGAGGCATAGGTGATTTTATTTGGTTGTTAGTAGGCCTAAGAAGAGCACCTATCCTGATAAATTTTCCTGGTTTTATTTGTAGTCCTGGATACCTGCAGTGATGTCAAATTTCAGAAGTTCTTGGTTAATTCTGTCGCTGAAATTCCCTAAATTTCTTCTTTAGAATTTGAAAAGTCTCTCTATTCAATCTTTTCTTTCCTAATTTACTATTTGGTATTATTTATTTTTTGAAACCTCCCACCTTTATAGATATTGATAAATGTTCAATGAGTGTTTTCACATAGAGAATGAATTAATGCTTTTCCTTATAATCACTGGTTCAAGGCAATATATCAGAGTATATTTATATTTTTATCAATGAAATATTTCTTTTAATCCCTAAATATAATTAGACTGTTTCCAATAAGCCACGCTGTCAAATGTCTCATAATAATCATCAAAATGGTCAAATTTTGTAGATAAGTATTTGTCTTTGGTGTACACAGAGAAATGAAAATATGTGGCAGAAGTTTACACTTAAACTGCCTAGAATGTCCAGATTTTTAATTTTCTTATCGCATAGGTGCTTTTTGAAAGCTAAATATACCAAAGAACATGAAATTTAATCATATATTCTTGCAATTCTGAAAAGACAATTAAAACTGTTTAAGATGACACATTCTTTGAGACCTATAGGTCTAGAACACATGAAAGATTTAAACATTGGAACTCCTTGATTTCCATCAGTGCCCTGTTAAACATCTGGATTTCCTAAACCTTGGTATGAACAAACATTTGTCACACACCAAAACCAGGAAACATTTTAGAAGATCCAATTTAGTCCGTAAAGGTTTCCCTCAATCTCAGAGATTGGGAGTCTTGGTGAATTTTTATGTGGAGTGGTACCAACACAGTAGTTGCTTGCCAACAAATGGAGTAGCAAAGACATCAGCTGCAGGGGATTCCCAGCTGCTGAGAAGGAATGCACGGTGACCATAATGCACCTGTGCATCAGGAGAGGGGAAAGAAGGGCAATAAAACAGTAATGGCTAGAACCAGAAAGAAGAATATAGGTACCTAAGTGTTTTACCACCATCTGCATAGCTCTATGCCCTCTCCATTTCTATGTAGTTTATGGCCCTGTCCAGTAAAATGATGTGTAGAGGGCATAGATTTATCCCAATGGAAAGAGAGAATGAAAGCAGCAAAGCTTCCATTAAGGACAAGCTGACATCATCATTCATGATATCTACAGCAATAAGAGTTGTACAACTTCTTTCTTGTCTGTAAGAAGCTGTAAACCTGTGCAGGTTCATGGCCTAGAGCAATGGTTTCTAGTCTTTGGTACGTATTAGAATCATCTAAGATCTTTTAAAAATATGATGTTCAGTCTATACTCCAGACAAATAAATCATAATCTCTGGGGATAGGACTCAGGAATCAATATTTTTAAAGCTCTCAAAATAATTCAAATGTGCAGAAAATTTGAGAACCAGTGCATTAGTCCAGTGTCTCTCAAATTTTAATGTGCATTTGGATCACTGAGTGATCATCTTAAAATGCAAATTCAGATGCAGTAGGTCTGGATAGTACCTAAAAGTCTACATTTCTTTTTTTTTCCTTTTCTTCCTTCTGATCTTCCTTCTGACAGGGTCTCACTGTTTGACTGTTTGACCCAGGCTGGTCTCGAACTTCTGGTCTCAAGAGATCCTCCTGTCTCAGCATCTCAAGTAGCAAGGATTACAGGTGCATGCCATCATGCCCAGCAAGTCTGCATTTCTAACAAGCTCTCAAGGGATACCAATGATGCTGGTCTAGGAACCACTCTTTGAGGAACAAGGCATTAGAGAATTAGTTCATTCACATAGTTGCAAACTTTTTTCCTTTTATAAGAAGTATTTGTGATTAAAATTTGATGGAGTTGTGATTTGGCCTCTGGAATTTTCTCTAAATATGAAAGAGACTCCCGTCGTGCCTCCATAGCAGATGAGCTCATTTCATGTGCAAAGCAAAACACAGCCACATTCAAGTAAATGTTTATACTTTCATACACTGAATTTACAATGTCATATTTTAGAGTAGCACAAAAATTGCAAGTGAGGATTCCTATGGTTATGGGGGACTACAGTATATGTGACTGAGATTTATTTCTTCTAACCTCTTTATTAGACAGGGGTAGACTTACTTCAATAGAAACAGCTGTCGGAGGCACAGGCGTGTACTGAGGAATGTAGGTCCCTTGCATAGGAGCAGCAGCAGTCATATACTAGAGAGAATCAAAGAAAAATGCATGTGAACTTTGAGCTGCAACCAGTGAGAAAATTATTAAATACCACAGGAGACTGCTTTAGCTATGGGGCCCATAGCCAGTGTGTATTTTTTCCCAGCTCAATTTTCACTAAAAATAAGGCAGCTCCTCTCTGTATTGAAAGGCCTTTGCTTGCTGATTAAGTACCCACAGTAGCCCTACCTCTTAATTATCAATATGAGTTAATTCACCCCCATTTCCTCACTTTGTCCTTTTACACATTCTATTCTAAATAAGATCTCAAACATTTCACATTTCACATCTAAACACAAACTCCAGGAGAGTTGGGGATGATGTCTCTTTTTTACTCTCTTTTATTGCTAGCACCTATCACATAGTAGGCTCTCAACAAGTACTTGTTGAATGAATGATCATATAAATGGTTAGTAATATTTATTTTTTGAATTTAAAAAAGCAGCAAAGTAATGTAATAGTTATGTGATACATTGGCATTATTGGCAAATGTCATTTTTTCATTTTTGCATCACTTTTTTAAATATAAAAAAATGGAGTATTACAGATAATATTGAAGTCTCTATTGTTCCCTTCTCCCATTTCATTCTCATATCAGTGTTAAAATTTCCTTTCCAATACCTTTAATTCACCAGATTTTTCTTATCGGGATGAATAATGAAGCCAAATCATTTTTTGCTAAGTTGTAGTAGTCAATAAATTATGTATTGAGGATAAGTTGTATTTTTGCAATGAAGAAAGGGAGCCCCAGTAAAACTACATGTTCAGTTACATAAGCATAAAGTATGACCCATATTCATAACACACATATTCATCCTGCACCTTCAAAGTTCTACTCTTCAAGAATTGAATTTTCTATGGAATCAACTATGTTTCTGAGTTTCTGAACTTCACCAATAACACAAAACATCAAAACTGGAATCATCAAATAAAGACAAGTTTTCTCAATTCATAAAGTTTAGAGGAATGATTTTTTGTGGCAAATCAAAAGCTCCTGATTATTTTACTAAATTTGCTGAGATCAAATACTAAGTTCATGTATCAATATGAAAAAGCTAAATTACTGTTTTGTGTATCTTAGTATATTCAGTATTTAAGAGGCATGCTGATTCTGAATCAAGGAAAGCATCTGAACACTAGTCCATCTTTTCTTTTTCTTTGTTGTTGTTGTTTTCCTCCTCTTTTCAAACTGGGTTTCATTCTGTTGCCCAGAATGGAGTGCAGGGGCGTGATCTTGGCTCACTGCAAGCTCTGCCTCCAGGGTTCAAGCGATTCTCATGCCTCAGCTTCCCCAGTAGCTGAGAGTACAGGTGTGTGCCACCACACCTGGTTAATTTTTGTATTTTTAGTAGAGACAGGGTTTTGCCATATTGGCCAAGCTGGTCCTGAACTCTTGGCCTCAAGTGATCCACCTGCCTCAGCCTCCCAGAGTGCTAGGATTACAGGTGTGAGCTACTGTGCCCAGCCAGCATCTGCCTTTTCAACAAGATTACTCTATAGAGTATGTTGTAGATAACAGTTCCCTGGACATTTCAGATAGGTAATTTGCCTCTGCTATATAGGTTCTAAATATCCTTTAATTTAGCCCTTTTTACAATATATTCCTTGGAACACTAGCTATACTGAGAGTAAAGCTTTCTGTGTTCCAATGTATTTCAGCAATGCTGCCTGATATATCCTCTTCTTGATATTGACATATGATTAAACTGAGAAATCGTGTTTTACAGAAGAAGCCTATTAAAGGTGATAAACTAGTATTTCTAAAACTTTTGTTTTGATTTTGGTATCATTAATTAGTTTTGCTTAAAACTACTACTCTAAGAAATATATTCTGGAAAATGTTTCTTTAATTGAATCTCAAAAATCTAGCAGATTTATAGCAAGTGAGAATATATTTTTATCAACCATGAATTTAATTAAGTTCAGAATTGATAGATTTGTGGCTCATGTTCTGCCCTTTGGTCATGGGTTTCCAAGGTTTACTATATACTAGTAAAAGGACAAATCCTTACCTATTTGAGTATTTCCTATTCTAAAGTTAGTAATTCTAAACTTTGCAACTTGCCCAGTAAGTTAGTATGTGTATCCTTTGCATAAGAGGATGTCACTGGCACCCTCTGTAGAATACTACTCTGGTCCATCCCCACTCCACTCTCTACATCTCTAAGAAGAAATTCTGTGAATTAGAGGTCATTAGAAACATGACTTGTGGCCATATACAGCAATGTTCACTAGTTCACATGAGTATCTATTCCATTATTTAGACTTTCCTTGCCAAACTGGAGTTCCTAGGTAGTATGGTTAATAAGCATTGGGGGTAGTTGGCAAGACGGATGAATAGGAACAGCTCTGGTCTGCATCTCCCAGCAAGATCAATGCAGAAGGCGGGTGACTTCTGCATTTCCAACTGAGGTACCTGGCTCATCTCATTGGGATTGGTTAGATAGTGGGTGCAGCCCAAGGAGGGTGAGCCGAAGCAGCGTAGGGTATCGCCTCACCTGGGAAGCACAAGGGGTTGGATAACTCCCTCTCCTAGCCAAGGGAAGCCGTGAGGGACTGTGCGGTAAGGAACATGCATTCTGGCCCAGATACTATGCCTTTTCTCACAGTCTTCACAACTGGCAAAACAGGAGATTCTCTTGGGTGCCTACACCACTAGGGCCCTGGGTTTCAAGCACAAAACCGGGCAGCTATTTGGGCTGCTAGATGCAGCTTTTTTTTTTCATACCCCAGTGGCACCTGGAATGCCAGTGAGACAAACCATTCACTCCCTTGGAAAAGGGGCTGAAGCCAGGGTGCCACCTCTACGGAGCCCAGCAAGCTAAGATCCACTGGCATGAAATTCTTGCTGCCAGCACAGCAGTCTGAAGTCCACTTGGGATGCTGGCGCTTGGTGTGGGGAGGGGTGTCTGCCCTTACTGAGGCTTGAGCAGGCTGTTTTCCCCTCACAGTGTAAACAAAGCTGCTGAGATGTTCAAACTGGGTGGCAAAGCCACTATAGTCAGACTGCCTTTCTAGATTCCTCATCTCTGGGCAGGGCATCTCTGAAAGAAAGGCAGCAGCCCCAGTTAGGGGTTGTAGATAAAACACCCATCTCCCTGGGACAGAGCACCTGTGGGTATGAGTGGCTGTGGGCGCAGCTTCAGCAGACAAATGTTCCTGCCTGCTGGCTCTGAAGAGAGCAGCAGATCTTCCAGCACAGCGCTTGAGCTTTGCCTCCTCAAGTGGGTCCCTCAAGTGGGTCCCTGACAGACTGCCTCCTCAAGTGGGCCCCTGACCCTCATGCCTCCTGACTGGCAGACACCTCATACAGGCATCTGGTGGGTGCCCCTCTGGGACGAAGCTTCCAGAGGAAGGAACAGGCAGCAATATTTGCTGTTCTGCAGCCTCTGCTGGTCATACCCAGGCAAAGAGGGTCTGGAGTGGACCTCCAGCAAACTCCAGCAGACCTGCAGCAGAGGGGCTTGACTGTTAGAAGGAAAACTAACAGAAAGGAATAGCGTCAACATCAACAAAAAGGACATCCATACAAAAAACCCATCTGAAGGTCACCAGCATCAAAGACTAAAGGTAGATAAATCCATGAAGATGAGAAAAAACCAGTGCAAAAAGGCTGAAAATTCCAAAAACCAGAATGCCTCTTCTCCTTGAAAGGATCACAACTTCTCGCCAGTGAGAGAACAAAACTGGACAGAGAATGAGTTTGATGAATTGACAGAAGTGGGCTTCAGAAGGTGAGTAATAGCAAACTCCTCTGAGCTAAAGGAGCATGTTCTAACCCAATGAAAGGAAGCTAAGAAACTTGAAAAAAGGCTAGAGGAATTGCTGACTAGAATAACCCGTTTAAAAAAGAACATATATGACCTGATGGAGCTGAAAAACACAGCATGAGAACTTCATGAAGCATAGACAAGTATCATTAGCCAAATTGATCAAGTGGAAGAAAGGATATGAGAGATTGAAGATCAACTTAATGAAATAAAGCATGAAGACAAGATTAGAGAAAAAAGAATGAAAAAGAATGAACAAAGCCTCCAAGAAATATGGGAGTATGTGAAAAGACCAAACCTACGTTTGACTGGTGTACTGGAAAGTGACAGGGAGAATGGAACCAAGTTGGAAAACGCTCTTCAGGATATTATCCAGGAGAACTTCCCCAACCTAGCAAGACAGGCCAACATTCAAATTCAGGAAATACAGAGAACACCACAATATACTCCTCAAGAAGAGCAACCCCAAGACACATATTCATCAGATTCACCAAGGTTGAAATGAAAGAAAAAATGTTAAGGGCAGCCAGAAAGAAAGGTCATGTTATCCACAAAGGGAAGCCCATCAGACTAACAGTGGATCTCTCTGAAGAAACCCTACAAGCCAGAAGAGAATGGTGGCAAATATTCAACGTTCTTAAAAGAATTTTCTACCCAGAATTTCATATCCAGCCAAACTAAGCTTCATAAGCAAAGGAGAAATAAAATCCTTTACAGACAAGCAAATGCTGAGAGATTTCATCACCACCGAGCCTGCCTTACAAGAGCTCCTGAAGGAAATACTAAATATGGAAAGGAAAAACTGGCACCAGCCACTGCAAAAATATATCAAATTGTAAAGACCATGGACACTATGAAAAAACTGCATCAACTAATGGGCAAAATAACCAGCTAGCATCATAATGACAGGATCAAATTCACACATAACCATATTAACCTTAAATGTAAATGAGCTAAATGCCCCAATTAAAAGACACAGACTGGCAAATTGGATAAAGAGTAAGACCCATTGGTGTGCTGTATTCAGGAGACCCATCTCACATGCAAAGACACACATAGGCTCAAAATAAAGGAATGGAGGAATGTTTACCAAGCAAATAGAAAGCAAAAAAAAAAAAGGGGGCGGGGGTTGCAATCCTAGTCTCTGATAAAACAGACTTTAAAACAACAAAGATAAAAAAAGACAAAGAAGGGCATTACATAGTGGTAAAGGGATCAATACAACAAGAAGAGCTAATTATCCTAAATATATATGCACCCAATACATGAGCACCCAGATTACTAAAGCAAGTTCTTAGAGACCTACAAAGAGACTTAGACTCCCACACCATAATAGCGGGACACTTTAATACTCCACTGTCAATATTAGACAGATCAATGAGACAGAAAATTAACAAGGATATTCAGGACTTGAACTCAGCTCTGGACCAAGTAGACCTAATAGACATCTACAGAACTCTCCACACCAAATCAACAGAATATACATTCTTCTCAGCACCACATCTCACTTACTCTAAAATTGACCACATAATTGGAACACTCCTCAGCAAATGCAAAAGAATGGAAATCAAAACAAACAGTCTCTCAGACCACAGTGCAATCAAATTAGAACTCAGGATGAAGAAACTCACTCAAAACTGCACAACTACGTGGAAAATGAACAACCTTCTCCTGAATGACTACTGGGTAAATAATGAAATGAAGGCAGAAATAAGTAACTTCTTTGAACCAATGAGAACAGACACAACGTACCAGAATCTCTGGGACACAGCTAAAGCAGTGTTTAGAGGGAAATTGATAGCACTAAATGCCCACTGGAGAAAGCAGGAAAGATCTAAAATCGACACCCTAACGTCACAATTGAAAGAACTAGAGAAGCAAGAGCAAACAAATTAAAAAGCTAGCAGAAGACAAGAAATAAATAAGATGAGAGCAGAACTGAAGGAGATAGAGACATTAAAAACCCTTCAAAAAATCAATGAATCCAGGAGCTGGTTTTTTGAAAAGATTAACAAAATAGACTATTAGCCAGACTAATAAGAAAACAGAGAAGAATCATATAGACACCATAAAAAATAATAAAGGGGATATCACCACTGATCTCACAGAAACACAAACTACAATCAGATAATACTATAAACACCTCTATGCAAATAAACTAGAAAATCTAGAAGAAATGGATAAACTACTGGACACATACACCCTCCCAAGACTAAACCAGGAAGAAGTCGAATCCCTGAATAGACCAATAACAAGTTCTGAAACTGAGGCAGTAATTGATAGCCTACCAACAAAAAAAGCCCAGGAGCAGATGGATTCATGGCCGAATTCTACCAGAGGTACAAAGAGGAGCTGGTACCATTCCTTCTGAAACTATTCCAAACAATAGAAAAAGAGGGAATCCTCCCTAACTCATTTTATGAGGCCGGCATCACCCCGATACCAAAACCTGGCAGAGACACACACAAAGAAAATTTCAGGCCAATATCCCTGATGAACATCAATGCAAAAATCCTCAATAAAATACTGGCAAACTGAATCCAGCAGCACATCAAAAAGCTTATCATTATGATCAAATCAGCTACATCCCTGGGATGCAAGGCTGCTTCAACATATAGAAATCAATAAATGTAGTCCATCACATAAACAGGACCAATGACAAAAACCACATGATTATCTCGATAGATGCAGAAAAGGCCTTCAACAAAATTCAATAGCCCTTCATGCTAAAAACCCTCAATAAACTAGATATTGATGGAACGTATCAAAATAATAAGAGCTATTTATGACAAACCTACACTCAATGTCATACTGAATGGGCAAAAGCTGGAAGCACTCCCTTTGAAAACAAGCACAAGACAAGGATGCCCTCTCTCACCACTCCTATTCAACATAGTATTGGAAGTTCTGGCCAGGTCAATCAGGCAAGAGAAAGAAATAAATGGCATTCAAATAGGAAGAGAGGAAGTCCAATTGTCTCTGTTTGCAGATGACATGATTGTATATTTAGAAAACCCCACCGTCTCAGCCCAAAATCTCCTTAAGCTGTTGAGCAACTTCAGCACAGTCTCAGGATACAAAATCAATGTGAAAAAATCACAAGCATTTCTATACACCAATAATAGACAGAGAGCCAAATCATGAGTGAACTCCTATTCACAATTGCTACAAAGAGAATAAAATACCTAGGAATACAACTGACAAGGGATGTGAAGGATCATTTCAAGGAGAACTATGAACCACTGCTCAAGGAAATAAGAGAGGACAAAAACAAATGGAAAAAAACATTCCATGCTCATGGATAGGAAGAATCAATATCATGAAAATAGCCATATTGCCCAAAGTAATTTATAGATTCAATGCTATTCCCATTAAGCTACCACTGACTTTCTTCACAGAATTAGAAAAAACTACTTTAAATTTCATATAGAACAAAAAAAGAGCCTGCATAGCCAAGACAATCCTAAGCAAAAAGAACAAAGCTGGAGGCATCACAATACCTGACTTCAAACTATACTATAAGGCTACAGTAACCAAAACAGCACAGTACTGGTACCAAAACAGATACATAGACCAAGGGAAAAGAACAGAGGCCTCAGAAATATGCCATACATCTACAACCATCTATCTTCGACAAACCTGACAAAAACAAGCAATGGGGAAAGGATTCCCTATTTAATAAGTGGTGTTAGGAAAACTGGCTAGCCATAGGCAGAAAACTGAAACTGGACCCCCTCCTTACACCTTATACAAAAATTAACTCAAGATGGATTAAAGACTTAAATGTAAGACATAAAACCTTAAAAACCTTAGAAGAAAACCTAGGCAGTATCATCCAGGACATAGGCATAGGCAAAGACTTCAAGACTAAAACACCAAAAGCAATGGCAACAAAAGCCAAAATTGACAAATGGAATCTAATTAAACTAAAGAGTTTCTGCACAGCAAAAGAAACTATCATCAGAGTGAACACGCGACCTACAGAATGCGAGCAAATTTTTGCAGTCTATCCATCTGACAAAGGGCTAATATCCAGAATCTACAAGTAACTTACACACATTTACAAGAGAAAGACAACCTTATCAAAAAGTGGGTGAAGGATATGAACAGACACTTCTCAAAAGAAGACATTTGTGTGGCCAACAAACATATGAAAAAAAAGCTCATCATCACTGATCATTAGAGAAATGCAAATCAAAACCACAGTGACATACCATCTCACACCAGTTAGACTGGGGATCATTAACAACTCATGAAACAACAGATGCTAGAGAGGATGTGGAGAAATAGGAACACTTTACACTGTTGATGGAAGTGTAAATTAGTTCTACCATTGCGGAAGACAGTGTGGCAATTCCTCAGGGATCTAGAACCAGAAATACAATTTGACCCAGCAATCCCATTACTGGGTATATACCTAAAGGATTATAAATCTTTCTACTGTAAAGACACATGCACACATATGTTTATTGCAGCACTGTTCACAATAGCAAAGACTTGGAACCAACCCAAACGCCCTTCAATGATAGACTGGATAAAGAAAATGTGGCACATATACACCATGGAATACTATGCAGCCATAAAAAGAATGAGTTCATGTCCTTTGCAGGGACATGGATAAAGCTGGAAACCATCATTCTCAGCAAACTAACACAGGAACAGAAAACCAAACACTGCATATTCTCACTCATAAGTGGGAGTTGAACAATGAGAACACATGAGCCCAGGGAGGGGAACATCACACACTGCAGCCTGTCAGGTGGTGGGGGGCTAGGGAAGGGATAGCATTAGGAGAAATACCTAATGTAGATGACGGGTTGATGGATGCAGCAAACCACCATGGCACGTGTATACCTATGTAACAAACCTGCACATGTATCCCAGAACTTAATAATAAAGTAGCATTTTAGGTGAATCTTAGCTAAACTTCTTCAAATGACACTTATTTAAAACTCCATCTGCATTTTGTTTTAGTAAAACTGAATCAGAGTATCTTTACTTCTTTCATGACATTCAATAAAGTTGTCAACATGACCAAAACTGAACTGCCTGTCATGCAATTCACAATCAACTTCTCTTCAGAGCAACACTGAGTCAAGCAAAATGCTTTACCTATTTTACAGATGGAGAAATATAGGTTCTTATATAACGAGGATAAACTCCAGTTTTGTCATTGTTGTTGTTGTTGTTGTTGTTGTTTCTTTCCTTCTCGTTTCTTTTTGTTTTAGAGGCAGTCTTGCTCATGTGGCCCAGGCTGGAGTACAGTGGTACAATCATAGCTCACTGTAACCTCAAACTCCTGGGCTCAAGTGATCCTCCCGCCTCACCCTCCCAAGTAGCTGGGACTACATGCATGCACCACCATGCCTAGATATGCTTTTTTACTTTTATTTTTGTAGAGACAGGGTCTTGCCCAGACTGGTCTTGAACTTCTGGCCTCAAGTATCCTCTGGCCTCTGCCTCCCAAAATGCTGAGATTACAGGTGTGAGCCCCCACGCCCAGCCCCCAGTTCTTCTGACCTAGTATTCAGCACACTTTTCAGTCTACTTCATTATTTTTGAAGTAAATAAGGTCTTAAGATCTTCCTTCTGATCATTTTTATGTAATATAGGTATTAACTTGTTTTAATGGCCTTTAATAATTTAAGTAAGAAATATAGAAACATGCCATTGATTGATAATTTTAGTTTTTTTTTGTTTTTTCCATTTTTTTTAACCTTCACTTTATATTCAGACAACCTAATTTTCTTCCAGGCGAGCTACCTTAAATACTTGGTAACTTACTTTTATGTTTCTTTTCTTAAAATAACCAGTAGAGATTTAATAGTATAATTGAGATTAGCTCAGTTCAATGTGTTGTATGTGTGTGTATCTTTTAATGAAAAAAAATCTTTCTGCTTGCTTTTTTTTTGTCACAGAAAACCTAACAGAACTTGAAATACTTGTTTGAAAATTAAGAACAGGTTATTTTAAACTAATCAATGCTATGGAGTTTTATGTCCCTTAAGACTATTATCTCTGGGTAAACATTTTTGTATTACAGTTCTTCTGTGGTAGACATACACTTTCTAAGGTAAATCCTCAGGAAGTGACAGTCTTGTGAAATTAGGAACAAGTATTTACAGGAATTGGCCATAGCTATGTGTAAGCTCAACTCCCAGCTTTAGGTAATTGGTGACAAATAACTCTGAACTTTCTCTGCAAGCACATAGTTTGATTTTCTTCAGAGCACAGATGAACTACAGTCAGACTTAATAATACAGCCTGCACAAACACTGGTTAAATCTGGGTGCCTCAGAGACTGCTTTCATTTTATCCAGCTAATAAATGGCAGAGGACTAAGAGAACGACCTGTGATATCAATTCTGCCCTTTTAACTTGATAAATTCTCACAGATTACTTATTGAAACCACAAGAATAGATGTATATTCTTAAGCTTTTTTTTTTTTACTAGAGCCTCACAAAAGCTAGAAAATATCTGCAATAATTATTTCATGAACACAAGTTTTTTATTTTGCATATTTCAGATATAGGGGTTAATGGGGACCACGGCACAATGAGATGACATATATTAATCCATACAATATTTCCTTGTATATTCACCAATGCTATAAGTAGCAGCTTGAACTTATAGCATTAATGAATATATATGTATTTGGTAAACAGCTTGATGGTTTTTACCTATTATGAAATCATTAGATTTTCACATGTGAATGTGTAGGAGCACTGAATAACCATTTTCAAACCCACAGAATAAATTCCAGACTCCATGCCTTGTTCCAAAAAGTCTAGACACTGCATCACCACGGTGTTGTGTGAAGAAACAAAAAAAAATTGTAAAATTGGAACAGAACCGTGTTTTTGCCTATTTCAGTTGGGACAAATGGTTTCTATTAGTGTGGAATCATTGATTATTTCTGTGGAAACAAACAAAGAAAACCCCAAATTATTAGTTCTAGATTTACACTCTTTTCCTCCACTAAAGCAAAACAAAACAAACATATTTTATATATTTCCTGTGAGGAAACTTTTTATTTTAATTATTTATAGAGCCAGGGAGGGGCAAGGAAGTTCCTGCATTTCAATATTTGAAATTTCAGTTTTTGGAATTTCCTAAAATAATTGATCAAACTAATTTGAAGTTATCATTGTACCATTTAAATTTTAAATTGGTGCTTCCAGTCCTTGCTATAAAACTGATGAAGCTGGTTAACGAATTTCAGAAAGGAGAGTTTTTCAGGTCGCATCAAACCCGGAAAGTCAATGAGAACAATAGAGGGAAGTTGTAAAAATGCACCTCTGAAAGGAAGTTGAACAGAAGAAAACAAAGCTTGTGCTAGATGATGCTAAGAGCATGCCATGTGAGTTACTTTCAAAAGCAAGTAGTTCAAAATTTCTTTTAACAAAGAAAGCTTGGGGATATAGGGAGTAAACTGAGTTACGATTTGTCAGAGTTGAGTGAGTAGCTGAAGGAGAGGAGCGGTATTACCTCAAGCAGAGGTATTCCACACTTTTGAGGGTCACATTTTTAGATTTGCATAATTCTATTATTTCTGAATTGAGGCACAATGTCTGAACCTGGTTTGGCAAATTGATACCATTTCACATGCTTGCTTTGATTAATTAATTAGTAATATCTGCCTCAAGTGAAATTCTAAGAATGTTTTATATGTCATCATGTCACTCAAGGGATGAGAGACCATGCACAGAGAGGAGGAGATCTTGAGATATTTTCCTTGAGCGTCGAGTGTCCCTACTAGGGCATGGAAAGGATGGACTCCTACCTGGACCCCTACTGTTCAGTTCTTCCTATATTCTTTCTACTTCTGTCAGTGGAATGTATAATGGATAATGAACTAGATCTCTATCCAGACTAGTAACAGTGTATGCATTCATAATGCTTTATATTAGTTTTAGTATATAAAGGAGGCTATTTGCTTAAGGTACTAATATAGAAATAACAAAGTAGACAGTTATAAATGATGAAATGATCATCCAGGAGGTGAATACAGAGCAGGATATACTTCTACTGGGAGTGAAAGTACTTAAAGAAGGAAGAAGGCCAGTTAGTGGGCTTGACAGGTATATTATTCCATTCAGTCTCCCAGAATATCACTAAACATAACCCACAGATAACTGTGCATTAAACTATTAAAAAAGAAATACAGAGAATTATTGTATTCGGGAGTGAGGGTCATTTGCTAGTGGCATACAAAATTGTATCTCTATAAGTCAACAAGAGAAAATTAAAATGAAAATTAAATACTACATATATATATATCATCAAAAACCAAAATAACTAGAAATATGAGAGAAGGCAATGAAAACTTCTATATTACAAATTAGAAAATCTTGATGAAAGAAATTAAATAAGACCTAAATATATTCAGAGATATGCCACATTCCTCAATTAGAAGACTCAGTCCTCTTAAAGTGTAAATTTTCCTTACAAATTGCAATCCCCATTGAAATTCAAGCAGATTTCTTAGTAGAAATAAACAAGCCCATTCTAAAATTTATATGGAAATACAAAGGACTTAGAATGTGGAAGAAATTTCTGCAGGCAAAAAATCAAAGTTGAAGCATGTATACTACTAGATATCAATAGTTACTGAAAAGTCACAGTAATTAAGATAGTGTGCTTAGTGTCATATTGCAAGAATAGAAAAATAGACTAATGGAACAGAATAGAGAGACTACAAGGGATCTCACTATATGATTTCTTAGAACTGCATGTGAATATTCAATGATCTCTAAAAATTTTATTAAAAAACAAGACAATGAAAAATTTATATATATAGTTGATGTAAACGATAATATGCATATTAAAACATGATTGATCTCACTCACTGGTCATTAGAAAAATGCAAGTTAAAAATATTATGATATAACACCCTACTCCAACCAGACTGGCAAAAATGAAAAAGGCTCACAATACCAAGTGTTGGTAAGGATGTGGACAATAGGAACTCCTATATACTGCTAGTGGGAGTTTAAATTGTAAAATTGTTTGGCATTGTCAATTAAGCAGAACATTTGCAGAACTCATGACCAAGCAATCACACTCCTATGTATGTATCAACAGAAATTCTTACAAATATACACCAAAAGATAAGTATAACATATTTAAAGTAAAATTATTTATAATGATTCTAAGCTGGAAGTCACCTAAATTTCATCTACAGTAAAGTATATAAAATATAAAGCATATATAAAATATATAAATATATAAACGTATTTTATATATAAAATATATAAATATAGAAATGTATTTTATATATAAAATATATATAGAAACATATTTTATATATAAAATATATAAATATAGAAACGTATTTTATATATAAAATAAATATAGAAACGTATTTTATATATAAAATATATAAATATAGAAACGTATTTTATATATAAAATATATAAATATAGAAACGTATTTTATATATAAAATATATAAATATAGAAACGTATTTTATATATAAAATATATAAATATAGAAACGTATTTTATATATAAAAATATAAATATATAAACGTATTTTATATATAAAATATATAAACGTATTTTATATATAAAATATAAAACAATGAGAAACAAAGTGCTCTATAAATATGGATGGGTCTCACAGATACAATGTTGAATTAAAGAAGGCAGACATAAAAGGTTTTACACTGTATTATTCCATTTTTCTTAAAGCTTAAAAATAAGACAAATTTATGGCAATGGAAATTAGGATTTTTTTATACTTTTGTGGGGATTATAAAAGGGGCAGGAATATAAGGGAGGTTTCTGTGATAAGACCCTTTTATATGTTGATGTGGATGATGGATCCATGAATGTTTACACTTTGTAAAATTTATTGAGCTGTAAATTTGTGAATTGTGTATTTTTTCTGTACATGTGTTATACTTCAATAAAAGAGCTTTTAAAAAACTGACAGAAAACAAAAAATAATGACTTTAGATAAGAACAGGGGCAATTTATTCATTCAAAAGGATACAATTAATAGATTCAGATGTGAAAAGATTGGGAGATTTGTAAGGTACCAACGTTCTCTTTTCATCATTTCTATATATGAAGCAAGATGTGAGGTGAAAATGAAAGGTGGTGGGCTTGGCAGTGAGAAAGAAGGTATAAAATGGTTGTCTTGAAGAGCAGGAGAGTGAATGGACCAGGGTTATGTAATAAGATTTCTAGGAAGTGTTGAGGTAACATTTAAGTCTTATGGTTACAAAATCAAGGTAAAGACCGTCAACATAGTGGCATTTTACTCTAGCCATATCCAGCTGTTCAAAAGAATGGAGCAGTCTGAGAATGGAATACAAGTGAGATCCAAGTTTTACTGGAAGAAGATGATGGAAGAAGAGTTAGCCAGGGTAGGTGAAGCACAGGAAAGACAGTGATTACTATCTTTTACTATGGAATCTAAGTTAGAGATGGATGTGAGAAAATGAAGAGGGAAAAGTACTGAAAGAGGGGGCAACAATAAACAGAAAAGCAGGCTTAGCAGTGTCAAAGAACTGTTGCCATAGGGTCATGAAAGAAGTGTGTGGAAAGAAGGAGGTGGTCATCAGAATGTGATATGTGTGAAACTGAGTGCTTAAAATTGAGATTTAGAGTGAGCACAGTAATTGCTAAAGATAAATTCTAGGATAGAATAGAGAAAGGTCACCAGAAGTGAGGAGCTCAGGAAATTGAGAGGCCAAAGTGTTGTTTTGTTAAATTCCAATAAAGGATACACACACCTAATTCACTTACTAGGAACATTCAGTCAGAAACGTTTAAATCCCTATTATATGCCAAGTATTATGTTGAGAAGCCATATACTATGGCAATAAAGCATAGACTGGGTAATAGGACATGATAAAACCCAGAAAAAACTGGTTGAGTTACTAATACATTGGGTATCCTGGAGAACTCATTTCTCCTTGTTAATCTTACATATATAAAGCTATTTAATTTTAGGTATTATTTATCATTGCCAATATTACATTCACCATAGTACCCAGGAACCAAGTAGATAATCAAATTCCTGCAAATTGGATCTTTCGTATTGTTACTACTTTCTTCTTAGTGTTTCTATTTCACATTTGAATTTCTTGTCTGCTCATACCCTCTTCAGTGTTCCTTAACATTCTGTTTTCTTTTTGCCATATTAGTCTGGTTTGTAAATAATAAAGAATTTAAAAGTGCCTGTAAAGTGGTGACCTCCTTAAATAAGAGAGTCTGTTAAGGTCAAACCAACATTTATTATCAGTCTTTAAATTTGAAATAATCAAGAAATTAGTTTAACTGGCCTGACTGATCTATTATCTAGTTAGTTCTTCCAGAAACTAATATGAACACATAAACAACTAATGTCCTTAGCCTCTTTAGGTTCATTTAATTTTGTCTGTCGACTAGGCTTGCTTCTTTATTTTGGAAATGAAAGAACTGAGGGACTTCATCAAAAAGACAAAGGAACGAAGAAATCCTCAATGTGCCTGGAAGCTTTGTTGTTTTCTATTTAAGTTCTGTGACTAATGCATTAGATTGGGCTTGGTAAAGATGCTTTAGCCAAAGAGAAAGGGAACTTATTCAAACTGCCACACACAGAGTAAATTCCATTTCCACACAAAACATTTCCTTTTGATGGTCTCCAGCCCACACATCGTGAATGCCAATCATCCCAGTGGACTCAAGTAAATGATGCAACTAAACAAGAGAAAATGTTGAAGGCATTCCTTAATGTTTTCTGAAACAGAGCTCAGCCTCTAAAAGGGTCAGTGATATTATTTTTTAATCTGTTTTTTTAGTCAAGAGATTTTCAGAGACAGAACTTGACTTACTCAACTATTTTGAATATTCATATTAGAGGTTGATCCAAGATGGGTGGTGAGCAAATGAAGACAGGGAGAAAATGGAGAGAAGAAAAGAAGAGGCAGCAACATTCTAAATAAACAGAAAGTAATAGAAAACAAAAAGTTGGAAACTGCAAACAACAGGGCATAAAGCTATCTGATTAAAATACCTCTGGGAACTGTGCATATTTAGAGGGAAACAATTAAATGGTACTACTCTATCCATGTGAGTACAATTTGGGCAATATAAAAACAAAATGAAAAAGTCTCTGCAAGCCCTCTTTTTTCCAAGACTGTGAGGAGTTCAAAGTAAAGAAACAAAAGCAAAAAAAAAATAGAAAGGAGAACTGGAAGGAAATCGACCCTCTGGTGCCAGAGTCCAGATTCCACTCCTTGCCAAAGGAATTGAAGAATAGTTAGTTTGATGATAACCGTCAAGCAATGAAGAAGCAAAGTATGTAATTGTGGGGTAAATTTTATTCCACTCCCATTCAATTCTTAAAATCATTGTGACCTACATCATCTCAATTATGTTTGGCTATTCCAAAATCCACTTGCTCACAGTTAAGAGCATTTTCTTGCTAACCTCCTCCTTCTGGCCTTTTTTGTTTCCACTGTGTTCAAACTTTTTTTTTAATCCACCTACAACACAAATCCAAAACCTGTCTCTCAATCTGAGTCCAAATGCTAAATTCCTGTATGTTGCCTTGCTTCAGTCCCCCATTGGGAAATGGTAACTACCTCTTATGACATCTAACAGCTTTTTCTCTGTACCTCTGCTAAAGCTCTTAGCAGTCAAACCAGGTAAACTAGAAAGACCATGCCTAATTCGTTATGGTTGGTAGTTAATATATATTTGTTGAGTGAATGAATGAATGAGTGAGTGAATGAATAATTAAGCACTCTGGGTAAAAAGCTTAAGGTTTTCAAGGAGAACATAAAAAATTAAAGGAGAATAAAGTCCGTTAAAAAAGCAGGCTTCTTTTTTTAAATTGAATAATTAAGGGTGAGAATTAAAGGAAAAATATTAAAATTAAGAGAAAAGGAATTCTGAACCAGTAAAAAAATTCCCCTATACCTAACATATTTGAGAAGAAACTGGAGCCACTTATGAAACAACTTAAAATGAAAAACAAACAAACAAACAAACAAGTGTATTAGGACAAAAAGAAGCAGGATACCAAATGTATAAGTAAGATCTTCCATCATAGGAAGCTCTTGACAACATGGGGCTGTGGAGTACTCTGTTAAAAGGCATTCTGAAGTGAGGCCAAGGCTGAAATCATTGGTAATGAAATAATGTAGTTTTGAGGAGGTGAGAAGAGATGAGTAGTGGGCCAGGGTGGACAAGTGAGTCCAAGAGAGGAGGCAGTTATAAAGCGGGGAATGGGATAATCTTGTCTTTCTAAGAAAGATGGGAAGAGAGAAGACACTGGAGGAGCTGGAGAAGTGAGTCCAAGAGAGGAGGCAGTTATAAAGCGGGGAATGGGAGCATCTTGTGTTTCTAAGAAAGATGGGAAGAGAGAAAACCTGAAGAAGCTGGCGGGAAGACGGAGGAGAGAGGAGCCCATGAGTGGTATGGGCCTGAAATTCCACTTTGGTGAAGCTATTAAAAGGCATTTAAACCACAGAGATGTAGCTTTATATTCAAGTTGAAGTTATTGGAACGAACAATATGTTTCGATTCCTGAACACATCCCAAATCTTCATTAATGTGACTCTGAGTGGGATTTTTATGAGAAAATTGAAAAAAGATTAAATTTTACATCAAAATCAACCTAGAATAAAGAGAGCAAATAAAAGTGATTATTAATGCCCTTGAAAACTCAAATACATGTTGCATAAAGCTTTGGACTTCTAAAGGGTATGGGATTGAGGATTTTAGACAATCATCTGGTTTCAAAATATTGAGAGACCCAGTGATATCTCAGTTACATTCTCAAACAAAGAAAATAAATTGGATATAATCAACTCAAAAGGACAAATCTTAATATCTCCCATTCACTGGAAAAAATAAGATATAAAGGGTCTGAACATTAAGAGAGGCGTGTAAGAATTAGCTTCGAAAAAAAATAAAACTAATGAAATAAATAGATAAGCAAACCAGAAGTGCTCATTATTGGGTGGTAGCAAAGAAGAAGGCAGCCAAAATCAAACAAAAAGAAAAAGCAATACAGATATCATATTACTCTTCATTTTTATCTCCTAATTTTCTTGATCTGGTCTCACCTAGTTTCTTGGTCCTTGAATGCTATATCCTAGAAAACATTAGTTTCTGTTTAGGGCCTGGGGACACTCCTTCACTAACTCACAGGCTACTACGGACAGTTTTTCCCAAAAATGTTAACTACATATTTTTCTAGAGTTTTGCCCAATGAAGTCATGTTTCCTACATTATATACAATTTTTACTGAAAACCAATTATATTTAAACTGCTGTAAGTTTTAAAGTGGTGGATATAAACGAACATCCTCTTTAATGAATTTCATACACACTTATAGAAAATAAAAATATGTAGGTTTGAATTTCCTAAAAATACTCTTAAGTCTTGTCTCAAGGATATTTATAAAACAAGACAGATTTTTAAAAGAGGGATCAATGACTTAAGGTCAAAAGTAAAAATCAATCAAAAGTTGTACACTATAGACAGAAGGATATGAAGAATGATGACAAGGGTGAACTTCTATTTGCATTTTTTTCTTACAACTCAGCATTCATTTCCTATTCTTGATGATAATCCACATTTCTTTTGAAAATCCTATGACCCCCATTTCACTACCATGTAGTTACAATGTGATTGGCTCTACAGTTAGTGTATCCTGATCATTTGTTCAGAAATAAATGAAAATAGCCCTAACAGAGCCAATGAAACTTGATGTTTACTTAAGCTACTGGAAAGGAAAACATTCTCTTTTCCATACAGAGACACCTGGAAATGACCTATTCTCTTCCCTAGCATGGTGTAGTGTAAGCTTATGGGTCAGCGACTCTGTTACCATGATAGAGAGGACATAGATTTGTCAGATGTGAGAATATGGAATGTGAAGACAAATGCAAATGAATATAAAGAAAAAAACATGTAGTGATATCATTTGAGGCAGCTCTTGCTATTGGCTTTTTATATACATGAATCAATCAATTTCTTTTAAAATTAAACCATTTTGTGCTGGGTGTTTAACTGTTCTTTGTGGTTGGGGAGATCATATGAATTTAGAAGGGTAAATTAAGCAAGAGACGAAATCAGTTAAAAAGAAATACACAACATTGTCAACTCTGGTAGAATTATCCAAAATCGTTATCAGACCAGGGATAATCTTAGAGCCTTGTCTATTAGGCATTTAATCTTCCTTTTTCCTGTCAATCAGACTCAGTTGCCAATAGAACCTTCTCCAACATTGATATTTGACTATCCATTTAAAATGTTTATCCAAATCCAATTTGCCTAATTACTTTAATTATTTTCACCACTGTCTATGATAACTCAAAACTTTTCATGATTAAGAGACTCTAATTAAGCAGAAGTTTTTGAGATCTCTTAGGACAGCTATATGGAGAATGACCACCATCACTCTGCGTCTGTCTTACAATTAAATATCCATCACAGCGTGTGAAATTCCATCACTAGGGTCAAATGTTAACGCATTCAGGTATCATGGTGGACGGAAGGCAGAACTAGATTGCAGCTCCGGACAGAGCAGCATGCGGAGGCTTGCACTGTGAATTTTAGCTCTAGATCGACTGCAAGAACAAACCAGCAATCCTGAGAGGATCCACAGACCCTCTGAAGGAAGCGGACTGCTCCTGCAGGACCCAGGAAGCACCCTAAATACTGTGAGTGCCCCAACTGAGGAAGTGGGAACGGGACACCCTCCTCTCCTGAGCACACACCCCCACTGGAGAAGCTGAAGGTCTGTTTGTGGGAGAAGTTTCCGACTTTACCTGGAGCTGAGTCAAGTTAAGAGAGCCGAGCTGAGTGAAATACAGGGATAGAGGAAGCAGCAGAAAGGCCCTGGGAGCTCACCGGGTCCTCAAGCAGCCCATTCCTGCCTGGCACCACAGGGATCCAGCAGGAGGGTGGCCAGAGGGGCAGGAGCTAAAACTCCACTGGGAGAAGGAATTCTCTATCTGAAATTTGTAACAATTTGAATGGGGAGAGAAACCCCCGGCCAGAACTCAGGGGAGGGCATGAATCTGGCTAGCGGACTTCACAGGCAGGGGAAGATCTAAAGCCCTTTTCCTTTGCAGCTGGGAGGCAGAAAGCCTCGGGCAAGTTTTCAAGCCTGTCTCGCCCTCCACCTGGAAACAGACTGTTACGGGGGCAGGCCGGGTGGGCAGCCGTGGGAGTGAGTCCTGCCCTCTGGGATATCAAAACCTCTGGGATACAGCTAAGGTGGTGCTAAGAGGAAAGATCAAGCCCTAAATGCCTACATCAAAGAGTCTGAAATAGCACAAACTGACATTCTATGGTCACACTTTACAGAACTAGAGAAACAAGAACAAACTAAACCCAAACCTAGCAGAAGAAAGAAAATAACCAAGATCAGAGCAGAACTAAATGAAATTAAAACAAAACACAAAAATACACAAGATAAATGAAACAAAAATCTGGTTCTTTGAAAAGATAAATAAAATTAACAGGACATTAGTAAGATTAACCAAGAAAAGAAGAGAGAAAATCCAAATAACCTCACTAAGAAATGAAACAGTATTACAACTGACACCACTGAAATACAAAAGATAATTCAAGGCTACTGTGAACACATTTACACACATAAACTAGAAAACCTAGAAAAGACGGATAAATTTCTGGAAAAATACAACCCTCCTAGCTTAAATCAGGAAGAATTAGATGCCCTGAACAGACCGATAACAAGCAGCAAGATTGAAACAGTAATTAAAAAATTACCAACAACAACAAAAAGTCCAGGCCGGGCACAGTGGCTCACGCCTGTAATCCCAGCACTTTGGGAGGCTGAGGCAGGCAAATCACGAGGTCAGGAGATCAAGACCATCCTGGCTAACATGGTGAAATCCCGTCTCTACTAAAAATACAAAAAATTAGCCGGACATGGTGACACACACCTGTATTCCAAGCTACTCAGGAGGCTGAGGCAGGAGAAGCACTTGAACTCGGGAGGCAGAGGTTGCAGTGAGGCCAGAGACTGTCTCAAAAACAAAAATAAAAACAAAAACAAATCCAGGACCAGACGGATTCATAGAAGATTTCTACTAGACATTCAAAGAAGAATTGGTACCAATCCTTTTGACACTATTCCACAAGATAGAGAAAGAAGGAACCTCCCTAATTCATTCCATGAAGACAGCATCACCCGCTAATACCAAAACCAGGAAAGGACACAAGCCAAAAAGACAACTACAGACTGATATCCTTGATGAACATAGATGCTAAAATCCTTAGCAAAATAATAGCTAACCAAATCCAACAACAAAATGAGAAGATAATCCACCATGATCAAGTGGGTTTCCTACCAGAGATGCAGGGATGGTTTAACATACACAAGTCAATAAGTGTGATACACCACATAAACAGAACTAAAAACAAAAATCGTGGTCATCTGAATAGATGCAGAAAAAGCATTTGACAAAATCCAGCATCCCTTTATGATTAAAACCCTCAGCAAAATTGGCATACAAGGGACATACCTTAATGTAATAAAAGCCATATATGACAAACCCAGAGCCAACATAACACTGAATGGGGAAAAGCTGAAAGCATTCCCTCTGAGAACTGGAACAAGACAAGGATGCCCACTGTCACCACTCCTCTTTAACATAGTACTGGAAGTCCTAGCCAGAGCAATCAGACAAGAGAAATAAATAAAGGGCATCCAAATCAGTAAAGAAGAAGTCAAACTGTCCGTTTGCTGAGAATATGATTATTTACCTTGAAAACCCTAAGGACTCCTCCAGAAAACTCCTAGAACTGATCAAAGAATTCAGCAGTTTCTGGATACAAGGTTAATGTACAAAAATCAGTAGCTCTTCTATACACCAACAGTGACCAAGTGGAGAATCAAATCGAGAACTCAACCCCTAGCTGAAAAAAAATACTTAGGAATATACCTAACAAAGGAGTTGAAAGACCTCTACAAGCAAAACTACAAAATATTTCTGAAAGTAATCATAGACGACACAAATGGAAACACATCCCATGCTCATGGATGGGTAGAATCAATATTGTGAAAATGACCATACTGCCAAAAGCAGTATTCAAATTCCACAAAATCCCCATCAGAATACCACCATCATTTTCACAGAGTTAGAAAAAACAATTCTAAAATTCATATGGAACCAAGAAAGAGCCCATATAGCCAAAGCAAAAATAACAAATCTGGAGGTATCGCACCACCTGATTTTAAACTATAAGGCCGTAGTCATCAAAACAGCATGGTACTGATATAAAAATAGGCACATAGACCAATGGAACAGAATAGAGAACTCAAAAAATAAACCCAAATACTTACAGCCAACTGATCTTTGACAAAGCAAACAAAAACATAAAAGTGGAAAAAGGACACCCTTTTCAACAAATGGTGCTGGGATAATTGGTAGCCACATGTAGGAGAATGAAACTGGATCCTCATCTCTCACCTTATACAAAAATCAACTCAAGATGCATTAAGCACTTAAACCTAAGACCTGAAATTATAAAAATTCTGGAAGAATATTGGAAAAACCCTTCGAGACATTGGCTTAGGCAAGGATTTCATGACCAACAACCCAAAAGCAAATGCAATAAAAACAAAGATAAAGTTTTTTGGGCTTAATTAAACTAAGATGCTTTTGTACAGAAAAAGGAACAGTCAGCAGAGTAAACAGAAAACCCACAGAACGGGAGAAAATCTTCACAATCTATACATCTGACAAAGGACCGATATCCAGAATCTACAGTTAACTCAGACAAATCAGTAAGAAAAAACCAAACAATCCCATCAAAAAGTGGGCCAAGGACGTGAATAGACAATTCTCAAAAGAAGATATACAAATGGCCAACAAACATGTGAAAAAATGCTCAAAATCACTAATGATCAGGGAAATGCAAATCAAAACCACAATGCGATACCACCTTACTCTTGCAAGAATGGCCATAATCAAAAAATAAAAAAAACCAGTAGCTGTTGGTATGGGTGCAGTAATCAGGGAACACTTCTAAACTGCTGGTGGGAATGTAAACTAGTAAAGCTGCTATGGAAAACAGTGTGGATATTCCTTGAAGAACTAAAAGTAGAACTACCATTTGATCCAGCAATCCCACTACTGGTTATCTACCCAGAGGAAAAAAATAATTATTATTATTCAAAAAATATACTTGCATATGCTTGTTTATAGCAGCACAATTCACAACTGCAAAATCATGGAACCAACCCAAATGCCCATCAATCAACAAAGCGGATAAAAAAACTGTGGTATGTATATATGATAGAATACTACTCAACCATAAAAATGAATGAATTAACAGCATTTGCAGTGACCTGGATGAGATTGGAGACTATTATTCTAAGTGAGGTACTCAGGAATGGAAAATCAAACATGTTATGTTCTCACTGATGTGTGGGAGCTAAGCTATGAGGACAAAAAGGCATAAGAATGATATAATTGACTTTGGGGACAAAGGGGGAAGAGTGGGAGGGGAGTGAGGAATAAAAGACTACAAATATGGTGCAGTGTATACTGCTAGGGTGATGGGTGCACCAAAATTTCACAAATCACCACTAAAGAACTTACTCATGTAACCAAATACCACCTGTACTCCAATAACTTATGGAAAAATAAAATAAAATTAAGAAAATTAAAAAGAAATGTTAATGCATTCAGAAATTAGTATTTTACCATACAATTGGCCCCCAAGAAGGAGTTGGGAGACTCCCGAGGAAAGGTTACCAGTTAGTTTTCATGAAGGAAAGAAGAAACTGTAGACAACAACTGATTAGATAGCCTCCAGAGGTATAAAGTTCAGAAAAAGAAAGTTTTTAGAAAAGCCCGGGAGAAGAGAATATAAAATGGTGAATGAGTATAATAGAAATGGGATATTGGATAGTCCCAGACTAACCAGTTTGTTTAAGCTTATCCTGCACATGCCACTAGATCTAATGTATCCTGGCACTGTATTTCTGCTATCATACCACTCTACTTTCTTACCTGATTGGATTTCCCTTTCCAGTGTTAATAAACGTTGGAGTCCTCTACATACCATTCATTTAATTCTTCTGTTAATTTTTGGAGACTGACTTTTTAAAACTAAATTTCACATGGTGCTTGTGATCCAAATACCCTATTTCTATTAGATACTTCACATAATTTCTGAAGTCTTATGTTATACTTCACACACTATTTTAAATATCAAAAATGACAACAAAGTATAGGAAGATCTGATATAACTGGGTTTTTAATAAGCATTTCAGAAACACACTTCGTGGTGGATTCCTTTTAATCCATATTTTCTGAATTATATTCTATGGAAGATGTGTTCCAATAAAATTTTTACAGGTGTTCTACATACAATGAAATCTGAGCAAACAAATTTGAAATATGATGAAATAAGCCAAGCTAAATAGGTTTTCAGTTTTTCTTGGAGGTGTGAGTTACTTTTTCTCTTGTCCTCCTTCATTCTTTACATCCATTTTCTTCCTTTATGTACTCAGCCTTTAATACACTTTTTTTTTTTTTTTTTGGAGGGGGCAGCCTGGTTCTGTCACCTAGCCTGGAGTACGGTGGTGGGATCTTGGCTCACTGCAACATCTGCCTCCAGGGTTCAGATGATTCTCCCACCTCAGCCTCCAAGTAGCTGGGATTATAAGCACGCGCCACCACACCCAATTAATTTTTGTATTTTTAGTGGAGATGGGGGTTCACCATGTTACCCAGGCTGGTCTCAAACTCCTGACTTCAAGTGATCCACCTGCCTTGGCCTCCCACAGTGCTGGGATTACAGGCATGAGACACCGAGCTTAGCCAATGTGAAAATGTTCATTGTGATTCTCTTAAGTGTTTGTAAGAAGACAAAAACAGTCTGCTACATTTCCCAAAGGTGGTAAATCTTATACGTTTTTTGTTTAAGTACAACACTAATATCTCATAAGACTGAGAGGAATCCTTTAGGATCCTTTCAAACTTTCAAACTTGGCTTTACATTGTAATCACCTGGGAAGATTTAATAAACTACTGATGCTTGGATCCACCCACGGATATGCTGATTTAATTGGCCTGGACTGTAACCTGGGCATTCGGGCATTTAATGCTCACATGGTGATTTTACTAGGCTACAAAATTTCAGATCTCTTACTCTAGGGAATGTTTGGGAAATGATGTTTAAATATGTTCCCTAAGGAAATCTATATGACCAAAAGATAAATCAAATTTAAGTTATAATTTTGTGTTGAGTACTTTGCATTTTGATCATTTTTCCATGGGATTTTATCTTGCATTCTGAACAGGAAAGTAAAACAGAAAAAAAAAAAAATCTCCAAAGTAACTGGAAGCAATTGTGAAGGGCACAGGGGATACAGAACTGGAAGCAATGTGAAGGGCACAGGAGATAAGTAAATATATGCACAATAAAATCTATTTCCAGTTCTATGTAGGATTTATTCTACAGGCACTGAGAGAAAAATAGAAGAAAAAAAAAAGGAGCTGTCCTCATTAGCTGTGAGTCAAAGTGAATCAGTAGTCAAGGAAGGTTAATTTGACTGTGACATTTGGGCCTCAGTTGAGAGATTTATTTCTAGTTTTATATATTTTATAAATACAAACAGTGAATAATCAGGATTAGATGCTTTCAGTTATGAAAAGAGTCTTAATATCCAAGCAAGATGTAATCCTCTTAGCTGGTATTGACACCAGTGGAAAATAAAAAGGGCCAATTTAGTTACTGCCCTAATTACTAGAGGTTCAAAGGATCATGCTAGGGATGCAGGGCTTGTTGGTATGGTATTATATATATATATATATGAGTCTTGACCCATATTAAAAACAGAGCTTTAACTCAGTAAAACCTATATAAAGTAACCATGTAGAAACACTAGGATTTCATACCCATACACCCCACCTCAGTGCCGTTATGTTTATAAACAATTGTGCCTCCCTCCTCTTCAGACCAAGAGATGAGGAATGAGCTATCATGCTGGTTTTAGACCTCTAGAATTCTAAAAGTTATAACCAACTATTCCATAGCGGATACACATACTATGCGAAGGTACTGATCATTGGATTTCATTTTTTCTAGGACTTCCTACTTATATCATTTTATCCTGATAGTTTTTATTGTACTGGATAAACTCAAATAGGGATTTATTTATTTTTCTCCAAGGGGACCAATACACTCATTTCCAACCTAAGTGAAATTATGTCAGTCTTCAAAAAAAGTCATGCAAAAGGAAGGAAATCATAAAAGAAAGATATGTATATATATCTTATTATATATACAATATATAATAATATATTATATATACACATATATAATATATTATACATACAAAATATATATAAAAATATATAATATATATATTATATATATTAATATATATTATACATATATATGTATAATTCTGGAAGGAAGGAGTTTGACTGATAAAGAAAAATTAACATTCTACACAAGACTAAAATGTCTACTGTCAGTTTAACTCCCTCCTGATTAGATTTTGCTGTGTCCCCACCCAAATCTCATCTTGAATTGTAGTTCCCATAATCCTCACATGTTGTGGGAAGGACCTGGTGGGAAGTAATTGAATCATGGGGGCAGCTACCTCCATGCTGTTCTCAGGATAGTGAGTGAGTTCTCATGAGATCTAATGGTTTTATAAGGGGTTATTTCCTTCTTTGCTTGGCACTTCTTCCTTCCACCATGTGAAGAAGGATATATTTCCTTCACCTTCCACCATGATTGTTGTAAGTTTCCCGAGGCCTCCCCAGTCCTGCAGAACTGTGAGTGAATTAAACCTTTTTCCTTTATAAATTACCCAGTCTCATGAAGTTCTTCATAGCAGCATGAGAACAGACTAGTATAGTAAATTGGTACTGTGTAGTGGGGTGCTGCTGTAAAGATACCTGAAAATGTGGAAGCAACTCTGGAACTGGGTAACACGTAGAGGTTGGAACAGTTTGGAGGGTTCAGAAGAAGACAGGAAGATGTGGGAAACTTTGAAACTTCCTAGAGACTTGTTGGATGGTTTTTACCAAAATGCTGATAGTGATATGGACAATGAAGTCCAGGCTGAGGTGGTCTCAGACGGAGATAAGAAATTTCTTGGGAACTAGAACAAAGGTGACTCTTGCCATGCTTTAGCAAAGAGACTGGAGGCATTTTGCCCCCGCCCTAGAGATCTGTGGAACTTTGAACTTAAGAGAGATGATTTACGGTATCTGGTGGAAGAAATTTCTAGGCCACAAAATATTCAAGAGGTGACACAGCATAAAAGTTTGGAAAATTTGCATCTTGACAATGCTATAGGAAAGAAAAACCCATTTTCAGGGAGAAATTCAAGCTGGCTGCAGAAAATTGCATAAGTAATGAGGAGCCAACTGTTAATCACCAAGACAATGGGAAAAATGTCTCCAGGGCATGTCAGAGGTCTACATAGCAGCCCCTCTCATCACAGGACCAGAGGCTAAGGAGGAAAAATAGTCTCCTGAACCAGGCCCAGGGTCCCTTCACTGTGTGCAGCCTAGGACTTAGTGACTTCTGTGTTAGCTGCTCCAGCCATGGCTAGAAAGGGGCCAAGGTACGGCTTGGGCTATGGCTTCAGAGAGTGCAAGCCCCAAGCCTTGGCAGCTTCCACGTGGTGTTGAGCCTGCAGGTGCACACAAGTCAAGAATTGAGGTTTGAGAATCTCTGCCTAGATTTCAGAGGATGTATGGAAAAATCTGGATGTCCAAGCAGAAGTTTGCTGCAGGGACAGAGAACTCTCATGGAGAACTTCTGCTAGGGCAGTGTGGAAGGGAAATGTGGGGTGCGAGTTCCCACACAGAGTCCCCCCTGGGGCACTGCCTACTGGAGCTGTGAAAAGAGGGACACTGTCTTCCAGATCCCAGAATGGTAGATCCACCAACAGCTTGCACTGTGTACCTGGAAAAGCCACAGGCACTCAATTCCAGCCTGTGAAAGCAATTGGGAGGGGAGCTGTTCCCTGCAAAGCCACAGGGGCAAAGCTGCCCAAGGCCATGGGAGCCCACCTCTTGTACCACATCCCTGGATGTGAGACATGGAGTCAAAGGAGATCATTTTGGAGCTTTGAGATTTGACTGCCCCACTGGATTTTGAACTTTCATGGGGTCTGTAGTCCCTTTGGTTTGGCTAATTTCTCCCATTTGGAATAAGTATATTTATCCAATTCCTGTACTCACATTGTATCTAGGAAGTAACTAACTTGCCTTTGATTTTACAGGCTCATAGGTGGAAGGAATTTCCCTTGTCTCTGATGAGACTTTGGATTTGGACTTTTGGGTTAACGCTGGAATGAGCTAAGACTTTGGAGGACTGTTGGAAAGGCATGATTGTGTTTTGAAAGGTAAGGACATGAGATTTGGGAGGGGCCGGGGTGAAATAATATGGTTTGGGTATGTCCCCACCCAAATCTCATCTTGAATTGTAGTTCCCATAATCCCATGTTGCAGGAAGGATCTGGTGGGAGACAATTGAATCATGGGGCAGTTCCTCTATGCTGTTCTTGTGATAGTGAGTTCTCAGGAGATCTGATGGTTTTATAAGGGGCTTTTCCCACTTTGCTTGGCACTTCTCCTTGCTGCTGCCATGTGAATAAGGATGTGTTTGCTTCCCCTTCCACCACGATTGTAAGTTTCCTGAGGCCTCCCGAGCCCTGCAGAACTGTAAGTCAATTAAACCTCTTTCCTTTACACATTACTCAGTCTTGAGTAATTCTTCGCAGCATCATGAAAATGAACTTATATACCTCCCACTGTTTTAATCATTTTATCCTTTCCCCATTCACACACAGCCAATGTTTGTGATTTGCTGATTGGCTTAAGTGGTTCTCAAACTCACCATCAGAATCATGCACCAGAGTCACCTGGAGGCTTTTTAAAAATAAGATGGTTCCACCTCCACCCTCACCCCCTGCCCAACCCTTTTGGGTTCAGTAGATCTGGGTCAAGGCCTGAGAATCTGTATGTCTAACAAGCTCTCAGGAGATGCTGTGCTGCTAGACTGGGATCACAGTTTGAGAACTATTGCTTTAAAAAATTGAACATGCTAAGTCAAAAGCTTGGAATCCTGTGATGTGGGAAAGATTGAGTATCTATTATGACTATGCCAATATCTCATCTAACTCTCATAGTATATCTCTGTGAGTATTGTCATTATCTTCTTTACAGATGGTAAGACAGCTTCAGAGAACCCATACATACAGTCCATGCAAGAGCTGGGATTTAAATGCTCATCTTGTTCAAAACTTGTATTCATTCTTTCACCATATGCTGCCTGCTCAGCATTAAGATGGGATGAGGTACTTCTATTGAGCAGTCGAATTCTTGTATCTTCTCATTATGTCTGGCCATTCAGGAATGAACTATGGTGAAAAAGGGGTAGTAAAGGGAACTCACTGCAGAAATGAACACAAAAGCTGAACTTTCATGCTTTATTTAACAAGAATGCATCAGCTGTACTGCCTACTTTAATACTCATTTTTTAACACACAAATTACTGATTCTAGAATAAGGCCTGTGAAGTTGATATACTTTCCTTTAGCCCACTAACAGCATTTCACTCTTGGTGAGACTGCTAAGAAAAGTTATTTTAGGAACTGGGACCTATACACAAATAGACGCTTTAGCATCACATTAATTTAATTCTTCAAATGAACTTAAAGTCTAAATGGCTTGGTTGACAAGCACAAATGCCGGTAGTGTGAGTTTTAAAGCTAACGGGCACCTTATAAAGTATAAGCTAAGGCAATATAATTCAATTGAGTTTAGAGGATTAAAAAAAAACTCTCAGATTTTGCCTCAACTAGCCAAGTTCGAGGGCATCAATCAAACATACTTTCCTAAAGGGATTAAAATAACAGCAGAGTTTTTTTTTCTGCATGAATGCTAAAGGAATTTAAAAAATACCTAGAATGACTGCTTACTTTACATTTATATCCAGTTTTATAATGAGAAAAATCAAGAGGAAAAACATTTCTTTGAGAGTAAGGAATTCAAGAAACTGAAATCCAAAGACAGGAACAACAAAAAAGAAAGGCTTTCAAAAGATTAATTGATATTTTATCCCTTTGAATACCTAATCTGCAAGAATTTTCAATGTCATTTAGAAAACATTATATTTCTTGCAGACTGTCAGGAAAAAAATAGGACAAAACAAATGAGAAAGAAAGAGGGGAAGACAGCAAACTTTTCTGCTAGATGAAAGGGTGCCTTGTTTGTTCATGGCTGAAAATCACATCTAAGGAAAACCAGCCCTATGTACACAGGCTGGCTGCATTTCTTCAGTAAGCTCTCGATGTAATAGTGTATCACTAACAGACTGAATATGGTGCTATTCCATTTCATTAATGAAAAAGAACTAAAAGACATTACTTGCTCTGATTGCCATTAACAATGATGGTGAGGCACCTGATGTGTGTCCAGAGAATCTGTAAAAGGCATAACATAGGCTATTGAAGAATCTATTTAAAAAAATAAAAATAAAGCAAAGATGCGATGTCATTGGGACCAGTGTATGTTTGCAATGGTGTACGTGTGAGGTATCTTGGCGATGAAAAGAGTATAAAAGTACTTTTACAAGGTGACACTGGGGAATCAATTATGAGGATGTTAGTAAGATAAATGAATATGATGGCTATCTAGGGAAAATAAGAAAATGAAACCTTTCAGATAAGCAACATTGCTGAAGGGCATTCATATTTCTAATAGACACATTGTACATTTCCACCAATATCTTAAATTATTTCATATAAGCATCATTTTCCAATTATTCTACTGTCTCCAAATCCTTTGACATCCTCCCAACTCCATTTTCTTGTCATGAGTCTTTCCTATCCCCTTCAGAAAGCTCTCTGCACTTAGTTGTTCATTCACATTTCCAGACTTCTTGGGAATTCTGAGTCTGTTTTCCTCTTGCTATTTTAATCTTTTGAGGAGAAAGTTAGGATTATGTAGAATGTGTGTCTAACGAATCAGCATTTTTACATATAGGTATCATTTATTCAATCAATGAATATTTAATAAACACCTACCATGGGCCAGATGTTGCTGGATTATGGAGAAATAAGGTAAATATGAATAGTCTCTGCTCTAAGAGTTTATAGCCTTTACTCTAGAGGGGAGAAATGATAATTAAACTGGAAATGGTGATTCAGTGTGCTAAATGTTACAATAAAGGTATTCCCAGACACCTAAGGGGAGAGAAAACTCTAAGACAAGACAAAAGGATAAGGCAACCTTCCAAGAAGAAGAAAACATTTGAGACAATTGCTGTGAAACAAGCCAGCATTAGCAGGTTGAAGAGTAAAGGAAACACATTCTAGATGAGGATTTGCTCATGTTTATCTACTCCCACTTATGCAAAGACCCTGCAGGCTTGGCCCATCCCAGAAACTGAAAGCAGTTCATTATGGCGGGAGAACAGAAGTAGTAACAGATGAATGTGAAAAAGGAGGCATCAGGATCATGAAGGGCCTTGTTGCACAGGCTAAGGACTGAGGATTATGTCCTGAAAGCTGCAAAAGGATTTCAAACATGTCCTGTTTGTTTCAGAAACGTGGCTCTGGGGCTGTAGAGAAAATGAATTGAATGGAAAGAAGGCTTGAATCAGTCCGACCAGTTAGATGGATATTGTGCTAGTCCTGCCAAAGGATGGCAGTTACCTAGAGTAACTTTCTGGAAGAGATACTTTTAAATTTTAGAACTGTGAGAGAAAATTCAGGCATCTGACTAGCCTAGTATTACCTCCCCCACTTTTTCTCTCCACATTTATTAAGAGTAAAAGCCAACATTGAAGTATATAATTGAGGGAGAGTTCTTACTTAAAGACTTATTTAGATCAAAAATTTGAGCTTTAATACCACAAGGGATAAAAGGAATGGCAGAGCCCTTGATCTCCAAACCTCCAGGAACTTATAATCTAAAGGTAGGTTGGAGAGAAGATAGCGAGGAATGTGCAAATATCTCATAGAAGGTGGAATTCATCAGGTGGTAACAGAAAACTTTGAGAGTTTTCAAAATAAAGTGTGAAAATCAGAAAAACTCACAAGATTTGATCCACAGAGATGGCAGGTGTGGCAGGGAAGAAATTCCAGGTGGAAAGTGAGCATGAGCAAAGAAAGCAAGCACTCACCATTAAACACATCTTACAAAGAACTGTGACTAGTGAAAGAAGAGTCGTGAAGCAGACAGAAAGAAAACTAGTTGGGAAAGTAGCTTGAAGATTATACTGTGGCAGGCCTTGAACACAAGGTTGATAAGTTCTTCTCAATTCTTGTAGTATTTGAGTTGTGGCTCTTGACAGATAAAAATAATACACTAGTCATTTCCATTTCCAGAATTTATTTAATTATAGTCCACCTTGCTTCCCAAAACTATTTAAGGCAGCTTTCAAGGTTGTATAAAATATTGCAGTGTCAAATAAGTGAGAAAAATCAGGTGAAGGGAAAGAGAGTAAGATGAAGTGAGCAAACAGGCTAATTAAATAAATGCTATTAAAATGTTACCAGAGTTAGTTAGCAATGATTTATACAAGTCACTGTGTCCATTAGGTAAGAAAATAAGCTAGGTGCATTGAAGAATGATTCCCAATATGGAAGGAAGACAGATGTTTCTCCTGTGAGTCTGAAAGGAGCAGACACTGTGTGGTCTAATGAACAACAGCCTTAATATAGCAAAGCAAGTTTCCAAGGTCTATTTATTATAGTGTCCTTCACACATAAACAAATGGTACTGTGCCAAGGCATACTTCATGAAGAGCTGTTTCACGGGTCCAGTGGAATGCAGTCATCCAGGTAAAACAGCTTTTTTTTAGCTTAATCCAAGGATCTAACTTAGAATATCCAAGGAAAATGGATATACTGCATAAGATCCAAATATTTCTCCAAAAATATCATTTCTCTTAGTCAAGGTTCTGAAAGGTATGAGTGGCAGTGACTTTGAAATTGTTATGTTTCTTAAAAAGTACTTGGAATGTAGCTTTCTTTGCTGCTGGTTACACACAGGACCATATGTTTAAACTATCAGCTGAAATCGGCATTGGATGATAGACTCAAATGGAAGAAGCGAAGAAGAATGAGAACCCGCTGACTCCTTTCAAGACACATACCCCTTCACTTCGATGTTAGCTGCAGGAAGGGCAATATTTCTGTCAGAGAAATTTTAGGTCTCCTCTCAAGCAGAGGCCAGTGAGCAGCTATCACCATACTGTGGTTCTGTGGTATGACATAGTTGTTATACCTGCCTCCTTGTAGAACAATCTCCATAAGCTAACTACAGCTTTAAGTAGTGTAACATTTCTGGTATATACTGGTTATGAGTTAGAGGGCTGCTGTTAGAAAAGATGACTTTAGATTCAGAAATCTGATCTGTATCCTACTTTCTGGCAGTGATCAGATGGTAGGGATAATTATCTACTAAGGTAACTCCTAATTGTTCTATTAACATATTCTTGAAGATAAAATTTTTTAAATGTTAATCTCAAAATTTATTCAAGAATGTGTGTGAAGGATGAATAGGAAAGAGAAGTGCTAGGTGTTGACACCAAAACAACACTCAAATAATAAAACTAGAATGTAATAAGAACCCAGCCTGGACCTGGGTAATAGAATGGAATGGGTATAGCAGATTCAAAATACATTGTAGAAATAGGATCTACATGAAAAAGGAAGATTGCATGTGGCATAGAGTGCACCAAAACACCTCTGAGGTTTTAAGCACCATTGGCTGAAAGAAAAATAACTCACCAATTGGTAAAAGATTTCCTGTCCTACTCTAAGCTTAGTATAATATTAAATCATATGGTTCTCACCCCAAAGAGAAGAGCTATACTCTAAGCTACTGTCAAAGACTCTAACAATCTTAAACTTGTAGCTACACTTAAAACATCTTGGCTTAGATAAAGAATGCTTATAGAGGTTTGCTTGAACCCTAGGGAAGTCTGCAGAAGAAACTGGATTGAGAAGCAAGATTATGAGACATTTGAAATTGTGAACAAGAAGTTTGAACTATAAATGGGCCAGGTAAGAGTGGATAGGGGATATCTAGGAAGTAGTTGGAAACTTTGGCATGAAAAGCAAAATAGATGATAGGATTTAGCAATATAGATTTGGAGGTCATCTATATAACAGTTAAAAGTGAGGAAGCACATGATGCCACTGAGAAAAAAATGAAGAAAAGCAAGGTGTCATAAGACCAGCACCATGAGAATCTTGAGGCAAGAAGGATCTACACATTTCATTAAGCATAGGAAAAATCATCATTGAATAAATATATATTGAATAAGGTGCATCTGGGATAGAGGGCAATCAATGCTATAAGACCATAAAAACAAATTGAGGCAGATGAAATCAAGAACATACAAGGAGGGGTTAACATTGACAAAAAGAGGACTATGGCTTGACAAAAGAGGAAGATAGGAAGAAGGGAAAAATGAAGAAACAAACATTTGAAGATCGGATAAAATGTGGTACTGATCTTCTCATAAAGAAAGAGTCATTTTTTAGCATAAATGGGAAGACTCGTGTTTGGAACTTAAAAAGGTGAAAAAGGTTAAAACAGCTGAAGGAGCATAAATATGAGTGTGGGTCCAGCTGAGCTTATAAAGAACGAATTTGCAGAGGACAAAGAAACTCCCTGCGGAATGATTGTGACAATCAAATGTTACAAATCAATTCACGTAGAGCACTAAGAACAGTGCCTAGAACATAGTATGTATGTGATGAATACATACTATGTGATGAATAAAACACTATTTACCCTCTCTCATGTTTGCATTTATATTTCACCAAGGACATTTAATATTCTGCTATATTTTTGTTAGGCAATATTATAATTGCCCTTGAGATAAGGAAAGAATTTATGGAAATCTTTCAAATAACCTTTAATTAGCTGGAAGCTATTTGCAAGGTCATAGCATTCCCAACTAAACAATTTTCGAAGATTATCAACAATTTTCAGACAAGGCCACTCAAGGACTGTGGTGGACAAAAGAGAGACAGGTACATTCTGCAAACCTAAACAATCAAACATCTCCTTTTTCTGTCTAACATTAATGACGGCTGCATCTTTGCCAATGACAGCTCGAGCCCTTCTTTCTTCTTCCCAACTACTAAATAACACTTAAGACACACAATCATTCAATTGCCCCTCATTTCCAGGTATCACTCAATGTGGAATAAATGGTCACTTCTTCACACCCTTCCCAAAGTCATATTGCACAAGCTCTAATTCTGTAATAAGCCCTTCCAGACTTCCTTTTCTGAGATGCTCCACAGTTCAACTGGTATATATTTTCCCTTGTTTCAGCAAGCTAATGAACTTAACTATGTTTGACTATAGTTGATCCTTGGTTTTCTTTGGCTAGTAGGCTTCAACCCTCCAGAACAAGTATCTCAAGAATCTCAATAATTTTTACCAAATCTTCATATTTTATTTGCTAATGTAACTGCTCAATTATGAATAAAATTCATATTTCCTGGATCTGGAGTCCTGTGCATTCCCGTATCTGAGTCTCTTGGGCAAACTGCTAGACTCAGAGCAGGCACATAAAGTTCCCTGATAAAAAATAATATACTGATATATTCCACATGATCAAAATAAATAAAACTTAGTGGTAGAAAGGAAGGAAGAATAAACAATATCTTGGGTGGCAAAAGCACTTAGAAGTTATATCAGCTTGATTGGGTAAGTATAAGTATTTTGTAATTACAGCTCAGGGAAACAAATCAACAGCAGATTTCATTTTAAGCAGAAAAGTAAAAAAAATGTGTATATAGTAGTAGTCTAAGTTGCAGAAGTTAGACATAATATGTAATTAAAAGTGTATTATATACCGTCCCCTTTCAAATATGTCATATCAGTTCTGTAAACCACAAGAGCCTTGATGTCTCACATAATATAAACTGGGAAGATTTTAGGTTGTTCCAACTGCTGCATGCAAGAAACATAATATATCATTTGAAATGTGATTTCAATACGAAAAGTGGCATTAACTATTGGTTATGGAAATATTGATCTTCTGGTAGGTGGAAAATGGATTTACATAAAATTTAATGAATTTAGGTTATAGAATCACTCAAAAATTCTGCCAATTCTATATAGAGATATAATGTCTCTTTTAATCTTGCTCTAAATGCCATAACGTTGAGATGTGATGAGTAGAGGTGGGGAAAATGTTAGAGGTTACCCCTGCTACTGCTATCATGCATATAATCACCACACTCATTATCATCATCTTTATTTTCATTTTCACACAGTCATGTTTTTCTGGTACATAAATGTCTCCTTAAAACTGTTGCCATTTCAAAGACTGTTATTAAAGTTTTAATAAGTTATAAGTGTAGCAAAGCAACATTTCAAGAAGTTTAGAAATAGAAATTGAAAACACATATGATAATAATTTTATGCATTCTTTTCTAGATTTTTTCATGTGTATGTTTTAGGCCTCAAAATCATAATGATTGTTCACTTTTGTCATCTTTTCACTGTGCATTATGAACATTCTTTTTCATGTTATTAAATATTTATATTTATATTAATTCACCTAGTAATATCATAATAGTTTGGCCAATAAGAAAGATAATATAATTAACTCTCTTACTATTTCTTTTATTTTTAGATATTGAGTTTGGAAACTATTTAAAAAGACTCCTTTCTTTGGATAAGTTAATCTAACATAGCAAATATAAGATTAATGATACTTCAAAAAGTCCTAACACACTTTCCTGAATCCAAAGAAAGGAAGCAGAAAGGAAGCTTCAATTATTTAATATCGATCATGAGTCACGCCCTTACTAGGTACTTTGGACATATCCTTTCAATTAATCCTTTTATTGTTGTGTATATATAAAGGGTAATGAATAGATTATATACTCTCTACTCTTAAGGAGAGAAAAGCTAAGCTTCAGAAAATTTAAGTAACTCTAATTGTTAAATAATTATTAAATAATATGACTCAGAAATCACATACATCCTGTGAATTCTAAAAATCATTTTGATTTTTTCTACCATACTTTTTCCTGTTTAAAACTGCATGTGTGAGAATGAAAACAAACAGTGTCTGGTGGTAAATTTTTAGATAAGATCAACACACAATCAAAATCGTCTTTCATTTTGTCCTTCTCCTAAGATGTTTAGCACACAAACTTCCCATTAGCCCAATAGTATTTCTTCATTTATTTTTTAATAAAGGAATTAGAAGCTTTGTACTTCCAAGTTGAATTTGTGGAAGATTTACAAAATTAAGCACTGCATTAAGAAGCACAATTAAAAATACCAGCAAATCAACAAACAGTTAAGAGCAATAGAGAGAACATGCTACCAGGAACATTTGCAATGTACTCCATCTAATTCCAACTATCCTGATAACCAAGGCTAAGGGAAAATAGATTAAGCTGGGTATTTTACATTGTTAGTTAAAAATAAGTATATTCATTCATCTGGAGAGAGATACTTGCTGAGACACTGAACTCAAGGATCTATTAATCATTTGCTTCTTTATATAAAAGACATTGGGTAAAATAACAGACAATTTGGTTTGCTGTGGCATCTCAAAAGGCTGGTAACATTGTTTAAATGTTCGTGTAATATATTGCTTCTCAAAGAAGAGGTTAAAATGTTAAAATTTTAACTGAGAGAAAACATTTCAATAGGGATGTCCAATTTTATGGTTCGGGCATTTTGCATTCTGATTAACTAATTTAACATAGGGTCTAGAGAACTGTTAACATGTTTATTAGGCAGTATCTCTCCAGAATCAGATGTCTCTCGCATGCCTCTGGCAAGGGCTGAATCATACATAGTCAATTCCTGACTATATTCTCTGACAGGCGCCTCAAGTGCCCACTTTGTGCTGTTGATTTAAAAACGGAACCAAGTGATTTCAGTACCAGATGTGCTGATTCCTGCACACGCAATTAGCTTACTTTAAAGTCCATTGTTGTCTTGAAAGTGCTCTGCTGCGTATTATGTAGGCTCTGCCCTTTTGTAGATGACTGAGGCACTAAGTGATGCTGTGTGCTGCTGCTGCGGGATGCTTTAAGTCAGTTGCTGCCACTCACTGAAAAATTCTACTGCAGAAAGCATTTTGAGAGGCTGCCTTTTGATTTGATGTGTGTGCTGCATCACTAAGCGTCGTTTTTCTCTGTCCTTGCCACAGAGGGTAGTCATATCTCCAGCCATCCCAGGCTTACCCTGTGTAGTGTTCGGCTTTTAGACAAGACCAGGAAAGCTTTCCCTTATAATCGGATGGCAAAGCAGCACACAGTACTCAGGGAAGCAGTTACCCAGGGGGAAATAGAATAGCTAAAATACTGGCAGGTCAAGAGTAATATCAGTGGACACTAATCAACAATCACAACAGTAACAGAAACCGCTGCAGGTGGTGTGACAAAGATGTCAAATATATTTTACTACAAATCTTTTGGGATGATATATTTCTCATCTTTTCTCTAAATTTCTAAAAGTATAGGATTCTAAAGGCTGCCAAGAGGATAATAAACAGAATATATGTTTGATTTTCCTGGTTTTGATGATCCCCTGTTGCTGCTATAAGTCCTAAAAGACCAATATATAATGAAAATATTAAAAAAATATATAAAAAATAAAAATATTCTTAAAGGGTTTTAATATATCACTATTATAATCAATTATTCTGTACACACTAAAACACTAATACATGTTTTTCTCAACCTCCATCTCAATGTCTACCATCTCAGATTTTCTGATATTTCTGTCTTTTATGAAATAAAAAAGCTCAAAAATGCGAATTTTAAGGGAAGGTCACTTCAGATGTATTATAAAGAATATCAGTGACAGTATTTAGTTTGGAATACCTATAAAAATAAATTGATTAGAGAGAGCAGGGGTAGGCAAACTATAGCACACAGACCAAATTCTGCTTGCTGCCTATTTTTGCATATAAAGCTTTAATGAAATATAGCCATGCTCACTTATTTGCACGTGGCTTGTGTCTGCTTTCATGCTACAGTGGCAGAGTTGAATAGTTATGACACAGACTGTATGGCTTGCAAAGCCTAAAATATTTACTATCTGGAACTTTACAGGAAATGCTTGCTGGATTAGAAGATGAGGCATAGAATTTTACACCCACCTATCCCATCCTCTGAAAACAAAACAAAACAAAAACCAAAAAACAACCTGGGCTAAATAACAGTGATATTTATATACTAGTCCAATCTAGTTGCCTATTTTAATACATAAATAACAATTATGGTCCCATAGGAAAATTCTTAATGATTCAATTTTTATAATTTAGCGAACAAAATAAATGCACCAGCAGGAACACAATAACTCAGCATTCACATGCCTATTTTTGTCAAATACTTGCGCACATATCATGTACAGAGTCCTGCTCTGCAGACCACTCCTGTGATGTCTGTCATATACTATGTTACATGACATTTCTTTATAACCTTTTACTCTGTTAGAATCTTTGTTCTTTGGGGGCAAGAAATGGACCTACCCTTAGTTTTTTGTAGCACTGTAGGTACTCTGTAAATATTAGTTGAATAAATGAAGAATAAGTAAAGCAAAGTCTCTAAGAACTTATTACAAAGAAAAAATCAATTAACTCATGTAAAGAAAGATAGTTTTGTAGTCAACATAAATGCACGGTATTTGAGCCAAAAAATGAAACTGATTTTCACGTGTGGCTTGTGGGAACACATAACAATGTGTCAGGTCTTTTACAATAAAAACAATTTAATGGCTAATTGTTGCTAATTGGAGGTACTAATGAACTTAATTTTTAATTAAAAGATGGAAATTATTTGTAATTAGCTCATGGTATCTATGAAAACAAATGTTGCTTAGAGCTTGAAAGATGGTCTTGTTCTCCTTGTTCTTTGAAGCAGCTAAAATACTCTGCCTTTCCCTCCTCTGGATGATAGAGGATAGTTTCACACAGCAATTCTCACCTAAGATGCAGCATAAGAAATAGGCTTCAATTAAATCTTTGCTTGGACATCACAAATTCCAAATTAATGAGGCTTTCCAATGCAAACTTAGATTGCTGAAACAAAAACAATGTGAGAAAGTGCATGCTGTTTATAACAGTGAATTTTGTCTTAATTGCATCATGTACTCCAATGAAGAACTTTATTCGTAGAGCACAACTCCATGGTTAGAAATCAGACATTTAAAAATTTCTTATTGGACCAGTATATTGTGATTTATGCAAACTTTTTCTGTGAAATCTCATCATGAAGTTGTACTGATAACACTTATTATTTCAGCCTGTTTCAGCTGGTGCATAAAAGGTTAGAGCAAAGAATGAAAATATGCTCCACAAGTTCTACAGGTTCTTTTCAGTGTATTTTTCAGGCCCCGTTTTTCTTTTCTTTTTTAAAAAAAAATTTTTTTCAAACCTAGGTTCAAATTCTGAACTCAAAGCTTTTTAGAAAAAGAGGACAGATTTTGATTCTACTTTAGTTCTCTAGTGATAGTAGTCTTCTGCTTGATTTCATGCTGATGTCATTCAAGGAAATTAAGCTCAAAACAACTGAAATAAAAATTTGACTACAAATTATCTTCGGTTTTCATAGGTGTTTCATAAAACCCAACCATGTATAGAAAATGGCATTTTACTATGCCTTTACATATTTTTTCATTAACATTTGCTTAAGAGAGGAGGATTTTTAAAGGAGTTATAGTTGTTATGGAAAAGAAATACTAAAAGGAGAATAGATTCCTGCTTTGGTGTGAAAATGTAGAGGGCAGTTTCAGCCTTCTGTCTTCCCTCCTTGAAATGAGCTAGGTAAGGCCTAGCAGAGATGTAGGCAACAAGAGGTGACTCCAGGGAAATAAATCAGAGATGCTTTTGTTTCCCAAGCTTCCTTCTTTCTTTTGAACATCACCATTTCTGCTTTAACTCTTTCTTCCCAGATTATTATTATTTTTAAGACATATTCATTGTTGAAGCTTAAATATGTAACTCAGACTCTTCCTAAGTAAAATATTCTTGAGCCATGTATAATTTATTAATGGCAAAGAACGAAGAAAACAAAACTAAAATATGCAAGATACCCCCACTTCATTAGTCACTTTTTATGTTCACATTAATGAACTCCCTTAACTTCTGTCACTTTCACCTCAAGTCCACTGTGGCCACCTGCTCCCATGATTCAAACTTTGCCAAGAAATAGTTCATTATCCAAAATCTTAAATCCAAGTATTTTGCTAACTACATTGTAGTTAGTAAAATACATTGTAGTTAGTACATCTCATTGAAACTGCTAATCTGTATATTTTGTTTTCTATCTCTCATCCACCACTGCCTTCTTTTTTCTTCCTTCTTTATTCTTCCTTAAACCCACAGTTTGCCACTCAACTACTTTCTTGCCAATATCATAATTGCACACTATCCTTTTCCTCACTTCACCTAGTAAATATTAACCCTGCATTAATTTGCCTGTCTGCCTTCTTGGCTACTAATCATGACCGCAGAAAATCAAACATTCTCACAGATTAATCACACAAATACATAGTCCATAGCTTCAAATGAACCCCCACTACTACCCCTCAAAATTCTATGGATTGTTCATAGGCCTTCTCATGCCATAGTTTTCCAAATCTCTGTTCTTCTTAAATCCTTACTATGTGCCTTCTCTCACTCACTCTCAGAAGATGATGTCACTTAATATTACACAGAAAACCAAACAGTATTTGTCTTCCTGAGGATTTCAAATATTCTTTCTAGATTCTTGATTCTCTATACTTTATGCATTTCACATCACGACAACACAAATAAATGTTGCTATTAATGTTATAATGGTCTAATATTATACCATAATATTTTAATCAGGGGTCTATTTTCTGCTCATCTTTGTATCCCCAGTACTTTTGTGTAGTGTCTACCACTCAGAAGTTGTTCAATAAATGTTGAAATATTGATTGAATGAAATTAAGTTATGTATCTGTAAATTGTCAAGCAGATATCTCGACTACAATCAATTAAAACAATTTAGTTGGATTCTACACTGGCAAAGAGTTATTTGTTTTGTCCAATATTGACATATTGGAAGATTTGGGAAGGAGATATTACAATGCTATTGCCTGTTTCACTTTCCTGATGTGGCCAAGGATTGAGAAAAGCAGATTCAATTTCTCAAAAGTCATTGAAGTTGTCCTACCAGCCAATTAACAAGCATTTTGGAAAGGCAAGTCTATTTCTATTTAGACGTAGACCAAAGAAGTCTGTGAAACTTATGTCAAACTACCAATTAAATCTTACAAGGGGAAAATAACTGTGAAATCTCCCAAAATGTTATTTTTCATATTAACTCTATATTGGGTCCCTTCCTTCATACTCCACTGCTGGGAACCTAGGACTACTTTTTATTATAAATACAATATGTCATATCTAATCTTTTTAACTGTTCCATGTGATTTTTATGTCTTCTTGCTCAAGACCACACAAAACTTTCAGATTCAGTTTCTTAAAGCATTGCTTTTATCAAGTAATTTATCTGCTCTAGAACTTTCAGTGGCCCTGTGTATGCAATCAGGTGAGAACTCCTGAGCCTAGATTGTCAGCCAGATCTTCTGCCTCAATTGACTTACGTAGAGCCTGACCTATGACTGATATCTGATAAGTACTTTTAATGATTTGCTTGCTTTCTTCATTATGTTCTTGAAAGTAAAATCAGGAAACCCAGTTGAAGGTAAGTTCTAGTTTGTGTCTTTTATTTTTATGAATATTGGTAAATTACCAAGAGTAGATGTATCTTGTTAAACAAAAGTACCATGTATGAAATATAGTCTCTTCCCAGGGGCCCTAAATCCTAAATGAAATTGGCATGTTAAGATATGACAGGAAATACACTTTGGGAAAAACTAAGTGATATTTTCAGTAGTGGCAATTTATTGTAGAGACCTTAAAGAGGACCGAAATGACTTCGCGGCCAAATGCTAACGTATTCTTCCTCAATGGGACATTATTAATTGAACTTTAAAGATGAGTATTCAGCCAGGAACATAACTAAACAAGGCTATAAGAAATTAAAAAAGAATTACCCTTCAGATGCTGGGTCAAGCAAACGGGTGGCCAAAAGCAAGATTTCCCCTGCTTGAAAACCACCAGCAGGTTGACAGATTCAACTGCTCCATGGGGTCTTTGAGTCTATTTCTGACCTTTGTTTCTTCTTCTGTCTTTCTAATGCATGTTTCTCTTTGTATTTTATGACCTTGCTGTCTGACATGTCAAAGAATCAAAGAATTCCTCCTCTTCAGATTGCCAGTATTTTATTTAATTAAAAAATTAACTGAAATAAAAAATTGTGCCCATTTTTCTCTTTGCAATAAATCAAAATTCAAAATCAAAATGAAAGCACAAGAAGATCTGTGCAGTTCAAAATAAAAATCCACCTCTTTACATAGACATATCCTATTACAAACTGCACTACTAAATTTTATGAAACAACTGAAATATTGCTAGTTAAAACCCTCAAGACACTAACATATTTTCAAATCAACCTCTGCCACTTTTTTGTATAAATAGAATAATGGCAGCTTTTCTTTCAATATCCAAAAGAATCGTTTTGGGAACAAATTTGAAGTTTAGATTCATTCAACAAACAATTATATTGAGTACCTACTATGTGTCAGACCCTATGCAGGGTGCTGAGCAAGCAAATGGGATGATTTTCCAATTTAGAAGAATTCTGGTCTCTAAAGCAGTGCTTCTCAAACTATTTTTTATTAATCTGTGCCGTCTTTTGCTATACATAAAATTATTTTCCCACTTTTCAGGAATTTGATGACTGTGTCTAACACTGAGAATCACTGATACACAGAACACAGACTCTATCTTCTGTGTATCCTTGACAGATAAAATGGTTTTGAGTTTTTACTTTCTATTTAAAATGCAACACATTTATTTTCCAGATATATAACTGAATTATAATATTAAGTTTATGTTTCTGAACTACACATGCCCCCTTGCAAACTGGAATTCAAATTTCCTGCACCCACCTCTGTTGAGAATCACTGCTTTAAAGAGTTTGGGAAAAAACCAGGCAACCTCCATCTCTCCCCTCCAATCCAGTCTTAAAAGAATTAGAATTTTCCTACCTGACACAACAGCTGGTGGAGTATCATAATCCTGTCTTGGGATTGAATCTTTGAATGAAAAGAGCATGAGAAAGAATGCAATGAAGTACAAAAGAAAATAAAATAGAATCAGCCCTAACACGTGGAAGAGTCCGCTGTGTGTCATATGGTTGCCTGACCCACCCTGCCTTAGAGCAGTAAAGGCATTAGGATTCCTCATTTGCATTTGATACCATGGTCCCTATTACCACAATACTGTACATGTTATTAGGTCCCATTAGACTTGCTGGGACAGTACAGTTTTTCCTGAAACACTGTCATCTTCCACAGCCTGTTTGGTACCTCCCTTAGGGAATCAATATAAAATTTTTGCCCTCTCTGGCTGACAAAAGAGTTCTACAAGGCAGCCCATTTAGAGGGGGCCCAGAGCATGATACGAAACAAAGTCCTGGAGAACAAAAGAAAGAACTAAAATTTAAAAGAGAAAAATAAAAAATTTGTACATTCTCATATTCTATGGAGGCTAACACATTTTGAAGGCAAAATTTCATTATTTATTACTCAGCTCTAGCTCTGATCCCAGTGGTTGTCAGTGAGGCAGAGCGGAAGGTGCTTTCACCTCAAGGCCAAAAAGCTTTATGTGTTGTAACTGTGGGAGCAGAGATACACAGAACAGAATCTATTGAACGTGACGGTTATCTTTATCCCAAGTCTCCTAGCATTGAAGGTGTCAAATTCTAGATAAAGCTTAATTAAACTACATGGCAATCATTTCAAAATTAGGGGTTACATGGCACAAAATATATCTGATTTTTTAAAGATGAAAAAAGAGCTTTTGGCTCACTGCAATTTCTTTAGCCAGGGATCTTAAAAAGGAGATTGGAATATGGCATAGGCCTAGGGTCCCCTTCTAAAAATGGAAAATTCTAATTTTGTCCCCACTCCCCTTGGAGGGGTAAACTCTAAAAGAAACTTGATATTGTTTAGATTCAAATCAACTGCCAACACATGGTTAAATAGGTCCTCTTGTGTGACTCTTATTCCATTTATATGACCTTTATTAAAAGCAAAAATCCCAAATTTTCTTTTTCCACCCATGTGACAACTTTTGGACTATCACGTATTTCTCACTTTCATCTCCTTGCCACAAAAGGTCAATTTTAATCACTCTCTCCTGAGTAAATGGCATGTGAGAAGACAGATTAGAACTTGAACATTGCAAGGCACTTTGAGCAACAAAAGCAAACATGATCAAAAGATTCAAATGCAAATAAACCAGACACATGAGTTATTTTGTTTCTTGCAACAGATACCTGAACTACTGAGTTGATTATAATCCCCAAATCTAGAATAATTAGAATCATTTTAAAAGTTTTTCCAATTTTTTAAATAATAGTAGTAACTCCTAGTACCTTTTGAAAAATTGCAATCACACATTTCCACTCCAAACCAAAAAAAAAAAAAAAAGTTAATTATTGGACCATGCTACTAGACATTTTCCAAGAATATACTTATGACATTTTAAAATAAATAATAAAAGCCAATAATGTTTATTGCTGAATAGCTGGATAATGTAGAAAAGCATAATGATTAAAATAGACATTACTCCTAATCCCATCACCTGGAAATAGCCACACTTGTTTTATATTTCTCTTTAGCCTTATAATACTTCTTTAGAGTTGATACTGAACTCCACACATGCAAATTTACATCTTTCCTTCCTTTTTTCTTTCTCTTTCTCTCTCTTTCTCTTTCGACAGGGTTTCACTCCATCATTCAGGCTGAAGTGCAGTGGCACAATCATAGCTCACTGTAACCTCAAACTCCTGGGCTTAGTTGATCTTCCTGCTTCTGCCTCCTCAGTAGTTGGACTACAGGGCACACAATAATGTAATGCCTAGCTAATTTTCAATTTTTTTTATTGTGATGGGGTCTTGTTATGTTATCTAGGCTGGTCTCCAACTCCTGACCTCAAGCAATCCTCCTGCCTCAGCTTCCCAAAGTGCTGTGATAACAGGCATGAACCACTACAGCCTGCCTTACTTCCATTTTTTCAAATTTGACATTATAAATAAACTTTTTCCCAATTATTTCTCTTACGATTTCATGCTGCATTACATTCTGGTTTATGGATGGATTATGGCATATTTAATTATTCTTCTTTGTTAGACATTATAAAGAACACCGTGTCAAATATTTTTGAGGTATAATTATTTTTCTGTTATTTTAGAATATTTCCATAGACCAGCTTCTCAAAACTATAACTTCTTGGTCAGTCAGTATAAATGTTTTGAAGTATCTCGACTGACTACCTTGCTATCCAACTGGTACTTATACAAATTTAGATTCCTATCATCAAGCAATCAGTGCTAGAGAATGCTTATTTTCCTACACCTTCATTAGCAATTTGTACTGCATTTTGATAGCTTTATTTGATGGGATATATGTACATGTATATTTAATTACTGTTTCTGTTTCTTTCATTACAATTTTTGTACATGTTCCTTGGCATTCTATTTACTCTTTTATCAACTATCTGTTCATGTTCTTTGGCATTTTATCTATTGAGGCTTTTTTACTATGTCGGTAATTTATTTGAATTCAGAATTCATTTTTTTAAACAACAAAAGTGTAATATTTACAAATACACACTCGTACTACTAGACTTACACTTAATGCCAGCTCATTTATTGTTTATAAGACTCCCTTCAAAGGTCTTTCATTTTAAAGTAAGACTAAACCAATTTTTTTAAACTATTACCTTTTTAGATATATTTTCTGTTTTGTATTTGAGTGTTTTAATTAATATTTTTTCCTAAAAAACTATTTTAGATGTACCCATTACCATTTATGATACTGCTTCCTGAATCAGAGTCCATTTAACATCCTGTTAGCTTTTTAAAACTCTGTCTTAATATTTATATTCATACCTAATAACAGAAAAAAGAACAATGTCTAAACAAACTGAATAATTGAGGATTTTCACCTGATACTATCAAAATTTCAGAGCAGTGAAGGAGTGGTGTGACTGAAAAATGCTAGAGAACTGTGGGGACAAATGGAGTACAATTACAAGGTTATTTTTGTGAGTGACTATGGTTACACTGTGGAAATCGATGATATCACAAATCATCAGTGGCTTGGAGAACACAAACCAAACTGCAGATACAAAACCTGCAGAACAAAAACTTTTTATTTCTTCCAACAGATTCTGGTGACATTGTAAGCCACTGGTGACCAGCAACTGAACAAATGAAAAGGAGATAAGAAACTTGTAAAACAAGATTGTCATGCAACTTGGAGGTTCTCATAACACAGTAAAATCTCCAGTGGTTTCTGCTAAAGCTTACAATAAAGTGATAAGAAGTTATGGATAATGGGGCTTTGGTTCCATCAAGGGAATGCTGTGACAAAAAAATAAACAAAAGTAGAAAAGCTAGGAAAATCCTTCAGGGTCAGCAGACCCCTGAAATAAAACAGTTACACTGCTTGCATAAGATGCACTTTTTTTTTTTTTGAGGCCTGCAGATTCTGTCTAGCTTAAAATAGAGAATTGAACAATAAACATTTGAGGTGGCAAATTGTAGAGAAAGGTTAATTAAACTACATGGCATTCATTTCAAAATTTGAGGTCATGGGAGATGAATATATCTTCTTTCATGAAAAGGAAAAAGAGGTTTTGGCCCAATACAATTCCTTTAGCCAGGGACTTTAAAAGGAAGAGTGGGACTAAGCCAGTGTTCAAGATCCCCCTTCTAAAAATGGCAAATTCCAATATAGCTACAACTTCCGTCAGCCCTGATCACTTCCTACTCTAGATTATTCACTGGATAGCTCTCTGCTCTGCCCTTGGAACCCATCTGTTTCTAGAGTTTAGAATCCTATCTTAATCTTAATCTTGACTTGTCACTGTTCACACCTTGTTTTGCAGAATTTCTGTGGGCTCAGATGTCTGAAATCCTCTGAAATGTTTCAGTTAGGAGAGAGACGTCAGATAGTTTTAGATTGACTACCTGTGACAACAGGGTAGAGAATGGATTGGAGCAAATTGAAATTGAAAGCAGGAAGAACGGTTAGGAAACTATTACAGTTTATCAAATGAGTCCCAGGGCAGAGACTCCAGAAATGTAGAAGAAAGAATGTATTTGACCAATGTCTATGAGAGAAAATCAGTGGGACTTGAAAAGTAATTGTGTATGGTGGTGAGGGAGAAGGAAAGGGTCTTGATTGGGTCTTAGATGTATGGTTTGACTACAGGGAAAATGGTCATGTCATTAGCTTGCAGGGAAACAGGGAGCAGAAACACACAAGAGGAACAGGTTTCAGTTAGAAGAAAGTTCTGGAAAGCTCATGAGATTAGTTTGGGTCATGGTGACTTTGAGATGTCTGAGGGAGATTTCCATGGAGATATGTAGCAAGTAGTTGGATAAATGAGTCTGAAATTATTAGATGAGGTTAGTATTGGGGACTGAGATTTAGGAGTCAACGTGGAAGCCAGGGTTTAAAACCATGAGACTGAATGAGATTGCTTACGAAAATCATGTGGCATAAGTATGTTAAAAATGAAGCTCTGGCTTACCAATCTGTGCAGGAAGAGAAGAAGGAATGGCCAGAGAGGTCTGAGGAGAACCAGAAAAACCTTGGGCAGGAGTCACAAACTGGGAGTTCTTGGGACAAACTGGACCCAATATTTAAATATGGAGAAATTTCAAATCAAAATTCAAGAATTCAGCTTATCTTTAAAAGTTGGAAAGTGAGACCACCCTGGGTCTGTATGTCCATGTGGCAATAGCCATCACAACAGCTGTACTACCAATGGAATAGTGGCTGTCCTCTTCAGACAAGGCATCCATATTTCAGGCTGCCAAAGGCACCACCTCTCACTTCTATTTGCCCAAAACTCAGGCAGAGATAGTATTATTATTGCATGGAAAATACATCTTCTCTAAAATATAATCTCCAATGTCATATATGTTTATATAGTATGAGTATGTTTATGATATAGGCAAATATTTAAAAATTGATTATATATTTCCAAGGGTTTTTGTTTGAACTTGATCCACTTCATTCATTAATATGACTTGGCTGGACTCTACAGGCTTTTGAATTTGCTACCTTAAAAGAGAATGTTAGCAGCCAAAGAAATGGAGACGTTAAAGAAATTATTTATATCAAGTGAAATAGTGCAGGTAAGTGATTTATACCATGGATTTTACTGTGTGTTACATCACTTCTGGCTACCTAAACTAGACTCCCACCAGTTAGAAGCCACTGGAGGTGAAGGGTATGAGCAGCTCATTTGAGAAGCACATACTGGGTATCACACTGTATAAGATATGCTGCATATTGTCATTTCATTAACACTCACAACATCTCTGGGATGTAAGCATTATTTTTCCCACTTTGTAAAATGAGAAAGTTCTGAGAGGTTAAGTAACCTGCCTAAACATGCAGAGCTAATAAGGGAACAAAGTCAGGTTTTGAACTCAAGTTTAAAAACAAAGCCAACTGATCTTTCCATGATGCCAGGATTCCTTCCCCATCAATGAAAATGTTGGAAAGATGCAATAAGGTAGAAAAATCTGATTTTCCAAAATCAACCTCAACTGGATAATAGTCACTCCAAATGCCAATCAAAATTCAGATAAAATGAATCTATGAAGGCATATCGAAGAATTAGAGTGACAGTCTAAGAAAACAATATAACAATATTCTGGACACCAACCACACTTAATTATATTTTGTTAAACGAATCAACAAAGTAATTCTGTTTTCTCTCTACCTCTTCTAAACCTTACTAAATTTTACACTTTTCCATAACATCAGGTAATGCAAATCTTATAATGTATCTAAGCATTATTTAGAACAAATGTAAAGGGTGAAAAGAAAAAAGCTAGTGGAAATTTGGTATTAATAATAAATCATATGCTTAAAACTTTTACTCTCTAAGAAAGAGAATGTTATATATTATTACTGAATCATTTGGCTATCACCAGCTGCCTAAAAGTCATGGTCCCTTACAAATGTGTTCTTGTTGGAATGCTCAAATACAAAATCATAATATATGTTATTGAATCAATAACTATTTTAATTCTGAGTCTGTTCTGTGTCTTTTAGCTTATTTTTTTAATTCCCTAAAGGATTCAGTCATATGCTTAGTTAACTAGCTCTTATATTTCTACTAGTTTGCAAACTTAAATTTTAGCAAGTCAGTTGGCTTTACTTTTGAACCAAATGAGTAAAAATTTTAAAGAGTTTCTATGTTTTGCATTATAATTGTCTCTTTAATCAGATTCCAGATTGTTATTCAATACGGTAAAATTACATTACATCACTTATTCAGAATTTATGATCACTGAAGGACACGAAGGCTGATATGGAGGGAAATCTACAATATATTAATAAAAATAAGAAACTGCAGGCCTTCTGATACTATTCCTAGGACCTGCTTATTAGTAACGCACAAAATAATTACAAATAATTCTTTGATAAAAGCAATAAAATATTGTCTTCAAGCTCTATCTCCATGATGAAAATTAGCTGTACCACAGCATATAGTTAAATATATCTTAGACACGATTTCTAAAAGTGTAGGTGAGAAACCTAAGAGATCATTTGATCCAGCCCAAGCATTCAGACAGGTAAGTTACCATCGACTGCTTTTTACAGGTTCTGCAACTGAGATCTTAGTGATAGGCACTTTGTTTATGTTACTAAAACTAAAATTTCTTTATTGAAAGAATGTGGCTCTTTCCATTAAATTATATTGACTTTCTTCCTATTTAGGACAGATTAGTGAGTTCTCAGTGGACATGCCAGTAACTTCTTATATTCTTAAAAGCCCATGAGTCAACAAGATTTATTTGGCAAGCAAGCCATTGCTATAGGGTAAAATTCCTGATACACAACTAGTGTGCATATTGTACATAGATATTTGGAGAATGAGTCAGCATAATTGAAGAATCACAGAGGTGGTAACTGTAAGACATATAGGCTTAAAAATACAGAATTGAATATTCAAAGGGACCCATATATGATCAAGTTTAATACTTCAACTAGATAGAGAAAAAATTCAGACTAGAGATATTATTTTCCCAAAAATTGACAGAAACTACAGGGCTTACGCAAGTTTTATATCTAGGATTTCTGACTCCTAGTCCAGTGCTCTTTCTTCAATATTTAAGCTGCCTCAGTCAAAAGAAAACATATTTTTATTTCTATGTTTTGTTAAATGACAAGATTATCTGCACTAACATTTACGAAAATAAAACTGTTACTGAAGGTGTCACATGAGTGGTTAGGTTTCATGGTTTCATTGTTCTCTGTAATGGCAACTAATGAAGTTTCAGTATTCTAGATTGTATTAGGCTTTTGCCTCCTTGAACATTTGGGGAATTATCTTTTAAAAAAATCAAACAAAGTTTTTCTTATGATTTAAAATGCCTCATTGATACAAAATCCAGGCTGCAATAGGCATTTTTCAGCACACTTTTGTTCTCTGAGGAGAAAGATGACTAGTCAAAAATATCACAACCTATAAGAAAAAATCAAGCACATTAGGTTCCCTTCCTTCTTTTCAACATCATCCATATCAACATATCAGAAAGAAGGATTAAAAGAACTCGATTATACCTCAATTACTCTTTATTGATTTAATAGTATCAGTCATAGATCTGGCCCCTCAGTTGTGTATAACCTGCTAATAATATAGTAGCTGAGCTGGTAAGCAGCTGGGAAGAGAAAACCAGGATTGAGTATATTAAGTCAAAGGGTCTAGATTTGCAGGTGCATACAAAAAGGACACCTTTCCAAAAACAGACATTACATCTGGTACATTGTACCATAAAAAACAAGAAGTAACTGAATGACACAATAGAACTTTAGCCTTGCCACTGTGAGTACATGTGCCCTGGAACTGAACATACATGCAGAATGCAGCTTATTCATACTGAAACCTGAAAGATGTGTTAGTCAACGAATATGGTACAGACACAGTTTCACTGATAATGCCAGTAAAAATGGAGAATATCACATCTGATCAAAAAAGTTCAAGGAAACAAAACAATCTCTTCAACTCACCGTTCCTGTTGTGCCCAACGAAAGGTGATTCATCTGCTGTGTCAGTGGGCCCATCATGTTGGCTGGCTGCATTGACATGGGATGGTCCATGGTTGGTGTAATCACAGCACCCTACAAGCATATACAATGTCCATTTGAAAATATATCCTACAAGGAAGGAGACTTCTTACAAATAAACACTGTAAATTGTAAATGTGTGAACATCAAATGTTTTTACTTTTTTACTAAAAAGGCTAAATTCAACTGTATATAATTTTTATGTCCATTCATGTCATTTTGTGCTTGTCTGAATAGATGGCATTAACATCTTCCTTTCTTCTGAGGTAATTTACCTGTGATGTGTCTAAAATATGTCACTTACATTTTCATTTTTTGAGGTAGAATGTATTGAAAATCATCTATATCCTCTTGCCCACTGTTCTAAATATAAACTTCTCTGACTGAAACATATGAACATTAGTGGAAATTCTCTAATTTTCTTGTTATTTGATAAGACTTGGTTTATGTCATTTATCTATTACTTATTAATACATACATAATTCTTAGTCACCCCAATACAATCTACCACTAAGAGGGATAATGCTGGCCCACATGGGTTTCTGAACTGGATCTCTTTGAAGGACATATTAAAATCTATCATTGATAATCTAAAAATCGAAATTACTATTTCCCATTTGTTTTCCTCCTAACCTTTTGACCTGTTTTCTATCTATCTATATTTTAGACACAAGACAGAATACCAAACTCTGTTAGAGCTGGTCAAATTTTTATGTCCATCCACAATTTTTTTTTAAAAATAAAAGTGTCAACTTTTAAATCAGATGTTAAGAAAAGTGGATGTCTAGAATATGTCTTTTGATTTATTATCATTGTTGGGGATAAAAGAAATTACAGACATTTTAAAAAACTTCCATCCATATGCAAAGTGTCATATGGTGAGTGAAGAATGGAGCTAAGTCATTTTATCCTTCCATTTCTCTTTCTCTACCCTGCTACTTTCCTTGCAGTAATTAACTTGGAGAAGGAAAAATATTTTTAAAAAACAAACTTAAAAAGCTTGAATTGGATGGAATCTTTGAGAGTATATAATTTCAATGTTTATTTAAAGATTGTGATAAAAGTAGAAACATATTTTATAACAACCCATTTAAATACTCAGTTATGATCAAATGATTATGTATCTGAATAAATTATTTCCCTAAACATTATTTTTCTCACTGGACAGATGCATGTAGATGGCCAGATCTCGGCACCCAAACTAATTACCCACTGCGCGTTTCCTAAAATGCTTTTGCTCAAACTAAGCAATTCTTCCTGGTATTATCGAAATTCAACTTCCTGACTATATCTGTGAAAAAGATCAGGCTATCACTCTGCCTTCTCTGTGGGCTCCTCCCCATTAATTTTCAGAGATAATAGAAATTGAGCCAAATATTTGGAAATGCTTGATATACAGGGCCAGCTTTGTTCACAAAGACATTTAGGCTTTTCAGTAGGAATCAATCAGAAAACATGTCTGTTATTTTAAAGGTCTGTAGCTTGTAAATATACACAATTGTGCATTTGTGTTGTTTGAATTTCTCGATGCTTCTGTGCATTGTCATTCATCAGGATGCCTCTTAAATGAGAAACATAAGATAAGCTTTTACTTAATTATAATTCAGAGACACATCACTTTTCTTTCTGCTGCCTGAATCTTTTTAACAAAACCATCTTTATTGTTTTCCTTTTTTAAAAAATACTTACTGGCCTTCATTTCAGGTATTTGTTGTGCCAGACCAGAAGTAAACACTTTAAGAAGAACAAGGGTTCTTCTTAAATCACCTAGGGATAAATTATAGAATAACCTCAGAGTTAAGATGGAAGTCCTGAAGCATTTTTTTTTTTCAACCAAAAAGTGGTACTTTGACAACATTCTAATGCTTAGCAGCTGCAAGACTTCGATTCTCTTCTTGAACTCAAGACAGGTTATCTTTTTAGAATATTTGCCCTTAGACATTCCAACATGCAGCTAAACTGTCACAATCCCAGAAACCCCTCAATTCTAAACAGCTTGCTCTAGCCACAAAAAGGATCATTCATGTAAATCAGAGATAAAAACCAAACTGCGTTTGGTAAGGATACTTTCTTCTCAATACCCTGGAGGTTGTCTCATTCCCCAGGGGTGTGTTTTTTTTAAAGGCAATATGCAGATGAGGTAGGTGAGCATGTGACAGAACAATCAAAATTCATGCATGATGAGAAGGATCGAATGCCTGCACTTGGAATTAATTTTGGAAGAATTGTCTGGTCTCTTTCAGAATCTTTTCATTGAAAGCAGTATTTGGGGACTCATTTGATTACAGATGTCATAGAGTGAGTGTTGCTTCTGTGTATAAACCAGAAACCTGACAATCAAAGGGAAAAGTAAGAAGGGATTTATCATTAATTGGAATTGTAAATAGCAACACTAGGCACAGAGTGGAAAATAATGTAAGGAGACCAGTTACTGCACATAAATGAACAGTTCTTTCTAAGCAGATCAGTTATTGCACATAAATAAAAAATAAAATAAGGATTCTTGGGGAAGGATATGTAAGAATCTAGAGTCTTGTTTGCATTCAATAAAAACATTCAGTGAAAACAATCCTACAAATTATTAAGAATACAAATTTTTTAATCTTAAGGGAATGGAAGAAATGTACAGTCAGGGAGTAAACTGGAAGTAACTAATAGGAACTCCTGGGAGAAATGAATTTTCTTAATGATACTTTGTCTGGGACAGACAACTTAGAGAGGTTTAGTGTTGGTTACCTACAGCAAAGGGGGAGTTTGCCAGCCACTTTGCTTATTTAAAACTACAGAATCTCTTTTGTATTGTATATGACATAAATAAATAAATACAAAAGAAGAAAAGAAAAGCCTTATGGTTAGCATGGCAAAGCCAGTATCCACAACCGTAACTTTGACTTATTAAATACACTGTCAAATCCACTCCAACTTAATATATTTAAGCCATAGGCTGAAGAGTGTTTGTGACAGATGTTGCCAACACATTAAGCATAATTTTGTTTACTTGAGATGTATAGGATGTGGTGTCTGACAGAGTTCACCTGGCAAGTGGCAAAGCAAGAAGAAACAGATTTTTCATTTTAGCATCTCTGGATGTCTGGCTTTGCTCAATGTTTGGGCTGCAAAGAAAAATATTGTACAATGCTATAATTCCACTAAAAAATACAATGACCAAACAGCTGATGGAAAGGTCTGGTCCTTTTTAGCCACTGCCTTTGCAAAACAAAGCTGCTCCCACTCAAGAGACAAAGGGTGGATCTGGTTGCCCTAGTTCTGAAATAAACAATTTTCAACAGTAATTTGGGTAAAGTTTCCAAAGATCATCATGTGTGGCGTAAATATATCTGACCTAAGGCCAGAAAAGCATCTGTGTTGTTAACCTTCTGCCAATGTTTGAAAGAAATTTGAAGTCTTTGAAAGTTCAATATTTTAATTTCCCAACTGAAATACAAAACCATTGGCAAATCAGGGAAAAGCATGTGTGGCTTCTCTACCATCTAGAGCACACATAGCTGTTTTAGCACCTATATTAATCCCAGAAGATGAACCACAATAAGAAGAACTAGCTGCATTAATATTCCTGTGATAGTATTCTAGGTCAGTGCCACCCCAACTATGGTTTGTGGATCAGTAGCAGCAGTAGACAAAAATTAGACTCTCTGGGATTAGGCCTTGAAATCTGTATTTTAACAAGCTCTCCAGGTGATTCTGATATACTCTAAAGTTTAAGAAGTATGCTCTGTCTAAAAACTGCTATCGTATAAAGCCAGTGTTACAGTTCTTACAGGCAAACAAGTGGCTTTATTTTATGTACGCTGTTTCTCATTTATTTGTTTGAATCCAGTCTTTTTACAGGCCATGGTCTTTTATGTGATAATCACATTATATCTTGTTAAAAACATTCAAAGGGGCTAAGCCTGCATTTTTGATGGGCTGACCTAGAAATATTATCTGAATAATCACACCATATAATCACTGAATAAGTGTGATGACCTGACATGCTTCAATTTGATCAGTTTGGCTTCTATTATAACACATTGGGAATCCTTCATATTTGGAATCTTAGTAGCCTTGCATTTGAACTCATAGAAATGGAAAAACAAAAATAAAATTATTTGGATAAGTGAAAATTAAAAAAACAGCATCCCTTTTTTTCTGCTGTCTTATCTAAATGCCTCAAGTCAAAATGTCTGTGATTTGTATTATACGATTGCCTATAGTTATTCACACAAAACTATATATGAATTTTAAAAAGGTGGTTTTAAGTCACTATTTCATTATTCTTTTATTCATGTCTGATTTTTGCCAGTTTTTAATATTCCTAGAACAAATACCTAATAGCAACAGAGATCTCATAATATAAATGGCATGAAGGTAGCTTGAGGAATAGCTGTCCAAATGCAGTGTTCTGCAGTATTAGCATGCAACATTCCTTGTCTTGTAGTATATGTAGGGATGTCTAATTTCTTTCATTTGTTGATGTCAACTGTTTTGTTTTGTTTTGTTTTGTTTTGATGAGGGTTCAGGGTTTAAGAAAGGCTTTTGTGGGGAGAAGAAACAAAAGGAGTAAGAAATGTCTCTAATTCTTAGAAACAATCATTAATCCTTATCTACCTTGATAAATTTCCAACCAACGTAGTAGTGCAGTCCAACTTTAAAAAATTATGTTTGAAATTCAAAAGATGTGGCAAAGGTGGTAGCCTTTAACTTTGTAAGCATTTTGGAAGGATTTGACAAATGCTGGAGGTATGGGAAATGATGAATTACATGGTAAGCCAGAAGCCACACTGCCCCTAGAACTTCACTTTAGCACTTAATACCTCCTTCCCCTTTATTATTGTCTACTTGTTTCTTTCCACGTTACATCTTTCAAGAGGGAAGACATTATGTTTATACAACTTTTGTAATCTCTATAAATAGGAATTGCATGCAGTAAGTACTCAAAACAGTTTTTGTAAATTAATTTTATATATCAGTACCACTCATTTTTCAGTTCAATGACAAACTGTAAATATTTACTAATATTTCTCATTTTGATTGTTTATTCTGAAAGGGTTGAAATTATGTTGTTTTGTTCACCACTGTCTAGTGTCTATAGTGCTGTTTATAGTGTGAGGTATATAATATATGCTTTATAAGAGTTCACCGAAAGAATGATGAAAGAATAAAACTTCTAATCAAAAAGTAGTTAGTTAGAAATGTTATTTTGAGATTGCTCGTTAAAATGGATCATTACAAAATTCTTGAGAAAACTTGTTCTCCCAAGGGGCAGTTCAGTTTTAAAACCATAGTTCAACTCACACATGCGCATTAATGACATCTTCAACCACCATCCCCTTAAAGATGAAATCCAAGATTTGCTTGATGAAAAAAGTTTGACTAATGCTATATGAGACATATAAATATATATATATATATTAGAATAAAAAGTATTTGTATATGTACATATTTCATTTGTTCTCAACCAGGAGTGATTTTGCAATGTCTGGTAACATTTTTGGTTATCATAACTGCCGAGGTGTGCTATTAGCACCTAGGGGGTAGTGGTTATTGATGTTGCTATACATCCTGCAACACAGAGAACAGTTCCCCACGACAAATAATTATCCAGCAAACCCAGGATTAGTGCTAGGGTTCAGAAACCCTGGTCCATATATACATATATCCATAAGCTCCATTTATACAAAGTGAGGAAGAATTTGAAAGGCAGTAACTAGAAAAATGACACAAAGTAGGCCGGGCGCAGTGGCTCACGCCTGTAATCCCAGCACTTTGGGAGGCCGAGGCGGGCGGATCACGAGGTCAGGAGATCGAGACCATCCTGGCTAACACGGTGAAACCCCGTCTCTACTAAAAAATAGAAAAAATTAGCCAGGCGTGGTGGTAGGCGCCTGTAGTCCCAGCTACTTCGGAGGCTGAGGCAGGAGAATGGCGTGAACCCGGGAGGCGGAGCTTGCAGTGAGCCAAGATCATGCCACTGCACTCCAGCCTGGGAGACAGAGCGAGACTCCATCTCAAAAAAAAAAAAAAAAAAAAGAAAGAAAGAAAAGTGACACAAAGTATTCATCTACAGTCTGTTCCCGACAACTAATAGCACATTTTAGATCTATGGCAAGATTATGGTTATAATATACACCAATTTCCCAAATTCCATAATTGTGCAATGAAAGAAAACAGGACTATTACATGACTTCCAATGGCTTTATCATTATTTTTGAGTGCTAACTTATTTTGCTATTTATTTTGGAAATGGGGCAAACTAGAGCTGGGTTTCTCTTTCCTATGCTTGGACAGGATTAGACTAATTGGCATGATATTTGGACTACTATATGGAGATATATAGCTATGGGCTAGGGGTATAATGTTTAGAAGTAAGACATTTTCCACTGCTATATGATAAAGGTAGAAGAGATATGTACATGTACATAGATTTCCCAATAACAGAATATCTATTAATTATAAACATAGCATTTTTTTCCTTGTACTCTTAATCACACTTTTAATTTCAAGTTGATTTTTGATTCAGTAACTAGTAACTGGAAGTATTTTTTTTTAAAGTTATAATATTAATAGACACTAAAGCCAAATTAGTTTTAGCCATGGAAATCCCTTTAAAAGAATCCTAATTATGTACTACGCCTATTCAACTGTGAATAATGGTTTCAATTATTGGTTAAGTACCTATTAATATAATAGTGTCATTTTGAATGAGAATATAAAGTAAATATGTCATATTGAAGTATTTCTTACCAAAGCAGGTACATAGATAATTAGGATTCTCAATAATGCTTTATTTTAATCCTTTAGACGTTTGTGCCTAAAACTACAGAAACAAGTTTATCAGTAGCTTTTGGTGTTTTCAGTAGCTTCTTTAGAATCCTAATAGAGCAAAGTGGCTTTTAAATATATTGCATTATTGAGGGAGAGTTGAAAATTTGAGATTTTGAGGACTCTACGGTCAAAGGGATTTTGTTGACTGAATATGCAATAGGACACTTAATTATTTTGTCATTAAACTTGTACACTTGATTACAGAATTGATCTTAAGATTATAAATTTCTTACACAGATGGGTTACTATATTTTTTCCTCTTATTTTTCTACTTAAGGAGATCATAACTGCTGAGTCAATGGAAATATTAATTGTTTAGAGAAAGATCCCAGGCCACTTCAGAAGGACCTTAGAGCTTCAATGACAAAGGGTGAACTTGTGTTCATCAGCTTCTGATTCCAATCGCATAACTAATGAGTAGCTTTCAGCTGGGGGTGTCTACCACTCACAAATATGTTATGGGAGAAGAGAGGAGCAAGTGACCAGTAGCCTGGTTCAAATATGTTATGAGAGAAGAGAGGAGCAAGTGACCAGTAGCCTGGTTCAAATATGTTATGGGAGAAGAGAGGAGCAAGTGACCAGTAGTCTGGTTCATTCATAGGAGTTATTCCCCAGAATGTGGTATTTGATAAGAATTTTAGAGGACACATGTAAACTGCTGTAGTTTACATAAAAATACATGTGTTGTGGTGTAGATAATGTGAAAAAATGAGACTATTTGTGTGAAAAAATTAGTGGCATAACCATAGTCCTTAGTCTTTGCTTTGCAGGGCCCCCATGGTATATAGCTTTCCTATACAGATGTATTGCACACTCCAAAATTTATTTAAAGGAATCAAAAACAGCACAAGACAAAAAAAATCAAAGACAAAAGACTATAAAGCTATGACACTTAAAAATGAATTGATTAATCAAATATATTTCAGCTCCTTCTATACTTTTTTTAGAAAGAAAACCATTGATCTCTACCCACCAAATATATTTCATAATAAAAAATTATATTTGAAATATTGAGATTAGTTCCTAATTTTTTCTACCTTAAAAACAATATGTATATGTATGCATATATACATATATATGTGTGTGTGTGTGTGTGTGTGTGTATATATATATATATATATATATATATATATAAAATTTGAAGAGGAGCAGACCAGTTTCTCCTTATTTTTTGTTCTAAGTGGGGTTATAAGGGAAACAGTGTTAAATGACCTCCTTTCCCAAAGTGCAACCTAGAGCTGCGTTAGTTTTTCATAGTGGAAATGTCCTTTTTAAGACACTGGTACTGTTAAGTCAATGGCTATTCTACATTAAATGTGTTGGAGGAGTGTAAGAGTAGATAGGACAGTTCAGTGACAGGACAAGACATTTTTCTATTCCTGCTTGTCTTATTCAGAAACCAGTTAGAGTGAATGAGTTGTAGGGCTGCCCAAGAGCATGTGCTTTCTACTCTGTTTCAGCATTATCTCTGTCAAAAAGAGGCTTCTACAGGTAGGTCTGGGATGGCCTTGTTAGCATAGCACACATAATCTACGAGGATCACACAGCTTTCAATTTACCTTTCTAGCCTGATCCCCAGCCCATGCACATGAAGCCTCTCTTTCCACCACACTGTATTCCTCATCATTCTCTTGTCCGTCTTACCTCTTACCCTTGCTGTCTTGGCCTGCAACGCTAGGCTTCTACAGCAGTTTATATGTGTCTTCTAAAATTCTTATCAAATACTAAATTCTGGGGAATAACTCCTATGACTGACCCAGGCTACCGGTCACTTGCTCCTCTCTTCTCCCATAACATTTTGCACACACTTTGATCATGATCAAACTTTATTTCTTCCCTGAATCCTAAGTTCACTGGTATCATTAGCAATACCTTATATATTTCTTTTTTAATGGTTCTGAGCCCAGCACAGTGTCTGTCATAAAACAGATGCTTAGTTAGTGGTGCTAATGGACTGAGTGAGTGAATGGCACTTGCTCACCAGCAGGTCTCTGATGACTTTAATGGTATGTGAAACAATAACAGCAGCTCCTTGCTCAAACTGGACAAGAAGATTCAATGGAAATACCAGAAGCATTCTCTGGCCAAAAAGATGGACGTAAAAGATCCATTCATACACTTCCTCTGCTTTTCTTTGACAGTATCTCAGTCTGACCACTGCCAGCTTGACCTTCTCATTATTTAGTATGAAAATCCCAGGGCTTCTGAGAGCCACACCCCACCCAAGGAAGTTTAACATTGGAGTTCACGACATGATTTCCATTCTATGGAAGAATTATTTATGCTCAGTTAAATGCTGCAAGATGTTCTGTACATATTACAGCCAATGTGTACTGCCACAAATGTAGGTTAAGGTTTTTTAAATTAGGACTTTGCTATGCCATGAACTGTTTTAGTAGCCATATATCTGCCTGAGATTCTTGTCAAACCTTGTCATGTGATAAGAAATGCTTTATTCATTTGTACAGCAATCACTTTGTATACCTCCAAACACATTTTCAACTTACAGAAGTTTCAAGCACACATCGGATGCAGTACTCAGGCCAGCCTTCTTCCAAATGATAAGGCAAACAGGGTTCCCAGAAGACGTCTGAATATTTATGGACCTCATCTTTTGTCTGGTAAAATGTTTATCTGGGTTTAACTAGGACTCAGGACTGTGAGCTGTCATAAAACTTCTCATTAAAAACTTCTCCTTACTGACAAATAGACTGAAAGACCTGCTTGCAAATCCTTTTCAAGGTCTTGTAAGATCCTATTGGCAAATGGGCCTGGAAAATCATTGCTCAAACCACAGGGGCGATCAAGAGAAATAGCTGCCTGTTATCTTACTTATGGCCATTGTTTATAGTGCAAGTTGCCTAAATATGTCACAAGGCACCTCAATTTTTGGCTATTACTAAGAAAGTAGCTATTCCTTGTCCTGCAATTTGCTGCAAAAAGCACTTTATTTTGTGGTCCCTCAGAGAATATTTTTCTCCTTTAAGATATTTTTAGGAATTTGCCTGGTTAGGGCTGGAAACTTAACTAGATCTAAGGATACAGGTGTGAAGTCACGACCCTATTAAAGAACTAATTTACTCCTTTTAAAGCACACTTTCTATTAGTATTATTATTGCTAACATGCTTCAAACTCAGTATATACCCTATTGATGACATGTTCTGTGGTCTAATGCTGAGATAAAATATGTCCTGGTGTAACAGACATATTCTAAGGTTAAAACTTATATATTAGCATCCAAACAAGTTACATTCTGAGGCCTTCAAGATTTCAATTAATATATTTAAAACTGTCCAGATGAGATAAAAGACAGCTTTATCTTGTTATCCTTCAGTGTCCTATTTGTTTCAGGATTTGTGCAAGAAACTTAGTTACATGTTTTATTCCGCTTAGATTTTATTGCCATTTCTCCTAAGCAGTAATACTATATGATTAATTTTAACATTTTTTTTAGTTTAATAGAATGTTCTTAAACTCTACTACCTTGTTTCTTAACGTATGGCCTGGGACTGGATACTATCATCAGGGAGCTTAGTACAGAATCTCAGGTGAACCCCAGCCCCACTAAATTAGAGCCTGCCCCAGGTGAGTTATATTCACGATAAACTTTGGAAAGCTTAGCTCTGCATTTGGTCTGCCAGGGCTCTGAGTGAATTTTCTATTACATTGCTTCTAAAAAGATTCTTGGTTTGACTCTCAATCATTTTGTTAAGTCCTTTGTTTGTTCTTGCTTGAGAGCCAGATAGCTTGGAATAATATTAGTAATATTAATATAACTCCTTGTTATAAATGACAGCCACTGATATTTAGTATAGTTCCTCAATCATCTCCATACGATTTCTGCCTTTACCCATAAAATCTCCTTTAACAAAAAAATTCCCTTTCTTTTCCTATGACATATTTTCATGGCAACCTTCACACTGAAACCTCCATTCTTTCCAAATAACGTCATCTGCTTAACCAGTGAGTTAGAAATAGCTATGACAGCCAAGCATTAGAAGAGATGGTATATGCCGCATAGAATAGTAAGAGACAGCAGCGAAATATTTTGGTTAGCTCAATATACATACCATAAAAATAAGGTGTTAGAAGTAAAATTCCAAAATATTCCCGCTTGTTAAGACTTGATTAATCAAAAGTGCTATAATTAGTTTAAAAATTAAAGTTTTAAAAAAGTCTTTCTTGCCTTGGTGTTTCTTCTGAATTCATGATCCAAATTTCCAACTACTGACCGAATCCCATGTACCTCAAAACTACTATGTCCCGCTCTGAATGCTGTCTTCCTCTTTCATTCTCAGAGTATTCTTTCTTCTCTGCTCGATTCTCAGAATAACAAAGAAACTCCTAAGTCATCTTGATCGTTTCCTTCTCCCTCATCAGCCATAAAACTCAGTCAGGAGTCAAGTCTTGTCAGAACATCACAAATTCCTTTAAATCTGTTCTCTCTCTCTCTCTTTTTTTTTTTTTCTTTTTTTCCTGAGATGGAGTTTCGCTCTTGTTGCCCAGGCTGGAATGCAATGATGTGATCTTGGCTCACTGCAATCTCCGCCTCCCAGGTTCAAGCGATTCTCCTGCCTCAGCCTCTTGAGTAGCTGGGATTATAGGCATGCACCACCACACCTGGCTAATTTTGCATTTTTAGTAGAGACGGAGTTTTTCCATGTTGATCAGGATGGTCTTGAACTCCCGACCTCAGGTGATCCGCCCCCTGGCCTCCCAAAGTGCTGGGATTACAGGCGTGAGCCACCATGCCTGGCACTGCTCTTTCTTTAAGATCTCTTATTTTGACCAGTCCAGTTGCTTCTTGTGGTGTACCTCTGCCATTCATGGATGTAGAAATTTATTTTTTAATACTCTCTTCAGATGTCATTAGTTTCCCCCAGTGTGAATCCTACCTCTTCAATGTAGAATTGAAAAAAAAGAAAAAAGAAAAAAGAAAAGAAAACCCTTCTAAAAACATTTCCTACACCCTTTTGCTGCTAGATATAGATTTGTGACTTCTGCTAATCAAAAGCACCTGCAAGGGAATTAGAGTTGAAAGACAGATTAAAATAATAAATGAGCAAGGAATGTGACATCCATTTTTCCGGTGGGGTTGTGGCAAAAGTAGCAAAATTTCAGTGTGCAGCAATGGCAACCATTTCCTTACCAGAGCAGAGTGGAATGGTTTGGGGGACAGCAGTGACAGTGGTACCCTTTGGTCATGTAACAGGGTATATATAGAATTGTATTGTGCAAGAATATTCGGCATTTATTTGCAATCAGTTTGTCTGTTGCAAAGATTTCTTTTTCTATAGCAACTATATGAAATAAAACTGTATGTGAATTTTATTGTTTTTAATTTATTTTCAAAGGCAGATGGGGTGGGAAACCAAACTATTATAATTACATCAAAAATAGTTTATTAAGATGTCTTTATTTTTCCTCACTGCTCCTTTAACAGGAACAAATAGGACTTTATGTCTACTAATTGGTATTCACATTTGAAATATTTATCATTATGTGGCCTTGGTGACATAGCATTTTTATATTACCTTACAAAACTTCTATAAAAAAAAACATGGGGATGCAAATATATTAAAGAAACTTATTGCAAAAACACGTTTTCTGACCTCTCAGCCTCCAGTTAAAATTATACTGATGTATTAAAGTTATCCAAAAGAAAATTATTCAGAACCAGTTTTTTTTTTCTGCCATTATTTTTTCCTAGCACTCCCTTTCTTTTCTCATAGATTACACATGGGATAGGCAAGGAAATGAACGGTCAGCAAAATCAGGTGACTTGACAACTGTCAGAGATTTTTAACACATACTTTTGCTTTATTTCATGCAAGAGCAAGCCTGAAGCCATCTGCCCACCAACAACACATCTTTCATTCCTATTATAGAGACAGAACCCCCCACCTCATCATTAAAACACAATCTTCAAAGGCACGTTGTTTTTGCTTATCCCTATTGTGACAGATGTTTTATATCATCTATCCCCATGTGCTAGTTTATCTGTGATGGACTGCCCACTCTTTGCAGCCAGCTGTGGAAATAGCTCCATTGTCAACTGTGGCCACTCTCATTCCATTCCTGTGACTTCACTGAAGACCACATCCAACAGCAAGAAAAACAAACAGCCCTGATCACTTCCTTGAAAACATGTTCAGGGCGGAGGTAGGCTGCCTCTAAACAAGCTCTCTTTATGATGTATGTTACAAGGGAGAGGCAATCTTATTTGAAACCCTCACAGGTCATCGAGTTAGCCAATGGAGGTAATCCCTAGATTAAGGGATAATGAAGCAATAGCATCTGTGGGCATGATTCAGGTGAAAACATCTGGTTGACTCAGTACCACTTCAATTAGTTTGAGTATGCATCAATCATTTATTTTCTTTTCATTTTATAAAGTTCCCACGAGGAAATGTTTACACCGCCAGCTTATCCAAGTCTTTGAAATACTGTGAAAAGACTATAACTATATTGTTTTAAATGGATAGACAATCAATGTGAATTCTCTGTGGTAGAATAATACCCTGATATTAGGATATATTTTTAGAAACAAAAATTGATCTGTTTTTAAAGAAGTCTATCTTAGCTGGCTTGAAATTGATAAAGCAATACTTTTAGTAGTAAGAATTGTGTCAACTTGAAATACTGAGGGGGTACTCAAATTATAGTATATATGCCAAACCGTCTGCAATGTTAGAGCCTTCATAACTTTTTAAAAGATATTTTGGTACTGTACAGTGTTTAGAATAAAGAATATTCATTAATTCATCCATTCACGAATGCTGAGTTTCTATCTTTTTTCTTTTTTTTTTTTTTTTTTTTTGAGACGGAGTCTCGCTCTGTCGCCCAGGCCGGACTGCGGACTGCAGTGGCGCAATCTCGGCTCACTGAAAGCTCCGCTTCCCGGGTTCACGCCATTCTCCTGCCTCAGCCTCCCGAGTAGCTGGGACTACAGGCGCCCGCCACCGCGCCCGGCTAATTTTTTGTATTTTTAGTAGAGACGGGGTTTCACCTTGTTAGCCAGGATGGTCTCGATCTCCTGACCTCATGATCCACCCGCCTCGGCCTCCCAAAGTGCTGGGATTACAGGCGTGAGCCACCGTGCCCGGCCTCTGTTATATCTTGCTGTGAAATAACTGAGAGATAAATTACAGTTAAATAACTTTAACAAGCTATAATAGAGTAAGTTTCACAAATGCAATATAAAGTAATCAAGGAGATTACAATTTTCCACAAAAGTAAACATTATTGGAGATGCCATGTCATTTTCTGTCTTTTTTTTAGTCTGAAATTTTCACTGGGTGATGCTACTACCACTCAACTCCTAGAGTCACAGTTGAGCCACAAGACTTGCATCTCCCACTGTAAGTTAAGGGACTGTCTATGTTGAGCAAGCCTGGATGTTTTGCTTCAGCAGGAGGCTCTGGGTCCCCAGGAATAAGCCTGAGATCACTGAGTATCAAGCTGAAAAACATACTGTAGGAAGGAAATAACTCTAAAATATGATGAAGGCTTGTAGACACACCGGATTGCATCTAAAAACATGGCTCAATTGTTATCTTAGTAATCAAGAACAAAAATACCTCTATCTTTACTGAGACCCTGAAGTCTCAAGGCATGGATGGCTCATCTCTGAAGAGTTGGCTATAATTACATTTCGGTAATTCCTGTTGTTAATCACAGCTCATTATAGGGAGAGCCCTCTTTCTCCTTAGCTCTGATCAAGGCCAGTTGTCAACTCACTGGTTAATTGATTGGTAATATTTTATTGTGTCATTCCTCCTGACTATTTTTGCTGCACCCCCAGCCCCCCCACCCCCCTGCCAAACAGTCTGTCAGTTGATAGCTTTTAGAATTTGTATGGCAATGGGATAGCAAATTCAGCTAACCCACATATTCTGAGTGGCTATTCTGACTATAGTGGGTATTTTATAAAGGGTTAAAAAAAACTAAACCAGGTGCTGCGGCTCGATGTCTGTAATCCCAGCAGTTTGGGAGGCTGAGGCAGGCAGATCACTTGAGGTCAGGAGTTCCTGACCAGCCTGGTCAACATGGAGAAACCCTGTCTCTATTAAAAAAACAAAAAATTAGCCAGGCGTGGTGGCGGGCGCCTGTAATCCCAGCTACTTGGGAGGCTGAGGCAGGAGAATCACTTGAACCTGGGAGGGAGAGGTTACAGTGAGCTGAGATCACGCCACTGCACTCCAGCCTGAGCAACAAGAGTGAAACTCCATCTCAAAACAACAACAGCAAACCAAAACAAAAAGTCAAATTATAATTCCATGATTTCTTCATAGGCTAGACCCAACAAATATTAATATCCAATGGCCTCGGTATAAGACCTTCCTTTTAAAATGTATTTTTTACACGGCACCCCCAAATGTACACAATTCAAACTTAATTAAAAATATTAAAGCTTCACTGGTTTATAATCATATCTGAGGTTTTTTTTTTTTTTTTTTTGAGACCACGTGCCACCACACCTGGCTAATTTTTTGTATTTTTAGTAGAGACGGGGTTTCGCCATGTTAGCCAGGATGGTCTCGATCTCCTGACCTCGAGATCTGCCTGCCTCCACCTTCCAAAGTGCTGGGATTACAGGCATCAGCCACCATGACCTGCCTATCTGAGGTATTTAAGTTAACTATTTTATGTATATTCATTAGGGACTTTAACGAATCAGGAAATTAGTTGTCAAAGTTAAAAAAAATTATATTCCAAGGATATATCCAAATATGAAATGATGATTTCACCCCATCCTAGTGACACAGCTATAGTGTGAACTCACATGGTTAAATCATCTATTTAGGACATTGTTTTTTGGATGAAAGTAGTAGTATGCAAAAATTTCAGAAAAACAGAAAACTTTTTATTTACCTGTGGCTTTGGAAAACAACAATAAAATGCAGTGCTTAGTTTGGCATTCTTTTAAACCTTTACATTGTGAAGAACAGTAATCATACTTTCCAATTTACTCATACTACAAAATTACTAGTAGTCAAAGAATAAATGAACTTCCCAGTTTTTCAGTTTATAGACACAAGAGGAGTAGGAAATTTGCTGGTCAATTTCAAATTTCAAAACTTACCAGCAAAAGTGAATGACAATTCACATTTCATTTTATTTGGTCTCAGTCACCTTTCTTGATCTGGTTTGATTATAACCCCATGTGGCTAATTTTCAGCATGTCTGTGAGGATCTTGCTTCTTATTACTGCCATGCATGACCTTTCCCTTGAGTCAGACCTGCGGTAAATAGTCATGCGACAATTTTTTCCTAAGTACGTTAAAAAAAAAGTAGAGAGATCAATAAGGGAACAACTGGCTTTTCTAAAGAGTTCTGGAGTTACTACTCTAAAATCATATTATATCTACCAAATTATTTCATAATTATTTTCCTTAAAATCTGGGTGTAGGAAGAAGCAAAGAGATGATTATGTGAACAATGTGGGAGCAAAGTTTGTGAATGAAGTGACAGAAAAGTTGACAATGTACAATGCTGAAAGCAGCAGGAGCAGCTGCTTCAGGCAGTGACAGCATTATGCAGCCAGGGCTGCATAATTTTACAGGGAAATGGAATCCGCAGCTAGAATTCCTGCCCCTTGAATGTAGTTCAAGGCAGGATTCCCTAGGCCTACACCATGAAGGCATCCCAAGTATTAAAACAAAAATTGTCCAAGATAGAGAGGTGATTAAACACATGTATGTTTTGGTTATAATTACAAAGAGACAGGGATTTACACTGAAAATATAGAGGGACAGCTGACAAAAATTGAAACTGGGATTAGCAAATGGAGCAATGATTGACTTCACAAAGTTCACATGAAGCGAGTGTATACACACCTATATATGAGATAGATGTGAGGTCTGCATGCATTGAAATTCCACAGCTCGAACAGCTGCATTTCTCCTCCAGGAAAGCTTAATTTCTCTACTTTCTTTTATGAGAAATTCTTTTTCTGGCTCTTCATTTTACCTGTCCATCTCTGACTTCCTGGAAGAGATGCTGTATTCCCCCATGCCATGGATGGATAATTCAATATTGATATTATTTTTCAATGGGAATGGTCTTTTTCTTTCATTTAGTGAGTCAGTAGCTGGTCAGTAAAGCTCTCTGGATTTGTTTCTGTAGTATTATAAGGTCTGTGTTTGGCAAATTATTCTCAATGCCATTACATAAATGCAGGATTATAAGCAAAATTTCCTAAGTAGTTTTAAAATTTAATCAGGAAAAACTCTTTAAAAGAGTAGGAAATGTTCCACCTTTATTAAAAATTGTTTTCTCATTTTAAAAATAATTCAAGCATATATAAAAAGAAAAAAGATAAAGCTTTTTGCTTGTTTTTATAACTTTTTAGTTTTACAAGTAGATAATATCTAATATAAGGAAAATGACAAAATATTATTACTTTAGAAGAAACTATTCAATTTGGGTTTGATTCAGAGTTCTTTGATCTTTTAGACTTAATATGTAGGGTTTTGAAAAAAAGTCTCATCTTAAAAAATTAAATAAAAATGTTGTATAATGCTCAAAATTAATTATATGCTGCAACAATAAACTATCTTACGTGTAGAAATTGAAAAGAATGTTAGCATATAGTTTTAGATACTTACATAGAATTTTCTCATAGTTATCTAATCTACTTTTTATAAAGTGCAAACAGTATCATTAATCTGATAACCTGAAATAGCGCTACAATATTTATAACATTAAGGTGGGTCTTATTCAGTGATTATGAACATTAAAAATAAGGCATATTTACCTCAGACATATCACCCAACATAACATAACTTTGAGACAAAAAGAATTAAATTACGGTACATTTGGATGCATGTGCCTGTCAGATCAAAGGTTTTAACTAACCTTAGGACACAAAGAATTAAATTATGATAGTATTTGGATGAACAAGTCTGTCAAAATCAAAGCTTTTAGCTAAATCATAAAACTCCTTTCCACTTAAGATATAATGATAGGATTGCTAAAATATTAAAAAATATCTTACTTCATATGCTAATGTGATTGGCATTAAAGGACATAGATAACATACTAATATTTTGTCTTTCATATACAGAAGAATCCAATAATAATTTTTTATTAATCTGCCAACTTGATTTACTCTAGGTTAAATTATATAACCTGACATATCAAAATTTAATGAAAAAAATCAAGCCAGATATAATGAAATAGAGTTGGTGTTAACTGAATTGAAACATACCTGTCCCAGCTCTGCCACCAACTTGTGTGATATTAGTGATGACAATTAACCTCTCTGAGCTTCACTTCCTTCATCCATAAATACATTATCCTGTTATATTCAGGTTAATCTTTTGTGATAGTATATACAATATTATATAATTGCCTCATGAAAATGCAGAGTGAAGGACTTCTCTGTAATCTGAATAAGGAGGACATTATTCCAAAGCATAGAAGACTCCAAACCTAAAAGACCAATGAACTTCTTGCTGATGCCTGGAATTTTCTAGAAGGTTCACAAACGTTTTGTTACAAAGTAATAGGAAAAATATTGCACACACTTAAGTCTACTGATAACTTCATTTACCCCAAGATGCTAATAACCAGATCAAATTTTTCAGGAGAGGTTTTGGGAGAAGCATCCACTATTAGTTTAGTGGGAGTTGACGGTTGTTTTCTGCCTCCCATGACCCTCTCTAAGAGAATCCCACCAAATGCATGCACACACACACACATGCATGAGATTAGAGTCCCATGAATCTTTCTTTAATAGAATGTATGGCCAGTTTAATTTCTTATTCCTTAAAATACTGATTTGATTTCTCTCTTCCCCAATACACTGGAAGTTTCATAAAGACAGGGACTATACATAATTTATACTGCATTAAATCTCTGAATATGGTGCAGCACATATCTGGTACATAGTGGGTTCTCTTTAAATGTTGTTTAAATGAAAAAGCAAAAGAGAGAAAGAATGACCTTTTGGAACATCTAAGCGTCTTGAAGGAAGGACATCGCCAAGTGGGAAGAAAAGATGTTGAAAATAATGGCTGGGGTTCTAAAAGACAAATTACACCTGCTTGCTATTTTTACCAAAATCTGGCTCCAAATATTTAACATCATTTGCCATAGCATTTTTAGTTTTTAAATTATTTTTCCCCTGCTGGAAGATACATTCCATGAAGAGAGGATCTTTTTTTGGTTTGGTTTTGTATTCTAACTGAATATAGAATGGCAGTGCCTGGCACATAGCAGACACCCAAAAAATGTATGTTGAATGAATAGAGGAATGAATGACTCTGGTTTCGTTTTTCCAATAAGTCACTAACTATAGAGCAATTTAACATTTTCAGTGTTAAGGGAAAAACACTGGCAAATAATATGAACTTTTTCATTGCTGTCATTCTTCCAAGGTCCAGGCAACAGAAATGTTCTTGATTCTGCTAAAAACATTTCAGGAATTAATTAATTACATGATAATTATAATTTGCAGCCTTTAAAATTCTTTCAGAGGATTTTTAAATACCTTGAGATTAATAAAATTTAAAACAAGTTTTTCTTCCCCTAAGGAATCTTTAATTTTCAAATACACATACATTTTTTTCTGGAAATACAATCCACATGTTTCGTATTCTCTTATAACATATATTTTTCTGGAAATACAACCCACATATTTTTGGTTCTCCTTTACTTTCAGTATTCCATCACAATATTGGCTAGACTGATGTGATAATTAAGAGCCTGCTTTAGGACAAATATGTGCTTCCCCTGAACAGCCAATAGGTAAGTTTTCATGATAATTAACAGCCTGCTTTAGGACAAATATGTCCTTCCCCTGAACAGTCAATAAGTAAGTTTTCTAAAAAAAGCAATACAAGGAATATCTAGCTGATTTCAGATTGGCTCAAAATCCTAGTTCTAATGACTTTTAACAATTCAAAATGGGGGAAAAAGCATATGCTCTTTAATGGATATTCACTGGAGATTATTAAACTTAACAAATTAAAGAAGAGAAGATACACTTTAAGCAATAATATGAGGTAATTTAGTAATTGTCTAATAAATTGAATCTGTATAGCACCAAAAGTAAATGGAGAGGGGGAAAGAGAGAAAGATTTATCAGAGAGAGTACAGGGATATGAGGAAAAGTAGAAGGGCTTTCCTCCTTGCATAATTTTGGCTCTGCTAGGAAACCAATGCTGTAACAATTTATTTCATTTTCTAGGACAGTTATAAGATGAAATTGTGTTAGCCAGAACATTTCTCATCATATGCCTGACCATGTGTAATAGAAATGGACAGGATCAAATGGTTGGACCATTCTGATTTACATGGGACTGTCTACATAACTTCATAAGCAAGGGTGATTGCAGTAACAGAGCTGCCTTGCTGAATCTTTACAAATCAGAAATACAGGGAACATATCCTAGTCCATCTCAAGAGAAAAGACTAAAGCTACATGCTTTTGCATTAGAAGTTTTTTCCAGATGCAGAATTACGTTTCTTGCTTCTTTTCTTTGTTAGAATTACAAAAGTGAAAAAGTGACAAATTCCTTGATACTGGTTCAGATGTCAGTAATTAGATAGCACAGATTAAAGGTTTATATTTGAAATGTTTAATCCTTTTGTATCACAGGTAATATTCCACTAAAAGGACCTCCTGCTGATTGTCTGTCAATGAATCCTCACTCTTGACAATTTCGGTTTGAACTTTGTATTTAGAAAAAGACATGAAGGAAAGTTAAATCTTTGAGCCACAATCCAATTTGTAAACATTTGTCTGGAGATACGGGCATACTGTTACGGATTCTTAAGAAACTTACTTTAAACTTCTGCTCTTTAAAATGTCAAATAGAACAGAGAAGAAAACACCAACAAAAAGCATGTATAACATATTCAGGGCATGGAAAAACCCCACAGGAAAACATGATGGTCTTCAGTAATTTAGCTCTCACATCCCCCTATGTAGCTTTTTCAAGTTGGCCATTGGAAACACATTGGAATTAGTGAGTCACTCTGAGCTCATACTTCTATGATCAGTAAAACTGGTTCTCATTACCAGCATCAACCAGAACGTTAGAGAAAAACACGGTTTAAAGCCCCAAAGGCCAAAGATGGGATTATCCAGCAAAGCCTGAAATAATCTATTCTTGTCAATAAAGTAAAAGAAATGGATTTTTTTTTTTTTAGGAACACTCTATTCTAAAAGCAGTGGGAACCCTCCAGTGATAATAGTGTAGGGTTTATAAATCCCTGCATTCACAATGACTTAACAATGAGACAGATATATCTAAACAACAAGATAAATAAACGGTGGACTTTTAAATTTTTCTTATAGGCTTGGCAAAGGTTTATTGCTTTCTTGGTTTTTACTAGGCAGAGGCTTGTTGCTGTGCTTTTCCAATTTTGTTGTTCTTCCACTAGCTGGGCTAGTGGCTATGGAAGAAATACAATTTAATAAAAAAAAGTTTCCTGAAATGTTTGCAAAATGGAAATGAAACAGCTTTTCATGGATACACAGGACAATTTCTGAAACCTTTACATCAACTGCTAGACTTCATTGGGGGCTCCTAAGATTTCTTCTAATTTGAAGTATCTCTATTTTCCTAACTTATCACTGTGGTCAGTTCCCTAAGAGGAAACATCAAGTGCATATACATTTGATTAATTCAAAAAGACATATGTAATACAATACATAATTAGCCATAACAGTATAGGTATAAGAAAAAGCATAATTGGGTTGCTAAACAATCTTGCTTGTAAGGGGCATATGCAAGCATTTAATTTAGTACATATAAGACTAGTAAATTTAAGGTAACCTCAGCGTATGCACAACACTAGCTATTGCATAGATCAAGCATGGTAATTACTATGAAAAGTGAGCGAATTGCTAGAAATCTCATCTATTCTCTCCAGCAGGAATAAATGACTCATAAGTTTATTACTACCCTTCTTGGGTGGCAAACCTGTATTTGGAGGTACATATTGAAAATCTTTATCTGGCCTTGAAAAGTCAACATGCCCAAAAGGAACTATATATCCCTGATCCTCAACTTATGCCTTCTCTTACACATCCTAATTCAGTTTAAGGACCCCACTTTCTACCTAGCCACCTAGGCTGAAATTTCCTGAGTCAGTTTTGACCCATGCATCCACCATATTCTCTTCCTTACTAATTAATACCACAAATCTCAACAGTGTTCAGTCTTTAAATGTAACTCTGAATAACCTCATATAAACACACATTTGTATTATATGTATATGTCAGTCTTTTGGTTAAATAATATCTATAATGGAGGTCAGCTTTCAGCATATATGGACAGTAATGTGTATGTAGTATCCATCAATCATTCATCAGTTCATGCCATGTATAATATAAACACTTCCTTGAAATAAATTTCATATATGCATCTCAGAAAGTTAGATTATTTTGGAGTGTGATATCAGAATCTGAGTATTTAGACATGTATCATGTAACACAAACTTGGAAGCATAATGATTTTTTCAGTATTGATTGAAAATACTTAGAGATACAAGACAAGATAAAAGCCTTTATCGGAAAGTAAGAATTGATTTTTAATATACAACATTGTTATGCAGAAATGGTTCTAATGTGTATTGATTAAGAACCGTTTAAGAATAACTCTTTGATAAAAGGTTTCTCTTCTCAATAGAAGTTTTAAGGTTATTATTCAGAACCCAAGTTGATAATTAGCTTGATTTTCTCTATGCTAAATAAGAAAATAAAGCCAAGAGCACAATGTTCTTTTTAACATAGATGAGGACTAATCCTCTTTCTTGGAATTTGCTTTCAGTTTTCTCAGCTTGTTTCTACTATTTCTCCTCAGTTATGTGCAATGAAATTATACTTATGTTAAGTGATATAAAAGGGAACAAGTACCACCCTAATTTGTAAAATATTATGCATAAACAGTGTGACGCCAACTGAACTATTTGTATGCCTTCCTAGGTCAGCAAGAAGATGTTTTCTCTGCTGATGATATAGTTTTTCTGTCATTTCTCAAGTGCAGATTTCAGAGTCTGCTGAACATATTGAGTAATTATTGTAAGATAGAATGGTTTGATATCAGCTTTATCTGATGCCAAATCATCAATTTATGCAGATACTTTTAAATTCTCATGGTCCACATCAAATAGTTCTATTCTATCAGTTCCGTTTGCTGCCACGGAGTACATTTTACACCTGATTCATCTTGGCAAGTGCATCAGAGTCTAGTACTGTTAAAATCATGAGTACTTTATGAGCCACCTAGTGATGATAGCCAAGAGGTCTTATGCCTGCCCTCAATATTTTAGATGAAATTTGCCTCTCAAGCACTCAACAGCACAGAACTACTAGATCCCAACTGTGTACATGCTTGGGCTCCTGTGAGAGCTTTGAAGACATTTATTAAGGAAAATTCTGGCACAAACTGAACAATCTTGCCATCTTTTCCATGAGAGGTAAAATAGCCTGTACCTAGGTGAAACTATAAATCAGATGGTATAAATTTAATAACATCCTGGCTCAGACTAAATAAACACCAAATAAGCCACATGTCAGCCAATTGGATTTACTGAGTCATTCTTATATCAAGATAGGTTATAAGAAACTTACATACCTGAAGAATATTAATGTAGTTGCCCTATACATTTCTTCAGAAAATTGAAAGTTAACATGTGCTTGGCTTTTATTGAGAGTTAATAAAAGAAATGTCCACAAGAAAATGTTTCTCTCTACAGATGTAACTGCCAATTAAGACACTACGCTGAATAACACAGTTGTTTCAGCTGATATAAACAAATCTGCAACTGAAAAGGAATTAGAATACTACATTATGAACATAAGAGAAATTTTCCTAAATTGTTTTTAACACACCTCCTTACTGACAATGACAATATTTAATGATCAAACTTACAAAGACAAATTTAATATTAGCATCATTTTCCCTAATAAGTTGGGTTTGATTTCAGAGAAGATGCACGTCTTTAATTTTCTCAGAAACCTTTGTCAGTATCCTTGTCTAACGGCACCTGGAAGCTTGTGTCTTAATATTTGCCAATGCAGAAATAGTCTATAAAGTGTAACTTATTATCAAATATTTATTTAGAACAAAATAGAACGGGAGAAATATTGCGAACTATATGGAATAAACTCTCAAATAATAAAATTATACTGTAGTTGGGAAAGAAGAACTAGTGTCATGTCCCAGGATATCTATTACCTATATTCTGTCTGTCTGACCACCCATCCATCCATTCATCCATCCGCATCCCTGCATCCATCCTTCCCTCCATCCATTCATTCATCATCTATCCACCCATTCTATCATCTATTTATCTATCTATCTATCTATCTAGCTATTATGTATGTGTTTCTCCATTTTTCTATCATGTGAATATAACCTGATGAACTTGTTTTACTTGTATGATTAATAAATTATCTCTGAAAATTATTCCCAAAGAATAAATTTTTAAAATGTCCTAGTCTAAGATGGCATCAATGGAAAAGGCCTCCCAAAGTAATTTCATCACATAGAAAAAAGAAACTCATGTAGACATATAAGTTCTGGTATTTTTTCTTAGAATCTCTATCATCTTACTTTATTGTTTGAATAACTTAGCAACGAAGCATTTGTTGACAGTCAAATGATGAGACACTACGCATTCTTGGGGTTCTGAGGGGAGTAGAAATCTCACTTTCACCTGGGGTATTCAGATAATTAGGACTAATTAGCCTTGTGCAGAGGCTATAATGATTACTTTATGATACCCAAGTAATATCAATAACATTCTCTGCATATTACACTCAACTCTGAGTGGAGAACTTGTGAAAGGGCACATCGGATATTGGTGAGGAGGCTTTGCCTAGAAATGCAAACGGAACTCTAGGAGAAGATGCCATGTTTAATGGAATATAGGACAACAGCCCTAATCATGATTAAGTGATACCTTCTGTGGCAGAACTGTTGAAGGGCACACAAATGTCATGCATATGCCCCAGTGTTAGAGGCACCTGGTAGCCTGTAAAAATACCTTGCTTTCTCTTAGATGTTCACCAGCTGCAGCACATGGTGAATAGGACCAAAACCCTGCCTACAATCTACTGATCACTTTGCTCAGAGCACCCTTCCTGCCTGACACCCAACACTTGTTGGTCTAAAAAACTCCTTTTAGTTTTCAAAACCAAGTTCAGGAGTTACCTCCTCTGTGAAGCCTTGTTCTTATTCCTCTACTCCCTCCACAGTGAGTAACTTCCTCCTCTTTACTGCTTATAGACTTTGCACATACCTTAACTGTTAACCATAGATGAACATATTAGAATTATTTGTTTTCTGACAGAGTCTTATTGGGAGGGAAACCAATTGTTCTAAAACAGGGAGAAAAATGTACGTTTAATTCCTATCTTTGGTAAGCTTCTTCTTAGGCAGTAGAAAAGTTTAAAGGCATTTTACTTGTATTTGTGTTATCATTTTGAAAAATCTAACTCTAAACTCCATAATTCTTTAAGCAAACCTGATTAATCCGTACACGCCATACACAAACACACACATGAAAATTATATACATATACGTATACATATATATGTATATGTATAGTTTTTCCCTTTCTCTCCATTAACCACTTCCCTCCCTCCTACACCCTAATTGGTTGACCTATAAAACTCAAGCCTCATGCTAATCAACACCATTAACCATGATCCTAAATTGCAGACATAGCACCTAGGTAGAAATAACTAGGTTCTCTAGAACTAATCTAGCAAAGTCAAAATTCAGAGTAAAATAAAGTATCCCAATGACATACTGAGCAGTAAGAAATCAAAAATAATATCTTTTGATTTACATTTGAGATGTACTCTTCACATTTGAGAATACTCTCAATATGTGAACCCGTTTCTGATCATCTATTTAATGAATACCCAAATACTTCACATAAGTGTTAAAAGTTTTAAATATGTTTGGACATTTTGTTCCAATGTGCTATGAAAGAACAAATAGTTCCATGGTCTATCTGTACTCTCATCCTAAATCCTTCAGTGATTTCCACGAGTAGTTTCTGTTACCCTGGTAACATTTATAAAGTAAATGATCTACCCTACCTCTATATGATTGTCGCCCTGGTAACTTGCTGTTTTCTAGAAAGTCTGACAAGGACTTTATTTTAGCTGCATATTTTCTTTCTTTAGGAAATAAGAATTTAATAGATTGGATATTTAACATTATTTCTATTTGAATTATATTTAATATGTTAAATAGCTATTAAGGAAGTAACATCATCTACATCTTTATGAAGGAACTGGCAAAGCTGTGATACTCTGCTTTACTAATGATGAAGTAATGAAGAAATTCTAAATACTATCCAAGGACACACTGGAGATCATGTATGATTGAAATTTTTCTTCTTAGCAGCTGTCAATTGTGTCATGTCCAGAATGCTGTGCCTGCTGTTCTAAAAAGTGATACATTATGTCTTGAGCTAGTCTTTCATTTTAAAGGTTGTTAGTAAAATAACAGAAAACCACATGCAGAAAGGTAGGCCACATGCACACATACCACACACATGCCCCGCATACTCCCACAGTAACAGAGCTAGAATACTTCAGTTGGGACAATTTTTACGTTACTGGGTATAGAAACAGTGGCCATCTATTAATAGATGCATCCCTATGTACTCTGGAGATGTGTTGGTGCCTAGCACTTGGCAGCTTCCAACCACCATTATCTGAGAATTTAAAAAATGTATTAAAGCATATTTTTTGTATTTCAAAAGATTCTAGACTCACCACTGCCCCTAGACACTCCTGTGCTTAGGAGGCAGGGATCTCAGACAGCAGGAAGCCTTCAGGAACTCTACTTGGAAGATAAACATTACCTCCAAAATTATTTAGGAATATAAAATGACTTTATATACAAAGACTTTGCACAATGGCATTTCATAATGTAGCAGAATTTATTTTTTTCTATTTATAATTGATTCATACATTACTCCACTGCATATTATTACTTTTACGCACACATCAGTGACATAACTTACTCTTTCTGTTTTACATTTTTCAAAGTAAACTTAAATTCTGAACAATAGTACTGGGATTGTCAAGCTAATAAAAAATGTGTAGGAAAGTCTGCCAGATTTGACTGCGTGAAAGTTGTACTTCAATACGTAGCAATTTAACTTTCCAACCAAATATTTCCCTCGTTCTCTAATATAAACATTTCACTTAAGGCAGGCTATTTGCTCCCCCCGTAGTCCCCTTTGAAATAACTTGAGACTCTCCTCCCATACTTTTTGTGTATTATTTTCACTTAAAATGTTCTCTTTTTTCATTTTAGCCCCACAAACATCACCCATCCTTTAAGGTCATCTTTATGTCATTGTTCTTCTCTGTCCTTAACTGTTCACAGAGGCTTCTTTATTTTTTAGGTTATATAATTACTAAAATTTTGACAAATTTTCAACTGTACCTTTTCAATTAAATTATCCTGAGCATATAATGTTTTTCTACAATTATATTTCAAGTCTTGAGGACAAATTATTTCTTATTTTCTCTCCTCCATTTCCAATAATATCTAGAAAAATATCATGCACATATTTGATGCTCAAGAATATTTGTTTTTATTATTTGTTGATTTTTTTCATTGAACCCAAGTTTCTCAATGTTATAAGACGAGGAGTCAATGATTGGTATAGCTAAGGGCTAAGGGAAAGAAAGACTGAATCAAGCGAGCATGTGAGGAAAATATTCCTCAAGTTTTATGACAATCAAGGGCATTAAAAACTCTATACATTCTTAAAAATTACAAATTATTGATTTACAACTTGCTCATACCTAAAAATTCCTTATTAGGCAGTTGGCAACTGATTATTTTTACTTTGTACTACATTTAACTTAAGAACTATATGGCCTATGATCTAATTATCAACAACTAGTCATGGAGCAAAAGATAATGCTAATTTTGTTAAGACCGTGGCATTTCACAATCCAATTGATTTGATCATTCAGCAACATGACTATCAACTATGCAACAGTCAGAGTTCTTCATGATCATGATCATACATGGTATTAACAAATTCTGTTTGTTTGTTTTTTTTTTTGAGACAAGGTCTTGTTTTGTTGCTCAGGCTGGAGTACAGTGGTGTGATCTTGGCTTACTGTAGCCTTGAGCTTCTATCCTCAAACAATCCTCCCACCTCAGCTTCCCAAGTAGCTGGGACTATAGGCATGCACCACCATGCCTGGCTAATTTTTTTGTATTTTTTGTAGGGACAAGGTTTTGCCATGTTGCCCCAGGCTGGTCTCAAACTCCCGAGTTCAAGCAATCTGCCTGCCTTGGCCTCTCCAAGTGCTGGGGTTACAGGCTTGAGTCACCACACCGGGCCAACCTTAACAAATTCTTAAATAGATTATAAAGTTTTAGCCTCCTGAGAACATGTCTGACTGGAGTAATAGATTATTTTTTAAACTGGATTTGGTAAAATAAATGCATCTCTTCCCCAAAACTAAGATAGTCTTGGGTATGAAGATTTTATAATCTCCAAAAAGAGATTTTTTTAATGCTATTTAAAATTGTTTCTGCAATTAGAGAAAAAGGAATTATTCCAAATTAACTTTATAAAGCCTTTGTTAATTGAATATTCAAACCTGACAAAAATAGCTTACTAATTTTATTAATAAAAACTGATGCCAAGATAATAAACTATTCACAAGTATAATCCGGAAGTATATTTTTAACAGGGATATATCATAACCAAATGGAGTTGATGGCAGAATGATTCTACCTTAGGAAAATATTAAAAATTATGATACAATTAATTACAAATATATTAATACAATAAAATTGGCAAAAGGAAAATAATATCAATAGTTTCAAAAAAACTTTGATTAAGTTCAACATCTACACCTAAATTAAAAAATAATTCATAGTGGCATATCCATTATGATAAGAAATAAGTCAAAGGATACATTCCAAAGCCATTTGGCCAGAAAATGAATTATGAAATATAAAGATTTAAAATCAGGTGGAAAATTATATTATTTTTGATGACCTGGAAAAGCTGAGAATGAATTAAATATTCGATTGAAAACAATGAGGGAATTCAGAAAGATAGCTGGTTACAAAAATTGTTTCATATATGAGATAGAAGAAAAGGCTAAACAGCATCATGAAGAATCAACCAAACATTTTGCAAGAGTGGGATACATGGCAGGACAGCTAACCATGAACAGGAAGGGAAAAAAGACTGCCAGATTAAAAGAGCCTTAAATGACCCAATAACCAAATATAATATGTGGTCACTGATTGCTTCCTGGATTGGGTAAACCAGTGTAAATAACATTTTTGCTCAATTGGGAAAATTTGATGAGAGATGATAAAAAATTTCTCAACTGGGAAAAATGGAAAATATTCACTGAAAATAGCACATATTGTGTGATGTCATTTGACTGATATCATTTTGGTAAATGGTATATACACATACATATGATATATATAATGGGTATATTGTATGCATGCATGTTTGTAGATGTAGATAAGTTGGTAGATATTGATATAAATACAGAAAAACATCTGGAAACATGTAACATTAGATATTAACTGTACTAATCTTTGGGTAAGAGGAAATGGGTATTTTATATGCATATTTTAACTTATGTATATATTCTAAATTTCAGCAATACTTTTGAACAATTAATAGATTTTTAAAATTAAATGAATAAAATTAGTATATACATTTTTATACACCAAAGTGATCAATGAGAAAATATAATAAAATTTTTATAATTGCAATGCCGAAGAATATTTATTTCATGTGTTACAAAACTTACACATTAGAAATAAGTGTTGTGTCCTCATGAATGGATTAATGTCAGCTGTGTCCTCATGAATGGATTAATGTTGCCATGGAATTAGATTTGTGGGAATAGCTTTGTTAGAAAAGGAAGCTCTCTCTGGCTCTCTTGTTTTTGCCTTCTTGCCAGGTGATGTCTTCTGCCATGTTATGACATAACAAGATGGCCCTCACCAGCTGCCTGTATCAAGCTCTTGGACTTTCCATCCTCCAGAATTGTGAGCTATATAGACTTATTTTCTTTATAAATTACACAGTCTGTGCTACTTTGTTATAGCCACAGCAAAAAACTAAAACATATAATAACAAAAATACTAAGATGCCAGGAAAACATTAAGCAATGTATAGAATACATATGGCGGAAACCTGATACTCTATTAAGTGATCCAAAATACATAAAAGAATTCTTGGGTAGACGAAAAGTTCTTTTTCTTGTATAGAAAAATTCAATGTTGTAAATATGTCATATTCTTAAATTTCCCATAAGTCAATATATAATTTGAAATTTTAGTACATTTTTAACTTCATAAAATGCATTAAAGTTCATCTGAAAATGTAAAATAGCTAGAAAAATTTTTGAGAAACAATGAAAAAAATATTGTGGACATTTCCTATCAGTTTATAAGGCAAGTTTCCCCAACATGTGGCCCACTGGCTGCATGCAGCCCACAACGGCTTTGAATGTGACCCCACACAAATTCACGATCTTTCTTAAAATATTATAAGACTTATTTATTTATTTTAGCTCATCAGCTATCATTAGTTTTAGTGTATGTTATGTGTGGCCTAAGACAATTTTTCTTCCAATGTGGCCCAGGGAAGCCAAAATATTGGACACCTCTGATTAAGGTATTGTCAGTTATAGTAGTCAAAATAGAGCAATGCTCAAAGGAAATAGAGAAGCAGGACAGAAGAGCATTTGGAAAACAGATACAAAGATAAAAAGATTTTATTATGTGATAAATATTGGCATAAAATTTATGCCAGAGGACGAAATATAGAGGGTTTCTTTGGTAAAATTTGTTATGGCAATTGGTTCCATGTTTGGGGGAAAAAAAATCAAAAAAATGAAATTTTGAATCTTAATCTCATCTCATGCTATAAAATAAACTTCAAAGGTAACAACATTTTTAAACAAAATTTACTATAAGCATAGTAAGAAAACATATGGCATTTTAAATCTATAGTGATTAAGGTATTTTGCATGGAATACAGATGCTCTAAAGCTGGGGTTGTCAAAATATAGGCTGTGAGTCAAATGTGGCCATACCTATTTCTGTAAATATAGTTTTATTGGAACTCAAGGCACACCCATTCATTATGTATTGTCTATGGATGCTTTCACAATAAACCATAGAATTGAGTAGGTGTGACACAGACCATATAGCTCACAAAACAGAAAATATTTACTGTTTGGCTTTTTACGGAAAAAGTTTGCTGACCCTTGTTCTAAAAGAAAGACTGATACATTTGAATACATAAATACCAAAAATCTGCATGACAAATATACAATTAAAATTTAAAGTCAACTGAGATAATATTTAAATTATCTATGACACTATAAACTTACTAACTGTAATAAGATCTTTTATAAATAAGAAAAGATCAGTACCTCAAAAGAAAACTAAGCAAAGCAAACCAACTTGAAGTTCAGAGATAAAGAAAACAAAATTAGTCAATAAACACGTGAAAATCAACTCAACTCATAGGATTCAGAAATGAAAATAAAATATGAGTGAGACATTTACCACATTAACAAAATATTTAAAACTTGAGATTACCTGCTTTTAATTGAGGTTATGGAGAAAGAAAAACTGCTATCTAAAAGGCAATTTGAAAATAATGTATATCAAATTTTAAAATGTAAATATCTTTTGTGTCAGCAACTTATCTGACAGACGTTTTCTCACTAGGGTGTAATATTACTGTCTTGAGTTTTCAAGAAAGTACACCTTTTGGTGCATTTATACAGTAGTGACAATGGAGCTGTTAGCAAAATTGATATAGATCTATATATGGCTCATATTTATTGACATCCAGAACATTTTATTATTGAGGAAAAATAAAGCAAATCATAATACAACATTTGTAGAGTAATATTGTTTCTATATTAAAAATACACATTTACACACATGCAAATATATAATTTCATATGCATATAAAATTGACTGGATAGAAATATCTGATTTTGTTTACAATGTGTATTTCCGGAGAATAGAAATGATGAATGAAGGGATCCTAGGTGGAAAATCTTTTATACTCTATACACTTCTTTTGAATTATAAGCCTTGCATTTCATTGTTTAAAGTTATTTTACTAAAGTTGCTGAGATTATATTTGAAAAATTACCGTAAAATTTTGAAGTTATATTTAACGGTAGCAAAGCCAGGACTATTTTCTACAGTAATTAGGGCAAATTTGGTGATAATGCCTTCTCAAAACACACACCTACAAAATTGAAGGACACAACTCTAAAACTAGGCCTTAGGCCTTACATGTTTAAGGGCAAAGAATGACCAAATTAAGTATTCTGGGGCTTCTTAAACAGCCTGGTTGTAAAGAAGAAGTTTATATTTTCTCTTTAGCTGAAAACTCAGGGTTCATTAATCATAACGATTATAATTTTTTATTTGCTTGCAACTTTTTTGCCATTTGTTGCCATGGCAACAAATCATGTATTGATTCAATAAGGGCATCTTGCATTTCTTAGAATACTGTAATTAGATAACCAATTTGTAATTAAGTCAAAATGAAAGCTGACCTTTCTCCTTGAGATGATATAACACTACCCATATCAAGAACAGAAGATTTATGCTTCAAATGAGCTTAAATAAAGTTTAAGAAAGTGGAACTCTGCTTCCTCTTGAAAATTATCATCTTTTCTCCTTGTCAGTAATAACAGATGTAACAAAATATCCAATGTATTGGAACACAGCAATTTCAACTGTGTATTCATATGACATTGCAATGTAACATACTGCTCTGTAGAGTAGGTATTTGGTGCAATCCATCAACTATTAAAATTCTGTTAGTGCAATGGTGAGATTTCAGCATGCAGTATAGACGTCTGTGCTGAGAAGCAGAAGCAAATAACCAACTACATTGACAAAGTCAGCATTTTTACTTCTCAGAAAAAAGGGAATTCCTAATTTAGTCTAACAGTGCTGTCTTCTCAGAGTCTATTCAGGTGAACAATAACAAAAGGCAAACAGAAATGCTCTTGATTCTCTACGTGGGGTTTGACAGCTTTCCAGGAGATCCAATAAGTTCCCAGGGTCCAGTAACAGAAATCTCTTTTCTTTCCAAAACATCAGAATTATAATCCATGCAAAGAGACATCTATCCTTTCTTCCCAGAGTATTTTTTTTCTAAATCTACAAGCACATTACTTAGAAAATTAAATGTACAAAGAAACAAACTTAAATGGCAAACTTTAGAAATTATATGCTTATGTTTTCTATTCTTCTTTCATGCCTTTACTGTTCCCTTTAGTTCTCTGTGCCATTTCATTTCTCTCTTACCAGTTGTTGCCCCTCCAGTTTACCCATTCATCCTCCTTAGCAAAGAGATCAAGGTCATTGCGCTCTACTTTAGAACTTTACGGAAGCACTGTTTTCAGATACAAACCAGATTGAGACATTAGAGCCCTTTAAGTCAAGCCTGAGAGAGAACCCGAAGGGCTTCTAGCCTAGGCAATACATCTGGCTCCAACTCAGGAATCAGTGTACACGCTTGGTGATAGGGGAGGTATATTCCTGTACAATGAAACCTCATGCATGAAATTATCATAAAGTGAGGAAAGAGAAAATGTGACAGAGAAGAAAAGTTGCAAGCAAATTGGAATTATGGGCAATATATTTGAGACATAGATTTTGACACCTTGAATTTATTTGTAAGGTAGTCTCCAGTTACTGAAAAAAGGAGATTCTCAATGGGCATTTTTTTTTAAGTTTTAGGTGTTGAATGTTTAGAAAGTAAGTGAAATAAGTACCAATGTAAGCAATTTGTCTTGTTTATAGCCACAGAGTTTCTCCACCAAACTCATTAGCAAAGTAAGGTAATTAGCACTATGAATGTGGTAGAAATAGATGATTCTCAACAAAGTTGCTTACTTTCAACTTTCTGCTTATAACAACACTCATTTGATAAAACTGGGATAATTTAAAGCATAATGAGAAGTCTACTAATATAATTAAATAATAATAATTTATTGAGTGCTCTTTTCCAGAAATTATTTTAAGAGCTTTAATGCCTTATTTCATTTAATGAACAAAACATAATTATTTGGGTATTATTATGTCCATGTTACAGATGAGAAACTGTGGCTCAGAAAGTTTATGTAAATAGCTCAATACCCCCTTGCTAAAATGGGTTTCCTGTCCTAATGAGCTCAACCAAGAATCCATGTTGTTAATCATCAAGTTCCTCATTAATTCTTCTCAGATTCAGGTTTTTTGATTTGTTGTCTAAGATGGCTTGAATATTTTTATATTTTAGTATCATAGGGTGACTTAACCTCACTTTGATGATAAAATTAAAGCCAGTTGGGTAAAGTTACTTATGTAATATGGACAGCCAACAAGATTATTACAGGGAAATGATTGATGGTACAAACTCTGTGTTTCCATGATACTGTTTTGCCCTTTTCTCCATCTAAAAGATAGCAAAGTGGTGTGTGGCCCAGCCACTTCTATTTTTCCAGGAATCCACCCCAGCCATAAACATTACATTTAAACCTAGTGGCCTAAGCTCAAGCACGATGCATAATTTAGTCATGGGAGGTGATACGATATCAGCTCTGAGTAGTAGCCACAGCAAGGAAAATCTAAAAGGACAAATTAAAGTACACACACACATGTACACACACACTAATAATACACACACAGAAATAATACATGCGAACACGAGGCTGAAGCTGTACTGGGGTGGAAAAGGAGGTGTGTGAAAAGCTTTGTAAAAGTCCTGAGTGACAGCTGAAATAAAGTCCCATACAACCATCTTCCCTGCCCCTAATAGATCTGGAAGTACTGAAGAATCTTACATAGTTTGACATCTGGTAAAATATTCAGATTTTGCCAGATGTGCACTCCTTTTGGCCACAAAGAGATGGTGTTAAAACTCAGTATGAGGACTAAGTTAGTATTAGTGCTTTACGGATGAACACATTTTTTAGAAGGTGGTTGTTTCCTTCCAGAAAGTCTCCTTTTGAGAACTTGGCAGGACTTCTTTCCTTTTCCTCCGTTGGCTCAGTCTTTGCTATGCTATGTATTGCTTTGGCAGCACAAACTGAATTTTACCTTATGACTTGGACAGAAAAGTGTAGCCTGGATTTGTTGCATAGTGGTATGATTTATAGAACATAGACTAGATGAACTCAGAAAGCCCTCAAGGTGTGTAAATAATAGTAAATAAAGGGATTTGCAAAATATGGTACAAAGTTCTGCTGTGGTAAACTACATATATTTTATTCTTTAAATAAAAAACTATCAAAATGTTTGGAGCAACATGAAAAGTTCCTTATTTAAAAAAATAAAATGGACCCTGCTCAGATATGAAAGCCAGATTCTCTAATTTTCTGAGTTCAGGAAATGGATGTCTGCGTATTTAGCTCCCTGGTGTTTAATGTATACTAACTTACTTACATTTATCTTCTAAAGGGGTTAAAATTTAGCACTGCTTCTTCCTTGTATAATGAACACATTCAATAATAATGAGGACAATGATAATAATAATGCATAGCATGTATACTTTTTTACATTGTCTTTTACATGTGATCTCTCATTTGATCCTCACAAAAGCACTATTAAGTATATAGTGTCAGAAAAGGAAACAAATGCACAGAGAGCATACCCAGAAGAGTCACCAGAGACCTTGTCACACAACTTCCAGTCTAGGGCTCTTTCCCCTGCCTCACACCCTCATGAGTGTGTTGCTATTGAAATCTCTATCTCGCACTTCTATAGAGCTAGAAACCCTGGAAGACTTAGGCAAAGATAAATGCAATCATTAGCCTTCAGTCTAGATTCTAATGTAATACGTCATACTTTTCACTTGGAATTGATGTAATATTGTGCCATAAAATGGGAAATCTAGCAAGTAAAAAAGAGAATTTGAATATTTTGCAGAGAGAAAATTTCCACTATAGAAAAAGAAAACTGCTATAGTTAATTAACATGAAAATATTTACACACCTTGCCATCTATCTATATAAATTCATCTATTAGCAGACAACTACCTTCATATTTGAAATATATTGCTTCAAGTCAAAACTTGTCTATGATACTCCAAATTGTCCCTAAGGCATATCAGACTGTGGCCAAAGAAAGAAAAGCATATCAGAAAGAGAAGGGAAACAAAGAGTTTCCTTGTAGAATAAATTTAATTGTCCGGAGTTCTGAGTTCCTGCATAAAGCAGAAATTCCTCATGCATAAGAAATGGTAGACTCAGCTTGAATGGTTGATTGCTATTTCTTCTAATAAAGTTTCCAGGCACTCTCTCTCTCTCTCTCACTCTCTTGCTTTTTCACCCTCTCTCTTTATCTGATTCTATGTCTATGTTGATCTCTAGCTATCTATTGTACATGCTTTTGTAGAATTTCAGGAACAGCTTTTTATCTGGAGAATATGGCTGCCTGAACGAGTTACATATTATAACAAAAGCTTTACCCCAAAGCTTCTATGCATTCCAAAAGCTTGTACTTGGATAATAGAAATATTAGCCTCAGGTGACTGAGAACACTTACTGTTGGTTGCATAACGTATGGCGGATGAGGCATCCATGAAGTACTCTGGACCTATGCATCAAACAGCATTTATTAGCACAAAGCAATCATAGAGAGAACTTGGTTCTTGTGTTCAGTGGAGTCACACTAGGTCATAAGAAAGTGGAGTCCACCTGACTTTACAGTTAATTCGTGCTCAAAACCAAGGGTAAAAAGGGAATTCTTGGACTTGATTAAATTGGTCCCTGAAACAAGGTAAAAGGTAAAGCAACTTCCCCTATCAGTGGAGCTGACTTCAGTGCCCACATGGCCCAGGCTGGGTCTTGGAGCATATTTTGAGGTTGATGTTGAACGCTAAAGTTTTAGGAGGCCTCAGAGACCATTTGAAGATCAGCTTTCAGGGATGTCCTGGCAAGTAATGAAGGAAGCAAGAGTTGACTGCTAAGACTTTCTCTTTTTCTGTCATCAGTTGTAACTTCAAATGCTCAAGTGATCCCATTTTAGAAATATGTCCAAGTGGTAAAAGTTGTGGTAAGAGCTAAAGAGATAAACCAAAAATTTGGGGCAGTTATTTAGGTTTAACCCAAGTTAAGCAAGTTTGTAATTATTTTCGCTCATGGTAATTGGTATAACACATAAAAATGAGTATGTCAGCCAGCCAACTATTCTTAAATGTACCATGTGTCAGACAAATGAAAAAGTCAGCCTGTATAAGCTGAATGTCACGTGGAGAACTCAGAAGATTTTTTTTATATACTCACACACACAGAATTGCCAAAACACTTTGGATTGAAAAAACCTGGTGAAAGGTGAGAATCAACAACATCGATCATTGCTGTAATCTCTTCTTTTGAGAAAAGGGAGCTAGAGTTAAATTCCACTTATGAGCCCTCCCAAGTAAAATCACTCTTCAGTGAATATTTTATTCATGTCACCAAAGTGCTCTACACTGTGGCTTAATGGGTGGTCTTGGCTGGAACAGAGGCCAAGATTAGAAAAAAAAAGGAAACACACACACACACACACACACACACACACACGCACATTACAACCAGGCAGGCCTGCAGGAAGAACAAAAACTGAACAGAACCTGCACATAGCCTCATGCCAAGGAAAGGCAATTAAGAAATCAGCCATTCAGAGACCCTCTAATGTAATTCAAATGAAAATCTATTCCATTTGCCCACGGATATGTTTCAAGAATCTGAGTGCAGAAAAAGAAAGAAAATGATCTGCTTTGGGGGGAATCAGTTAAGGAAAAGTGCACATAGTCTTAAGTTTGATTCTCTGACAGCTGGGATATCCTGAAATGAAGTATATAGTGACTGAACAAGGCAAAACTTCACTGAATTAATAGTATCAGTATCATTACAGTTTTACTCATTATATAACATCCACCCCCACCAGCTGCAAAATTCAAGAAGCACATGCATACACACGCTTGCATTCTCTCTTTCTCTTTCTCCCTCCAAACTTTTAAGAAATGACACTAGACACTTTCTACGTGCAGCATATATATAGGCGTTTTCTAATTAGAATTGGAAGAACTGTTTGAAGAACAATATTAGGTAGAGAGGAGATTAATATCACATACGTAATAACTCAGAGGAATAAAACAAGGAGTATTGTTTGAGGGAGAAGTGTGACTATTTTAATCGACCTATGTACTTGGAATTAACTGGCTATAATATCTAGTTGAGGACACACATTGAGTCTCAGACTTTCCAGCATTCCAACATGCGGAACCCCTGAGGTCTCTTTTGGTCTCTCTGGAACTGAGAATGAAATAAGAGCAGGGAATACGAACAACTTTTTACCACTTTGATAATTTCTTCTGTTTCTTGGGAAGTATGATTTAACATCTATCTGTGTAGCTTTACCAGGACAACCATGACAAAATGAGATGACAGTGATAAAATATCCTGGAGTGAGTGAAGGAATTGCTAGAAATGTGCTTTTAGAAAAGACACAATAGGGAACATGAACAAACAAAGTAACAGACAACAAACAAAATAATTTCCCAGTGGTGAGAGAGCTGTATTAAGGTTGGTTGGACAGTAGCATAATCATGAAAACTCAGCAGGAAGAATGAAAAGCATAGTGGATTTTATTATCCAGTGAATTGATGCAAACAGGCTCTTGAAAGTATAGGCTAACTCATAACTTGAGTATTATTACATTAAGATGTGATTAAAGTGTATGAGAATTTTTTTCTTTTCATTCTACTGTGTCCTTTTTGCCTCTAAATACTGTATTACTGCAAGAAAGATATCTCCTAAGGTGCAGGTAAATTGGACATACCTGGTATGTGGAGACAGGGGAAGCAGCAATGAATGGCGTGATAGATGTCTGTGGAATCATGCGGTTGGTTGCAATACTGTACGGTGAAGAATAAAATCTGCAAACAGAAAACAAAAAGGAAGATTCACGAAGCTGCTACATGCCTGGCCTCTAATCAAATGCTATCAAGTACCTATGGGAAAGACATATTTCCACCCGCACGTTTTTCCACCAACCATTAACAAGAACGTCTAGGAGATTTACATTATTTGATTCCACTAAGAGAAATAAGTAGCTCCGAATGAAATGACTTGGAGTCATCTGATAAAATTAGCTGCACAAAATCTTTCTTATGCCAGATAAGTTTAATACTGCCTCCCACTAGCAGGAGGAGAAAAGCCATGAGTGTTGTTTAAAAGGCTTTGAAAGAAAGACAAAATGAAAGCACCAAGCTTTACAAAAGTGACTGATGTTACAAATACAGGAATTGCATCTATGTCTTCTGTCAGGAAATAAAGACCAGTTCCTAGAAAGTTATGGATATTTTGTGTTAGGCATAGGTCCATGCCCTCATGCAGAAAATACTTTCTCCATGAAAAGAGAAGCAACAGGACAATTTGTATCGAGGTTGGAATGGGAATGTTTTCTGGATTAAGTCAAGGCACTGGCAGAGACACTGAACCTATGTGATAGGCTCCTATAGACTCTGTAAAAAGCACTGAATTTTCTAGTCCTCCAGAGCCTCTCATTGAACAACTGTAGAATGCTACAAGATCAGGAATTCACAAATCAGAGGAGGGATGATTCTCCTGGAGATCTATTAAAGGGTAGCTTCTGGATGTGAAAATCAGTGAAATGTCCATTTCTGCTCAGACTATACTGTAGAGTCGATGAGTTACTGAATGCTCAAATCCTTCAGCAGAATTTAAATTGTGTTTCCCCTATGTCTTACTGGTAAGCAAAAGGTTAGAGTGGCGAGCCACAGAACAGACAAAACCAGGTTGCCTGAGATGGAGTATGTCAGCGATGTGAGGATAGGTTGGAAAAATGCATGTGAGAAATAATGGTATAATTCTTTTGCTTTATTGGATTTTTAGCAAAACTCAATTACTATGTTTTGTTTTTTTTTTAATAGTATGACTGAGCTTGGAATTTATGGGACAAAGACTTCATCCAACCTCAGGGGTCAGTGATATTTTAAATAGAGATTTTCATGAGTTGTCTTTCTAAGAAAGCATCCCATGAGACTCCCATTAAATATGGGAGGACTAGAATTCAAGGTTGTCAGGATTCAAGGAATAAATTCTTTAAGCTTATTTTCTGTAAAAGTCTTCAAGCAAAAATATAGTCTTAAATGTACTTAAATTATAGTCTTAAATGTACTTTAACTCTTAACAATGATTTGATAAGATCATACTCTTTTGGGTAAAAAAAAATAGTGTGGATGAAAAAAATTATCCCATCATACATTACATTCTTACTATCCATACTCACCAGACCCTTAAATTTATAGTTGTGACGTTTAAAAGAAGCCACTGACTATACACCTGATATAATGACAAAAAGAGAAAATACAAAGTTGTTTTTTTTTTTAAAGACAATACTAACAGCTGACAAGGATGCAGAGAAAGTGGAATTCTCATTCAATGTTAGTGGGAAAGCAAAACATTACACCCATTTTGGAAAACAGCTTTGCAGTTTCTTTTAAAGTTAAACATACACTTTCCCTATGGCCCAGCAATGCTCCATACTAACCAAAATTAAATAAAAACTTTTGTTTATGGAAAAACTTTAATCCAAATGTTTATACAGACTTTATTCATGCTTGCCCCAAACTGGAAACAACCCAAATGTCCTTCCTCTGAATTAATAAACTGTGGCACATCAATACAATGGAACACAACTTAGCAATAAAAAGAAAATAACTACTGAAACATTCAACATGATGAATCTCAAGTAAATTTTGCTAAATGGAAGACGTCAGACTCAAAAGGGTATGTACTATATAATTTCATTTATATCACACTAGGGAAAAGGCAAAACTATAGCGGGGTGGAGGAAGGGGTTGATTCCAAATGAGCACGAGGGAATTTGAGGAGGGGAGATACCTGTTCTACATCTTGATTGTGGTGGTGGTTACATGATTGTATGTGTTTGTCAGAATCATAGAACTGTACACTAAAGAGAGTGAATATACTGTATGTAAATTACATCTAATAAATCTGATTTTTTTAAAAAAGATAATTACTATGTAAGAAAACATTCATCTTTCCATTTTAAAAAATTATTGAACATTTACTTTGTCTAACAAAGACGAATAACACTCTAAAATACCCCTTTGAGTTTCTCTATTTAGTCACTTAAATTGTACTGTATTTGTGTATTAATCAGCCTAAAGCTCTCCATAGGCTTTCCATTGCAATGTGAACAAATGTTCACTCTTTGCACTGGCTAGCACAATCAGGCTATTGCCTACTTCTGTGATACTGTTTTCTTAACCCTTTCTCCATAGCTGACTAGGATTGAACCAAACTGACTTTCTTCTGTCCTGATCTCATCATTCTCACTCTCATCTCTACACTGAACTTGAAATTCTCTCTACCTAAAATGCTCACTTCTCCAAAGTTTAATAAGGCTGTCTCTTCTTCATTTCTGGTCTCACTCAACTGTCCCTTTTTCAGAGAGGATTGTAGCTAAATTAGCAACTGCCATGTCTGTCCCAATTGTTTTCTATCCTTTTCTCTTGATATATTTGTATAGTTCTCTTATCACTATCTGAAGTGGTAATTTAAAAAATTATTTTTATATGTTATGGACTGAATGTTTGTGACCCCCTAAATTTACCTGCTGAAGCTCTAACCCCTACTGTGGTTGTCTTTGGAGATGGGGTGTCTAAGGAAGTAATTGGGGTTAAATGAGGACATAAGCGTGGGGCCTTAATGAAATAGGATTAGTGTTCTTTTAAGAAGATACTTCAGACAGCTCACTCAGGCTCTCTCACACGCACACACTGAGGAAAGGCCATATAAGGACATAACAAGATGGTAGCCCCAGGAGTTTGAGACCAGTCTGAACAACATGGTGAGACCCCATCTCTACAAAAATACAAAAATTAGCTGGGCATGGTGGTGCATGTCTGTATTCCCTTCTACTTGGGAGGTGAAGTGGGAAGATCATTTAAGTCCAGGAGATTGAGGCTACAGTGAGCCATGAATGTGCTACTGCACTCCAGCCTGGGCAAGAGTGAGACCTTTTCTCAAAAAACAAACAAACAAACAAACAAATGAAAAAGATGGCAGCCATCTACAATCAGGGGAAGAGAGCCTTTACCAGAATCGGCTACATTGATCTTGAATTTCTACCATTCAGAACTGAGGAAAGATAAATTTTTGTGTTTAAGCCACCAAATCAATCAAGCCACTTTGTTATGGCAGCCTGAACTGACGAATACAATGTATTTATTGACATTTCTCATTCTAGAATGTCAGCTCCAAGGGGGTTGAGTGTATATCAGTATTGTTGCCTAGAACAGAGCCTGGGAGATAGTAGATACTTGATAACTCTATGTTGAATGAATGAATGAATAAATGCAGAGCAGCTTATGGAATTCAGTAGTGATTACCATACAGGAAGATCAATACCAGGGTGGCAGGACCATAGGAGAAGGGTCCCTGAAAGAGGTAGGAAGCTGAGGAATGAGAGCCCAGAGAAGATGGTCCAATATCACATATTAAATGCTAAGTGGAAGCTTAAATAATATACCAAATTTCTAAGCATGCAGGGGCATTAGAAACTAGAAAAAAGACAGTCCTTTTCTATGAAAAATCAAGGTTTGCATTTGAAAATTCCTTCTAGGTCTTATATTTGACAGATCTTATTTGTAAGGCAGTGAACAGTATTTGGGGCTCATAATGACACGTGAGGCACCCAAGGCCACTCAATAAACAGTCTTCCTCATATGCCATGCAGTGGTTTAACTTCTGGTAGAAATCCAGGTTCAGCCTCTTATACAGACAAAGCAAACCACACATTACATTTTAGCGTGGCTGGTCGACTTTGTAAAATGCGCCAATTGGAGTATTAAAAATGAAAGCAATAAAGATTGGATTGACAGGCAAAGTTTACAGGAAATTCTATGGGGAAAACAGAGAACAGAAACATAAAGAAAGCAGCCAAGTAAACGGATACTAGCAAAAGGAACCCTTGGGGGAAAATTTAATGCATTTTTGTCCTATCTGCTCTAATCCTATCCATCAAACAAGAATTACATTTCATACTTCCCAGCAAATTCCAATACTGCCACTCAAGTCAGAGAGTCATTTAGAACTGAAAATGTTCTGGGAAGAACAGAATCGGCATACCGTCTTGATCTCCTAATTCTGGTATTCTGAAATAAGCTCTTCTCAAGTCCAAACATACACCAGATGAATTTACAGGAAACCCCTGCTTAAACCATGACAGGAGAGGCTACTGTTGCATCTGAGGCTTAGAGGTACCTATCTAAAGAAAATACACAAGGCCAGACTCCAAGGAGGGAACTGCAGAATGTGTTTCCAAATCTCTTAGCTTTTTTTCAGTCCCTGCCATGGTCAGGGTTTGAAAACATTTTCACACAGGCATCACATTAAAAATAAATAAATAAATAAATAAATACATACATACATACATACATACATACATACATACATACATACTTCAAGCAGAGATGTCATGCTACTGGGGAACTTTCTAGGCAGAATAACAAAATAAGGTAATTCTAAACATATGAATTTATGTTTTTTGTATTTGGTAATATATGCATTATGCATTATGCCTTGCAAATGTTGTTACAGAAAATGGGAATGAGTTGCTTAACAAGTTATTTTCCTGTTAAAAAAGTTTACTTCTTCACCAAGATTCACAGCATTATGTATATACCAAGTGCCTCTTTTACACTGAACCCAGTGGTTCTAAGCCACAGGTGATTTTGCTCTCCAGCAGACATTTGGCAATGTCTGGAGACATTTTTTGTTATCGCAACTGGAGGAGAGGGGGGAGCTACCGGCATCTAGTGGATAAAGGCCTGGGATGCTGCTAAACATGCTACAATGCATAGAACAGCTCCTATACAAACATTATCGAGTCCTGAACGGTAGTAGCATGAAGATTGAGACACCTTGCTGAAGCACATGAGCTAGTTACTTCTGGGGTTTCTTTCACATGAACAAAATATTAAATGCAAAGTGGCTAAGAGACGTTAACTAAGTGTGATCCACGGAAGTCTAAGCTAGCCTTTGAAACACTTAGTATTTTCAAGAAATGCAAAGAATCACTTGGTTCTTTGGCATTAAAGGCAACCGTCCTCCAGAAATCCAGAAAATGCAAATCTAGGTCACTAATAGGACATTATTTTGCCTGCAGAAAAGTCATCTTCAGGGGATTTGGCGGTCAGTAGTAATATGGTAAAATCTTATTTCACTGACAATAAAAATAACATTAATATATCAATAACCCCAGGGTTTAATTTTTTTTACTGTACAAAAAGCAAATCCTATTTACATATTGAAATAAACAGCACTGGCTTGTGTTTCATGTCCACAGGCAATATTGTTAGGGCTGGAACCATAAATACTATCCTCAGGGTAAAACAATAGTACAAGATTAATAAGGTATTGGTCATTTTTATTGTAATACCAACGTATCCTTCACATTAGATTCCTTTCCTAGTGTAATAAGATAAGGTTTCCATATTGCTTAATACCAAATGCCCACATAAAGCAGCCAGCAAACCAATGCTATAGAAAACATTCTTTTTCACGTCTCCCCCAAGAATATATTTTATTCAAATAAAAACAATCCAAGAGGCTTTTATACAGCAACTCCCAATGAAAAGGGCACAGGAAAGATGAGATTTTGAATATGGGAGGGAATATTTCCCACCTCCCCTGCTCATCTTTCAAAGGGATGGAATTTCATATTGGATTGCTAAAAGAGCAATAGGGCAATAGTAAAAACAAATTAGAGTTTTACCACATAGCTCTAAGAGAATGGACATTTTTATTCTTGTAAGTTAGCCTACAGTAAAAAGTACTACGATTTTTACTTTTCTGTTGTGACACAGATGCTTCTTCTCTCTACCCTTCAGAGTCCTAGAGAAAAGTGATATTGATCTAATTTTTAAGTGATAACTTGGATAGATTCAGGCAGATGACAGAACTGACATTTTCTACTGCCTAAATGCAAACAGCACAGATTCACCATGGTGTAGTTATGAACTGTTTGTTCTTCCTTAGCTAACAATCAAGCTAACTTCGGGGGCCTTTATTTCAGTGTCATGTTTCTGTATTAATGTGAAGGTTATGAGATACAGACCGTTTAACTCTTTACACAATTTAACCTACTAGCTACAACTCAGACACATACTTGCTTAAGATACTAAAAAAGCCCTATGGCTTAGTTTACTGTTACAGGATTCCATAGGATCACAAAATATGTCATTTAGCTAGGATGTGGCACCTCTCCAAGAGGAAAAGCTCATGTCACTGCACTAGCAAGAAGCCTTCCCAATTCCTCATCAGAACACAACTGCCTCTCCTCCACGGTCCTATGGAAATAATTTGCTTTATTTTTCTTTTTGAAAAAAAAATAAATAAAAACGTAAACGGTGAAAGATAAGTTTCCGTCTCACCCTATTTCCCACTACTGTGTTGGCCCTTCCCAGAGAATCACCATCATGCTTTCTTGTGTACTCCTTCAGAAACATTTTATACATATAAAAGTTAATATATACATATATCTTATAGTACTTTGTGGTTTAATCGCAATAGTTTTGTATTCTATCTCCTATTACAATTGTATATATGTCCATTGTTCCTAATATGACGTGAGCATTTTCTTTTTTCTAATTTTAGACTGTACTATAGATAGAAAGTTGAAAAAAATTGTTAAGCTTATTGACCTCAAGTGAATCAGCATTAAGCAACGTTGAACAATAATAACTGGATTGGAGTAAGCTGCAACTACATCTTTGGATACCCTGTGTTCTATGTAAAATGGGACCAGGCTCTTCTCTACAGTAATATTTATCTTTCTGTTAGGTTACTTATCTCTGAGTTATATTTGACGGCTAAATTGCATAGAGCAATGCGAATGAGGAATAATATACTTTATTATGGACACTTATGTTAGGCTCCTTGGTATGTTGAGTAAGTTGTTTAAATCAGCTTCCACACCTCTAAAAGGCATGTCCCAATGTTAACTCAAGAAACAGTATATATTTGTGTGACATCTCACATGCATAGAAATGGTTGTTCTACTGGTGTCCTACTACTGGGAATGTTACCATATAAAGGTAATGAAACCAAAGATAAGCAAAACAGTTTAAACATAATTTCTATAAAGAAGTATCAAATAAATAAGATCAATTAGCTATAATCCTCCTATTTCTTTAATTTCTGAATGTAAAATTTCTATCTCCTTGTTGCCAACAACACAATGCATAGTCCAAGCCTTCCAAAATTCCATCTTTCACTCAGGACAGAGAAACTCATGGGTAGTTTGGCTGCTTTGGGTGAAACTAGAGGTAATATTTTAGGAGAATTAGGTTAAGATGTTACATGGGGACAGACTGACTTGATGGCTGGGGAGGAGGATGGTTTCCCTGATGTCAACTTGCTGGAGCCAAGCAGATGTCATCTGTCACATTTCCTAGTCCTGATTTAGCATTCACAATACTGGGTTAAACAGTCTATGAAAATGAATAAGATATGGTGCCTGTCTTCATTGAGTTATATTCTAGCAGGGAACTATTATAGATATGGGTATCAAGAAGTACACAATAAAAAAGACTAATTGTCAAACTTATCATGGAAAGGCCAAACATAGGGCAACAATAATGTCAACATTTACACTGATGATTATCTTGTACCACACCAGGTTCCTTTAATCTTTACAAAGTCTTATGAAAGGTACTGATATTATTATCTTTATTTCACAGAGGAAGAAACTAAAGTATGGACAATGGGTCCATAATTGCACATCTGGTAAATGACAGAGTTTGGATGCATCCCTGGGCAGGATGATTCTGAAGTTTTCACTCTTAACCATTGCTTAAACTGTTTTTCTTATGACTAATAGCATAACTAGCTCTGCCTGGTATGATTTAATGATGTTCTTGAAATGAAAACAATATTTTTAAAAAGTATATTATTACGTAGTTACTGATACCCATATCTATATGGTGTGTGTGCATGTGTATGTGTGTGGTGGTGGGGCCATGGGGAGTGAGTTTTACCATATGGGAACTCAGGCAGACAGAATTCCACGTTCAACAAGACACAGAAGTACAAAGTAGCATGGGATGTTCCAAGAATCACAGACGGTCCAGTTCAGTTGCAGTAACCAAATTATGAAGTTCTGTTCGTACTATCTGGGGAAGTTTGAGTGTTGTTCTGTAGTTAGTAAAGGCCACGTAATACTTTAAACCAGGTAGGTAGGTGATTTCTGTAGTTACATTTGCTTAAAAATTATTCAAAAATTAATGTGAAAATTGTTCGTGGGGGGAGGTATATTAAAGGGAGTAAAAAGCTTAGTGTAGGTAGGAAATGGTAATGAATAAATTCAACCAGTGGCACGGAGGAAGGGCTAGGTTGAAGATATACATCGGATACAGATTGCACATCTTAATGACTAGTTTTATTGTGAAGAATGTAGGATAAGAAAGAGTCCTGAGGAGTGGAGATCATAACCTAAATGGATTTAGAGAATTTAAAACAGAGGAAAACAAAATTTGATATGTGCGTTTTGTTTGAATTTGTGTAGTTTGTATTACAAAATATTGATGAGGATAATGACCTCAGTTTGGGACAATGACATAGTAGCAGTACCTAGTAAGCTAGAACCACAGGTCATTGATCTCTGAAGCTAGTTACACACTTGAAGTATAGACTTGGGAGTCTTACTTTCCAGAAAGCAAGAGAGGTAGACGAGAGCAACTAGAGAGAAGAAAGAAAGTGAGAAAAGACCAGAGTAAGATTAGTAAAAGTGGGTAGGATTATTTGGTGCACAGGAAGTACTGAAGAGAGGGACTGGTGCTACCATTAGCAGCAAGACAAGAAAATAAAGTGAGGAAAGATAATATGCCCAATTTCAATGGACTAAAATTATTTATTACATGATATTAGAGATATGAGATTAGATAATATAATATGAGATAATATAATAGTATATAAAATCTCTTGATTTGGATATCTTTAGCTTCTTAACTAAAATGTGTTTCTTGAGGAAAATATTCATTGTTGTAAATGTCTAAGTGGGTAGTGGCAGAGGGTGAACCATTTTTGCAACTGTTCAAATAGTTTAAAGGATACAATGTTATATTGTTAATATAAGGTATAAATAAAGACATTTCATATTTCAGGTGATTTAAGGTTAACGGATGTACCTGCAGCAACTCCAATAGGGTCCAGGAGTGGTAACCTGAAATATGAGGTGGAGATTTTGAGAAAAAAAGAGAAATGCTCACTGTGTTCTAGGCTGTCCTCACTGCCTTGAAAATTGCACTGCCCAAAGTTCACCTTTGATTTCTCAGATTAGCAGTTGAAACCTCGATTTATTTTCTATGTCGATTTGTAACAATTAAGGGTGAGTATTTGGGAAATTATGTCTTTGTAGAATTTTAAATTGCGCATTAGAGAATGACTGATTAAAATCATGCATAACAAGTTATCATTCCCTAACTTCAGTTCCACATTTACCACTGACTCTTGATCTTTTTTTGTCTTAATGAGTCTTAGTTTGTTTTAGTGAGACTTAGTGAGTCTTAGTGAGACATTAATCAGGCATGTTTGAAATTGAGCATATCATCTACATTAGTCTGTTTTCATACCACTATAAAGAACTGCCTGAAACTGGGTAATTTATAAAGGAATAGAGGTTTAATTGACTCACAGTTCAGCACGGTTGGGGAGGCCTCAGGAAATGTACAGTCATGGCAGAAGGTGAAGGGGAAGCAAGATACCTTCTCCACAAGGCAGCAGGAAGGAATCAGTGCCAAGCAAAGGGGGATGAGCCTCTTATAAAACCATCAGATCTTGTGAGAACTCACTATCATGAGAATAGCATGGGGGAAACCACCCTCATGATTCTATTACCTCCACCTGGTTTCTCTCTTGACACATGGGGATTATGAGGATGACAATTAGAGATGAGATTTGGGTGGGGACACAAAGCCTAACCATATCATCATCTTTCTTCACTTTATTTCCTTGTCTTTCTGCTGATGGTACAGGGTCACTTTTGTTTCTCTCTTTTGCCATCAAATATAACATCCAGTTTCGGTCGGTCATTACATGTTGTCAGAGCTCAGCTCAAGGAATCGCTTGTTTAGAGAAGTTTTAACCACTCAAGCAAGACTAGACAATTCATAACACCCTGCAGTTCACCAATGGGTGCTTATGGTATATAAGTAATAAAATACTTTTAATGTTGATTTCCTTTGCTACTATGTAGATGAGTAAAGACTGGGTGTGTCTTATTCACCAGTATGTCCCCAGCCCTTGATGGAGAACCCTGAATGTAGGATTCTTTGATGGCCACTTGCTTAATGCATGATTGAAAAGTTTCTTCAGGTTGTCTCTCCTTTTGGTTTCTTTCTTCCATTCATACATTGGCCACTCCAGAACAAACTCTCACACTTCTATAACTGTACTATTTTAATATCCTCTTAATGATGCTTCCTACTAAGAGGATTTTCCTGCTCCAATATAGTCTTCATTATTTATATTACACCACTCTGTTGCTAAAAAAAAAAATAATAATTACTCCCCAGGCTTATGAAGTAAAAACCAAATACTTGAACTTCCAAATCTGACAACAAAAAAACTTTTTAAACTTATAAAATTCCTTCACAAGAAACTTTCACCCCAGTAAAACTTGTTGGCTTGTTAATCTCTACAAATTCCACTTCCATTCATAGCAGTCCACTTTCTCCATAAGCATCTTTCCCTATGTCTATCCTTGATAAACTAAGTCATCCTGGATAATCTATGCCAAATCTCATTGCTTCCATATAGCCTTCCCTTTGTCCTAGCTGGACAAAGACAGCAGGCTCTATTTAGTGTTACAGACTGGCATTCGATTCCCAGCTCTACCTCGGACTACATGGCCTCATTTTCTTATCTGTAAATGGGATATTAACACTCACCCAAAAGAATATAATAAATAAATGAAATAATCCATATAAGCTATTTTGATATGACTTTTTGATTTTGCTTCGGAATCATCCAGCTGTAAAATACATTTTGGGGCAACTGAGCAAAGTTGAAAAATAATCTGGATAGTAGATGATATTTTGAAATTACTACTGATTTTATTTTTTGTGATGACATTTTTATCATGTGACTAATGTCTTTATTTTCGAAGATGTAAGAAGTTAGAAATATTATGATGTTTAAATTTTACTTTGATATGGTCCAGCAAAAACTATCTTTTTAATTAAAAATGCTAAACACAATTTTAATAATTGACTACATAATTATATATAAAAGCTAATTTTTATTTTATTTCTATCCTTAACAATGTAAGTTTCATAAATGCAAAAACAAGTTATGTCTGGGTCACTGCTGCATCCCCAATCCTTGGCATAGAGCCTTGGGCAACAAGGTACTTTTCACAAGTAGATACATAGATAAATACTATAGACAGGTAGATATGTATATACATACATAATACATACTCTAGATAGGTAGATACATATGTATATATTACACACATGTGCATACATATGCATGCATGTAAAATATTATAAAATATGAATATTTATTGAATCCAATTACTGGACATACAGGTATTTTTTGAACTATTGTTTCTATTTTCCTTTGTATAAATTTCCAATATAAATTTATAATTGTAATCACATGTATTCATTTGAAACCATGTGCCACTAAATTACAAAGTACTTTGCACAAAATATGTGTTCAATAAATGTCATTCCTTTCCATTATAACATCTATTTTCAGTCACTATCACTTAATATATAATGCCTTATTTTTTCCTTTGTGAGTTAATTATTTATCTCCAACTACGTAATATAATTCTAGAGGACTTTCTTCTCCATATCTTTACTTCTTTCTACACACCCAGTTTATAGAATTTTGTTGGAAATAAGTAAATGCCTATTGGATATATGAAAAGATATCCTTAATTTTCACTTCTAGAGGGAAATTTTAATCAACCCAAGGACAAAGGACTATACTCCTACCCTAGTCTACCATTAATGTTTACTTTTTCATGGACGAGTAGATTGTGAGCCTCTTGAAGGAAAGGGTCTCATATCATACATTGTTTTTTTAAATCTATAGAACATAGCATTGTGCCTGGGATACTTACTGGATGTTTGTTGAATGACTGACTATATGACTGCCTGAATGAATAATATAAGAATAAGAGGTAATTATTTAAATACTTTCAATATCCCACAGATTTTCTTTAGAGGCAACTGACAAAATAGAAAATGAAGTTTAATTCATTCTACCCTCTATGTTGATCTTCAATGAGGCTTTTATAATGAGACTGAAAGACAGACAACTGAAAGCCTTGGAGAATTCCAAAATAAAAGACAGTGACAGGAAATAAGCAACCAACCAAAGAATAATTATTGTCAATTACAAGACAGCCTAAGCAAAGACATTAGGAAGTAAGAAGAAAGTTTCAATGAAAGATATTTAGAAGTCACAGAATTTTAGAGTTGCCACACCATGTAGTTTCACACTTGTTTTTCAGAGGAGGAAGTTTAAGCTATATGACTTGTTCTAAGTAGGTGGATACAAATTTCCAGATGCTTATGAAAATGAAGATGCAATCACCTGAGTTACCAACTTGACTTTCCTCCATTACCATTCCCCTGATCACCAGAAAGAAAGAATAAATTGACTTGGGCACACACCAAAAAGTGTTTGAAAGCTAACTCTAGAGTTATTATTCTCTCAGCCTAGCTTTACCTGTTCTCCAAAGACAGAGAAAGAGGGAGGGAGGGAGGGAGCGGGGGGGGAGAGAGAGAGAGAGAGAGAGAGAGAGAGAGAGAGAGAGAGAGAGAGAACAGGGTTTAATGTGGGCAGAGGCATTGTGAGAATGGGAGGTCAGAATAATTTATAGGATGAAAAAAACTATAATGATGAAAAATGCTTGGTTTAAACTTTGTGTTTAAGGATGTAAAACAAAAGCAAAACAAATTTTAACATTTTTCTTTGATGTTGATTCAGAGCTCAAAGATCTATTCACAATTAAAATAGAGAAAATGTGATCTACTTACCCATTCTGTATGGCAGCTGTGGGGTCATAGGTCAAAGCCATGCCAGCCTGTATATAGGATGAAGAGGGAAGAAAACAAATCTTAACGTTTTTATTGTGGTGCCCAAAACATTTAGTACACACAAAGACTCTTATCATTACTTTCCATGATCTAAGTTTATTTTCTCCTATGTATATCTCTATGCTTACTGCCAAGACTAGCATTTTTACTATCCACAAACCAGAATATACCAGTGAGTTGGGAGTTTATATTATATATTCAGACATACCAAGAAACAATGCAGCTTGGATGATTTCCATTTTTACTTCTTAAAACATCCACTGTCTAACCTCACATTGTTATAATTTCACACTATTGTCAAGAACACCTATTGTACATCTCATGGCATGATAAAAAAGTAAGAACGAATCCTGCAGTTAGGATAAAAATAAAAGCTACTAAAAATGCATTCAATCTTAAAGAAGAAAATGTTTAAAAAAGTATTTATTTAAAAATAGACCATATGCCTAAGGGGTTTGTAGGTAATGAGTCCAGAGTGCTTGTTTGATATATTGCTATTTCTTATCTTAACAAGAGTGATAGAAAGGGGAGGTCATTTACATATGAAGAAAATTCTAGAACACATGGCTAATAAGGAGGTAGTTATGTTTTGTTTTTAGGAATAAGACCACCTCTGAAAAAGTACACTTCTCTATAACTGGATATAGTTTCTGAAAAGAATATAAACTTCATGAGTGCTGATTCACAGTCTACCTTGTTCCTTCATGTACATCATCACATTTGATCCTCACAACAATCCTATGAAGTAGGCAGGAGGAGTATTTTCTCCATTTTATAGATGAAGACACTGAAGCTTGGAAAGGTCAAGTGACTTGCTCAAGGTCACACATTTGGAGGCAGAACCAGATTTCAACCCAAGTCTTCTGATATGGGCTCCTTTCCATTCCTCAGCTATGACATTGGCCCAAGAATTAAATTAGACCTGAGTATCAATATCCAACAATATGGGGAAAGTTTCTCTGTGGCCATATGGGCATACCATCCTTTGTTTACCAGGACTGTCAGCATGGTTAATACTTACAATGCTTACAATGTTGAATGGAATTTAAAACTGTTCAAGTAAGTTATCTTTAGGGTAGATTTTTTTTTCTTTTTTCGAATTTAAAACTGAATTAGATCAACATCAATGTCCTGGCTTTGATAGTGTACTATAATTACTTAAAATATAACAATTGGGAGAAACTTAGTAAAAGGTAAACAGGACATCACTGTACATTTATTTTGTAACTTCCTGTGAGTCTATAAATTCTTCAAAATAAAAAGTTAGAAAAAAAGTGGATGAGCTATGAAGAGTTTTGTAAAGGATAAGAAACCATAGACATTTTAAAGAAAACAAAATACCTTGCCTGTTTGAGTTTTTTTATTTTTCCATTGTGGTTGAGGATGGTTTTCTTGTTGGGCTCATTGAAATCCTCAAATTTAGCTTATAATTGACATGAAAATTCTCAATCTTCTAACAGAGGGCCTGATGTACAGTATAGCCTGCTGCTTTCAAGCTTAGATTGCATGCAGTATTTCCATAAATACTAAATTTTAAATTATTATGAAGATTGGTATGAGGAACAAAAGTGTAGAGTCACATGTGAATGGAATTGGTATAAAGGGAGCATACATAAATTGAAACGGAGTTTGCAAACAGAATTGAAATGACTGTCAGAAGTTAACAGAGGTGCACTGAGAACACATGTTTAATGATAACTGCATGACCTCTTTAAATTTATGAATCTCATTCATGTTAAAGAAATATGCAACTGATAATATGACAAGCTGGGGGACTGAGAAATGAGAATAGAATACGACAGCAGAAAAGAAAAAAGGTTTTTGTTTTTTTGCCATGGGAGAGGCAAGAAGATAGTGGTGTCAAGATGAACAAAGATTCTAAGTTTAAATTCTTCCCAGGATGAAGGCTCTGCCACATGACTGGCTGGAGGTTGGCCTTAGGCTGAACACAGAATGGAGCTGTCTAGGACTTAGCTGAAACTCTCTGGTCTCAGGCACAGGAAAGGGCAGTCGTAAAAGCTGTCCATTTGGAATTAGATTTCCCTCTTAGGAACACTAAGCTTCTCTCCCCTAATTTATCCAAGATGCGGCACTGCAGGCAGAATAAAACAGGTGGGCTTTACATTCAATCGAGATATTATTAGTGCATGAGAGATTTAGGATGATAGTCATATATTCAGTCTACTAATTATCTCAAATTGTTTAAGTCCTGGGGACTTATAGGAAGCCTTCCCTAGTCAACTGCACATTTATTTCTTTTTCCTTGTACTTATTTTCCTACGGTGCTCAAAGAGACCAATGCTATCTAGCCCCTCCTGAATTACAAACTGTCTTGAACATTCTTTTTATGCCATGCTTGTTTGTTCTGGCCACTTAAGAATTTTTTCTTGCATTTTACTTGAATTCCTCATAGATTCTAGCTAACCAATCAATTCTAGCTAGGAATACAGTAATTATCAATAAACTGTCTTTCTTCAACACACATTTGTTAAGGAAAAAATCTATGTTGACCTCCTTCTTCATCTTAAACCCCCATCCTATCTTTCAGAAGATGGAAAGGAATTGACATCAGTAGGGTACAGTGGAAATCATGTTTTGAAATAAGACAGACCTGAGTTCAAGTTCTAGCTCTGTTACTTTGTAGCAGTGTGACTTTGGGCAAATTATTTAACCTATTTGAGCCTGAGTTTCCTCAATTTTTAAATGGTTTAATAATACCTACCTCATCAGATTGTTGTGAAATTTAAAAGAGATTACGTTTGTAAAGCGCCCAGCACAGTGCCTGGAGACAAGACACATACATAAATATTATAATACAAAGCAATATGTGTTAAGTGCCATATGAGTGGTATGGATGGGGTGCAGATGAGAGAGGCTGGGGGTGATCAGATAAGGCATGTAGGGAAGTACAGCTGAGCAGAGCCCTGAAAGATGAGGAGAATTTCCACAGATGGAGATGAGAGGTCAAGGCCAGCTCAGGCAAAAAGGAGTACTATGGAAAAAGGTGTGTAAATAAAAATGGAAAGGTGAGTGAGCTGTTTTCAGTAGAACATGTAAAGGGGAGAGTGGGAAATAAGACTCAAAAGGTAAGGATGGAGGATCTTGATTGCCCAGCTCCTCTTGGGGGAGCTACTGAGTATTTCAGAGCGGGGACATTATATACTTAAAGAGTGATTGGGGAACAGGAGTTAGCATGAGCTCCCTGGAAAACAGAGGGTAAATCCAGAGGAATGAGTAACTAGAGTAGGTACCTTGGGAGAGGGAGGTGGAGAGAATCTAAGGTGAGATTTTCATTGCAAAAGGGTCGGGAATGAATACAAGATTCACCTACTTCACGATTTTGCCTAGGGACAGTCCTGCCTCTGAGTACCTTTGGCAAGAGGAGACAACAAGAGATAGTGTCAGGTCATATGCATTTGGAACATTGTGGGTAACAACATGGCATGGGTTAAGCAAAGGGTTGTTTGAACTTAACCCATTGGCTGAATATAATAGCACAATAACTAACACTTGGATACACCTGGTTTCCACTTCATGTGTAATAGATTGTTGAGTCATAATTCTAATATGGTCTTAATGCAAACTTTGCATTCAATTTCCTTTTGTCTCTTTCCACAAAGGAAAAAAGGAAATTGATTTTGCTGCTCTGTTGAGCTACCTTTATACTAAGCTAGGACCATGAAATCATCATTATACAATCACTAAATATTATGGCATGTTTACAAACTCAAGAATCACACAAAAAGTAAAATACCTTGGAACAAAATGAAAATGTCACACCATGTATGTAGAAAAGTGATGTTTAATTGTCACTTATTTTCAAAAAGGAGTTATTAGATTCAGAAATATTTTCCATTTTTCAGGTTTCCATTGTTTGTGTAATAGAGACATTCATAGTTTATTTAAAATAAAGTGGGGTATTTTTGTCATTTTTCAACAACAGTTAAGTTTTAATTTAGTATTTCAGCCAAAATAGGACACTTTAGATCTTCCAGACAGGATTTTTACTATAGGAGCTAAATATTTTAGAAGAAAAGATTTTCAATGGTATATTGGAATAATTAGGGGATTTTTATTATTAACAAATGCATCTTTATTTTTAATAAATTCATTGAGACAAATCAGTTGACTTAGGAGATAGTTATTTGATATTCTTAACTGTAAATGATTACATTATATCAAGAGGTAATAATTGTGGAAATACTGCTTAAAGAGTACACATTAGGAACCAGGCATTGCTACTTCAGAAAGATTACCTAGACTGCAATGCTTGGTCTTAGTTGAGGAGCAGAGAATCATTGACTGTAACAAAGCCAAAATGATGATGGCCTGAATTATTTTTTTTTTTTAACCATTGTTGAAAGTATTTTTAGACTGCAAGATAAATGGGGATCAAAAAATTGGGGGCAGCAAAATTTATACAAACTGATACAGACTGAAGTTCCTGGACAAATAAAACATTGATATTTTAGCCTAATATTTCTCCTTTTCTTGAGGTCTGGCCTGATACATAATTGGGTAAATTACAAACAAATAATTATAAAGATTTATAGTCTTCTACAATCATAATTAAAACAACACTTTAATAAATGTATAGAAAATGTTGAATATTTTATTAAATATTGTATACTGAATTAGCACAAGTTGAGTCCAAGAAGCTAATACACACAAATATAATATTGTTTTCTGGATGTTATATTTAAAGTGTTTATTTCTTGCAGCCAATTTTAACAATATTTACAACTGTTCACTTGTTAAGATTAAAAATTCAATAAAAAATAAGTTAATTAAAAATTATGTATAAAAAGGGGCTTAAAATTATGATGACATAAACATCTAGGTACTGCTACTGAAGTAAAATTTCACTTAACTTTGCTCATATTTATTTGCTAGTATTTCTACTTAGAAACCTTTAGTGAACAAGTCACGATACAAAATTATGTGTACAATATGTGTTGAAAGCAAATATTTTAAATATCTCTGACTGGAAATAAAACTAAAAATGAATTTCAACAAAATGTTAAAATACTGGCGTAGTATAACAATAACTTTTTTTTTTGCCTTTCATGCATTGTTTTGACTTATTTTTATTTTTACTTTAAATATTTTAGACACAGGTTCTCACTCTGTTGCCCAGGTTGGAGTACAGTATAGCTCACTGTAACTTCAAACTCCTGGGCTCTAGCAATCCTCCTGCCTCAGCCTCCTCAGTAGCTGGGACTACTGGTGTGCACCATTAAGCCCAGCTAATTTTATTTAAATTTTTTTTTGTAGAGATGGGGTCTCACTGTGTTACCCAAGTTGTTTTCAAACTCCTGGCCTCAAGTGATCCTCCTGCTTTTGCCTCCCAAAGCACTGGAATTACAGGCATGACTTTTGAGTTTTAAAAGTTCTTTGTAATACTATTTCCATAATGTGGGGTGAGGGGATCCTTTAATTTATAAAGCATATTATGTCTTCTATGACTTGTCTTAAAATTTTTAAGAGGGAAAAAAGGGCATATCATTTATGAAAGTAATGTAGGTCAGAGGCCTGATTCAGAAGTAAGCTTGAAAATGTCAGGGTGCATTTAGCTTTGCTGGGTCAGTAGAATACAAAAGTAGGACAGAATGGGATTGCTACAACCAGAAGGGTCAAGGTGAGAATGGGCAGGAGGTCAGTAATAAAGAAAGAAAATTCAGGGGAAATGATATAGTGTTTCTAGTAGTGGAAACCACTAAGAATTCAGAAATTCAAATGGCTACACCCTGGCTGAGAAATTGAGGGTCTCCTATGTGATACTAAAAGTGTATATAACTAAGATATTCAGAGAAACCAATAAAAATCATCAATGATCAGAAACCTACTAGATCAGGGGTCTCCAACCCTGGGGCCGCAAACCAGTAGCCATCCATGGCCTGTTAGGAACCGGGCTGCACAGCAGGAGGTGAGCAGCAGGCAAGCGAGCACTACCGCCTGAGATCCGCTTCCTGTCATTTCAGAGGGGCATTCGATTCTCATTGGATTGGGAACCCTATTGTGAACTGCACATTACAGGGATCTAGGTTGCACACTCCTTTTGAGAATCTAACTAATGCCTGACGATCTGAGGTGGAAGAGCTTCACCCTGAAACCAACCCCCTCCCCAACACCCCTGTCAACGGAAAACTTATCTTCTACAAAACCAGTTCCTAATGCCAAGAATGATGAGGACCACGGTACTAGATGGCCAACATTAAGCCAATATTTTGGCCAGAGAAAGAGTTTTTAACCTTCTTCCTGTCAAGGGAGAAACTATTCTCGGAAAAAATATGCCTAGAGCAAAACTGAGGGCAATTTATTAGTTCACTTGCTGAAAGGGGATATGAGCAGATCACCTTCTGACCTTCATAAGAGTCAAGTGGTAGAATTTTACCGGGGAACAACTCCGGCACAGTCAGGAGACTACTGAATGGTTTGTTTCTACCAGGAGAGGCAGTCAACCCTGTACAGTAGTTATCTGCTCTCACCTGCTAAAGGGATGCTCCTTAGGCTACTGTGCAGTTATTTGCTCTCTTGAAGAGAAGATGAACTACAAATAAGATCATAAATAGGGAAATTCCCAAGGTCTATGCAGTCTGAGATAAGACAGTAAAATCTGGGCTAATGGTTCTACAAAAGGCTGCAAGCAACCTGTGAAATGGTCCTCACTATACTCTTTAAATTTTCATAATTTCTGAATCCAAGGAATACTTTGATTCCAAATAATAATTACATTCATTTGCATCATTTGACCAGTGTATTTTTCTTCTTTGGTTTCTGTGATCCTCTCCCCTTATTTTTGTTCTGACCTCTCAGAAAGCAATTTCTTCTTTAGTGTTACTTGACCCAACTGCCTATGAGATGCCAGAGTGCTCAGGGGGCCAGGGTTTTATCTCTCTCCTTTACTGCAATACAGTGGTGACATTCACTTTCTTATCCCAACTATTATTTATTTCCTGGTGATTCCCAAATGTTTGTCTCAAAGTCAAGTTTGTATCCTGAATTCCAGACACATATCATCAAGTTTAACTAGTAAGTTCAATGCATGATTACTGCCTTCTTACAAGTTATCATCTCTTGTTTCGGTGTTTATGAGTATATGTTGGTATAATATCTTCTCCTATATTTGCTCAAAACCTCTTTCCAATCCATCAGTCACACCATTGTGTTATGAGGATTGCTCTTGTGAGAGGCAAATCTGACCACATTATGGTCCTCCTTTCAGCAGCATCCTGTTACCTTAAGATAAAATCTGGCCCATAGAAATCTCATGATCAAGTGCCTTTGTACCTGTTGGTCTCCACATCTTTTTTTTTTCACCTCTAGACTTCACCCTTTACCAAACTCAGACATACACTCGCCTTGCCCTGGAGCATTACCCCTGGGCCTTCGCAGGGGTGGTTTTTGGCTGGAAATTCTCCATTACTTTCTGTGGGAATATTTCTATTCTATTCTTTCAGCCTCAGATAAGATGTCATAGCCTCTTAAAGCCAGCTCTTTCTCCAGGTGCCACTGAAGGCATTAACTATTGCCTTTGTCCTCCTCCCATGACCCATGGTGGAAGCTAATATGACCATGCTTTGCCATGTGTGTCTCCCAGCTAGTCATGCTCATCTTGATATCGCCTCTTTCTAGCCCAGTGTTTGGGACATTGCAGAGGCTCTATAAATGTTAGCTAAATGAATTAATACATGAATAATTCACCTAAAGAAATGTTTGAATTTGAACTTTTAATTTTTATTTGAAAATATTTTGAAGCTTTTTTTTTCCTATTTTGTTAGTAAAATTTACTTTGGAAAAGCTGCAGCTTGACTTAGCTGAACTTCTAAAGATAATTTTTTTTAGCCTTTGATTGGTCAAAGAGATAGAGGGAAGCAAGCTTATTACTGAGATTGCTAAGAGACCTTCCTGATGATGTGGGCTCAAACCAAATTACAGGCAGGAACCTAGGAGGAATTAGAATAAGCTGAAAACCTGGAGGCCCTTCTTCATGAAATTACTGGCCTAGAATCAGGATAAGAGAAAAACTATTAAAAGTCCTTTTGACAGCTTCAAGAAGTTTTTCAAAAATCAAGCCAATAACATGCAGGGGATTTATCCTTTAAATGTAGCTAAATGGTCAGAGAACAGAGAAAATTAACTTCTTTATGTTTGAGAAAAGAACATCAAAGGGGTCTTAATATTGTTATTTACATGCACTATATCGTCACAGTCTTTCTTCTTTTTGGCTTTTGCTAACGTAGTGCTATCAGGCAGAATTTTTCCCTATATGGCAATAAAGAAGGACAAGATAGAAAGATGCCATCAGAACTAAGACTGGAAGCCTGAGAAAGACTATGGCACAGAAAATGCTAGGCTAAACGAGAAGCAGAAGAAAAGTATAATATAATATAGCTATCTAAAGATCTCAAAATCTTGGAAAAAAAAGTTTTAATCTGAGTTTGTCATTAAAACCAAAGTTAAATTAATCCTTAATTGATACCATAAAAAAGACAAAACAGTGTTACCATATTTTATGTAGGTTCATCTGTTTTTATCTCAATTTAAATGGCTGAATTTCATAGATTCCAAGATGCAGGTTTTTTTTTTCACATTTTAATATCTGTGAAATTGGGATTTAAATGATAATTGATAGCATTTTATAGTATGTCAAGTTCCTTTTCTTTTATTAGTGGTGTTTAAAGTAATATTTCATCTTTAATCAATGGTGTCTTATAGTCAATGATGTAGTACCTATACTGTTAAACCCCACCATAACATGGTTAAGTAGGATGAAAAATATACAACTTTGAGATTGCTACTAAGATGAGCCTGGGCAGCTAGATAGAGGAGAGTTCCAGGAATTTGGCTAATTGACCCATATTCTTTCAGGTTCCAGTTATAGTTTGATGTTACCTGGAGGTTGTAAACTGTTGCTTAAACATTAGTGGGGGTAATTCTGAATCTTGTGGCAGGCTGGGATGGCCAGGACACTACCAACAACTCCAGAAATCTCCCAGTTGGTAGGTGCCACATATAGTTGTCTTGATCCATGGAGAATGGGTCAGGAGACCCAATCATGGTACATGGATATTTCCTGCCAACTTTTCCACTTGTAATTACTTGCTGTAATCTTCCCAGCCTTAAGCCCTTCCTAAATTTCCCACTGCCAACCCCGCCCTAAGAACCTAAGTATGTTATACTGCCCTATTCCTTGAGAACATAGGCTAGGCAGAGGACTGAAGCTCATCACCAATTACATTAATCCAAACTTACACTAGTACAGGGATTTACATGACTTACCTTTTATCCTTAGTGATCATAGGTTAGTAAATATTGGGCTTAGTACCTTTAAAATAGAACACTTAACTAAATAAGAAAGTTTTCATGCTGAATTATTGAGAATTCAAATTCTTGTGCCAAAAAAAAGGTTTATTTTAAGACTAGAAGTTCCATTAACCTTGAGCTTGCTCTCTAAATTGCAGATAAAGCACATAAAATAAATACAACCATATCTGGTGTGCTAATTACGAAAACCAACTTGCAAGTGCTAACATGCATCATAATGGCCAAAAACTCTTTTCAAGATCACATATGTAAATAATCTCCTTCAGTTTAAGGTTAAAAAGACTATTTGCAGAACCTGGCAGTGTTGGTAGACATATCTTAATTTTTTTCAAGGTCATCTTAAACATAAAAATTTGGACAACGAATTGCCAAGCACTGTGGTATAAACAAAGAAAATAGTGATAAACTATGTAGATGATGCCCTTACCTTGGAAAATGATCTAAGATATTCTAAGCCTAGACGGTATTACCAGGTTTTCCAAATAATTCTTTAGATATACTATTTTCTAGGAATTGTGCTTCAGTTTCTCCTTATTTTTATCTCCAGTGGTTTAATTCTATGTCTCTGAAATGTCAAGTTTCCACTCTTCAGTATTATAAAATTCAATTGCACCCCATATGCCTTCAAAGCTAATAGAAATGTTGTGTTCCCAGACTGCATTGTCAAGTTTTCATATTTATAAGTATGCTGACTGGTGACTGGTCAAATGTTTAATGAGCTGGATGCACCATTAAGAGCAGATTCAACTAAAGACAAGGGGGCTATTTTACGGAGTGTGTCTTCTGTCCCTCACTTCTAAGAATGCCCAAAAGCACATACTTTACATTAGCATTAATAACAGCTAGTGACAGCCAAATGCTGTAAAAAAGGCCATGATCAAGTAGGCTTCATCACTGGCATGCAGGGTTGGTTCAACACATGACAATTAATAAATGCAATTAATCACATAAACAGAACTAAAGACAAAAAACACTTGATTATCTCAAATGATACAGAAAAGAATTTCAATAAATTTCAACATTGCTTCATCTTAAAAACTCTCAATAAACAAGGTTTTGAAGGAACATAGCTCAAAATAATAAGAGCCATTTATGAAAAACCCATAGTCAACATCATACTGAATGGGCAAAAGCCAGAAGCATTCGTCTCAAAAACCAGTACCAGACAAGGATGCCCTCTCTCAACACTTCTATTCAACACAGTATTGGAAGTCCTAGCCAGAGCAATCAGGCAAGAGAAAGAAATAAAGGGCATCCAAATAGGAAGATAAGTCAAACTATCCCTGTTTGCAGACAACATGATTCTACATCTAAAAAAATCCCATAGTCTCAGCCCAAAAGCTCCTTCAGCTGATAAACAACCTCAGCAGAGTTTCAGGATACAAAATCAACGTACAAAAATCACTAGCATTCCTATAGACCAACTGCAGCCAAGTCGAGAGCCAAATCAGGAAGGCAATCCCATTCACGATTGCCACAAAAAGAATAAAATACCTAGAAATACAGCTAACTAGGGAGGTGAAAGGTCTCTATGATGAGAATTACAAAACACTATGCAAAGAAATCACAGAAGACACAAACAGATAGAAAAATATCCCATATTCATGGATAGGAAGACTCAATATCATTAAAATGGTCATACTGCCCAAAGCAATTTCAATGCTATTCCTATCAAACTACTAATGACATTATTCACAGAACTAGAAAAAAACTATTTTAAAATTCATATGGAACAAAAAAAGAGCCTGAATAGCCAAGGCAATCCTAAGCAGAAAGAACAAAGTTGGAGGCATCATGTTACCTGACTTCAAACTATACCACGGGGCTATAGTAACCAAAAGAGCATGGTGCTGCTACAAAAACACATAGGCACATAGACCAACGGAACAGAATAGAGAGCCCAGAAACAAGGTTGCATACCTATGACTATTTGATCTTCAACAAAACTGACAAAAGCAATGGGGAAAAGACCCCCTATTCAATAAATGGTGTTGGGATAACTGGCTCACCATATGCAGAAAATTGAAGCTGGACCCCTCCCTTACATCATGTATAAAAATCCTGCTGTGCCAGCCAGTACCCCATTCTTGCTGGATCATGATGCTCCTGGAGGAGGCACCGGGGAGGAAGGGGAAGTGGAGTTGCACTGATGGCCTAGGGGCAGTGTCTATTTACCAAATGATAAGATATATTTTAATATACCAACAAGTTGCATGGTCCTTCTAGTATATGGAAGTGAACATCAGCCTTGCCCTTGGCTTCAGCTTCTTTAGGACAGTGGTTCTCAAAGTGTGGCCTGAAGACCAAGAATTCCTAAGATCGTATTAGAAGATCTATAGGGTTCTCCCTTTTTAAATGACTTATCTAGATGAAGGTAGATTTTTCTCTACATGTTTAAAGCAAGACAGAGTATAGAAAAAGAGAGAATGCTGAAGTACATGCACAAATCTGGCCATTTTTTACTGAGCCAGACATTAAAGCGATTTGTAAAAATAGAAAAGTCCACCACTTTTCTCAAAAAATTGCCTTTGTTTTAAAAAATATATTTTAATAAAATATACTGTTTTTATTAGCACATGATGAGTTAATTTCTGTTATTATTTATTTTGTTGTAAGTAATAATTTTTAAGAGTATAAAGGGATCCAGAGACCAAGAGTTTGAGAACAGCTACTTAAGGAAATAAAACAATAAGAACTGTAGAACACCAAGGAAGAAGAGCCTAATAGCCCCCATCCCTCGATCATTTTATTCAGAGTTCCAATTGTCTCTTGAAAGATTAGTTAATAATTTTAAAATATTCCTGCATTTTTCACTTATGTAGAACATGGCCACTAGCATATATTTATATTTCAAAATCTTGCTAATTTATACTAATTTCTGTGTATGAAGTTTTCTGTATTAGATTTTTTCATAAAGAAGTGCATTTAGCCAAACTTTGCTAATAAAATTTTTATCAAAATGCCATGAGGAAAAAACAGCTTTAAACAGTAAATTAAAATTTTAATTAGTCTATCAATTGGCATGCGCATGGTACTTCTAAAATACTTGTAATCTATTGGTTTTGTATCCTAAGAATTTCGTCAGAAATCCCTTTCACATGACCATTTTTACTCATCTTTTAGGAGAGAGGAAAAGTAAACATTAGCCTCAGTCTGTGCTATTATCTTCAATTCCACAGCAGCATAATCTAAACTACCATCTTTCATTTTATCTAAGAAAAGGATTCAAAGGTGTACCATTGTTTCATATATCAAAACAAACAAACAAGCAAAAACAAACACCCCAAATGATCTCTTTATAAAGTTGGTTTGCCAACCTTAGTATAATGGTAAATGAAAAACAAAACTACACATTAAAAACAGACACCAAAGAAAGTTACTTGTCTCAGTCATGACACTGAATGAAGGAAGGGGTCAAACAAACAAACAAACAAACAAAAAACCCTCCCTTAAGAATCTGACCCAGATCCTGGCTTTGGTTAGTGCTTTTATTTATGAAACCAGTGTGGTCAAAGACCTTAACCCGACAATGTAGGTAGTGCCCTCAAGTGATTAACAGGAGAAAATGCATATTATCTTGTAAAATACCACTTAGTCTAAGAGAACCAATTTCAGAAGCTTTAAAGTGTGGAAAACAGCAACAACAAAAACATGTGTCTTAGAATCAAATACAGTAACCAGAATTTCCTGGCATATAAAATTAATTAAATATTGCTTATATAGGATTAATGTGTATCATGACAACTTTATCAACTTGCTAATATACTTTAGCAAGTAAAATGCAAGGGGGAAATGGAAGCAAAAAATATAAAGTGATGGGCACACAGTTATCCAACATTCTTTGGGTATTTACTTCTAAGACCACAATCAAAGTGTACAAATTAATATGTGCATCCCCAAACCAAAAAATTTGATAAGCATATTTCTAGGGCATGCTATCTCTCTGCCTAATCTATCTTCTCTCAATGTGTATATATATTTGAAATATATTTTATTGGTCACAGATAAATTTTATCATGGTCCCTTGATTTTCATAGATCAACAGGAAAATTTATAGCTCTTAAAAATCAACTTTTGAAAACAAAGATTAGGAATATACCTTTAAAACCTACGTTTAAATTATAAGGTGCTCTGGGTCCTAAACTCAACTCCACAGTGCTTCCACATCATAGTACATATAGCATTTTTCATGCTTTGAAGCAAAGTCTTAGATTCTATATACAGTAGCCAGGTGGCAGCTGTAACTCTCTACATTTTGTCTTTATTGATTCCATTTTCAAGAAATGTACAGTGAGAGGAAGTGTCTTGCTGCAATTGCCATCTATTGTATGAAGGTAATATTATAGTTCCTTAAGGAGACAGAAACTGAATCTTCTGTCATTAATGCCAAGTTGCTAATTGAGTCTTGGGGCTTTGTGATGATAGTCTGTGACCCAAAGATATCTCTAATCAGCAGGCATTTTATCCAACCAAATTTTAAAATGTCAAATGAGTCTTTTTAGATAATGGGTGTTTGGTAGGGGACATGTGATAATGAGTGCTATCAGGCATCAGTTGTCTTCTGAGGCCAATAGGGTTATCTGCTGATGCACTGGACTCCATGCTAAAAACACATGGATCACCCCCTCCACCTCCTTTTTAGAACGTAATACCCACTGCCTTTCTAAAGTTGAGAATATTAAAACTCTTTATCTTTTTTATTAGCTTTTGATGCTCAGTGATGATTCTGTTTTTCATGTCTTAATGTAATGAGTTACAGTTTATATAGTACTTGAACATAACTATAACCTTTAAGAGGGGTTTTGAGACCTGCATGGAAACACTCAAAGCAAACAATGGTCTTAGAAACAGAAACTGAAAAAAGGCTAAAGGATTTGCTGAGAAAAATTCCAGCTTCCTTTCTTCTTTACCACTGTTCTGTCAGTATTGAAAGTGTAAAATGCTACATCAAGTACAATGCTTCTTAAATGATAAATGGATGAAGTAGGTGCTTTGAATGAAATACTAAATAAAGCTCTTCTCTTGAAAGTATGGCCTTGGTACAAAATAGCATTTTTTCAAGTCATTCAAACAACTCTATTCCATTTCACAAATAATGAAAAGACCTCATGGAAGCTCAGTCACCTTTTCCTTGTCTTCTTACAAAAAAGTAACAAAAAGAACCCATTCCTAAGTGGCACTGGATCCATAAACTGGCTTTTTTACCAGTTTGTATTGAGGGTAAATGGATAGTGAGCTGTTCAGTGCTTTTCCTTCTCCTTGTGAAAAGCAAAATGCTGTATGTATCAACTTTTCTCCCTCTTTTTTGACCAAGACAATATCTTATTTTATATATGTGTGTGTGTGTGTGTATATACATATATAAACAGATATCAAAACATTTATGAACATATGGGAATATGCATAAATATACATACATGTGCAAGTAAATCATCTCAATAACAGAATGAAAAACAGCCAAATTTTGTCTGCCTGTTTCAAAACACAAACATTCAACTTTCCCTATTGATTTCACTGAAAATATTTTGTTAAGTAATTATACCCTCATTTTATAGCTATTACACAAATAGAAATCAATTCTTTGTAGATAAGTATTTCAGTGAGTTCCTTTCAGGTTTGAGTTTGGTTAAAGACAGAAGACTTGCTGTAGTGCAGAACTGAGGTTAAATTTGAAATCCTCTACTCCTCAATAATTTCATCTAGAACACATTAACATGGGTCTGCTCATTTGCCCCTTTGAAGACATTGGGTGTTCCATGGGACCCAATTTCATCATGGCACCATACGTCTGCCTTGCCACCTTCTGAGGGATATCTACTGCCAAATTTCAGAGCAAATGTTATCAGTCAGGACTCACCTCTCCTTCCCTGGGCCAAGGCCTCCCATTCTGGGTATATTTGCTTTGATTCTGTCGCTTCTTTTGTCCTCCATCAGCGAATTTGCACAGCAAAGGCTCACTGGGGGCTGGGAAGATAAGAAACCAATTCTACATTAACAACTCCCCCTTAAAAACTAAGTGATTATGTGAGTCACAGTAGTGCTTTGTAATGAGTATCTTTTGAAGTAACATCTTGCTTCTGAAGAGATATTTGGCCCCCTTTTAGTCTCAGCTCTGTTGGCCGCTGTTCTAACTAACTGGGCTTCAAAAAAGTACTGGCAGATCATAAAAGAATATAACAAATATTGTTGAAAAAATAATCAGTTGAAGCAGAATGTGAATTTGTTTTAGAAGTAAAGAGGCAAGCACCGACCCTTCCAGTAATGTCAGAAACGTGTTCATAATCGGTATTTATATGTGGATAAATATTTCTTCCTCAAAGCAACCGTGTTTGCACTGTAGAAACTGAAGGATTCAATTTTGGAAAGATGATTAGGAGCTTCTTTCTCAAAAGAGAGACATTTTGCTAACTGCAATCAAATTAGCTTTTAAAAAATTAGTCCCCTGTAATTTCTAAATGGCTAGAAGCTGATGCTCCACCCAACACTCTTCACTCCAATTTTCCAGTAAAATCTAGTCAGAATCCCAGGGAGAACAATTATTATAATGTTAAGTGAACCCACATGATAAAAATATAGCCAAAGGATATGGCTATAACTTGTGAGTCCCAGATTGCTTGATGTGGTCCTACATGACTCAGGTAAATGTATTTCCCAAGAGAAAGTGACCAAAACTGATGTCTGAACTTCTCTTCCAACAATTACATTGGAAAATGACAATCTTTTAAAACCCAACAGGGCAAAATTATTCTTTGAGAACTGATGTTCTCCTTCACATCCCTGCTTGACTGGAAAATTGCTGCTTGTTATCACAATAAATATATTTTTAAATGAATGAATAAAATGAAAGCCAAAGTGGCCTGACAAACTTTTTTAATACATTAATATGGCTGGGAAGGTTAATTTCTTAGTTTATCTGCTTGAATTAACCAAATATTAATTTGTCAGTTTACAGTCTGAAAACCAAAATGACCACCCTGCACAACTGTTACTCATTAGGAAAAGTATGTTTTACTAAAGATTAATGATACTAAAGGCCCTAATTCTTGACCAATTCCTGTGTCCTTGCCTCTTGCTATATAATATTGTGGAGCCCTCTCATTCTGACTCTAGGTCTGACCCCATGTGATTGCTTTGGCCAATGGGATGTTAGCAAATGAGACATGACCAGGAGCTTGAAATGGGTTTAAGTATTGAGAGTTGCTTCTTTTGCTCCTCTGCATGGATATGTGAACATGCCCAGGTTAGCCTGCTGGAGGATGAGATGCGAATAAAGGTACGTCATCCTTAACATGCTAACATTCCAGCCAAGGCCATACTAGATCATCCAATGCCAGCCACCACCCAGACATGTGAACCCGCACATCCAAGATCGGTAGTGGTACAGAGTTAACTTGCAGTTCACAACAGAAAAAAATATATAAGCCTAGGTGATATAAACTGAGCCCACCACACCAATGTGTAAGCTAAAGAAATCTTTATTGTTTCATGCCACTAAGATGTTACAATTGATATGTGGCATTATTGTCTTAATAGATAACTGACAACTTCCCCAACACCCATTCTCCCCCATTCCCACCCCAGCTAGATTCCTTGCATTTACTTATCTGGGTAAAGTTAAACATTTTTAAGGAATTAATGAGAATTTCAAAATTGTTTCCAAAATCAACAGTGGAAAAAGAGTACAATCAAACAGGTACCTAAAAATAAATATTTGAAAATCATTTGGCTCTAAGGGGGAGTCATATTTTGTCAAATCCTTTTAGCTCACTATTAGCAGCAACTCTGTTTATCAGTACTGGAGGGAATGACTCAAAGAGACAGGGGTCACCATTGACCAAGAGAAATAAGAAACAAAATGTCATTTCTGCCCTATACAGAGCACACAGTTCTGTATAGAGAGAGCATTCAATAAATATCATTGCCTCACTGAACACAAGTGGTTTTTCACACTGACTGCTCTGATGAGCCTCTGACTTCAGTGACTTGGGTGAAGCCAGGAAAATCACACAAGAGAGACTGCATCATGGAATATCTGTAGATAGTCACTGCCTTTATGTTAGAAGTACTGTAAATTCTGATTCCTAATTCTTTATGTTATAAGTACTGTAAATTCTGATTCCAGATGAAAAACCTAAATGCTAAATGCAATCATTGCATCCCAATATTCTCTGAGTAACATAATTTCCTGTGAGATTCCAAAACTATGTATTTATATCACATGTAAACTCATCCTGCTCTATATTTTCTCTCTTGCCATTTTAAAGATTCAGGTACATACAGGTATTAAAATGGGATGGTCATGCTGACATATGAGTTCATCACTGTCAGTGGTACAAATTTCTCACAAAAGGTAAATCTAGAAGCACCTTACATTTCTTGCTGTAAAGAAACTGGTTCCAATTTCTTGTGAGGAGGGATGGCAGCTTTGTGTGCCTCTGTTAGGTAAGAAATTTTCCTAGCAACTACATTCACAGACACACACATTACACCCACAGGTAAGTTTTTGTTGTTTGTTTTTAACAGCTTTATTGAGTCAACTGACATAAAATAAACTGTACATATTCCCAATATACAATTTGTCAGTGTTGATATATGCATATGCCTATGTGACCATCACCATTGTCAAGATAATGAACATATCCATCACCCTTAACAGTCAGAAGCTTCTTTCTACTCAAATATAGTCTTTTTTTAACCAAGGAATGTTATCCAAGAAGAGGAATTTTTTTTTTTTTTTTTTTTTTAGTATTTGGTGTTAATAATAGACTAAAGTTTATCAAGCACTTCCATTTTACATAGATCATTCATTTAATCTTTACTACAACTCTATGAGGCAACTAATATTTTTCCCTATTTTACCAGTGAAGGAAGTGAGATTCAGAATGGTTTAGTGGCTCGCTACGGGTCACACACCTGCAGTTGTAACAATACTGAATTAGAAATCAGTCTTTATCTGCTAGGTATCATCCTTGAGGAAGAAAATATCTTGTCGTACCTGTTTGCACTGTGTCCATATAAGCAGAATTGGCCCATACATAAGAACTTTTGTGTCCAGATTTATTTGTGAGTCCTACAGTCCATGCATGATGGGCCATCAGTGACCCAATATGGCATGAGATCGAACTTGATTGTCCTCTTGGATGTCTAATTCATAGGTGAGGAGCATGTTTTCACTCCCTTCCTTAGTTCCCATACCAGTTTTCCCTTAATATCATAAGGCTTCTGTTAATGTCAGATTTATATTTAAAAAGAGACCAACTTGCTTATTTTGTTCTTAAAACCTTCTCTGATAATTTCCAGATTTTTATTCTGCCTTACGGCTGTAAGAACACATTGACCAGTGGCTACAGAAAATTCTGGGTTTCTTTTCCAAGTTGTAAATGGTAATCTATTTTTATTTAAGTTTTACCTTTTATACGTCTTTGGGTAATGGCTTTTATGAAACATATTTCTACTCTTTGAAGCAGGGTTGTTTATGGTCCCCTAACAATGGTTCTTATAAGGTTTATAGGATAGTCCCTGGTTCTAATAGTCTAGAGTATGACTTCTCTTTAGGTAGTTTCTATAGGCTCATATTTCCATAGGCTTTAACACATACTTTGGGGGCACTTAATTGTTAAGGGTGCCAGCTTCCTGGGTTTGAAGTCTGGCTCCCTTACTTGCTAGCTACAAAATACTAGGCAAATTTCCTTCCTTCCTTCCTTCCTTCCTTCCTCCCTCCCTCCCTCCCTTCCTTTCTTCCTTCCTTCGTCTCTCTCTTCCTTCCTTCCTTCCCTCCTTCCTCCCTCCCTCCTTCTCCTTCCCCTTCCCCTTCCTTTCCCTTCCCTTCCTTCCTTCCTCCCTCCCTCCCTTCCTTCCTTTCTTCCTTCCTTCCCTCCTTCCTCTCTCTCTCTTCCTTCCTTCCTCTCTCTCTCTTCCTCCTTCCTTCCCTCCTTCCTCCCTCCCTCCTTCTCTTCCCCTTCCCCTTCCCTTTCCCTTCCCTTCCCTTCCCTTCCCTTCCTTCCTTCCTTTCTTTTACATTTCTGTGACTCATTTTTCTTATGTATAAAATGGGGAAATAATGTTAAATACTTCATAGAGCTATTGTGAAAGTTTTTTTTAAAGAATGTATTATATCTAAATAAATACTGAATCTGTTTGCTGCAAAGATTATTACTGATTAGAATCTCTGTCAGCCACTTCCCAGTTCCCAACTGTGAAACCCGGTCATGTGTCAGTGTCAGAGAGTTTGGAACGTTTAAGCTTTATTTTCATCAGTTCTGTTCCATTTTAACTCCATAGAGGCTTCGTCAACATACAGAACTTGCAACTATCTTCAACAACAACAACAACAAAAAGATGTGTTGATGGAAAAGATCTGTGTTTCTAAAATGGTTCTTGTTTGCTATAGCTTGTCATTGGGTCATCTGGCCACTACAGCACTAGGTCCCTTTCCTGAGTCATTGCCAGAATTTGGCTTTCATTATCTCCTAGGTATGATGCATGTTATGTTATTATTATCTGCGTTAACCTCCAATTGCCTATGATGAATGCTCTCTGTTCCTTTGCTGTTGTTTCTGATCATTAGTACTATTACTATTACCTTGCCACTCAATTGCAAAAGTTCTGCTGGCAGTTTAAATCCATCAGGGTTGTATTTTACTACTAGAAAAACTATTGAGCCATCTACATAGTAATAGATTTCACTGGGGTTTCCCTTTTCCAGATCCCATATTAAAATGTTAAATAATTACTGTTGCTAAAGCTAAGTTCCAGAAAATCTTTCCTCATTAAAAGAGACCATCTCTACCTTTTGTTACCTCTCCCTAAAACAATTACGTATCTATAATTACATTCCAAAAAGGCAGGTCTTTCCCAATTCCCTTATTTAAACATTTGTATTAAATAAATAAAATAAAATTCTCTAAATGAGTTATTTACACTAATATTTCTTCTACCGACTGGCATAAAAACATTTAGCAGAGGTATCCCTTAAACAAATATTACCAAATAACAATGTTCTAGATTGCCAAGGATCAAATATATAAAGAGTATGAGATTCTGGATTTTAAGCCTACCTTAACATTTTCCCTTATTGTAAAGAGAACTTTCAAATAGTTGTTTTTAACACTAAGAGAAAATTTAAAAGTCATAGGGTGAGATTTTCTTAGCTTTCAACTAAGATCTCTTTGTGCACTGTCTTCATAAATTTTACAATTTTTTTAAAGGTCTAAAAATTTAGCCACCCTGATATTTGGGGGATCTGTATAAGCAGTTAGGCTATGAATATTGATAATGACCTATTTATATTTACTGACATTGCTAAGTTAAAACATCTGATTCTATTAATTTTAAGATGATTATATACTGTTAATTTTAAGATGATTATAATGGAAGACAGATACAGCCACAATGTTTTACTAGATACATTTAAAAAAATTCCAGAAATACATTTTCTTTTTATTATTATACTTTAAGTTCTAGGGTACATGTGCACAATGTGCAGGTTTGTTACATATGTATACATATGTATACATGTGCCATGTTGGTGTGCTGCACCCATTAACTCGTCATTTACATTAGGTGTATCTCCTAATGCTATCCCTCCCCCTCTCCCCCCACCCCACAACAGGCTCCGGTGTTTGATGTTCCCCTTCCTGTGTCCAAGTACATTTTCAAATGTGCTATTTCAAAAACAATGAATATATTTCCATATTATCCTTAAATTTCAGGAGTCAAATTCAGATTAATTTCCTAAAGAGAAATATTTCATTGAGAGTGGCAGAGAAAACATTAGTAGAATAGGTGAACTAAAATTCACATAATCGTCTTGTTCTTAGGTAATTCCTAAATACCTTTAAGATAAAATCCAAATTCTTTGATTAGAAAATAAGAATTTTTCCCCTTCATCATATCTTTATTAGTATCCTTCCATCCCTGAATAGTTTACACTCTGTCACTTCCTTTTTTTTTTTTTTCTTTTTTCTTTTTTGAGACAGAGACTTGCTCTGTCTCCCAGGCTGGAGTGCAGTGGCTTGATCTTGGATCTCAGCTCACTTCAGCCTGCGCCTCCTGGGTTCAAGTGATTCTCCTGCCTCATCCTCCTGAGTATCTGGGACTATAGGCACACGCCGCCACACTTAGCTAATTTCACTCTCGTCACTTCTAAGGGCAGTTCCTCCCTGCCTGGAATTTCTTTTCCGAACTGCCCCCACCACACATGCACACACACACCCCTCCATCTGGCAAATGACAAGGAAGCCCTCTTTGACTCCCAGCTCAGAGTGATATTATCTAGTGTGTATTTGGCCAGCTTTCACAGGTTGAATGCTGTTTCTCTTTGTGTTAAATAAATCCTTTGACAGGATTAATTTATTTCTAGGTCTGAGGGTAGAAACTGATCATAGGAGAGGTTGGAGTGAAGTTTGCCGTGTGTATGTATGTGTGCAATGTGTATGTGTGTGTGCACACTTAACAGCATTTTGCACTTAGTTATAGATAATACATGAAAGTGATGTTACTCACAGTAAGGTCAATGAACCCAGCAGCACTGGACTCATCACCTGGGAGCTTGTTAGAAATGTAGACTCTTGGGCCCGTTTCCAGACCAACTATATCAAAATCTATATTTTAACCAGATCCCCAGGTGATTTCTGTGTATGTTAAGATTTGAGAAGAACTGTTTTGGTTATGACTGGCTCCATAACTGAAAGAGGAATGCATATTAAATGTTAAACATGAAATACTCTGAATAATTAGAGACTTCAGTAGCACAGAAATAGTATATTGCTTACAATTTCCTTACTGTAGGATTATGGTGCCAATTACTTTCATGTAGTCTCTTTTAACAGTAGTTAAAATAGAGACTAAATGAAGAAGAGGTCTTTGTGGAAGTGGGATGCCATTATAAGCCACAGACTTTAATGTGCTAGAAGACATTATGGTCTATGATGCAAATGGGGAGTATTTAAAATATAATTATAACAACACATGGCAATAAAGTTGCACAGTAATTATAAAGGAGTAATTACTGTTTGCTTGCTTAGTGGAGTATTTCTAGTCTTCCAAACTTTGTATTAAACATGCAACATACAATGCATAAACTGATATAATGATCAGATGGCTTATAGGATTTGGTGTTTTAAGCAAGCAAACAAAACAATGACAAAGATTTTGCTTATCAAAATTAAGGTATGAGAATGTATTTTGATTTTCTGTTTACAATTTAAAATACGTGCAGTTTGATAAGTCACTAAAATGTTCTTTAATATGCTATTGATGAGAAGATATTGACATCTAAGATATCGACAGCAGAATTCCTGCTTTCCTTACAGAAGCTGACCACTTTTAATTTTAACATTCAATTTATTTAAGTTATTCTAGTGTTTGTATTGGACTGTGGTGATGGTTTTAAATATTTCTTTATTGCTATAACATTACTGGTCTGGTACTTTAACTCTTAAATTTAAAAATTCCTCATTTCAGATAGGTTCCAAATCTTCAGGAAAAAATAAGAGTGGGAGGAGCTGGATGGAGAAGAAAAGCTAACGACAACAGAAGCAGTTTATTCAAGGTGAGTTTATAAAATCTTAGTATAAGAGTAGACAAAATAAAGGACTTTAAAAAAGAATCTCAAAAACTAAAAGTTAAAATGTTATAAATTTTTGATCCAGGAGCTACCTTTAAAGAAAAATTTTGAGGTTGTAAATTATTTCTCAATTGAAAAAATGAAACAAATGATCACGAGGTCAGAAGATCGAGAACATCCTGGCTAACACGGTGAAACCCCGTCTCTACTAAAAATACAAAAAATTAGCCGGGCGTGGTGGCGGGCGCCTGTAGTTGCAGCTACTCGGGAGGCTGAGGCAGGAGAATGGCGTGAACCGGGGAGGCGGAGCTCACTGCAAGAGAGCTCACTGCATTCCAGCCTGGGCAACAGAGCGAGGCTCTGCCTCAAAAAAAGAAAAGAAAAGAAACAAATGAAACCTCCTTCCTAAACTATTCGTGTGATATTCTGGGTGACTTGTACATTAAAAAGCTGTTCATACTAATGGATGAAAACATGATACTAATAGAAGGATGATAATGAAACTCAGGAGCATTTTAACACAGTCCATCTTTTATTTATTTTTTGACCCACATGTATTCAATACCAACTAATACTGGCACTACTCTAAACTTTGCTCCTGGCAAAGTGGTCACAGTCTAGAAGGGGAGAAAGCCAAGTAAAAGGAAAACTCAAGATTACAATGGCTGCTATAATAGAGACATAGATAGGCATTCGTAGAGCATGGAATGGATGTCAACCTCCAGCACTACAGTCATAGAATGTCCTTTAGCTTAGAAATCACATCCAATTCCACAGAGTTTTAAAACAATGGTTTGCATATATGCCCCACCTCCCACCCCATGCCAACTGCCAAATTATGAACTAGCACATGGAAAACAAGTCAACGGTCACTTACTCTGGATAAAAACAAGTTTTAATCAAATGTTTGTTAAATGAAAATATAAATTAGGAAAGTGGATGCAATGCTAAGATTTAGTCAAAATGCTTTAAGAACGTCTGGGGCCATCTAGACCTGATGTTGAGAACTGGTAGCCTTGCAACAAAAACTTAGAACTGCTTTTGTACTTGCTCCAACACTCCACAGTCCTTCCAAATGCAGACAGAAGTAGTTTATACTGATTTGGAACAAAAAATATTTATGGAAAAATGCTAGAAATAAGTGTCTGAAGCTAACTGTATGCTGGAACCCATGCCTTTAATCATTTTCACTTATCCCAAAACACTATTTTGTTTGTCATATCCAGGAAGGTCTTGCAGAATAAGTCCTCTGAAATGTTTGCAAAAGGTTTTGTTAGGAAACGTCCACTTTCTTTTCCACATGTGCCCTATGCATGATAGACTTCTGATGCCTACCAGAGTGTGTATGTGTGTATGTGTGTGTGTGTGTGCCCCCATGCATATGTGTGTATGTATGTATGTATTTCTAGATATAGAGCTGGCAAGCTTTCAATTTCAACCACAATTTACATGGCAAAAATTACTTGAAGGTTACAACACAGAATTATTATATTTTGGAGTTAGAAAACCTGCATATGGCAAAGGAAGCTATTTGGTTACATTTTCTTTTGACTCTTAGCATCCTGTTTAGTATTTAATTATGTTTTGTGTACAATAACAAGCAAGGCGTAGCTAGGTATGTAATTCTTAGTTGTAATAAAATCCCATGCTGAATGGCGTATAGATCCTGTCTGCCATATAACTATACAATTTTCTTAATTCAAACTCTTGATTTTGTCAGTAAGGAAAATAAAAATAAAAGTTTAACGAATTGCTTGCTAATTTGTGGTAGTTGGTGGCAAAGTTACAATCAGTTCTTTTGATATCTAAGTGAACGCTTTCTCCAACTGCTTACTTTCTACCCTCTTTACCATCAGCAGGAATAGGGAATGAAGTTTGAGCAGTTCTTATGACTGACTTTATCATTTTGGAATGGGGCAAAAAGATTGAGTACTCACAAAAATATAATTACAGTGGTTCTCTGGGCCAGGTTAGAATTAAAACCGAAAGCTAGGAAACCAGTTAGTTCTCCTAAAAGAATGTATGCTGCCCCTCTAATAATGGCTTGTTTTAAAATAATAAACAAATCACCTGGATTATATTTATAAGTGTCAGGCTCATGTTTACGCCTATCCTTTAGGCCAAAAACTGGTGAGGGAATATACACTAAAAAGAGGAAATAAATAAAAAATAGCATACGTTGAAAAAATGTAATTTTCATGCACATGCCTAATTTTATCCCTCAGTAATGGATTACTGCTTATATTTGGTTTTATATATAATTCTGTGCTATGTGAAATAGCCTTACAAGAAAGAAAATGCCCCACAGTGACGATAAAAGCAGAGAACAGCTATTTGACTAGAAACAACATAGAGGAAATCACCTTTTGACAAATTGTATTACGGCCTAAATAGTGATCTCAAGATCTCCTCTCTGTTTTAAAGATTAAAACACCATCATTTAAAAAAATTGTAACAATTCTCTGATAATTCCTTCCCTATATAAAAAGATGGTTCTAAAAGGAACAACCATGCCCCATAAGGGGAATAATGTAACGCTATTGTTTCAAGTGGAAAAAGTTAATGTTTCAAGTAGACGGGACATAAAGTTTTCACTGACAGTTAAATTTAGTTCACTTTTTGGGGAAAAGGCTGGAACATTATTGGTGCTGAATGAAGGCAATGTTTTGACACCAAGAAATTGGAAAGTACCAGCACTTCCAAGAAATATCAGTTGGTTGATGTAGCAACAGACTAGCGAAACTTGTGTGGCTAAAAGGCAAAGCACCAAGGAAAAAGTTACTAAGATGAAGCACCTTTGAAATTAGAAGAATCTTATTTATTGACCAGGATGAACTGTTTCTGATCCTGCCTCATTCCTCCCTCCTCCTTGGCTCCAGAGTATTGCACTTTCCTCTGAGACAGCTCTTTGCATACTGTATTTTATATTTATAGATTACTATGTACTACATATAAGATGAAATTTTTTATTAGAAAGAGGTACAAGGAAGAAAAATATCACTATAATCTTACAGTGCAGATACCCCTTTGATATTAAAAATGAATTAAAAAATGGAAAAAGGACATGTAAAAAATTAGTAAATTCAAACTATAGAAAGGTTAAAAATAAAAATACCTCTTTTAAATCCACCACTTTTTATGATTTCTTTCAAAAATGCATAACTATATACATCTACCAATTTGTTTATTTAGTTCTTTTTCTTAATTTCAAAGATGGTAGTTTTGCTTAGTATGTTGGTTTTGTTTGTTTACCTTAATTATATATGAAGAATTTTCCATATTAGCACACATAAATGAAATGCTGCTTAGTATTGTGGCATAATTATGATGTATCATAATTTATAGATGTTCATCAATAGGGGATGAGCTAAATGTCATTAACTTTCCATAATGCATTCCCATGTTCCTCTCCACTACTATGAGAATTTGATTTGATTGAGGTCAGGATGTCTACAGCCATACCACCCTGAACGCGCCCGATCTCGTCTGATTGAGGTCAGGAGCTGGGCCCTATTCACCATTGCCTAGTGTCTACCTCACTGGTCCTGCAGAGTGGCTGAGGGTAATACACATGTCAATATCCTGTGATCAAATTATTAAATAAATGTAGACAGACAAAATAACTTCTTAATATTACTTCTATAATGAAATGTAGTTGGAGAGCAGGGGCACAACCTTTTTTTTTTTTTTTTTAACAAAAAAAGCATAGAGTCCCCACATTTCCACAAGTAAATATAATTAGCCAACCTACTTGAAAAAGAAAAAAAAGTAATAACAAGAAAGAATTCCAAGTCATAATCCCAGGTGTAACTCTGATTTCAAGTGAAACTCATGTTAACCACCCTAGGAAAAAACAAATCGGGGCCCCGTGGGGGTGGGGGTGGGGGTAGATAGGGAGGAATCTTTTAATGTAAAACATCAGGATCCTTTCTAGTAGAGCATTCACTTAGGATTCTCCAACAAGGAAGCAAATACATACGCACCCTTAGACTGAACTCCAACTCAGGTCAAGAAAACACATCTCAATTTCCTTCATGCTGTTCCTAAGCATATATTTCCTGTGCTAGAGGCTGAAAGAATTCCCAGGATGCAGTGAACTCAGTTAGTAGAAATAAATACAATTCTGGTTTCAAAGTGAAAGCTCTATGTTACAATGCAGGTATGAGTTAACAAGGCTGGAGGCATCAGCTAGAATGAAAACCTTGCTTTCAGTAGGTAAAAGATTTACAGGTGTAATGACCTGAGATGGTATTTTTTCTAATTCAAGAGTCAAGGTACTGAAATTGTGACAATTTGAAGAGTGCTGTCATGTAAGTTGAATCACATACTAATCAATACAATATAAATTTAATCCAGGTCCTAGAAACTGAGTTTTTCAAGGAGATGTTAAAGACCATTTGTGCTGTAAACATCTATGGATAAATCAATCTAAGCAATCATAAAAATAAATAAATAACTTGGCAACGACGTCGCCTATGAAGATGTTTAGTGTAAAAACAATGCATAGAAATGACTATAAAATACAATACCCACCCTTCTGTGCTATAGAAACAAAGTGATAAACTAGTTTAGTGCTAGACTACCCCAGGAGAAGGTTGAATAGCTGTCCAGAAATTCATATTTTTCTTAGATAGGTACCAATTTTTCCACTGGGAGTGAGCACTAAAGGTATCTTATATGGATTCAAATTGTCAATAGACCTTTCTAAAGTGTAAATTTTACTTTAATCACCCACATGCCCACCTATCGGATAACGTCCAAACTCCTTAACACAAAAGGCCATCCAATGTCATGATCTAAATGTGTGCATCTCACTTTCCACATACAGTACTTCTCAAAAAGGGCTGAGACCTTTCACAATCTCCCAGATCTGCTTACGCTGCTCCTTCTTTCTGAACTGGCTTCTCTCTTTTCCTGCTTAATCACTTTCATAAAATATTTCCTGACCGCTTTTCCCACCCCACCAAATTCCCATAAAATAACTTATTATTAATTAATTTTTAATACATTCATTCAACTTATTTATTCACCCTTGCCTGAAATTCATTCAAAATTCATTGGGAACATGGGGCTATATATCAGGTGTTGTGCTATTCATGAAAGACTAAGTAATGAATAAAATAGAAAAAGTCCTAGTTCTTAAAGAATATTCTTTCTGATAGCAAAGCAGACATTAAATATTTTTTAAATTATAAATCAATTTCATTTATTCTTGTGTGAGTCTATTATATACACTTCTAATTTGGTATCTGTGGAACACCTCAGCTCACTCATTTATTTATATGCCTTTTTTTAACAATTTAAATGTCTCTCGAGTATAGGGTCTCTGCATTATTTATCTTTGTATCCCCCAAGTATAATGTAGTTCCTAGAATGCAGTAGATTATACACATACATGCACACATGCATGCACCTGCACAATTTTAGCAAGCTTATGTATTTTCCAGCGTGGAAGGCACCCTGACAACTGTCCTATGGCTCCACAACAGCAAAGCACCCTCTCAGCTGAATAAGCCAAGATTGAACTTAATTCAGTCCGACATTGGATATATCTGTCAGGCTTTTAAAATATCTGCATAAAGAGTCTCTAAATTTCTTAATAAAGCATTTAATATTTAATAAGTCTCTCAGGAAGGCTTTCTTACCTAAAATAGGCACTGGAAATCTTTCCCCTATTTTCTAAAAGATCATTGCAAATTTGGCTAGTCACAAGTTGTACATATTCTAAATATAGTAATTGCAGCTTGGCAGCATATTCATTTTTTTACCTAAAAATAATCATAATCAAAGAAGTAAATATTTTGTATTGAACATAATGTGTATTTTTGGCATATAATGATTAGATATAAAACATGTAGAAGCAATTAAATTTAACCATCTAGGAATCTGTAAAAGCTTTCCTTATAGGAAAAAGTCATATTTGATGTAGTTTTCACAAATTAAGGATAGTCAAGGATTTGATATATATGATCTTTTTACTGATAATAGACTTAATTTTCACAACTCAGTTTCACCACTTACTCATTGTAAAAGCGGACCAGCAATGTAAAATTTCCCTAACTAACAGAATTATATGACCTTACACTGAACACTCAATCCCAAATCTGGCATAGAGTAGCATGTAGTAAATATCTGTTGAATGAATAAAAGATTGGGAGTAACTTGCAGCATTATGTAAGGTAAACAGGGGAATAACTTTTATGAACCATGGAAAGACACAAAACAAATGTTAGATATTATTAACATTATTGAGGCACATGCAAAAATTATTATTTTTAGGGCCATTTTCCTGGAGCTATGCCTCTCATTTTATTTCCAGCATAGAAATAGTACAGTCAATTGCAGGCATCACAGTGATGCATTTTAGAATTGAAGAGAGTTCAAAGGCTCTATTTTGGACTATAAAACTTAAACTGGTAAGAAGGAGAGCTTTCTTTTTATATGAATTATGATCTGTTTAACAAGGGTTGACTTTGTGAAAGGACCTAAATATGCTACATTACTATAAAGCTCTCTCATTTGTTTCACTCTTGTAGACAATGCCCATGAGAGACCCTGTCAAATTTGCCAGGTAATACAAAGGGCAAAGTAAAACCATTCTTTACTTTTTCCATTTTGGATTATCTCGAAGAAAGTTAGCTAACAATCAAGTCAACCTTCCTTTCTCTACGACCATGAAATGAAACAATTCTCCAACCAGAGTTGGTGAACTGTTCCTAATTTAGTAACGGACATATCCTGAGACCTTTAGCGGAGTAGAGAGAAGGTCTCCTGAAGGTGTCTCAAATCTAGAATTAATTACCTGGTTCCTCACATGAGAATTTGATTCTGAAGAAACTGGCTTTATGTGGACAGGAGGAAGAACCCCTTTCCTTTTTCAAAATTTGAGAACAGATGTGCCAGATTTGCCCCTGCTTGTTATATATACAAATAGTTAGAAAGTAAATTGTAAGAGGCCTAGCCTCTAGGATTTGACATCGGGGACAGGCCCGGAAACACAACATGGCAGCACACTGTGGCTGGGGTGGAGGCCGACCTCAGTGCTGGCTGCTGCAGGGACGCGGGGAGGGACGCCCTTCTCAGCCTGGAGCTGGGAGGAGGCTGGGGAGCAGTGCCAGGAAAGGTGTCCCTGGGGATGAGAACTTCTGTTTCTATTCCAGATTCCCAGACTCACAGCACAGAGGGGATGCTTTGTTCTCACGACTTTTTGACACTTTCAAAAAACAAACAAACAAACAAAACAGTATGGTCTCTGGAAGAAGTGGAGGAGTGACTCATAAGTGTCTCCCTTCTGCCAGTCTCTAGGCACCTGGGGCTACCAGAATGCTTCTGCCCTGGGCTTTGAGGGAAGCTGATCACCCAGGTCTCCCTGGCAGGAACTAGCAAGTAGGGGCAGGTTTCAGGGGGTGGAGACCCCAAAGATAACCTTGGTCTCAACCTTGATGCTGTTTAGAACCACCCAAAGAGCCAAAGCTCCCAGGTGATGAGAGACAGGACTAGCTGGATTTCCTAGGCTGACTAAGAATCCCTAAGCCTGGCTGGGAAGGTGACCACATCCACCTCTAAACACGGGGCTTGTAACTTAGCTTACACCCGACCAATCAGGTAGTAAAGAGAGCTCATTAAAATGCTAATTAGGGAAAAACAGGAAGTAAAGAAGTAGCCAATCATCTGTCGCCTGAGAGCACAGGGGGAGGGACAATGATCAGGATATAAACCCAGTCATTCCAGCTGGCAACGGCTACCCACTTTGGGTCCTCTCCCTTTGTATGGGAGCTCTGTTTTCACTCTATTAAATCTTGCAACTGCAAAAAAAAAAAAAAAAAAAAAAGAAAGTAAATTGTAGCTTAAGATACAATATGAATTTTAATTTCTAAAAAGCAGATGAACTTGTTAAAGGAAAATTACATAGTTACCAATTTTAAGTTTTTTAAATTTAATTTTTATTTTAAGGTCAGGGGTACATGTGCAGCTTTGTTACATAGGTAAACTTGTGTCATGGGGGTTGGTTGTGCAGATTATTTCATCATCCAGGTATTAAGCCTAGTAGCCATTAGTTATTTTTCCTAATCCTCTCCCTCCTCCCACCCTCCACTCTCTGAGAGGCCACAGTGTGTTGTTCCTCTCTATGTGTCCATGTGTTCTTATCATTTAGCCCCCACTTATAAGTGAGAACATGTGGTATTTGATTTTCTGTTCCTGCATTACTTTTCTAAGGATAATAACCTCCAGCTCCATCCATGTTCCTGAAAAGGACATGATCTTTTCTTGTTTATGGCTGCATAGTATTCCATGATGTATCTGTACCACATTTTTGTTATCTAATCTGTCATTGATGGGCATTTAGGTTGATTCCATGACTTTGCTATTTTGAATAGTGCTGCAATGAACATACAAATTCATGCTTCTTTATAATAGAACAATTTATACTCCTTTGGGTATATACCTAGGAATGGGATTGCTGGGTTGAATGGTATTTCTATTCGTAGGTCTTTGAAGAATTGCCACACTGTTTTCCACAATAGTTGAACTAACTTACACTCCTACCAACAGTTTATGTGTTCCCTTTTCTCTGCCACCTTGCCAGCATCTGCTGTATTTTGACTTTTTAGTAATGGCCATTCTGACTGGTGTGAGATAATATCTCATTGTGGTTTTAATTTGCATTTCTCTAAAGATCAGTGATGATGAGCTTTTTTTCATATGTTTGAATTGGCTAGATGTATGTCTTCTTTTGAAAAGGATCTATTCATGTCCTTTGCCCACTTGTTAATGGGGTTGTTTTAGTCTTGTAAATTTGTTTAAGTTTCTTAAAGATGCTCAATATTAGACCTTTGTCAGATGCACAGTTTATAATATTTTCTCCTATTCTGTAGGTTGTCTGTTTACTCTGTTGATTGTCTCTTTTGCTGGGCAGAAGCTCTTAATTTTAAATTAGATCCCATTTGTCAACTTTTGCTTTTGTTGCAATTGCTTTTAGCATCTTCATCATGAAATCTTTGCCCATTCCTATTTCCACAATGGCATTTCCTAGGTTGTCTTCGAGGTTGTACCTTTAAGTCTTTAATCCATCTGGAGTTAATTTTTGTATATGGTGTAAGGAAGGGGTTCAGTTTCAATTTTCTGCATACGGCTAAGCTAGTTATCAAAACATCATTTATTGAATAGGGAGTCCTTTTCCCATTGCTTGTTTTTGTCAGCTTTGTTGAAGATTAGATAGTTGTAAGTGTGTGGCCTTATTTCTGGACTCTGTTCTGTCCCATTGGCCTATGTGTCTGTTTTTGTACCAGTACCATGCTGTTTTGGTTACTGTAGCTATGTAGTATAGTTTGAAGTCAGGTAGTATGATTCCTCCACTTTGTTCTTTTTGCTTAGGATTGTCTTGGCTATTCGTGTTCTTTTTTAGTTACACATGCATCTTAAAATAGTTTTTTCTAGTTCTGTTCCTCACAGGAAAATTTAATTCTAAGGAAACTGGCTTTATGTGGTCAGGAGGGAGAATCCCCTGCCTTTTTCAAAATATTAGAACAGATTTACCAGAATGTGGCCCTGCTTGGTATATATAAAAATAGAAAGTAAATTGCAATTTAAGATCTGATATGAATTATAAATTCTAAGAAGCAGATTAACTTTTAAAAGGCAAATTGCATAGTTATCAATTTTTAAATGAAGCTTCCTTCATGTTTGATATTGTGGTAGATGCTTTAATGTGTTCACTTTTATTCCACCAAACTACCTGTTTTTGAGTTGAAACCCCTTTTGAGATGGAAAAAGTCCTAAAGATGAGAGAGTTTAAGTAAATTAAGTATACCCAGCTAATAAGTGTCAGAACCAGTATATAATCCCGGGTCTTGATATTCCATAGTTCATTCCATACTGTTTCCTGGATCAAACGATCCCCACCTCCTTATTTACCAGAATCTTCAGTGATTGCAGCCTGTGCTCAACAGTAACAGAAGAACATTCATTCATTCACAACTATTGAGCACTTACTATGTTCCAGGCATTATTCTAAATCCCATATAACTAGACTAAGGAATGTTGCTGTCATGGAAATTATACTTTAGTAAAAGGGACAGCCAAAAGACAAGTAAACATATAAATAAAACTTCAATTGTGAAGTGCTAAAAAAAGATAAGGTAATGTAAGGAGCAGAGACTGACAGAAGAGGAAGTAATAGATGCAGTAATCTGGAAAGATCTCAGTGAAGTTCTAAAAGAAAGGAGGGAGCAATCTTTGGAAATATGAGGAAGAAAAGTGTTGTAGGCAAAAGGTTAGAAGTACAAAATGTCTTGAGGTTAGTGTGTACTCAGCTCTTTGGAAAAATGGCAATGAATGAAAAAGGGGGAGGGTGATGGGAGAGGAGACCAGTGAACTAGTAGGGATCCTTTCTCGATCCCTTTCCTGCTAGAGTGACAGCGACCTCTAAAGGCTAGCAGGATGCCTGAGGAGAAAGGTGCAACTCAAGGGATGAGAATCAGAATTCAAGGTCTAGCTGTTCCTAATCAAACAGAGGTACTTCCATTACCAAACCTAAAGATCTGGGTTTTATTTGTTTGTAAAGATAGCAAATCCCTACATGTTTTCATATTTAAAAGAGGATGTTGGAGGAGAGATAATCTAAGATCCTTCATTCTAAGAATCAATAAACATTATCCTTACACATGTAGCTCCCAATTTCCTAGCGAAAATGGAGAACAGGATAGAAATTTCCTTCAATTATACTCAAAGGAGCCCAAAAAACTAAAAAAACATGTAATTTCAAAAAATATCAGAGTCTCAGTGGAAGAAGGGATGACAGTAGGAAAATAAAGAGATTCTTTTGTGGGCATTCTTTCTTGTAACTTCAGTGAATATTAATGAAGTAGATTGAATATATTGAAGGTTATGTAACCTCAATAAAGATGGCCTCCTTCATGGTCCTGTCTCATCAAGAAGTCAAGTATAAAGAGAAACAATTAAGAAGCATTAAAAAGTTATTCAGTCTACCCTAGGAGCTTAAAGAAACTAACAGAACAGCAAGAAGTTCCCATTAATAAGCTCTTTTCTCTCTGTGTTTTTCACTTTTTCTGCGTATCCCCTCCTCCCCAGGATTACTTCTCAGTCTCCACAGAAACTTGTCTTTGTACCCCCATGCTTTGTCCTCTAAGATCCAGTCTAATCTCTTGCTAGAAGCCTTCCAAAAGGGAAGGTTGCCAGTCTGTCCCAGTTCTTTGCAAATCTTCACGTCTGCCTACCTCGTATCTTTACCAGAAGTGCAAAAGGCAGGTAGGCATATTCTTTGTAAAGAAAGAAAGAAATAAGGCTGCAAATATTCAGGCATTCATAATTTTTCTCTGACATAATTGGCATGTTTATTGATTACTCCTCCAGTGTCTGAGCTGATACTCCTAAAACCTTAAATGAAATGGAATCAAGGAAATTTTCTGTTACATAGGTGAGATGCATTCTCATTCAGCATTGTTATTAAAATGGCCATCAAAATGGAAATGAACTGTAGAATGCTTCTTGCTGTTAAAATATTTCTGCAAATCAAGTTCTTCACTGATGTTTGTTGATTTTGTTCTTTTAACATTATTGGACCTTCCCCATTTGTTTGATAACTATATCAAACAAGTTACCATATAAAAATCTAAATTTGAAAGAGAATGTGCAGCATTACCTGATTAACCCAAATACTACAGTTGACAAAAACAAACCTTTAGTTGGCCTGCTTTTTTTTTTTTTTTCTTTTTTAAGTTGAGACAGAGTCTCACTCTGTCACCCAGGCTGGAGTGCAGTGGTGTGATCTCGGCTCACTGCAACCTCCGCCTCCCAAGTTCAAGCAATTCTCCTGCCTTAGCCTCTCAAGCAGCTGGGATTAAAGGCACCTGCCACTGTGCCCGGTTAATTTTTATATTTTTAGTAGAGATGGGGTTTCACCATTTTGGCCAGGCTGGTCTTGAACTCCTGACCTTATGATCCACCCGCCTGGGCCTCCTAAAGTCCTGGGATTACAGGTGGGAGCCACTACGCTCAACATTGGCCTGCTTTTATATGTGAAATACACACACACACACACACACACACACACACACACACACATTCCTTTGGTGGAGGGGGAGGAGTGGTGTATTTGTATGTGCATAAGTATGTGTGAAAGACAATATTCAAAAATGGAATAGACCTGAGTGTATATCTGATATTATTTTAGTAGTATTAAAGAAAAAAATGTCAAGGTCTCTAAGGGGCTGCAAAGATATTAATAAACACAAAAATATCCTTTGTGATTTTACAAAAGATCTAGAAAATGATTCCAATTGCACTTCAAGGAGCAAATTCTAGCATTCACAATGTGAAATTGAGCAATGTCCAAAAATGGTAGCATTGTTTTCTTTTTCTCTTTATGTAGGTTTTAGTTTGTCCCCATATGTTTTTGAGCCTAACTTATTAATAACAACAAAAAAAACCTCTTACAAGTCTGTTTAAAAACAAACAAAAAACCTGCTCAATCATCCCTGGATGGTTGCTTTCACATATTTATTTTTTAAAAATAATTTCTCTATATGGAAATTTTCAAACACACAGATGCAGAGGGAATAGTATAATGAATCTCCATATTCTCACCATGTAGTTTCCATAGGCATTCATGGTTTGTCCATATTGTCTGATTCAGCATCCCTGCCCTTTTTGGCTGAAGCATTTTAAAGCAATTCACAGATATGCAAAGATTTACAAATAAAAGGCTTAGATTATTGTTTAACCCCCTGGACTTTTTTGTTGGATTCCCCAAGTTTTATAGTTGCCCTAGAAACTATAGTTATCCCTGGACAAAATGTAAAGCATATCATAACTATATACATAAGCTTCAAGTGAAAGAAAAGACAAAATAGAGACCTCTGGATTGACGCTAAATGTGAATTATAAAGGAGTAAGGGAGCACGTGGCCGCTAAATGGCATAGTTCATACAGCACAGGCATAGGAAGAAAAATGACTTATGGCAGATTGGAGAAAGATCCTGTAAATGCATCTATGCCTGACTGTCCAGGTGCGCTGGCTGACTGCTGTGTGAAACCTCACATAGGCTGCCTTTGAAGGGAAGAACTTCTGTGAGCACTGCTACCCTCTCTCTTTAAATGTCCAACAGAAACTGAGAAACAATACAACAATCAATTCCTTCATTCAGAGACTTAGGGGGATACCTAGAAAAAAGGTGAACAAAGAGTTGGCTCTATTTTGTATTGAGAATGAGTGTTCCAGCCCTACACAAAATACAAAGGGGAAAGACCACATCCCCTTGTATAGGTTCACAGTGTTTCATTTAAAACACAAAATTGACGCCTGTAATCCCAGCACTTTGGAAGGCCGAGGCGGGCGGATCACGAGGTCAGGAGATGGAGACTATCCTGGTTAACACGGTGACACCCCGTCTCTACTAAAAACACAAGAAAATTAGCCGGGCGTGACGGCGAGCGCCTGTAGTCCCAGCTACTTGGGAGGCTGAGGCAGGAGAATGGCGTGAACCCGGAAGGCGGAGCCTGCAGTGAGCCGAGATCGCGCCACTGCACTCCAGCCTGGGCGACAGAGGGAGACTCCGTCTCAAAAAAATAAAAAATAAAAAAAAAAAAATAAAACACAAAATTGGAGTGGCCCAGATTTATCCCTTATGCCCTTTACTGGATTTAACAGAATGACTAGTCTGCCTGCTTCATGAGAAAAATAATTTTAAATGAGTTATTGATACTTCACTTTACTTGCATTGTGGCACTGACTCAAGACTTAATATAGAAAATTATAGATCTTGGCCTAGGGTAATTTTAATCTTTGCCCATAATAACAGGCCTTTAGCTGCCAAAGGCAAGGGCTTTGTGTGCTGAAATTGGAACTCTGACCCTGGGTTACAAAGTCATAACTAGTAAGCACAAAGAAAGATTCCAGAACTTGGGAGTTAATATCTCCTTGCAGAAGTTATATGTAAACAAATGTGCATCATATTAAGTATCCACACAATGTACCTCTTGTACAACATTATGTCTTAGATCAGAAAAGAAGACCTCTTGCTCAATATAAACTATTTTATTGGACATTATTGAAAACAAAAAAGGCACACTTAATTCATCAATCTAAAAAGCTTCATTCATTTATGTCTCCCAAGCAGGCTTTCCCAAGGCTGTGTCATGTAAATAACTTCCCTGAAATGACAAATGTATTTACTCTTCATTACCTTGTTATCGTGTATCATGCGATATGGCGCCTTGCATCTTTGACTTCTTCCTGGGTACTATATCAGATGGTCATGGATGTGGTAGAATGCAACAAACTACTTAACTAATTAAAAATTTCACTCTAATATTTTATTTCATTAGGGGAAGAAAAAAACCCACAACATAGTTCTTTTTAAAACAAGGAAGCTATACAAACCTATTATTAGTAAAAATTCCTCTTTGTTCTTGGCTAATCAATTCATTTGGGCGTTGGATGAATTGTCAATGAAATTTTTTTGTTTTGTTTTTGACTCTGAAGTAAAATGTATCTTCCTAGATTTATAAGCTTATCTTTGTAAATTCTATCACATTTTTTTAGAGAGTATTTATGAGCTTCTAAACTAAGATGCTTTAAACTTTCTTGCAGCAGAGCACCTAAAAGAAAATATATTGAGTCATCACATCGCTGAATAGCATTCATAACAAGCAGTCATTCAAAAATAGGCATAATCTAAACTAAAATTATTGTATTATTTGAAAGGCCAAAAGATTTGCATGTGACTGACAGTCAGTTAAATGTTTAAGAGGTATCTGGAAATAACAGATGCAAAGTATGTCTCTTGATATCCCATAAAGAGCCCATTCTTTCCCCAGCCTTCATCACAGTACCATCCACCCAGTGGCTGAAGCCCTAAATCTAGTCCTCTTTCAGCTCTAAACTCTTACCTACCTTATTCAAAATATATTAACTCTACCTTCAAAATATATCCCAAATCTTCCACTTCTATCCATATCCCCCCACCAAATAATTCATTCAAAATTACCACCATCTCTTTTTGGAATTCTGCAATGGTCCCTTTTATAAAGGAACCATTCTTTATAAAGATCATTCTTCCATACATAGTCAGAATGATCTTTCAAAGCAAAAATCAGATCACATCCCTTTCCTGTTTGAAAACCTTGAATAGTTCCACATCAAATATCGAAAAAAAAAAATCAAACTTTTTTTCATAGACAAAAAGGTCACTACTTATCTTTACAGTCTCATTTCTAACAACTCTTGACTGTTGCTCACTTTTGCTTTAATTACATTTGAACTAGTTACAGTGTTCTTGCTTTGGAACCTTTGCACTTGGAATTCCCTCTGCCAGAAAGGAAATCTTTCCTCTCAAATATCTTTACATCATTCATATCTCAGCTGAAACACTGCTTCTTCAGAAAAGGCATTTCTGACTATCAAAATGTAAGTCTTAACCAGTCAGTCTTAACCAAATCCTCCTTTTTAAAATAAATTCATAGGAATTATTCGAACCTGAAATTACAGTTTATTTTTATGTTGTTGATTTTTGCCTCATTTACTCTTCACTGCTCCAGAATTCAAATATTATGAGAGCAAAACCTCATGTATTTTGTCCATTGTTTATCTGTTACCTCTAGAAAACAGTAGACACCTAATAAATACCTATCAAATGAATGATTAATAATTGTAATATATTTGTCACAAATAGGAAAATCAATGTTTTATTAGTTTATACATATTAATAAAAATGAGGAAATCTCAACACTGTTATAATAAAAACACACATATGTAGGCATTTAATTGGGTTTAACCAATTGATAGATAAAATGAATATAAATGCATGATAGCAATGAAACTACCATATTTTTAGAGGGCTTACTAAATGGCAGCACTTTATTTCATTTGGTCACTATAACAGTCTTATGAGGGGAGACCTATTTTTACAATGGAGATTCAGAAAGTTTTAAAAGTTTGCCTAAAGTCATGGAGTTAGTGGCAGACTCTTAACTACCAACTTGCACTCCCTCTAAAATAATAATAGCGATGGTGAAAAAGACAACATTTACTGAGGTATTTTATGAGCCAGGCATCTTGCTAAGCATTTTAGATGTTGTAGGAAGGACTGTGCTTACCAATATCCATGTTCCCAGTCTTTCCTTATAAACATGAGCCTCCATGGCCTATAAACTACCAAATGTGACAAGTGTTACTTCTGAGCTAAGCCTTGAAGGCTGGTGTTCTCCTTTCATCTCTGATCTCCTGCTATCATGTCCTCAGAGGCTGCAATTTCTATAGATGGTGTGGTCTCCTTTTCACAAGATTCTGAATAACTGTGCAGCAGAGCCAACAACATCTTAACTTTCTAATATGAACAAAGAATGACACTTTTTAAGTGTTAAGCCACTAAGATTTGAAGAATTACTTATTACCACAATATGATCTATCTTATTTAGACTAATGCAGATACAATACCTCATTTAATTCCTTAACTTCTTCAGTAAAGGTACAGTATTACTTGCATTTCATGGATTATATAAATAAGTCTTAGTGATTTGAAATAACTTACTCAAATCATATAATTAGTAAATGGATGGAAATGCTGGATTGTTTGAATCAAAAATCTGAACCTTCCACTGAAGACTGTGTTCAGTCCCATTAATGGGATTCATTTCTTTTGAGAAAATACATTTACATTATTCAGTGGCAATATTAATCATAGTGCTTTATGTTGCATAACTTCCTGGAGAAAGTTTAGATTAGAGGAAAGCAAAAAGTCTTATTATCTTATCAGGAAATGTGACCAAATTACACATTAGTTAATGGCAATGTTTCCATACTCTGTGTTCTCTAACAAACCTTAAATACCGTACTCTAATAGCTGATTTTGAGACTTTATTGACTAGCCTAGTCATAACTGCTTTATAAGTTGTAACTCTCCACTGCTCTTCATTTTATCAGAATCATGGATTGTGCAGGTCCCCATGGGAACAGATTATAGGCACAAACAAAACAAAACAAAACAAAACACAACAAAAAAACAAAGAGCTTTCTCAGCACACCTCAGTAAAAATGTTCAGTTATTTTACAATTAGAATAATATTTATATAACCAAGGAATTTGTACATCTATTTGCACTCTTCCACTCTTCTTGATAGAGACAGAACTTCTACCAAAAGCAAATAATGTAAAACTACATATTTTAATATGAACCAAAGAAAAAATGTAGAAAATGTTTCAGTCAACAGTTTTTCTTATCCCCCAGATGTAAAATTATACTGTGAACAGACTAACTGAAAGCAACCTTTTTTTTTTTTTCTTTGAGAAAGAGTCTCATTCTGTCTCCCAGGCTGGAGTGCAGTGGAGCAATCTCGGCTCACTGCAACCTCTGCCCGCTTCCCGGTTCAAGTGATTCTTGTGCCTCAGCCTCCCGGGTAGCTGGTACTACAGATGCATATCACAATGCCTGGCTAATTTTTGTATTTTTAGTAGAGATGGGGTTTTGCTATGTTGCCCAGGCTGGTCCCCTGGGCTCAAGCTATCTACCCCTCCTGGCCTCCCAAAGTGTTGGGATTACAGGTGTGAGGCACTGCTCCTAGCTGAAGGCAACTTTTAACATTTGGCTCTTTATTCCCCAGATAAACAATAGCAGATACAGTTCATTTTCAACTAATGAAGGAAGAAAACCCTGGTCAACGTCCGTGGCTCGATACATTTTTTGTATGTCATAGCAAAGGATTTTGATTATAGATTATAAACAAAGAAATACACCTCAGTGGCTACTGGAATAAACAAATGCAAGCTAAATACATACCTATGAATTCAGTTCAATAGTGTCGATGTTTTAAGATCACACCTGTACTGGTGACCATAGAAATCACTGAAATCCTGCATTGCTTATCTATATGATCCGCTATCTCTAGATTTTAAACTCTAATATTACTTTCCAGTAAACAGAGTTAAGTTCTATAAGGATCAAGTTCAAGGAAAATTTGTCTTCTAAAAATATGCAGCATATTTTCATTTGAATGTATTTACGTTCTCGTGACAAAAACAGAAAAGACCTTGAGTTAATAGAAGTTCACAATATACATTTTATAAAGAGTAAAATCCAATCCACTATGACACAAGGGTTGAACTTAAATGTATCATCCAATTTAAGTGCTAAGCACTATCATAGATGCTTGATTCTGGAGGCAATATCTAATGGCATGGAATACAGAAAGAAATTGGAGTAAAAGAAGTATATTAGTTTCCTATGGCTGTTGTAACAAATTTCTACAAACTCAGTGGCTTAAAGCAATACAAATCTATTCTCTTACTTTTGTGGAGGTCAGAATTCTGAAATTAAAATATCAGTAGGGCCCTGTTCCTTCTGGAGGCTTTAGGCAAGCATATACTTCCTTGCCTTTTCAGGTTCTAGAAGCTGTTACATTCATTGGCTTGCAGCCCCTTCCTCACATCACTATAATCTCTCTTTTCATCATCACATCTACTGCTAACTCTGATCTTCTTGTTTCCCTCTTATAACGATCCTAACAATTACACTTGGTTCATCTGAAAGAATCAGGGTAATCTTCCCATCTAAAGATTCTTAACTTAATCACACCTCCTAAGTAAGGCAAGATATTCACACGTTCTGGAGATTACGACATGGACATCTCTGGGATGCAATTATCTAGCCTATCACTGGGGAAAAAGAAATGAAAGAAAAGGCAAAAAGACAGAAGACTTGCAAGTATTGTTGTAGATAATAATAATAGTAATTACTGTTATTCATTCATTCAATAAACGTTTATTGAGCCATTAAATCGTTTCATATAAGGTCTTGTGTGCGGTAGAAACACTCTAAAAAGGTGAGCTCAAATTAGTTACATGGCCACATATTCAAATGTTTATGTCCTGTCTATATCTGGATGCTCACAGTTAGTACTGATGAATGAATTGTATTCTAAAGAAAACTTTAATGACAAGTTTCAGGAGTAGCTTTCTTTGCTTATTCAGTTTATCCAAGATGCAAGAAAAACATTTTTCAAAATAGATTTGGTCCCAGAATGCAATTAATAATGACAATAATGTGAATGGTGCACTGAAAACAGCAACTTCAAAATAATATGCTCAAAAATCTTTTAACTTAGGAACCTCATTTTACTGGGCAAAGATGTAAAATATTGCAAAAATTAGATGATGGTAAAAGTGTAACTCAAGTCTAAGAACAGCCATTCTAAGGGGAGAACATTTTCTCCTTGTGGAGATCTTCATTTTTTGCAGTCATTAGCAAAAATAAGAAAAGACACTAAGTGGCTGGATGAAAAAGACAAGTAATTACTAAGGTCTTCTCTTTTACACCTATGGGAAAATTAGACTTGGTTTTCAGATTGTGTCTCTTCTTCCTAACAAGAAAATGGAAACACTTATGAAAGTAGAACAAATTTTGCCTCAGGACAATTTCAGGAATTATTATAATTTTAGAATTCATCTATTTTGATAGATTACTCCAATTATAGAAAACATCATTTCCTGATGAGCTTTTTGAAACCACAGAATAGTCTCAAAAGATCTCTATATCTAAAAGCATTATTTCCAGTAAACAGAGGTGGAGAAAAGGAGTGTTTAATTAATGTCACTACTAATTATTGTTATTCATTCATTCAGCTAATACCTATTGAGCTATTAAATTATATCAAATAAGGTGCAGTACATGGTAGACATACTCTGTGAAGGTGAATCTAAACTAGCTACACTGGTCATGTAATCAGAAGCTTATAGCCTGTCTATATCTGGATGTCCAGAGTTAATACTGGGAAACAAATCGTATTCTGAACAAACTTAATTGACAAGTTTTAAAATAGTTTTGTTTATTCAATTCCTCTAATTTTACTATTCCTGAAATAATAAAAAACGTAGAAAAGAGGCATAGTCTATGAAATGTGTACATTACTAACATTCCAAGTCATTATATTGAGAATGGTCTACTGAAAATATTAAATGTACTGATTAAGAAAAAAATTTGTGAGGCACACAACAAATCGAGGGCTAATTTGGTTAATATACAGAGTGTCAACAGGTCAATACATAAAAATACACAACCCAAGAGAAAAATAATAAAAAAACTGGAACCACAGGTAAATGATGAAAGAGATATAATTGAACAATACATGAATGAAAAATGATCAAACTCATTAGTAAAGAGGAAAATCATAAAACAATATCATGACACTGTCTAACTTTTACCTTGGCAGAGCATATAAATTTATACTTTCCTAGTATTTTGAAGAGCTAGGAAACAAGAGTTTGTATTGTTTTGGTGAAATTAAACATTTACAGAATCTTTTTCTTAGGAGGTCAATACATCATACTTTAAAATATGCATAACTTTTAACCCTGGACTTCACTCTTAAGTGTCCATCATATACATAAATCCATGCATGGGAGCAAATATATTTTATAGGGACATTCATTGCAACATTGTAATAGAAAAAAAACCTGAAAGCAATACAAATATTCATTCATTTGCAGAGCAGTTTATATAAATATGGTACATTCATTAAAATGGAATGCTGTCTAGGTACAAAAATAAAATATATCTATCATATGCCAGCAGTTCTCAAAGTGTGGTCTGAGGACCTTCAGGTATCTCTGAGACCATTTCGAGTGGTTCACAAAGTCAAAATTTTTCCATAAAACTACTAAGATGTTATTGGTCTTCTTTTACTCTTTCAAAAATCCTCATTCTTAACAGGTAGAATGAAGTTCTTTTAGAGTCTACATGATATGTGATATAGGAAATGCAGAAGGATTTAAGAAAATTTAGCCGTGTTTTATTATGTCAAACATTAAAGAAATCTTCAAAAATGTAAAATAAGCCCACCCTTCTCACAAATACTTTCATTTGTTTAGAAAATATGGTTGTTTTTAATAAAATGTTGTTTTAATTGATTTTCAATGCTTTTATTGTCTTTTAAGTACATTTTTAATGTAACTTTTAATTGTCATTTTAAATTTCTAATATGACAAATGTTGATGTGTATAACCAACATAAACAAAAAGTTTTTGGTGTTCTTGATAATCATAAGAGTGTAAAGGAGACCTGAGAACAAAAATTTGAAATGCTGAACTCAGCCGATATGCTGTTGCCCCATAGAGATCTCCAATCTAATTTTCTTTTCCTTACAGTTTCATATTAAAAGTGCAGATATAGAGGAGAAAGAGAAAGGGAGAAGGATAGGAATAAGGAAAAAACCCTCAGACAAATGGAAACTATAGAGAATTAAGAAATATTCCTGCATAATCTTCAAAGTATATTCAATAGTGATAGGTAACTGGTATAAATGTTATAGATAAAATTTTTATAGTAAGATTATATATTGAAAATCTTTGAAGATATTATGTTTTGGCAATTTTTTTGTATTTCGTGTTTAGTAGATGTCCATTATTTTAGCATTTCAAACAATTTTTTCTAAGTAATAACTATTTTATAATATTTGCAAAGTACAGAACACAAAGAAGAAATCTGTATCTCTACTGCTGAGACCAATGACTATTATCATTTTGGTGTGTTTGTTCTGAGTAGTTTTTATTATAACTGAGTCATTTATAAAGTAAAAATGAGTTCATTTTTATTATTTTTTAGATAACATTTTATAAACATTTCAATATTATTCTAATTATTATTTTATTATTATTTTCTCTTTTTTTCCTGAGGACTATTGATAATCAAATTCCAGTTCTATCTTTAAAAGCTTCCTCATTAATAATTTTAGATGTCCACCTCTATGAAACTTCTTAAGAGTTTAACATTATTTTAAGGAAAATAACTAAAAGCATAAAAAGAAGGGGGTCTCCTTTTTTAAGGAAAGTTGCAACACTTTAAGCAAAATATTGGCAGCAGATGTTTGTAGCTGTGGTTCCAAAACAACAGAAGCTTTCCTGACTATGAGAGCCACCGCAGGGAAGTCATGAAACTGAGGGAATAAATGATTAGACCAAATGTCACTGCTGTCAGGAAATTCTTTGGGAAGTGACAGAAACCTCTCAGAAATTTAGAAGTGTTCCCTGCACCACACAGGAAGAAAACAATCTGTGCATTTCAGCATCAGGGGCCAGTTAAAATAATTATTGGCTGTCACCAAATTAATGGCTACAGATGAAGACTGGCGCTACCTTGAAAAATGTATTAACAATCCACTCATTATGCCTGACACTGTAGTTCTGGAATGAAAGATAATTATTCACTTTAGTAAGAACTTACCCCGTAATGAGGAGGATTCACAAAAGGTAATTCCAATAGAAGCTGTCCCCCTGGCAGCCTCTATAAGAATGTTCATTAACATAAACTAGTGAATTTCAAATACTCATCTTTGATCATATCTATATTGTGAGAGCTACCTAACGGTGACCCAATCTCACAGAATTTATCAACCTGTTTTCCAGATTGTCATACTAAACAAAAATATTCCAGTTGACAATAGAAATATAAACTTGATACTAATGGACACATACACTATTTGCATTCAGTTTTTCCAGTAAATAAATGTTATTGCTGCATAAAAGAAAGATTAATAAATTGCCAGTTTGAAGTAAATAATTGACTAAATCAGACTTAGCAAATATCCATCACTTAAAACCCTCCAGCGTTAAATGTGCGACAAATGTCTCAGATGGTCTTATGGCATAAAATAAATCAAAACACTGTGACAAAGTGGGACGTTCACAAGGTAATATGTTTCTTATTATTATCAATTAGACTTAAGATTTTCCATTTTAATACTTTTCTTTGAAATATCCTATTCAGGTGGGCCGAAATTAACATAACATTGAAGAACATATTGTCACTTAAGACAAGTGTTCTCATCATAATCAAAGCGTTATGAATGAATAATGAATATATTTGTAGTAGAAAGTATTGGTTTTATTTATTTATTTTATTTATTTTTGGACAGGGTCTCACTCTATCACCCAGGCTAGAGTACAATGGCACACTCATGTCTCACTGCAGCCTCCACCTCTCAAGCTCAAGTAATTCTCCCACCCTGGCCTCCTCAGTAGGTGGGATTTCAGGTGCACACCATCACAGCTGGCTTTTTTTTTTTTTTTTTTTGTAGAGATGAGGTCTCACTATGTTGCCCAGGCTGGTTGTGAACTCAGGTTCAACAGTCCTCCCAGTGATCCTCCCATTTTGGCCTCCCAAAGTAGTGGGATTACAGGCATGACCCACCACACCTCCCCAGTCTTATTTTTTTTTAAGTGGCCTATTTCAGTATTTAAATATTCAGAAGGAATAATTAGACTTACAGCTACCAAAAACCTACTCTGTAACATAAGCTTAGAAAATGACAATTCGACACCTTTCACACATCATAAGGAAACATGTGGAATGCAGTACCAGGGCTCTGTAGCATTTTTCTGTGTTTATAACTTAGAAGAACTCTGGAAGTATGAAGGAATGCACAAATACATCATTTAAAAGAAAATGACTCAGGCAGCCAGAACACATGATCATTAAGGCATAAAATCAACAAATCATACCACATTCCTCATCAGGGTTCACAGTTAAGCTAATAAGCATATATATATATATATATATATATATATATATATATATATATATGTTCATTATATATATATGTTCATTATATATATCTGCTAATTTGATCTTTATGTCCAAAGTTACTGTTACCATTAATTAATGGAATTATTTAAATGCATGAGCAGCTCAATACAGACGGGGAGGGGGTACAAACTTTTATCTCTGATTCTGATATTGATTCCTAGCTTATGGGTAAGGAGAAAACAGGGCTAAAGTTTGGGAAGTTTGACTACTTTTACTGAATGGTACAAAAATCCAGATTAAATGTTCTAAATGTATAACAATTATAACTAAAGTGTGAAGAAAAGCAAAGAAATTAAATATCAATCCCAGGACACAAGGAAAATAATCCACAGTAAAACTAGACTACGTATAAGGTTTTAAGAAATAGTAATAAACAACAATATAAAGAGTTTAAAAATATTATTCTATGCTCACTAAAGTATAGGTATACATTTATTCAACAGACTCATACTCATTATGGTTTTGGAGGAGAATCACCTGTGTTGGAACTATCATTTAAGTATCAAGAAAAAAAATTACTCAAGTCGTTTGCAAAAATGATGATTGACCCCATGTAACACTGTTATCAAAACTATCATTTGAGTGCAGCACCATTTAGACTGGGTTAGGCATTATGGCAAAGACTAAACTTGAAAGGTCATCTATCTTGCTTCTGCATCCACTGAATAGTAAGGTCACCATCTGGAGGTCATGAGAGGACAAAGATGGGCAAATTGTCCAGACCAAAATGTATAGGCTAGTTTTTTGTCCTGTACTTAAGTTAAACATTAGAGGTTTTCTCCCCACCCCAGCTTTACTGAGGCATAATTAACAAGTAAAAATTGTATATATTTAAGGTGTACAATGTGATGTTTTCAGATATATATATATATATATATAGTGAAATGGTTACCACAGTCAAGCTAATTAACATGCATATCTCTCACATAGTTACATTTTATTGTGTGTGTTGTAAGGATATGAAAAATCTACATTCTCAGCAAATTTCAAGTATCCAATATATTATTATCAACTATAGTCACCGTATGTACATAAAGTCTCCAGAACTTATTAATCTTATACTAACAAGTTTGTTCCCTTTGATCAACATCTACCCATTTTCCCCATTTCTATACCCCTGGTAACGATCCTTCTGTGCTCTGTTTCTATGAGTTCAACTTTTCTAGATTCCATGTTTAAGTGAGGTGCTGCGGTATATGTTCTTCTGTGTTTGGCTTGCACCCCAGTGATACATACCACTTGATCATAGTGTATGATCCATTTAATGTGCTGTTAAATTTGGTTCACTAGTATTTTGTTGAAGAGTTTTACATCTATGTTTATCAGAGATATTGACCTGAAATTTTCTGTTCTCATGGTGTCCTTGTCTGGCTTTATTAGAGTAATGCCAGCCTAGTAAAATGAGTTTGGACATACATCATCCTCTTTAATTTTTTGAAAGAGTTTGAAAATAATAGCTATTAATTATTCTTGAAATGTTTGATATAATTCACCAGTGAAGCCATTAGGTCATAGGTTTTTCTTTTATGAGAGATTTTACATTAATGATTGAATCTCTGTAATTGTTATTGGTCTATTCAGATTTTCTGTTTCATCATGATTCAGACTTTGTAGGTTGTTTGTTTCTAGGAATTTTTCTATTCTAGGCAGTCTAATTTGTTGCCATATAATTGTTTATATTAGCCTCTTATGATACTTTTATTTTTGTGGTGTCTGTTCTAATTTCTCCTCTTTTATTTCTGATCATATTTATTTAAATCTGTATTTTTTTCCTTAGTGTAGTGAAGGTTTGCCAATTTTGTTTACCTTTTTTTAAAAAAAAGTAATTCTTAGTTTTGTGGATCTTTTCTATTGGTTTCCTCTTCTCAAATTTTATTTCTTCCTTGATCTTTATTATCTCCTTCCTTTTGCTAAATTTGGGCTTAGTTTGTTATGTTTCTAGTTCATTGAAATGTAAAGTTAGGTTGTTTATTTGAGATGTCTCTTTGTTTTTCACATAGGAATTTATCACTCTAAACTTTTCCCTTAGAAATGATTTTGCTGCATCCCATGTGTTTTTGTATGTTGTGTTTCCATTTTCTTTTGGCTCAATATTTTTTTAATTATCTTTTAATTTTTTTGACCCATTGGTTTTTCAGAAATGTGTTGTTTAATTTTCACATATTTGTAAATTTTCCAGTATACTTCCTGTTATTGATCTCTAGTTTTATACTACTGTGGGTCAGAAATATGCTTAATATGATTACAATCTTTTAAAACTTAACAATTGTTTTGTGGATTAACATATGATCTATTCAGGAGAATGCTTTGTGTATGCTTGAGAAGAATATGCATTCAGTTGCTTTTGGATGGAGTCTTTTGTATGTCTGCTAGGTTCATTTGTTCTAAAATGTAGTTAAAGTCCAATGTTTTCTTATTGATTTCCGTCTGGACGATCTATTCGTTATTGAGAGTTGGGTATTGAAGTTCCCTACTATTATTGCATTGCTCTCTATTTCTGCATTTAGCTCTGTTAATATTTGCTTAATACATTTAGGTGCTTTAATAGTGGGTGCATATAAATTTACAATTGTTATGTCCTCTTGATGAATTGACTACTTTACCATTATACAGTGACCTTTATTGTTTCTTTTTTCCAGTTTTTACTTAAAAGTCCATTTTGTCTGATAGAAATATAACTACTCCTGCTCTTTTTGGTTTCAGCTTGCATGGACTATCTTTTTCCACCCCTGTACTTTCAGTCTACGAATTTCCTTAAAGCTGAAGTGAGTTTTTGGACAGTAGTATTTAGTTGCATCTTGTTTTAATCCATTTGGCCACTCTGTGTATATTTTGATTGGAAATTTTAATTCAGTTACCTTTAAACAAATTATGAATAGGTAAAGACTTACTATTGCCCTTTTGTCAATTGTTTTCTGTCCGTTTTGTAGATCCTTTGATTCTTTCTTCTTTCTTGCTATCTTCCTTTGTGAACTGATGCTTTTCTATAGTGGTACGCTTTGATTTATTTCTCTTTATTTTTTGTGTATCTACTATAAGAGTTTGCTTCATGATTACCTTTAGGCTTACATAGTACATCCTTTAGTTATAACAATCTATTTTACGTGTATTACTTTAATCGCACACACAAATTTTACACTGCTGCCCACCCAATTCTAAGTTTTTATTGTTACAATTGCATACACAAATTTTACACTGCTGCCCACCCCATTTTAAGTTTTTATTGTTACGACTTACATCATTTTATATTGTTCATCTATTAACAGGTTATTATAGCTATAGTTATTTTAAATACTTTTGTTCTTTAACCTTTATACTAGAGTCATAAGTAATTAACACACTACCATTACAATATTAGAGTATTATGAATTTGCTTATATATTTACTTTTACTGGTGAGTTTTATACTTTTGTTTGTTTTCATGTTACTAATTAACATGCTTTCAGCTTGCAGAACTCCCTTTACCATTTCTTGTAAGGCAAGTATAATGGTGGTGAACTTCCTCAACTTTTATTTATTTATTTATTCTTGTCTGGGAAAGTCTTTATCTCTCGATTTCTGAAGGACAGCTTTGCCAGGTAATCTATTTTTGTTTTGTAATTTTTTTCCAGCACTTTGACTACATCATTCTACCCTGTGCTGGCCTGCAAGGTTTTTGCTGACAAAAACCTATTTCTTGTCTGATAGTCTAATGCAGGTTCTCTTATATGTGATAAGCATGTTTTTTTTCTTGGCGCTTTCAAAATTCTCTTTGTCTTTGATTTTTGACAATTTGATTTTAATGTGTCGTAGTGAGTCTTCTTTGGGGAAGTCCGTTTGGAGGCTTTTGATCTTCATATACCTGGATGTTCACATCTCTCGCCAGATTTGGAAATATTTCAGCCATTATTTCTTTAAATAAGAATTCTGTTCCTTTTCTGTCTCTTCTTCTGGAGCTCCCATACAGTGACCGTTTGCTTTCTTGATATTGTTCCATAAATGTTGTAGGTTTTGTTCATTTGTTTTCACTGTTTTTTTCTTTTTTATCTCTGATGGAATATTTTCAAATGATATATCTTCAAGTTCACAGATCATTTCTGTTTGATGAAGGCAGCTGATGACACTCTATTGCAATTTTCATTTTATTCATGCATTCTTCAGCTCCAGAATTTCTGTTGGTTTCGCTCATAATTTCTAAATCTTTATTGAACTTTTTATTTTGCTCGTGTATTTTTTTCTGATATCATTTAGTTGCTTTTCTGTGTTTTCTTGTAGCACATTCAATTCACTTAATGAATTGTTCCCTTAAAACAATTCTTTTGAAGGCAATTTGCCAGGCAATTTATAGATCTTAATTTTTTTGATAGGCTCATTATTGGAATATTATTGTACTCCTTTGATGGTATCATATTTCTTGATTATTTAATGTTCTTTGAAGTCTTACATTACTGTATTCTCATTTGAAGAAGCAGTTATCTCCTTCAGTTTTAATCCTTCACCAATCAACCCAGCCAGAGATTCTGAGCTCTCTTAGATTCAGCTAGTACTCTTAGACATTTTCCATGGATACATCTGCTCCATGCCACTTGTTCCCTCTTAGGGAGGAATTCTTAAGACTGTATGCTGTCTCTCGATCCCACAAAGCCAGGACAGGTTCTGAGAACCTCCCATTTGTGTTCTCTGTGGCCGTGCCCAGAAATGCTCAAGTTCATATGCCTTCTCTCAATCTTGCAGAGTCATGCTTGGTGTCTGAGTGAGACACTTGCTCTTGCTGTCCATAGTGGTATATTAAGGGAGCTGGCTTGGAGGGGGCTTGAGGTGCATGGCACACTTGTGGTGCCCATGAGCTAGTTGAGGAGGATCCACAGGCAAGGCCTCCTAAGTAGTTCATGGGTGGACTTCCTCAGGGAGTCTGTAGAGTGGTTAGTAGGGTCTATAGCCTCCGTTTCCTGTTCCCAGTTTCTTCCAACCACTCAGTCATGCTAATTACCTCAGTATCCTGGGTGGGGTTAGAAAGAAGTGGATGTCTTGGGCAGCATCCCATACAGCTAGGGGAACTGGACACTTACTAACTACTTGCTTGTTTTTACGTATGGGAAAAATTGCAGGCTGAGGGAGCCTCTCTTGTCACTGAGCTATGCCCGGTAAAGGGGTGACATGGGTAAAGTGAAACCGTTCTTATTCCCTTCAATACGTCTATCCTTGGATACCTTTTGCTCCAACAGTGTACTGGGACTTTTCTGCTAGATGCCCAGGCTCCCACAAAGGTACTCTCATCCATTGGTACTTATCAAAATCAGTGCTTTTGTGGGATATTATGGTAGTATGTTTCTGTTCCAGCATCTTGCTCTAATTATTAGTGCTTTATAGATTTATTGCCTAGACATCAGTTTGGTATAAGAGAAAGAGTTTCCATCAAACAAAAAGGGACCACAAGTCCTTTCTCCTTCCACCTCTCTCTTTGTATGTGTCTTTCTTTCAGTATAAATGTACTGATTGCATTTTTAAGAACATTTGTCTAGTAAAAGTATTAAATACATTATGTGCATTATCTCATTAAATCTTTACAAACATCTTGTGATGTATATTTTGTTACTATTTCTATTTTACAGCAGGTTCAATAATTTTTTAAAACACAAAGGAATAGTGTAGAGAGAAATAAAGGAAAAGAGGACAGTACTACAATGGAACAAGTCATTTAAGCCCTACTAAGCTTATGATGATCACACACCAAAGCTGATTTGAGATAACCTTTATCTTATATAAAAACTGTATCTTATTATATCAATTCTCCCATGTTATTTTTTTTTATTTAAGGTAAATGTCTACCCTCAGAAATTGAGGGTGAATAAAAAATGTGTTAACACTATTAACAAATCCTATAGAACTTAAAATCTTAGAAAAACAAGAGGAAAAATCAATCTAACAGCTTTTGGTAAACCAGGTCCTTACATAAAATTATGAAGAAAACTCCTATAACAGATTTGCCAAACATTTCTGCTTTTCTTTGGTAAAAGTATTTGATGAATTTTGAAATATTTGTTTTAACTTCCATGTCAGCAAGTATCGAGTGATTTATAATAATTAATTACAGTAACTATATGGTTGAGTTTTCATATAATTATTTTATTCTCCTTTTCTTGGGTTTTACATTTCCTTATATTAAAAATTCTTACTGTGTACATTTATCTTGAATTATGGGTCATTTAGTATTATTTTTGAGACATAAATTCAGAATTTTTAGAGCTCAAAAATGCTTCACACATTATTTTTTCCTTCATTTTTATTTTGTAGCCAAGAACACTGAGAGGTAAATGGGCCCCACCATGTGGGACAATGACCAAGGTAACTTTAAAAAGAAAAGCAGGGCTGTAACTCACACTCTTAACTTCTACTCAGTCCTCAAAAGGAGAATTCGATTGGCATATTATGAGCAAACAAATATACTCATTCATCTTTGGCACTATTCAACCTGTAATAAGAGTTAAAGTAAAAAGCATATAGTAGCCATACTTTCATTCCTATGTATATGAAAGTTGTTTAAAATCCACCCTGAGTAAAGTTTCAGGCAGTCAAAAGTTCTCAAAGAAGATCTGTTATTTTAAATATGATATTTATTTCTCAGATCCCTGAAGAACTAGATACTTAAACATTTATTGGTACAAGGTCATTGCATTACTGAAATGGCTTTAACTTAGTATAAATCAACTTAGCACCTCTGTATATCCCTTCTTTAAGGAAGGACACAGAAATCTGGAATCTAAGGTCACTTTAATTCTTACTTGTCCACACTCATTGAGGTAACAGTGTAGCACCCTGTGCTTCTATTTTCTGTTGGGTGTTTAAGATCAAATGGTGTTAAAAACATCACTGGAAATGAATGCACAAGGGGCAAAGGATCTGAATTGCAATTTGTGAGCTAAACAACTTGCTTTTGTATTTGATGCATTCACCAGAATAAAATAAAAGAGAATAAAACTTCTACTGTCTGAGTAGAAGTTAAATTTACAGAAATAAAAATGAAAGAGTCAAAAAACCATGGTTTTTAGTTAAGTACTAAAATTATCATCAACGGAAAGTCTCTAGGCAGCTTTCCAGGCCTGTATCTCTATATTACATACACACCCATTCTATGTATTTTACTCTGTCAAAGCTTTATGCATAACCACAATCAAAAGGGCACGTATTTTGAGATTTCTTTCTTTTGTTTTACCGTGCTGGTAACAGCCTGCCCTGCAACTTCACTACCATAAGTTTTAATCTATTGAGTTTATTTGTGAACAAACGAAGAGTTGAAGACGGTATTCTGTTGGTTGTCTCCTTGATATCTGCTCCAAAATAAAGTTTTTCTATACACAAACTAAAATGTTCTGTTTTGAATTAAACCTTGACTTTATTTTTATGATCACCGATATGTTTAGTCAAATTGCTTTAAAATTAAAATTTTTAATGTAGGAAAACATTCCTTTTCAACTTGACCCCAGCACAATTTTATCAAAAATGTCTCAAGGCAGAAGTCACAAGTGGACAAAAAAAAAAGACTACCTCCCACTAAAAATATCTGCACTATATAATTAGCTGATAAGTATATAGAAATGTAGCCCAAAGAAACAGAATGGCTTGCTAACAAAATAGTGTTCTCTTTAACTGAAATAACAAGACTTTCGCAAACAGCTCCAAAATAAGGCAATTTTTTTTTTTATTAATTCCCTTGAACAAAGTAGTGAGTAGGGATAGAGGGACAGGAAGCGACATAATAATTCTGCAAGTTTTAGCCAAATATGCTACAGATCTATGCATGAGAAATGGGACTGCAATGCAGTGTAAATAGATAATTCCTCTTAGCAGAGGCATTCTCCTCTTGATGGTGCTTTCTAGTCTGCTGTAAGACCATTGAAAAACATTGTCATACCTGCATTCTGACTTATTGCCTGACATTGAAATAGGGAATGTGATAGGAATTTTTATAAAATCTTTGTCAGACTCAAGGTTTCATCAGCATCAACTCTAGGCAGAATATAAATATTTTAAAAAGTATATGCTCAATGGTTGGGTAAAACAGTTTTTTAAAAAATTCCCCACTGTCTCCTCCCCCATTCTGCTTCAGCTATTTCACAATATTCCACTACGTATTGAAGATAAAAGAAGACTGTTGTGTTGGGAGCTCTGGAGAAGCGAAATAGAAGATTTAAGTTAGGTGAGAGGAAGAGAAGAAATGCCACCAGAGAGATGGAAAATATATCTATTTTTATAATAGCAGTATGTTCAGCGAGTTTTACATCAAGACATGAGTAAAGAAATTCCAAGTGAACATTGTAGACTAAGAAACTCACTTGTTGCTGGGTGCGGTGGCTCACGCCTGTAATCCCAGCACTTGGGGAGGCCAAGGCGGGTGGATTACCTGAGGTCATGAGTTCAAGACCAGCCTGACCAATATGGCGAAACCCTGTCTCTACTAAAATTACAAAAATTAGCTGGGCATGGTGGCATGCCCCTGTAGTCTCAGCTACTCGGGAGGCAAAGGCAGGAGAATCGCTTGAACCTGGGAGGCAGAGGTTGCAGTGAGCCAAGATCGTGCCATTATACTCCAGCCTGGGTGACAGAGTGAGACTCTGTCTCAAAAAACAAAACAAAAGAAAGAAAGAAAGAAAGAAAGAAAGAAAGAAAGAAAGAAAGAAAGAAAGAAAGAAAGAAAGAAAGAAAGTCACTCGCTAACAGCAGGCTGGATGCCAAAGACACACATTTCTTCACCCTTCTTTCTACTATATGGGTTATTACTGAACACACAGTTATCTTTAGAATGGGAACAAAAACAAATGCTTAAGTATGCAAATTGATTGCCAGGAATGCAAATATTTCCATTCTGCTTTGCTAAGGCCATTTAAAACACACACAGTGGAAAAAAAAATCACTACTTTTTTACAAATTAATTTTCCATCTCTAGACTGTACAGTTTCCAATCCAACATCTGTTACCTTTCTTAGTCTGTGATCTGCCAAAGATTGTTTAATACCCATCTAGAGAAATGTGAAATTCATAATTGTAACTCTTTGAATGCCATACAAATTTTAAAATATATATTTCTTATTTAAGGAACTAGGTAATGTTGAGAACAATGTTGATAATCCATTTGTAGAAAAGATATGTATATATGTGTTCTGTCCTCTTACATCACAAAGGATTTGGGAAAAAATAGAAGATAATATGCTTGTTGCATTGTTTTTTATGTTCTAAGTTACTTAATGCTAAACAGTTTCAGAAGAGTAAATGTGCATATCAACTGAGCAGTACACATAAGTGATCTGAACAAATATTGTCCAGTGGCCCCTTTATGTTAAAACAAAATAAAGAATAATATAATACTAACAAAAAGGTTCAAGTTGAAGGTATATATCTAAAAAAGGGGAAGGAAAGAGCCACCAGACGGAGAGAGGAGTCTACGGTATAGTGGCAACTCAGGGCTCCTTGGGATATAGGGCCAGTGAAATTTTGTGTGGCTGAAAAGTGATTTCCAGGACAGCACGGCTAATAGATTTAGGTTGGTAGCTGAACAGTTCTGTGCTATGCTGTTCCTCCATTCTCTCTGTCTCTCTCTCTCTCTCACACACACACACATACACACACACAAACATATACACACACACAAAGTCAATGGTCTTACTGAAGCAAAAATATATGAACTGAGCTACTCTTGAGAAATCAAGGGTAAAAACAAGGGGGAACCAGAGAAATGACTCACTGTGTCTGGATGCTATGAGGTTACCATTAGTGAAGCATTTACTGTGATCCACAAATTTAACAGAGACACAATCTTATTATTTCATTTCTATCATCTTTTTGGTCTGTTTTATGTAGCCTGCCATCTTGCTGACTCTCAGTTCTATGGATTACCTTGTCAATAGGCTGTTTGGATTCATTCATTGTTTTTCTTAGGTAACTTACTTGTTCCTGCTACATGCAAGAGGCAGTGTGATATTTAAATAATGTATTACCTGTGTTTCTGGTTCTAAGAAGCTTACTCAGGTTACTCTAATAGAGGTAACACAACATGGAATTGAGGGACAGTCTCTGATTGTAAGTCAGAATTCAGAGTTTCAGCCCTGGTTCAGTTAGCAACAAACGAGTCAGGAGATATGAATAACTGGTTAATCTTCTTTGTGAAACAAAGGAGAAAGATTAGATAAAATGAAAAAATCCTGGAGATCAAAAACTTTTATAATGCCAGGATATTTCTTCAAAGTAATATAGATATGAGGGAAAACAAGGCGATAATTTTCACAAGAAAGCGATTGACCATTGACACAGGGATCACCATCCTCACATTCATATGGCCCTGAAAGAACCATTGCATTCAAAAATTTCATTAACCTATTTGTTGTCTTTGCTGAAAATTATTTCTGCTAAACCTAACTGATGGCAGCTCAAATTAGAATGCATCCATAAGTGTCTTCTAGGGGAAGTACAGGGGCTTCTGAAATCTGTTACTGTATGGAGGGTTCTTTAGCAATTCAAAAAGGATAGCTAGGTTCTAGCCCCCATGACCATATAGCAGAGGTATCATCTCAGATCAGGCACTTAACCTCTCATAAATAAACACAATAGTTAACTTGCTGGAATGTAGGTAGCTATACTGGAGGTCTATTCTAATTCCAAATTCTGTGATTCTTAAATCACTCAGTTCCCCCTTTGCCCCTCTTTCAAGGCTTGTACAACCAAACAACTTGGTAAAGATGTGTGTGTGTGACCCATCTTGGTACTCTAGAAATGTGTCTTGTCATCATTTTATCATTTACAATTTTTCCCCACTAACTTCTAATTCTTGTGACTATTTCTATTGTATAGTAGAGAAAAATAAATTTTAGAAAAGTGAAAGGATTGCACACTCAAATAAGCATTAAAATATAAGTAAGCCACCAAAATGGGCAACATGGAGGTGATCCAAGGAGAAATATTGATCCAGGGCTATGATCTAAGAAATGTAGGTGATTTCAAGAAACTGAAAAAGTTAAGTAATTAGATTATCTCCTGGAGCATCCAGAAAAGAATGCAGCCCTGGTGACAGCCCTGTGAGAGCCATTTCAGGCTTTTAACCTAAGGAATTGTCAGATATTAAGATTATGTTGTTTTAAGCCACCCAGTTTGTGGTAGTTTGTTACACCAATAGAAGACTAATACAGTAGCTAACCAGAATATACAGTCAAAAGGTAAAAATAACACAAGAGTTATACGTTAAATTAGGGAGAGATCCTAATAGATGGCGATAAGAAGAGAAGTCTTCATGGAAGAGGCATAATTAATGTGGCACTGAAGGATATACTGAATTTCATCTTGTAGAAATACATAAAAAAGGATATTTCTGATAAAAAATACAGTGTGTAAAGTCTGCATGGGAGGAAGCATGAGATTTTATAGTGAACAATTGCTATAGGAGACTCACAGCTTATAAAGGCATAAGTTGCAAGCAGCATTTTAAGTAATGTTATTAATGCAAATTAAAATATCTATAGTAATAACTAAAACTAAAATTCATTTTCATAGCCATCTAATCATTGATATACATGCCATCAGTATATAACACTGACAAGCCACTTGGAGACTTAATGACCCTATCGACTCATACCAAAATGGAAAAAGAGCATTTATCTTTCAAAAGCTTTCAAAGGAATCATTTATTATCATGACAAGTATAAGAATAAGAAAATGCAAAATAACATAAAAAGAAACACTGGATGTTTACTACATGTAGAAGACGTAGTGCTTTCTAAACACTTTCTTATTTATTCTCAGAATTCCTTGAAATAGATTTGATTATTAATATCATTAATAATTAGTTAACATTAGTGCCTAATCTTAGAATAGCTAAGTAAATGACCTAGGTCTTGCAAATGAGTGGCAGAGCTGGGATTTGAATTTTGGGGAAGCAATTTCTTAACCAGTGTATTAGTCTGTTCTCACACTGCTAATAAAGACATACCCAAGACTGGGTAATTTATAAAGGAAAGAGGTTTAATTGACTCACAGTTCCACATGGCTGGGGAAGTCTCTCACAAGCATGGCAGATGGCAAAGGAGAAGCAAAGTCATGTCTTACATGGCGGCAGGCAAGAGAGCCCGTGCAGGGGAACTCCCCATTATAAAACCATCAGATCTAGTGAGACTTATTCACTATCACAAGAATAGCATGGGAAAACCCACCCCCATAATTCAATTACCTCTCACCAGGTCCCTCCCACAACACATGGGGATTAGGGGAGCTAAAATTCAAGATGAGATTTGGGTGGGGAAACAGCTGAACAATATTAACCAGTTAGTATCTCTCATGTACAACACATAAAAAATGAATAACTGCTGGGCACAGTGGCTCACACCTGTAATCCCAGCACATTGGGAGGATGAGGCAGGTGGATAACCTGAGGTCAGGAGTTCAAGACCGGTCTGGCCAACATGGTGAAACCCTGTCTCTACTAAAAATACAAAAAATTAGCCAGGTGTGGTGGTGGGTGCATGTAATCCCAGCTACTTGGGAGGCTGAGGCAGGAGAATTGCTTGAAGCTGCGAGGTAGAGGTTACAGTGAGCTGAGATCACACCACTGCACTCCAGCCTGGGCAACAATAGCGAAACTGTCAAAAAAAAAAAAAAAGAATGATGATATAGTTTACCCTAATTTTAAGAACAGTTTGAAGACTTTGGGGCAATGAATAATGTCCTCATTTACTATCTTCCAATTGAATAAAAGATTAATAATTGAATTTCAGAAAAACCCAAGTGATGATAAAAAAATGCTCTGTATAAAAATAATCATACATTATTTGATGTAAATTTTTAGTTTCTTGGTTCACTAGCAATCAGTAGCTATATTTATGAAAACAAATAAAGCATTACCTTTTTTAAATTAGTGTGCTTTTTTCTTGTATGGTTTCTGAGCTAGATTTCATTGGAATTTGTTATATAGGTTTACAACTGGAAACTAATTTCCAAGTTTGTACACATATAACCCTCACCATCAGTAGATGTGTTGATATTAACTTCCATCAGAGATAAAATTTCTAATGCTGCAATTGCTGTGAAGTGGTTATAATAAAGAAAAAATTGGTGAACATAACTCACCTTGATTAGGATCTGGATTTTATAGGAAAAACAATGGGAAGTTGAGAACAGATTTACACAAAGGAGTTGTGATCTGATTTGTATTTTTTAAAAGATGTGACTCTTTTGTGAAGACTATTGTCTTAGTCCATTTTGGCTGCTATAACAATAAGCTGGGTGGCTTATAAACAACAGAAATTTATTTATTGTGGTTATTGAGGCTAGGAAGTCCAAGATGGAGGCAGTAGCAGATTCAGTGTCTGATGAGGCCCACTTTCTCACAGATGGCACCATCTCACAGGGTCATCACATGGGGGAAAGGCAAATAAGCTCCCTCAGAACTCTTTCATAAGGACATTAATCCCATTCATGCATGCTCCACCCTCATGTCCAATTCACCTTCCAAAGGCACTGCATCTTAATACCATTACCTTGGAGGTTAGGATTTCAACACATGAATTTGGCGTGGGGTGGGGTGGGGGTGGGGGGACATAAACATTAAGACCATAGCAACTAGTTTAAATGTAACCAAGAATGGATGTGGGGAGATTATGGAGGCACCTAAAAAGTAAAGCCATTAATGGCTAAATTTCCTTTTTAAATAGAAAATGTCAAGTATTATCAAGAATGTGGAGAAACTGGAACTCTCATGTGTTGCTGAAGGGAATAAAGATAAGCATGACTAAACCCCTCTGGTAGAAAACTTTCTGGTAAAATCTATTAGAGGTATATTTGCATACCTTATGACCAAGCAATTTCATTCCTAGGTATAAAATAACAATTCCCAACAGTTTCATTTCATTCCTACATGTAAAATAACTATTCTCAAATAAGCACATGTGTTCACCTAAAGACATGTGCTAGAACTGTACTGTCTAATATAGTAGCCACTAACCATATATGACTACTTAATAAAAATTAGCTGAAATTAAAAGTTTATTTCCTCAGCCACACTAGCCACACATTTCCAGAGGTCAAAAGCCACATGCAGCTAAAAGCCACCATATTTGGTGGTACATATTAAGAATATTTCTGTCATTGTAGGAAGTTCTATTGCACTATGCTATTTTAAAATGTTTTATAGTAGCATTGTTAGTAATGGACGAATGTTAGAAATGACCTAAATGTCTTTCAACAGACTGTGATATATTCACTCAAAGTGATACTACACAGCTATGAGAATGAATAATCTACATCTACCAGAATTAGTATGGGTGAATCTCACAAACATATTTCTGAGTGAAATAAGTTAGGCATAAAAGAGTACAGAATTTTCCAAATTATATAAAGTACCAAAGAGATAAAACCCATTTATTTTGTTAAAAGTCAAGATAGTGGTTATCCATGGTAGTTGGAGGGGTAACGACTGGGGAAGAAAATGAAGAGGTCATTGGGTGGGGGGTATAGGACTGTGTTCAGCTTGTGAAAATGTGTCTTACTGTATATTTATAGTATGCAGATTTTTCCCTCTATACACAATGTTAAACTTTAATAAAAGTAATTTTTAAAGTTAAGCTGCAACACAAATTTTAAATGTGAATTTAAAAATGTAAATATTCATTATCTCCTCAATGCTAGAAAAAGTGAGGTATTTACTTTCCTGAACTAAGCAACAAATTACAATGAAATCCTCCAAGTATCACATTTTACTAAGCATTCCTTTCAAACTTTTTAAAATAGAATGTGCAATGTGCTTATGAAACACTGGAGGATTTTAGAATATTTCTTACCACTAACCCTACCACCTTCCACCAGAAAAGATACCTCAAATGTAATATGGCAGCCATGACACCATCATAGGTAGACATGAACAGCGATATTAATGAAGGCCTGCTAAGGTTGCCCAATGTCACACAGCAAATCAGTAATGGGAAATCAAATCAAATCCATATCATCTCCATGCACTCTCTCTAGTATATTGCTTTACCTTTCTACTCTGAATTTTTGGCCCTATATAGCCAATAATTTATGGCATAAATTGTCATTGGATACATTGAAATATGTAGACACATCAAATAGAGAGTGGAGTGTTGGAGAGAAACTCAATCGAAAGCCAAAATAATCGAAGTGTCTCCAAATCTGACATTGCTAGAAGAAACATTACTGTGACTATCCATTTATTCCACCAAGAAAGTGCAGTGTAATATGTTTTAATGCACTTTCTTTAGGTCTGCAATGCAAGTTTGATTTGTTTTTCCCAGAAGCAATTTACTTTTAAATTCCAAAGCCTTAGACATCATTGAAGAATGTTTTGGACTACTTAATCATGGCAACAGAGATTAAACTGGGAAACTGGTAGAAATAGTCTGTTTAAAATTAGGCATTCACTGGTCTGAAGGAAGTGAGAAATAAAGTTCTCAAATACTTGCAGTCACACACTCAGACTCAGGAAGTGGTGAATGACACAGAGTGTTCTGAAGGATGAAGTGTGTTGGAGCAAATGTGAAAAAAAGAGAAGCACCTGCCACTGTGATGAAAAGCACACAAGAAAGCTTTAGCTCAGTGTTTTAGGATTACCATCCTTGTGCAGTTTGAAAAATTAAAATCATATATTTGAGTTTGAAGTAATGACCCAATTAATGAACATATGATGAAAAAATAATGCTCCCTAGGAATTAGTGACTTAGTTGAATTTTGAGAAGAAGAGCCAGATGTATTTTATTCCTGGTCACTTCTTTTCAGATTTCTGTTTTCTAATGACAGAAAGAAAAAATGGATACACTTTCCATCAGAATCTGATGTGGCTAGAAGCAAGCACAAAGAAACAAAGGCAGGAACTTAATGATATTCTGAAAACATATTTTCTTCTGGTACTCTGATATCAAAAACCTAGAATGAGACTTGGTTGTTAGCCTACATTTCGGCTTCTTAAATATTAAAAAGTTCCTATGATTCAGATCTCCTGGAATTATTCGTTGTACTTTCCAGAGAATAATTGTATAGGAAACCATTCCAATATTCTGGCTTCATAATATAAAAAGTGTTGTAGTTCCTCACAGGTAGTTTGCTTAGTTTGTGATTGCAAAAACATGAGTTAGTGGAAGGCAGAAATGGTGCCTAATTTTATATGGTTTCTTTATAAGCCTATGCTTGTCAGCTTTGCTTGTATAACTCAGTATTAAGTGACTACTGTCCCACTTTGTTTTGGGAGTCATGTAAAAAACCCTGATTCCTGTCCAGTAGCATTGTAGACTATTTCCAGGTGTAGAAATAAGCCTGAAATAAGACTAAAATAATCAGGAGGTCCAGGAGCTTACTCAAGATAGAGTCCATGATTATGAATTAAAGAGCTAAATACAAAATGCTGGGACAATGGAAAGTAGGGAAAGTTGTAGAAAATAAATCAAGAAACTTCATAACCCAAGCAAAATTTTAGATAAATAAAAGAAAAATCAAATTGTATCTGGATGCTTATATGAAAACTTACTCTAAAAATGTATCATATTGACAGATATGTATACTTGGCTGTTTGGATAATGAATTCCATTTGGGCAGAAAAACAGCAAGGGGATATATGAACTTGGATTCACATTTGCACTTCTATAGGAAGCCAGTGTATTCCAGTCATAAAACAGGACCATTCTAGGCAATCAGTATCTCTAGTAGAGGGTTGAAGAATCTGATAACAATGGTTGCTTCCCAGGAGGGAAACTGGAGCAAGGTTGGTTTGTTTATTGAGACGGGATCTTGCTTTGTTGCCCAGGTTGGTCGCAATCTTCTGGGCTCAAGCAATCCTCCCACCACCTCAGTCTCTGGTCTCTGGAGTAGCTGGGTTTTAGGCACCTGCTACCATGCCCAGGGAGAATTACTTTTTATTGTGGACTTTCTTGTATTCTTGGAATTTTGTAGCACCACGTGCATTAATTAGTTTACAAAGTAACACTTTGAACTGTCTATCCAATGACAGTTTACCTGAGTAACAGGAAAAGGACTTTGAATGATATAATCTTGCAAAGCAAAACCTAATTAGTGACAGAAAATATCTTAGGGCAAAAGGGGATACTTGTATTCTGAGTTTATAAATAGCTAAGTTTGAATAAAATGAACACTATCCTTTGAATTAGCTGGTTTGAGTGCAAGAGGAAAATAAAAACAAAGTTAAAGCATATAAAATGGCATTTGATTGAAGTACCAGAAAAATTAACATGGAATCTATCAAATAGATTCAATCCTCTAATAGAGGATTTGATCTAATTAATAGATCAAATCTATCAATCCTCTAATAGAAAAAGCCTGTGTTTTACAATCAGAAAGGATTCAATTGTCACCTTCAAAAATAAAGTCTATTTTTTGGCAACATTTCAGTTAAATAAATAGATCATAGTATTTAAATTTACCATTTCTGCCACCTAATTTTTTTTTTTTTTTTTTTTTTTTTTTTTTTTTTTTTTTTTTTTTTTTTTTTTTGAGAAGAAGTCTCACTCTGTTACCCAGGCTGCAGTGCAGTGTCTCGATCTCAGCTCATTGCAATCTCCACCTCCCAGGTTCAAGCGATGTCTCAGCATCCTGAGTAGCTGGGACTACAGGCATGCACCACCACACCCAGCTAATTTTTGTATTTTTAGTAGAGACAGGGTATCGCCATGTTGGCCAGGCAGGCCTCAAACTCCTGGACTCAAGTGATCCACCTGCACTGGCCTTCCAAAGTGCTGGGTTTACAGAAATGGGCCACTGCACCTGGCCTCACTTAATGTTTTATATAAGGAGTAGATTATAAAAACAGTGGCTTCGACACTTTAATTCAGTCTATATTCACCAAAAAAGTTAGCTGATCTCAGCTATCCTTGATTTTCATATACTAGAAAATGTCTTTTGAGCCTGCTAATTTAGACATAGAAAATCTGATAAGTACCCTGAATGTCAGTCAATACAGTACCACAGAGAATCTTTTGCATATATACACAGAAAGAGAAGTTGAAGAACAACCATTGCTGCATTGCTGATAACTGTGAAAAAATGGGGGATTAAATAACTGCCCATAATTAAAAGATTAGATAAATAAATGATTTGACATAGCATGTGAAATGAAGAGGCTAGATCCATCTGTAAATCTCAAAACCATGATATTCAATTAAAAATTTGCTAAAATACATTTTGATGCTATTTAAAAAATTTAAAAATACCCTTGCTAATACAACACATGAAGAATTGGTAAACTATGGCTTGTGGTCCAAATCTGGTCTGTTATCTGTTTATGTAAATAAAGTTTTCTTGGAATACAGCCACCTCTATTTATTTACACCTTGTTTATGGCTGCTTTTTATTGCCACCAGAGAAGAGTTGAGTAGCTGTCATAGAGAGGTTATGACCCACAAAACCTAAAATATTTACTAGTTGGCCCTTTAAGTAAAAGTTTGCAGACTTCTGTAATACACGGCTATGGATATGGAATGAAATAACAACCTGCAAGGGCAGGATACACACTACTTCAGGAGAGTAGTTGGCTACCTCTGTTGACGGATGAAAAGAATAGAACACTTGATGTTTCACTTAACATCATGAGTCTAGAACATAATAAAAGTCCCTGACATCTTTTTTATCTTGTTGGGTGGCAATGGAATGTATTGTTTTTCTTAATTTTACTAAAATTTCCTGGGTCTAGAAAACTACTTTTTAAGAACTATTTCATGCAATTTTAGAGTCCACTTCTTTGCATTTTAGTTATGTGGGTTTTCATAGTAAAACTTAGCATTCATGCTTTTGAGAAAGGCAAAAGCAGCTACCATGGAGATAATAACTTTCATTGAATTACTGAGTTCAACATAACTAATTTATGCTTATTCAACATTAGGCCAAATAAGGAGTCACATTATATATTTTCAGGGACATGAAGTAAATAAAAGGCATACTGATTATTATTTTACTAATAAAATGGGATGCTTGAAGAAATTAACCAATAGTTATGGTATGTTGGTTGACTAATAAATGGTGCATAGCAAATAAGTGTTTTTCTTATCCCAATTCAGTCTCCGTGGAGGAAATCAAGGTCGCATTGGAAGTTTTATAGTATTCATAAATATATAAAACTTTTCACAACATTTGTGTTTAAAGATTATCATAATCAACAATAAAACATTTTATAAAGACATTGTTCATAACAATGTATCAAGCCTGAATTATTGAGAAATTCTCTCAGTGGGGTCAAGCAATATCAAACGACAACTAAAAAAATTATATAAATTATTGAGAACTAATAGAAAAAATACACACATGGACAAAAAATGTAAAAAAACATCGTCTCACAGTTTTGAAAAAAAATAGAATTGTATTTTACTTATTAAAGAAGAAAAATTTTAAAATAGTAACTAAATGAAAGGAGAAAAAACAATGCGGTATACTGTCAGTAGAAGAGAAAAGTTACACAACTTCTTAGGTCATTTACTAGTTATTGATTGAAGTTAAGATTTTCAGTGAAAAATATAGAATTTGAATATTAAATAAGCTTCTCATGTGTCATTTAGACAACACAATGTCGAATGTAACACTGGTTAATTATATATCTTTCTCATTATACCTATATTCATTTATATATCTTTGTATATGTAAATCTAAATTAGAAGATTGCTGAAACATTGAACATAGTGTTAAGGACAATTTGTTATAAAAACATCTGACCTAACATAGAGTATAGCATATAGCAGGTGGCAATCAATCTTCAATAAACGATGGAACAAATGAATGAATGCATGATTATATTTGGTGGTTCAATAATAGATTAACTGTAGAAGGGCTACTGAAGTAGACTGTTGAAACTACAATGGCTCCTTCTGCTTGTTTTTTTTATAATATTCTATTTCTTTTCAAAAATTATTTCAAATGGTTTATCATTTTTCCCTATCAGCCCACAAAGGCAAAGTTTCCACTAGTAATATAATCTTCCAAAATGGAAGGTGACATTGTATTAATAAACCTACTTTCTATATTAAGCATGCTGAGCAAAAGCATTTCCTTTTTCTGATATTTTCTTTCCCAAATGCATGTTGACTTCTACTTTCAGATTCAATCAGAAATAATCAAATTTTAAGAAAACATGCAATTACTAAATTCAATTTATGTCTTTCAAAATGTGCCTTTAGAAAATTTGGAAATGTGGCTGTGTGCAGTGGCTCATGCCTGAAATCCCAGCACTTTGGGAGGCTGAGGCGAGCAGATCACCTGAGGTCAGGAGTTTGAGATCAGCCTGGCCAACATGGTAAAAACCTGTCTCTATTAAAAATACAAAAAATTAGCCAGGCGTGGTGGTGGACGCCTGTAATCCCAGTTACTCGGGACACTGAGACAGGAGAATCGCTTGAACCCAGGTGGTGGTGGTTGCAGTGAGAGGAGTTTGCAGTGAGCCAAGATTGTGCCATTGCACTCCAGCCTGGGTGACAGAGTGAGACTTTGCCTCAAAAAAAAAAAAAGAAAAGAAAATTTGGAAATGCAACCCATTTTAATTTTTAGAAAGAATAACAGATAACTAATTAGAGGCATTTTATATATACTTTTTTCCTTATTTATTTTTTGAGACGGAGTCTCCTTCTGTCATCCAGGCTGGAGTGCAGTGGTTCGATCTCGGCTCACGGCAACCTCTGCCTCCAGGGTTCAAGCGATTCTCTTGCCTCAGCCTCCCATGTAGCTGGGATTACGGGTGTGCACCACCATGCCCGGCTAATTTTTTGTATCTTTAGTAGAGACGGGGTATCACCATGTTGGCCAGGCTGGTCTCGAACTCCTGACCTCGTGATCCACCCTCCTGGGTCTCCCAAAGTGCTGGAATTACAGTCGTGAGCCACCACACCCAACCTATTTGTTTTTATCTACTTAGGTGCCAGTTGGGATCAAGCATGTCTTAAGTACTCTGTGCCAACTGTTTTGACTCACAAAAGTTTTCTGTGTTTGAAAATGACTATTTTCTATGGGTCACTTTTTATGCAAAAATGTAAAGAACTTCACATTATAAGCCTCGATAATAATATATTTATATTAAAGGGTTTCTAAGCACCAGAAGAACCTTTGATTTCTGGGCTTGGCTGCATTGAACTTCAACAGAGCAAATAACAATCAAAGGAAGAATGCTTAGAGGTTGTGCCAATTAACAAAAAAAAAGTTGGTTTTATATCCAAATGATAATAACAGCAGAGGCTTGCTGAAATGTTCACCAACATCTGTGTTGTGTTTCTCTTGGGCATACAACCAGATTACATTTCCCAGCTCACCTGCATGTAGGGGAGTGGGTCATATGATGGAGGTCTGTCCAGTGAAATGTGTGTGTGTGTGTGTGTGTGTGTGTGTGTGTGTGTGTCTGTGTGTGTCTGTGTGTGTCTGTGTGTGCGCGCACAGGGGGATGCACATGACTTTTTGGCTTTGCTAATCGGGCAGTCTTCTGTGTTTTGTCTCTTCCTTTGTCTGTTAACTGGAAAGAAGAGGGTCCAGTAAAAGACTGAGAGGCCCTTAAAGAGGTCAAACCATATGTCAGAAAGGTCTGAATTTCAGCATGTAGGTGTGAATTAGAATCCATACTCCCTATACATCCACCAAACTGGACTATGAAATTACTAAAAATTAATGTTTACTGAGATATGGCAAGTAGCCAATAATTGCTACAGTAACAGCTAATATACTACTCAATTCAATACTCATAACCCTCTCTTCTTTTTTTTTTCCTTTTTATTTTTATTTCAATAGTTTTTGGAGTACAGGTGCTTTTCGGTTACATGGATAAGTTCTTCAGTGGTGATTTCTGAGATTTTGGTGCACCCATCACCCAAGCAGTGTACACTATACCCAATGTGTAGTCTTTTATCCCTTACCCCCTCCCACCCTTCTCCCTCCTTGAGTCCTCGAAGTCCATTATATCATTTTTATGCCTTTGCATCCTCATAGCTTAGCTCCCACTTATAAGTGAGAACAAAGGATATTTGGTTTTCCATTCCTGAGTTACTTCACTTAGAATAATCGCCTCCAGCTGCATTCGAGTTGCTGCAAAAGACATTATTTCATTCCTTTTTATGACTGAGTATTATTCCATGGTGTATATATACCACATTTTCTTTACCCACTTGTTGACAACCCCCTGTTCCTAATTTTAATTTTAACCCTATTATAAAAAAGAACAAACTGAGGTATAGAGGGATTGCCTTCAACTTCTAACCAGATGTTACTCCAGAGCCCATACTCTTAAACATTATAGTATATTGTTTCCTAGGGTGAAATGTGAAAGCTAAGAGAAAATAAAATGAGATATAACTATGGTTTTAAGTCTTCGAAGTTCTAAAAGAGGTGACTATAAATAATAATTGCTGCAGGGTATTTGACATGGGTGATATCTAAGGTTTTGGGTGTGCATGGAAGCTCGAGTGCAGATAAGAAACCTAGAAATGTAGGAATGATCTTAAATGACCAGGGTCAATGCTGGTTCCTGCATCTAAAGTAAAGTGGCAACTAAATGTGCTCTTATCTTGTGCTGCAGTTGAAGATGAGACACCAGGTCCCTTCAGAGTGTGTTAGGGAGAAAGAAAATGAAGGTAAGCTAATGTTCAATCAATTGTGCCTGGATAGACTTCTTTGTCATTACAGTGGTGTTGTTCCCCTCCTCCTCAGGATGTCTTTTTCCAAACATCAGTTCCTCCAAGAGATGCATCCTCTTAGATTTTTCAAGGAAACACTCATTCTGTAACTTTATATATGGCAAGGAAGAGCAGATGAGAGGGCCATGTGTTAAATATCTGTCTTCCTAAATTAGCATTAGTTATTTTCCAGGCTCTTACTGTTCCCTAGAAAGTGGTCCATAAAAGATGGAAAATGAGATACCAATTTTTTTTAAATTTATTATTATTATACTTTAAGTTTTAGGGTACATGTGCACAATGTGCACGTGGATAAATTCCTCAACACATACACTCTCCCAAGACTAAACCAGGAAGAAGTTGAATCTCTGAATAGACCAATAACAGGAGCTGAAATTGTGGCAATAATCAGTAGCTTACCAACCAAAAAGAGTCCAGGACCAGATGGATTCACAGCCGAATTCTACCAGAGGTACAAGGAGGAACTGGTACCATTCCTTCTGAAACTATTTCAATCAATAGAAAAAGAGGGAATCCTCCCTAACTCATTTTATGAGGCCAGCATCATCCTGATACCAAAGCCTGGCAGAGACACAACCAAAAAAGAGAATTTTAGACCAATATCCTTGATGAACATCGATGCAAAAATCCTCAATAAAATACTGGGAAACCGAATCCAGCAGCACATCAAAAGGCTTATCCACCATGATCGAGTGGGCTTCATCCCTGGGATGCAAGGCTGGTTCAATACACGCAAATCAATAAATGTAATCCAGCATATAAACAGAACCAAAGACAAAAACCACATGATTATCTCAATAGATGCAGAAAAGGCCTTTGACAAAATTCAACAGCCCTTCATGCTAAAAACTCTCAATAAATTAGGTATTGATGGGATGTATCTCAAAATAATAAGAGCTATCTATGACAAACCCACAGCCATTATCATACTGAATGGACAAAAACTGGAAGCATTCCCTTTGAAAACTGGCACAAGACAGGGATGCCCTCTCTCACCACTCCTATTCAACATAATGTTGGAAGTTCTGGCCAGGGCAATTAGGCAGGAGAAGGAAATAAAGGGTATTCAATTAGGAAAAGAGGAAGTCAAATTGTCCCTGTTTGCAGACGACATGATTGTATATCTAGAAAACCCCATTGTCTCAGCCCAAAATCTCCTTAAGCGGATAAGCAAATTCAGCAAAGTCTCAGGATACAAAATCAATGTACAAAAATCACAAGCATTCTTATACACCAACAACAGACAAACAGAGAGCCAAATCATGAGTGAACTCCCATTCACAATTGCTTCAAAGAGAGTAAAATACCTAGGAATCCAACTTATAAGGGATGTGAAGGACCTCTTCAAGGAGAACTACAAACCACGGCTCAACGAAAAAAAAGAGGATAGAAACAAATGGAAGAACATTCCATGCTCATGGGTAGGAAGAATCAATATCGTGAAAATGGCCATACTGCCCAAGGTAATTTACAGATGCAATGCCATCCCCATCAAGCTACCAATGACTTTCTTCACAGAATTGGAAAAAACTACTTTAAAGTTCATATGGAACCAAAAAAGAGCCCGCATCGCCAAGTCAATCCTAAGCCAAAAGAGATACCAATTTTGAAGCTCTGTACAGCACATCATAGTTTTATCAGGCATCAGTACTTTCTTAGTAAAACATCCTAACTCATGCCTTTTTGGAGCTATTTTGCCAAGAATCTTATGGAAATGCTATTTTTATATGAATAAAATGTTCCAGGATTGGTTGTAAAATATTTACCACATTATGACTTAGGCATGTATGATGACCCATAAAATATTGAAAAAAAGAATGGCCTTAAGAAATTTATCCTAAGCAATTAGTTAAGGGCCTATGAAAAGGTGTAGCCACAGGTATGTTTCTCACAGCCTTATTCTTAATATAGAAAACCGGAAACATCATTTATGTCTAATAAAAGGGTATTAGTTAAATATCATGACAAATGAAACATTAAAATGCATATATTTATGTAAAGAAGTTCATGATACACTACTGGATGAAAATAACAGGTACTACAGCAATATATAATATATAATATTTTATATATGCATATGTGTGTGCGTTGTACATCTGTGATATGCATACACAGATGCACATATGATTAGTAAGCTGAAAAATCAATAAGCAAAGTATAATGACAATGCAATTTATTTATATGTTCTACCATCTCATTGAACTTTATTCATGAAGTAGGAGACATCGTCTTTCCATCACCCAGAAGGCATCGGCAAATACATGCTCTAGACTTTCCTGATTACTCTCAGAAAAAAGAAAAACTCTTTCTCACTTTTGGCAATAAAACTATTTTCCATCTTAATACTTCAAATGCAAATTCCAAGTAATAGTCAAACCTTTGAATCTAACCTAGCTTTAAATATGCCTTCCATTCCAAGTTTTAGATGGGCAGACTGGATCCCAACACAGCAGCAATCTCCTGCTTTTGCAACCAAAACAGTTGGTCAGCTCTTACCTGACCCTCTAGATTTTGGGAAACTGGGCAGAGCAAGTTAGATCTTAGTTCACCGGTGCTTTTAGCTTTTTTGAATCTAAGTCAAGTACCAATACCTAGAATCTTCCAACAGGAGAACAAACATATCAAAGCACTCAATGACGGTCTCTTTAAAACTTTCCCACTAAGCCTTTCCTCAAAGGTAGGAGGGGAGGTGGTGGGAGGGGAACGATTTGTAGCAGGGTAATGGCTCTCTCCCAAGATATCTTTTAACCAATCCCTCCCTTCTCTTTTCTCTATGACCTATTCTTATATTTTTAATTTATCTAAGGGGCTTGTATCCAAAAATTTTATCACATTCTTGGAACAATTTTCACTGTAATTCCACATGTTAGGGAGGGGAGGACATCTGACTCACACTCACTTTGGATCCTAACTGTCCTGTCAATATCTCAGTGGAACTTGAAACCCCACTTTAAGAAGTCCCACTTTAACATCTTATGTCTATTTCTATCATAATATATGGACTTACAACAAAGTATCATGACTTTTTCAATTCCACAGGGATTGACATGTAGAGCCCAAATCTGGGGAGGAAATGAATAGTGTCATACATATTCACAAAAAGACCAATATCTTCCACAACTTCCTAAGAAACGGCAGAGCATACCCTCAGCAATCACCAGCAACCATGGTTAGCTCCTCAACCTAACTCCAAATCAATGCAGGAAGTCTGGGGAAGTGAGAAAAAAAGAACATTTTTGAGGTCACTCATCTTTATCCTAATGGACAAAAGATTTAGGGGTACCTTTGAGAAGCAGACACAGAGATCTGAATCACTAGTTGGACATCTGCTTAGTGTGGGCATTTGATTATCTGAGCAATGTATAATTTAGCAGGAGAGAAAAAAACTGGAGGGAATAATGGGGGAGAGGGAACAAGTTTTGAAGCAGCCTCATGCCTTCTCTTCAGCATGGTAAAGTTACATGTGTTTCCTATGAGACCTTAGAATGTAGACTCCATGAGAGCAAGGGTTTTTTGTGGCTTTGCACTAATGAATCTCAAGAACCTAGAATAGAACCCAGCTTATAGAAGGTGTTCAAAATATTTGTAGAATAAATGTAGTGAGCATCACAGAAGAGAGCCAGTCTAGACTGTCCTGCTGTACAGCAGTTAAGAAGGCTGCTTACTGGACAGCTGCCAGAGGCCGTGTGGGCTTCCAGGCGTGCCCCAGGATGGTAGCTGAGCCAGTACAGGTGGATCTGGAGATGACTCTTGCAGGTCATGGAACTGTGAAGTGGAGCAGCTCCAAAAGACCACACTAGAGAGCCCCAAGGAGAGCCCCAGTCTTCAGCGATTACCTGAAGATTACACCACCTGAGAGAGAAAAAAATGCCCTCATGTTCCCAGGGACTGAAAATATTTTCCTTTCTTCCTTCTTTTTTACCCCAACACCAGTACCACAGGATTTAGACTTAAATTTAGACTTAAAAGAGAGAAAGAATTATGCTGGGATCAGATGCCACAACAGTAGTCCTCCACAAACTATTCGATAATGCAATTTTATGGAGACAATGTTCATTACCAAAGAAATGAGTTTGGGAAAATATACATACATCAAAAGTAAGTAATAGGCTTCTCTACTAGGAGAGACTTTGTTATTACTTTGGTGCGTTTTCTATTGGTGTCTAACAAATAAATCAATATTAGTATGTTGTAAAAACAAAATGTAACAAAAAATAGCTCAGTATATCATGAACCTGTTACTTGGAAAAAAGCTTTCAAGAGTGTTAAGAGAAATATAATTACTTTAATTATTACTATGGTATTTGTCTTAGAATAAAAATGTATGGAAACACACATACACATATATGTATACATGTGTTACACCATGAATGTGTTACACCATAACCTCATCAATGCATCCTTATTTTAGCACTCTGTTTCAAATTGCAAAATCCTTTGGCATTTTCCTTTTCATTTGTCACTTGGCTTTAGAAGGTGAGAGATTTCCTACAGCACATTCCATTGTGTGGTTCACAATATCAATTCTATGCACACATATGCATATGTGTACGTGTGTTTATATGTGCATTTGAAATGTCATCTGAAAGGAGATTCCTCAAATGCCAAATAGGTCCAAGGTAGTTTGAAGATTTCAACCATCCATTAATTAGAAATAAGCTGCACTGACATATAAGGATCTAATATTCCCTCCATAATACATAATTAGTTTAATTTCTTAAGTTAGAAATAAAAATTTATAACTGGAGATGTAGAGAATGTTGTTAGAGCTTAAAAGGTCACCTACCTCTAATTAGATATTACTCATCATGTCTCTTGTTCTTATCCACCTAAAGTATTTTCTAAGATCACTGTTTTTTAAAGGAAACATTGTGTCAAATTATAATAAGGATGAAAATAATTACTTCTATTAACAAAGCGTATACTATAATGAACTATGCTATTTCTTTAGATTTCTAACCATAATGACCTATTTAAATTGAAAACGATGCTTCCTTGATAAGAATGCAAGCAAATTCCTTAAAACACCGGATCAATATAATAGTAAAATGAAGTAAAACAAAATTTGAAAACATCTAATCAATGAAAAGAAAATTTAAGGACCATGATGGTGGGGTGGTAGCAACAGAATTTTTACTTGAAACAGATGCTGCTTAAGTGATTTTTTTCCTTCCTCTAAAATTCCTAAACTGAAAGTTATTTTCTTCATACATTAGAAAGCATTTCGGCCTAAACTGCTGCCTTCACAGGAAATATCAGTCTGTACTGTTAATCATCATAGTCATCAGACTTTTGAGAGGATTGCTCAGAAACAGGTACTTTCTCCTAATTCCTAAAAAAAAATCTGTGAGAAGATAGTGACAGCCTTGCAAGAGCAAAAGATGTAAGCTCTGAAATAAACTGTTTGCCTTCTATTAAGGCAAACAAAAAACAAACATTTATCAATCAAATATATGATAAAATTTAATATTAGTAATGAAAATTGGCATTGGCAGAAGTATTGACATAGTTGAAGGCCCCGTTACTAATATATCAGTGATTTATTGTCTCACCTAAAATAAAAAGATATACATACATGTGCATGCGCAAATGCTAATCTGGTTTAACATGCACACACATAAAGGGTGCCCATGATTAAAGAAACAAAAGTAAGACTTAGGTATTTTAACAGGATCTTTTTTTTTTTTTCCCACTGATCATAGTGCTGTCAATGAAAACATAACTAGCACTTCAAATCATTTCTATGTAGTTGTAGTCCTTATTATAATAAGGACAGCAAAATAACAAGAATGAAATTCTCCAATGAACTTTCGAAAAAGGATTTTTAGATAAATTATTAATTTCTTATAACATGTCATTAAACTCTTAAAATCTGAGATCACAACAATCTTTTGTGATTTAAGTTTTATTTTGTTTTCTCCATTGACTGTTATGAAATAAACGCAAATCAGTACTAACTAGATATTTGGATAATTTCATATTTAAGGAAAAATAAGGAGAATATACATTTAGATGTCTTTTCCATCACTGTGACAAATTACATTTTGGATCAATGTTTCCTCACTGACTGTTTTTCCTTAATGTCCTTAATTGAACATAATGCAGTAGAAGTTCCTACAATATCTTTTAAAGTAAGTCTAAACTTTATTAAAATATCAGGATTGCTATTATCATTATAATTCTTTTCAAGCCATGGTATCCAATGGACAGATCCTACGCATTTCTAAGGCTTTTCCTATTCTTTTGTCTCTTTATAATTTATAATTCTTAAAACAATTGAACAAGTATAAGTGATAATCAAGCAGGTGACAGGATGAAGCATATAGTAATGTTTTAAGAGTTTAACCAGGCGTTAAATTACCCAGACGTTAAATTATTTAGCCCATTCTTAGAGTGATGTTGGATTAAATCAGTAGCATTCTTGGGTGCTTTACTAAATATCTGATCAGAAGATCTGATCCAGGTATTGTGTAAAATTCTTCCCGCCAGGGAGGAAATGAATGTGTTACACCATAACCTCAGCAATGCATCCTTATTTTAGCACTCTGTTTCAAATTGCAAAATCCTTTGGCATTTTCCTTTTCATTTGTCACTTGGCTTTAGAAGGTGAGAGATTTCCTACAGCACATTCCATTGTGTGGTTCACAATATCAATTCTACATTAGATACATTAATAGGCAAAAAGAAAAAGAGAAGAAGCCAAATTGGGTATAAATAATTAAATTTGTAAAAGGTCAGTGAGCAAATAGCAGGAAGGAGAAAGGCTGTAGAAGTTATGCAGCTTTGATGCTCAGCTACAGAGGTATTGAAATACGAATATTATCTGCTGACATAGCTAACAAAAAAAAATGAACAACAAAAATGGTCCCAAGTAGCGTGTGATCCTGAAGCATGGTGATAACTGAATGGGTACCTGTTAACTGTGCTTTAATGAGAGTTAAATGCCATAAACCATGGATTACTACAGTAAACCTGGTGTTGGAGAAGTAATCCACCCAATCAATGTGGTATGTGGGTTACCACAGCTTTGACTCAAATTTTGTTAACATTAAATTAGAAAACTGTGCTTGGTTTTGCATATACAAAGACAATTTCACTTATGAAGGGAAAAAATTGAAATTTCAGGTTAAGCTGGAGGAAAAAAGAGGAAGAAAACAATTAGAATTTAGAAGATGAAATTACTATTTTTCCATTGCCCAAATATAGTTAGATATTGCACACACACACACACACACCCCTTCACATAGTACTTTTTTATTTTTTTGGTATTTTATTTTTACAATGAGATTGAGCTTCATCTCATGATCTACACTTGCTTGTTTTACATAACAATGTGCTGTGGAACATCTTTCCAAGTCACCATATTGCCATCTCATTTCTTTTTAAATGTCTGTGTAGTACTGCATTGTACACTGAAAAGTTTTAAAAATCATTTGCTCATTGAAAGACACTTGAGTTATAATACCAGTTTTTTATATTACTAACAATACTGCAGTGAATATCTTTGTACAAATATCTGTATGTATGCATGCTATTATTTCTGTGGGACAGAACCCTGCATATAAGATTGTTGGGTCAATAGGTTATGCATATTTTAAATTTTAATACACAGTGCAAAATCGTCTTCCAATAAGATGTTCTGTCTTGGCAGTAATCATATACAATGTTTGATTTTATTTTGTTTATTAATGTATGAGAATTTCTGCTTCATTCTGAAAAAGATTTGGGAAAGCTTAGAGGCTAGATTTATGCAGAGAAGAAAAAGACAGTTGCTTAGTTAGTGAGACAGTGACATTTTTGTCATGTTGCAATGTGAAAAGCAATCTTGATACTGACAGTTTTATGTTCTTACTATTTTGTTACAGGTATTTGCACTTGTTTTCTTTTTCCTTTGAACCTGTTACAGCCCCGTCATGTTTTTTCTCTATTTCTAAAAGATTTCCTGCTTAATTGTCTATTTGTAAATTGAAGCATATATTTTCACAGGCAACCATCTTACAGATTAATAATGCATATAGTCAAAGTAGATGAGTTGTGACATTTGAAAGTAAATACAGATGTTCAGGACTCAGACGTTTATAATATTGGAAAAAATCCATTGCCACTATATGGCAAAAGAATCCCAATCCTTTTTGAAAAAGCAACTGCAAATAGTTAATTGGTGAAAAGTAATAGACGTTAAAAGCATAGCTCCTTGATCAACATTCCAGACTCAACGAATAATATTCAGTAGGTGCTGTAAGAAATAGAATTCATGACATACCTGAATAAAGTGAGAGAGAATTTACCACAGTCCAGAAACCTGCCATCACCTTGTAATAATTATAAATGAGCCATGATATAATAGGCCGGATTCTATGAACAGACATAGTGAAGAGACTAAAGCAACCTTTATCTTCCTAGTTTTCTTTGCTACATAAAATTTACATTTTACTTGTAGACTCTGTGCTCGTCTTTGAGTGTGAGGCTTACCCAAGCAGATTTAAAAATTGTGCTGGCTTTCTTCACTATCCATCAAAACTCTGTCAGTTGATATGGTCAATAGGAAGTGCAAAATAATCCTAAATTTGCAGCACAATATTGCACAAAATATGGTACATTTCAAAAACAGTTTTGTGCTTAACTTTTAGATTATCAGATCAGGCTACCTGTGTCTGTGTTTTCATTGGCTTAGACAATCAAGGGGAGAGCTCATAGCTGAAGCATTTTGTCATTTAGCTGATTTGAAATACTTGCACAGTGACATAGTGACATAAAAACAATAATAAATAAATGAGTGGTCAAAATGATTTCTGTTCTTTTAAACTATTTTTACTTTTTGTCTGGGTTCTTTTTCTGAGGTTCTTGTTTTACCTGTAGGTTTCGAGTTCTCTGAGAAGGGAAATATGGTTCATGCATCAAATAGGTTTTTAAAAATCAATTATGCTCTGGAATGAAAAAGAACAAGCTACTTTTCATTCTTCTCAAATATTTTGAACAAAAATTAGTGTGGAAAACACAAAACAGTACAGCAAAAATATGTTACAAAGTATTAAAAATGGCACCCCTGTATAGGGTACTTACCAGGAATGCAGCTTGCAAAACTGAAAGTTGTTCCAGGTTAGTCAGTGAGTGCGTGGTGAGTGAATGTGAAGGCTTAGAACATTACTGTATACTACTGTATACTTAGGCTGCATTTAATTTATAAAACATATTTTTCTCTCTTTAACAATAAACTTAGCTCACTGTAACTTTTTTAGTTTATAAACTTAATCTTTTTAAATTTTGACTCTTTAGTAATCACATTTAGCTTAAAACACAAACACATTGTACAGCTGTACAAAAAAATTTTCTTAATATCCTTATTCCATAAGTGGTTTTCTATTTTTAAAATTAGTATTTATACTGTTTAAACTTTTCTGTTAAAAACTAAGACACAAATATGCATATTACCCTAGGCCTACACAGGGTCAGGATCATCAACATTACTGTCTTTGCTCTCCACGTCTTGTCCAACTGGAAGATCTTCAGGGCCAGTAACATACACAGAGCTGTCATCTCCTATGATAACAATGACTTCTTCTGAAATACTTCCTGAAAGACTTGCCTGAGGCTATTTACAATTACTTTTTATTCTATAAGTACAAAGAGTACACTCTCAAATAACCATAAAAAGTATAGTATAGAAAATATATAAACCATTAATGCAGTCATTTATTATCATGATCAAGTATTATGGACTGTACATAATTGTATTGCTATACTTTTATATGACTGGAAGTGCAGTAGATTTGTTTACCCAGCATCACCAATAACATGTAAGCAGAGCATTGTGCTAGGACATTAGGATGACTTCAGTGTTAGTAGACAATAGAAATGTTTCAGCTCCATTATAATACGATGAGACCGCCATCATATACACAGTCCATCATTAACCAAGAGGTTGTTATGCAATGCATGATTAAACTTAGAAATCTAACCTTATTCAAACACAGAACAGATAATTTAAAAAATACTAGTAGTAGTAGTTTCAGAATAGGGAATTAAACTCATTCAGTACATATCACTGGGAATTTCAACAGAATTTTGCCACACACACACACACACACACACACACACACACACACGTACACGCAGATTCTTTGCCCAGAAAGCATGGTAAACTGTGGTAAGCTGTGTTATTGATTAAACCGTTTAAAGCAACTAGTATCTTTATTTATACATCAGAAAAAATCACAGATTCATTTTGACATTTATTTAAGGCATTATGCAAATTGAGGTTTCATTTATGCTCTGAATGTGAACAAACTGACTTTTTGACAAGGAAGAAATTAGAAATAGAGTGAAATTTCCAAGAACGACTAGCCTATTTCTGGTTTCCAGAAATAAATAGTAAGATATGGCAGCATTTTTTAAAAACATACAGAGCTCAGAGTGTTAGAAGTATAGGCTTTGTGTCATAAAATCAGATTTTATCATTTCTTAAGAGTATTAAAAAAGTAGAGTTGAATCTCAATGATTGGCACATAGTGTATATAATTTTTAGCCTCTGTTATCCATCTTAAAATACATAAAGGGTTCTTTTTTGCCATTTGCCAAGCTCAAGGTACCTCTGAGTTACTTGGCATGTATTCAAAAAACATTAAAGCAAATAGAATATAAGTCTATATATTATAGAGCTAATTATAAATTATTTGGGCCTATTTTGTGATTCTGTTTTCCTCTGTTAATTTCCCTAATCAATTAAAAATGATCTTCTAAACCAATGGCTTCTACACTGACATTTATGTATATATTTCATTTGTCAGCATTTTTTTCTTTTAGTTTTATAGCAAACATGAATATGCCTAGACCACTTTGAAGAAAAAGAACACAAATAATTTCAGTCTTACATTTTTTTGAGAGCAGCAGTTAAAATACCAAGTTTTGTCAAATCTGCTTGTATAAAGTGATTTACATGAAACCTGGTAGTCCAGGGAAAATGACTTAACTTGGTATAAATTTCCTTATCTGTGATGCTGGATTTGGATTAGGTGTTCTCTAATGATTTTGTATGATTTTTATAAAATATCAGAAGCAGTTTAGAAAAAAATACAGATAGAAGAATGAAATAGCCTACTTTGCACTCTGGATGCATAAAATATTGCCAAATTAAATGTGATTAAATTCTTTATAATTACTCATTTGACAATAATTACAATAATTGCAGTTTCTTGAGAATATACCATACCAGTAACTTGCTCTCAGGTGATTTAAAAATATGTTTCTTATTCTTCACTTTCAATTTTTCTGTAGCTTGAGAGTGTTCAAATGTGTGTGTGTATGTGTGTCTATATATTTCATCACACATTATATGCATACATTTTACATATCTAATGTTATATTACATATAACAGTATACATATAATATATAGTGTTATATTACACATATATAAAATGTGTGTTGATAAAATATATCTTTTGGCTCTATTCTATTAAACACTAAAGACAACCAGTTTGCAAACTGTGACTATATTAAGGTAGGTGATAGATATTCCAATGAATTTTAGCTTTTGTCTTTAACACCCCTTTGTCCACACATCTCCTCTTAATAGAAACTATTTATATTATGCTGTGATGGGGATGGGCAGAAGCTGGGTATTCTATTTTGCCATTTAGATAATGTTTTATATTTATTCAGTACTTTGAAATTTTCATGAAGCATCTTCAGAGTCACCACTTAATTTCAATCTAAAAAATAACCCAGGAAATATAAGCATAGCCGCGGGTTATTATCATACATTATGCAGGTGAAAATACTGATTTGAAGTCCCTAAGAAAGTGGCAGAATAAAACTAAAACTTAAGTTTTCTGATTCCATATAACTAGTGAAAAGGGAAAGGGATTTGCCAAGATCTTGGCTATGTCATTTATTCTCCCTGAGCCTCAGCTTCTTCATTTGCCCAAGAAGGACATTACTCTTTTGCCTTAACGGGCTGTGAGTATCAAATAGGATCCCATCAGAGAGCTATAGTACTAGGGCTTTCAGATAAAGCCGTTCGTCCCATTTTCAGAAAGTCAACGTCCTTTCTTGTCCTGCCTCTTCCAACTCCCTCACCTCGATCAAGAGTCTGTGTTTTTAGTATTCACCATTCAGAGTGCTGCATCTTAAGGGCAGAAAGGGTCTTATAATAAGGATAAAATGTATGAATATACACACTCCCATTTTATAAATGTTACAACTACACCGGATGCTAGTTAATTTTTTCATTTATATCAGACTGCCCTAACTCTACTAGGCCACCAATCACCTGTCCCTCTTCTCTGTCAGAATTTTACCCGCAGCCAAACTTACTTCTAACTAGATATTGACATGCAAGGCTTTAGACTAAAAGTAAAATAAGTAGCATGTTATAAATAGGGCATAAACAAATTGAGTGGGCATATAAGCTAAAATAACTATTGCTTTATTTCATTGACACGTGGGCACATGCTATTTGTCAGGAGCAAACAATGTTCTTTGGACGATGCATGTTAAAATGATCATGGGTTATATTTCAGTAAGTATTGTGCTAGTCTAGAACTTTTAAAACACCACTATCAAAACAATCAAATAATCGGGCATATTTTTCTTTCTGCTGTGAGAACTGGGGTTATGTTATACACACAATAGATATATTTATCCATACCCTTGGACTAAAGGTCAACTTTGCTGTTCATATAATACGAGAACAGTAGAAAGCCTTCTAAGAATCTGTAGAAGAAAGGCTGTGGTTGGTGGTATTGACTTTGTCACTGCCCGGTCAGATAGATAAATAGCAGTACGTGAGCAAATAGCCCATAAAGTAGATTCCTGGGCTGATCCTTAATCTGATATTCCTAAGGGCTCCTGGTTTATACTCAGGCTTGCTGTCAGGTTTTAACAGTAGAGCAAGAGTGTTACAGGTACAAAAACACCAGAGAAAATAAGCAAACTTTCCAGGACTAAACATTCATGATGTGAAATATCCAAAATACATATGGTCTCTCAAATGATAGTTTGGGAGTTTCAAAGGAAGAAAAAGAGATGTTGGAAGCTGTGGACAATTTAATCCTAAAAGTCAATAAATATGATAGCAGCTCCCATTTATTGAATATACAAATATGCTGTAATTCTCACAACAACCCCAAAATATAGGTATGAATGGCCTGATTTTATGGATGAGGAAATTAAGATGAAAGAGCTGGTAAAGAGAAGTGGTATAATTTGAACCCAGGCCAGTCTTTAAGGCCTAGAATCTTCCCACTTATGCTTTGTAAGACATGAGAAAAAGAGCAGAAATTTCTAGAAGGCGACCATATTTTACTGTGTGTCATAAAAAAAATACAGTGAGAAGGAATTTGCCTTAGAATGTTTTTCCTTTTATGGCAGAGAAAAACTTAGCTCATAAATGAGGAAGAAAAAATAAATGAAATATTTGGATTTTCCTTCTCAAGCCAGGAAGCTAAGATTAAGAGGAATGATTCTGGTCAGGTGCTCATGCCTGTAATCCCAGCACTTTGGGAGGCCGAGGCGGGCAGATCATTTGAGGGCAGGAGTTCGAGACCAGCCTGGCCAATATGGTGAAATGCCATCTCTACTAAAAATACAAAAATTAGTTAGGTGTGGTGGTGGGTGCCTGTAACCCTAGCTACTCAGGAGGCTGAGGCAGGAGAATCGCTTGAGCCCAGGAGGCAGAGGTTGCAGTGAGCAGAGATCACACCACTGCATTCCAGCCTGGGCAACAGAGCAAGACTTTGTCTCAAAAAAAAAAAAAGAAAAAAAGCAATGATTCTTCAAGTTTGGTACTAGTAACATAGTTAAACCACAATGGAGTCTCCTAGTAACCTGGAACTGACCCCCATTGCTGTGTCAACATAAGAAACATTACAGTTTTGGCTTCTGATATGGCTTTAAATAAATAATGTAAAACTTCTTCATACTAGCCTATAGTAGCATATTAACTTACACTGACTTTCAGTAGTACAACTATTATGACCCACTTTATTCATTCCGTTTACAGGTGTGTGTGTGTGTGTGTGTGCATGCGTGTGTGCACGCATGCACACTTGAGCTCATGTCCTTGTGAGGGAAGGGAACAGGTGGGGAAGCAAGCAGTGAGATACTAGGTATGTAGTTTCAGGTAATTTTTCTCCTGACAAAAGGGTCACATGAACTGGGAAAATTTGAGAAATCCTATAAAAGAGCAAAATACTGTGATATGGAAAAAAAATGTGTGTTCTCAGAGACTAGTTTCTATAAAGTAAGATGTCAGCCAGTCACCATTAAAAGAAAAGGTTTTGTTTTGCTTTGTTTTTACACTTTACTTTTCCAAAAAAAGTGCACTATTGAATAAACAGAAATTGTTCTGGATCCTCAGAAAGAAAAATACCACAGAGTTTTAAAATTGCATTGCTATGATTAGTTATTAATATAAAAATATGTGTAATAGCATAGTTCTTGTACATAACCTTTGAAATTTGATGATTTTATGATGTATAGCCTTTTTTCTAATAAGTAGCAATAGTGACAATTGTCAAATATTTTGATAAAGTATTACGTAGAAAATATCTCATAAATTATTTTATATTTGATTCTATGTCATTCAAACTTTATCTGTAAGACATATGAATACTTTTTTCCAATAACATATTTATAGAAAGCAAGTTTATTTAAAGGGAATACTTAATAATGTGTCTTTAACTGCTAAACTCTTTCCTCTCATCCCTCCCTTTGTCTCCACCCCTTCCCTCCTCTCCCTTCCTGACTTAAGACATAACCATAAAAATGGAGGAGGGGGAAATGCTATAATGGTAAAAAAAAAAAATTAAGGCCTTTCTGAAAACCATTTAGATAATCAGTTAACAGAGTTCAAAAGGGCAGGGAGTGAATAAAACTGAATATTTTTCCCTGCACTGTATCAGACCAGCACAAATTGATTAATTTTCAAGAAGTTAAAACTGATTAGTATTCTCTGTGTTGGCTTTGATTCCTAAATGCCATTCAGTATACATGGTACATCTATTATGTGATGTGAGCAGAGGGAGCTAAAATGGACAAACAGTGACGATAAATCTTGATGAAGTTGTCCATGATGAACAAAGGCTGTGGGAAAAGAGTATCAAAATATACCAGCTAACTTTTCCCACCTATTTGCTGATATAACTAAAGCTCCCAATGGGCCAGAGGATGTGGAGATGCCTTTATACCATCATTGTAGGAGGAAATAGACAGAGACAGCTAGATATAAATCACAAGGAGTAACAAAATTTTAGGATCAGCTTTCTAACAGCTTTCATTTTTGTTTTCATCAATGTACATTTTATATGTAAATGACTGTAGCTTGTTTTAATGAAGTGTATACTTTAAATGTATTAAAATGAATTATTCAGGGATACAGCAGGAAAGCAACAGATGTACCTATCTGAGGGGGGTCATGCTTAGTTTCACTTGATGAATATTTGTTTTGTTGCTTTGAAAAATTAATGCAGTGAAATATTTAAAATGAATAAGGAAGTTTTAAATTGACTTGGAGTAAAAGTCTTTCCTTCCAGGATTTCGTTTTTGTTGTTGTGCCATTGGCATTAAGGAGAATAGTATTACCATAGTGTATTTTGTTGTGCTAAAAAAAAGTTGTAGGGAATGTTTATTAGGTGTAAATATTTGATTATTCATCATGCATGAAGAAATTGCATTTAAAGACAAGTTTTGAAATGTGGGAAATCTCAAGCATATCCTGTCACTCAGACAACTCAGAAAAAAGTGAAAGGCTTGACAGTTTGGAAACTTTGATGATTTGGTGGAGGAAGATAGAGGATTGTGTAATATTTGAATTGATTTGACCATCTGTGTTAGAAATTTCTTCAATGGCCCTCTTACCTTGTAGCTTAGTTTAGCATTAGGTCAACTCCATTTATGGATGACTGAGAGGCATTGACCATTATTTCCCAAGTGAGATTTGGCTGCTCTCACTGGTAAATCAATGACATCGCTTAAGAAAAGACCATCTGTGAAATAGTTGCTAATATTTAAAGAGGTTGAAGAAAAAATAACTTCATATCCTCAACATTAAGATTACATTGTACAATCCCTTGTGATTACAAAAAAAAAAAAAAAAAAACCAGAGGGTACAAATCATTACAATTGATGTTGCAAAAAGAACTTGGGTGTATAAAATGATCTCGAAGATCCAAATGATGCATGAATTAAATCCAGAGAGTCATCAAAAATTCTACTGTTGCAACAATATCGGACAATACACATTTGACAGATGTGGTTATTATGGATATAGACACCAAATTGCATCACTATGTCATCTGGTCAGCTTAGTTTCAAATAGGCTAAGGTGAGGGTTCTATAAAACTTAACCTTCTTAAAATTTTTGCTAAATTCTTTGGTGAAAAGCATAACATGCCAACAACAACAGTGTTAGCACATTTCCAATTCTAGGAAACACCTCCTATTCCATTCTGTATATGCTATAGAGTTAGTTGCTGTGTTGGTTTGTTTGCCAATAAATTAAAAGAAGAGACAAAACTGATTTCAGGACAATTTTGACACAGCCTTCTGCCTCTTCTTTCCTTCCTTTCTCCCTGCCACTTTGTCACCCCTTTCTCCTTCTCTTTCTTTCTCCCTTTCTCTTTTTCTCCTTTTCTTTCCTTTCTTCCCCTCCTTCCTCTCCATTCCCTCCCCTCCCCTCTCCTCCCCTCCCCTCCCCTCCCCTCCCTTCCCTTCCCCTCCCTTCCCCTCCCTTCCCTTCTCTTCCCTTCCCTTCCCTTCCCTTCCCTTCCCTTTTCTTCTGTCCTTCCTTCCTTCCTCTGTGTCATACCTTGGTCATTCTCACAATATTTCAAGCTTTATTATTATTTTATCTGTGATGGTAATCTATGATCTATATTCTTTGATGTTACTATTGTTAATAGTTTTGTGGCACCATGAACAGCACCCATTTAAGACAGCAAACTGAATTGATAAACGTATGTTCTGACTCTTTTCCTGGCCAGATGTTCCCCATCTCTTTCTTTGTCCTCAGGCCTCACCATTTCCTGAGATACAACAATATTGAAATTAGGCCAATTAACAACCCTACAATGACCTCTAAGTTGTTCAGGTGAAAGAAAGAATTGCGTGTCTTTCACTTGAAACCTGAAAGCTGAATTGGTAAGTAGTTTAAGCAAAAATAAATGATTTCAACTCATTAGATTATGATACCCATACCTACCAAATGCCCTCTATTTACATAAACATTGTATTAGCATTTACTATATCACTTCTGGGAGTATTAACCTATCGATCACACCTAATACCATCCCTATTATGCCTAGAAGGAATAATATTATCATTATTCATTATAAATACCCTCACAGCTTTAAATATACACTTCCCTCTAGCAAATATTAGCCAGAAATAATTCGGCTTAGTCTGGAAGGCATGTCAAAAGTCGGGATAGTCTGAAAGCTAGGCCTTTTTACCAGTTAGCCAAGCTGTGAATGCAAAAGAAAAGTCCTTGATGAAAATTGAAAATGCAACTGCAGTGAACACATGAATGATAAGAAAGCAAAACCACCTTATTGCTGATCTGGAGAAAGTTTTAGTGGTCTGGATAGAAGATCAAACTAGCTACATTTCTTAATGCCAAAGCTTAGTCCAGAGCAAGATCTTAACTCTCTTCAACTCTATGAAGGCTACGAGAGGTGAGAGAAAGCTGCAGAAAAAAAGTTGGAAGCTAGCAGAGTCTGGTTCATGAGGTTTAAGGAAAGAAGCTGTTTCCATAACATAAAACTGCAAAGTGAAGAAACAAGTGCTGATGCAGAAGCTGCAGCAAGTTATCTGGAAGATCTAGCTAAGATAGTTTATGAAGGTGGCTACACTAAACAATAGATTTTCAATATAGATGAAGTATCCTTATATTGGAAGAAGATGCCATCTAGGACTTTCCCAGACAGAGGAGAAGACAATGCCTGGCCTCAAAACTTCAAAGGACAGGCTGACTGTCTCATTAGGGGCTAATGGAATGGTGACTAAGTAAAAGCCATTGTGGCCGGGCTCGGTGGCTCACGCCTGTAATCCCAGCACTTCGGGTGACTGAGGCGGGCAGATCATGAGGTCAGGAGATCGAGACCATCCTGGTCAACATGGTGAAACCTCATCTCTATTAAAAGTACAAAAAATTAGCCAGGTGTGGTGGGGTGTGCCTATAGTCCCAGCTACTCTGGAGGCCGAGGCAGGAGAATCGCTTGAACCCAGGAGGTGGAGGTTGCAGTGAGCTGAGATCATGCCATTTCACTCCAGCCTGGGTGACAGAGCAAGACTCCATCTCCAAAAAAAAAAAAAAAAAGATTCCTTTCAAAATATTACTTCTCATTGATTATGCACCTGGGTCACCCAAGAGCATTGATGGAGATGTACAAGAAGATTAATGTTGTTTTCAGGCCTGCTAACACAACATCCATTCTGTAGCCCATGGATCAAGAGTAATTTCTACTTTCAAGTCTTATAGTTTTAGAAATATATTTCATAATGCTATAGCTGTCATAGATAGTGATTCCTCTGATAGATCTTGGAAAATTACATTTAAACCCTTCTGGAAGGAATTCATCATTCTAGATGCCATTAATAACATTTGTCATTTATGAGAGAAGATCAAAATGTCCATATTAACAGGAGTTTGGAGGAAGGTGTTTAAACACTCCTGGATGACATTAAAGGGTTCAAGACTTCAGTGAAGGAAGTCTCTGAAGATGTGGTAAAAATAGCAAGAGAACTAGAATTAGAAGTGGAGCATGGGGGTGGGCACGGTGGCTCAGGCCTGTAATCTCAGTACTTTGGGAGGCAGAGAAAGGAGGATTACTTGAAGCCCAATATACATGTTTTTAGGCACAATGCTATTGCTCACTTAATACGCTACAGTATGGTGTACACATAGCTTTTACATGCACTGGGAAACCAAAATATTATTGAGATTCACTTTCTTGTGATATTTGCTTTATTGCAGTAGTCTGGAACTGAACCCACAATACCTCTGAGGTATCCTTATACACTGGTCATCCTTTGTTCTTGTATCATAGAGAATTATATGATTTGTTCATATCCATTTCCTACCCCTCTGGAATCAACCAGCATAGGAACTGTGTTTTATTCAAAATAGGCTGGTACATTGCAGCTACTAAATCCATTTAATTCCCTTTGGTAAAATTCCATTAATTCCTATTTTTCAATTAATCAGTGAATTGATGGGTCAGCCTAATATTCCTTCCTGCTAACAATGCATAGAATTCTGGAATTGGAATGGACCTTTTTACAAGTCATCTTGTTGTCCCTCTTCCCTCCTTCCTCCCAGTTTACAGAGGAGAAAGATGAGTCTAAGATATTTTAAGAAATCTACTCAAGGTTATATTTCTGTATTATGGATTAGAATCTAATTCTACTACCATTTATCAATTAATTAATTCAACAAACATTTGTTGAGCTTATGTGTGATATACAGTTTTAGGCTAGAGATATAACAATGAACAAAACTGCATTCTGGATTTCATAAAGTTGATGCTCTGGTGTGGGGAAATGGAAATTAATTAGTAAACAAATCAATTAGTTATCCAGTTATATCATGAAAAGAAAATAATGCTGTATTTTGTCTTGCTAGTCACGTATGTAGTTAACCTGAAAAATGCAAAGATACATTTTAAATATATACTCAGCCTGGAGGTTTTCAGAGGTGGAGTATATCTCTGATACACTTCCAAAGTTGAGCACGAATTTCCCAGGGTTACTGGCTTCCACTTTCTGTGAGAGCATATATACACATCTGTGATTTCTGTCCTTTCCCAGGAAATCCTGGATTGCTAACAAGCACTTACAAAAGACAGAGAAAGGTACCAGCCGTGCAGTTTTGTTCAGCTTCCTTCTTGTGCCCTTTCCTAATCCCCATCAAACAACAGCTGACATAATGGAAGAGGCAAGTAGAGAAGTATTTCCTATGATAACACACATGACGCCTAGGGAATCTGATGGGGTCTGGTAATAACAAAATTAAAAATGCCCATGTCAACCAACAACCTACAACTTCAAAAAATAGTACTGATGAGTTGAGAATGGGAAGCATAGAGTTATGCTACCATAAGATACATGCTTTTTAAAGGGAGGCCTGCGAGAAAGAAATTGAATTTATTAGGTTATTTCTCCCAACCCTTTAGCAAATTGTTTTGCCCTGTGTCCTGCTCTTTATCACCTGTGGATAGCTGTGTACCGGGCACATGACCATGTGTACATTCACAAAATGAATCTCCTAAACTTGAGGATTCAAGGCAGTCAAAGATCTCTTCAGAGACGAGTAGTGCTTCATAGGTCCATGATTCACTTACAGTCTCAAATTGTTATAAAGTCATGTGCCTGAACACCCATTTACATTCATGATTCAAGGCCCATATCATGTGTTTTTGTTGTTGTTGTTGTTTGTTTATTTTTTGAGATGGAGTCTTGCTCTGTCGCCCATGCTGGAGTGCAGTGGCGCAATCTCAGCTCACTGTAAGCTCAGCCTCCCGGGTTCACGCCATTCTCCTGCCTCAGCCTCCCGAGTAGCTGGGACTACAGGCGCCCGCCACCATGCCTGGCTAATTTTTTGTATTTTTAGTAGAGACGGGGTTTCACCATGTTAGCCAGGATGGTCTCGATCTCCTGACCTCATGATCCACCTGCCTCAGCCTCCCAAAGTGCTGGGATTACAGGCGTGAGCCACCGTGCCCCGCCATCATGTGGTTTTAAGATGCTTCCCTGGGGAGAGAGCTAAGGAACAATTGAGAGGAATTGCCTCAGTAGGAACAGTCCATCAGCAAAATCTCAGGGTCCAATGGTGTAGTAGGTTGTTTATGCATTACTGTAAAGAAATACCTGAGGCTGGGCAATTTATAAGAAAAGAGGTTTAATTGGCTCAAGGTCCTCCAGGCTGCACCAGCCTAGTTCTAGCAACTGCTTCTGGTGAGGGCCTCAGGAAACTTACAATCATGGCAGAAGACGAAGGGGAAGCAGGCACGTCACATGGCAAGAATAGGAGCAAGAGAGTGAGGAGGCAGATGCCTTCTAACCAACCAGATTTATGCCAACTTAGAGTGAGAACTCATTTATTATTGTTAGGGTAGCACCAAGCGATTCATGAGAGAGCCACTTCCATGACCCAAACACCTCCCACCAAGCTCCACCTCCAGCAATGGGAATTACATTTCAACTAGAGATTTGGAGGATACAAATATCCAAACTATATCAAACGGGATTCCACATACACTAGAAAGGACCAAAGAATGACCATACATCTCTGAAACAGCGTGTAAGCCACATCAGTGAAGCTAAGCTTCATAGAATGCAATGTGCACATGATTCTCATCTGATTACCAGCTTAGTTAAAGATACAACTGGCTAAAAGAGAGTTGGAGTTGGCCATGTTTATAATGAGTCAAAATTATTTTTATTAAGCTCTTCAAAATAGAATACATTTCTTAAATAAGATCAGGCATCATTATCCATCTTAAATTAGAGAGGATATTATTTGGAGAAATGGATGTTATATAAAATTACTTTTTTAGCAATAGAAAATGTGACATGCTTTTTTATTATTCACTGATTTCATAATTCACTTAATAAATATTAAATAAATCCAAATTGTTATCTAAGAATCATTCAGGTTCTTAGTATACAGAAGTGGAAAAAAAAATTATGACGGTCTTAACTTCCCCAGAAGCTAACATTCTAACTTTTAGGCTGAATTATGTAACTTACTAGGTTTCTCTTTCTGCTTTTCTTTTTCTTTTCCTTTTTCTTTTTTTTTTTGAGATGGAGTCTCACTCCATTGCCCAGACTGAAGTGCAGTGGTGCAATCTGGGCTCACTGCAACCTCCACCTCCCGGGTTCAAGCAATTCTCCTGCCTCAGCCTCCCAAGTAACTGGGATTATAGGTGCACACCCAGCTAATTTTTTGTATTTTTAGTAGAGACAGGGTTTCACCACATTGGCCAGACTGCTCTTGAACTCCTGACCTCAAGTGATCCACCCCCTTGGCCTCCCAAAGCGCTGGGATTAAAGGTGAGAGCCACCACACCTGGCCAGCTTTTCCTTCAAGGAATTTCAATTATAGTTCATTTCAGGTCTTAACTTGGATGTCATGTCCACGCTCTACCAAAAGTTTAATGTTCCTTCTCACTATTTTTCTTTATTGCTTTGCTTTGGTTCCATTTATCCATATGTTTTATTTTATCTGTGATTAAGTAAACTCAAATCTATTTTTGTTAAAACTGGAAGTTGTTGAGGTATAAATGATTATTTAATGAAGGAGTAAATGATTAAGCAGAAAAATAAACAGCATTTTTGCTCCCTCTTTTCCTGTTTCATTTGGCCAGGCTTTGATTCTCCTGTCAGATACTTTAATTGTTCTTATTATATAGATGAGAATGCTGAGTCAAAGAGAGGTTAAGTCACTTGCCCCAGGTCATACAGCTAGTAAGTGGTACAGGTGGGATTCTGATCTAGATAGTCTGGCTCCAGAGTTCATGATGTCTTTTTTTAAGACAGCCCAAGGTACAACAATATGTGCACATTTTGGTAGATGACAAGGCTAGAAAATTCAGTGAGTTTCAGAGGATTAAGCCAAAGAATGAAGGGCCCTGCATTTCAAAGTAAGAACTTCATACAGAACATGGAGAACAATAAGACATATTTTAACTCCTTTGCTAGGAGGTGAAATGCAGTTTGGATTAGTACCTACCTTTTGATAACTGGAATTGAGGCAATAAAAAATGAATGACAATTATGGACTGAAGCAGGGAACCAATGTTTGGATATTGTTCTACATCCACTTTCTCTCCTTTTTAACCCTATGTCACTTTTAGATAGGAAAATATCAGAAACACAAAAAGAAATCATAGTGTTATATAGTGAACAGTTGTGATTTTATAAAAATGAATTCTGGTCCCAGGCACCTATGTTTTTATTTTAATAAATGATTTAAAGGTCAAGATCATAGATGTTTCTGGTTAACTTAAAAACATGTGATAAACTACAATATAATTTAAAAAACAAATTTGGAGATTAAGATTTTTCATTATATTTCATTAAAAAATAAAATGTGATTTTAGAAAAATAAATAAGTTGGTAATAATGATTACATATAAGAATAACCATTATATGATAGTGGCAATTCAAGTTTTTTTTATTTTATGCTCATGAAGTTGCAATACAAATGCAAAATCCTTTGGCAGATATTGTCACTGCTTTGTTGATGGAAATCTCTACTGAGATATACACAAACTAGCTTTTAGTGAACGCTGTCAGGATGTTCTACAAGAGGAAGAGGTCCTGTCTTGGTTTTCCTAGTTGAATAGGATAAAGTTTAGGGATAGAGGAGAGTTTTAGTCACTTAATGATCGGTTCAACCACACTATGTGTAAGGTAAAAAAATCCTCTCCTCCTAATGATAAACAGTAAAATCTATTCCTTATAGACTGGTCCGAGTTCAAAGCCATCTTTCAAAAAGGAATTTTCTAGAAGGAAAGAAAAATAGACGAAAAAAACATTGAGAAGCTATTTGAATAATGAATATCAGCTAAAGCACACCACTGTTTGTTCTTTTTATCATTTGTTGCTTTTGTTTTTTAATGATATCCTGAAATTCCAAAGATGATAGATAAGAGGCTTTTAAACATCATTTCAACATCTTTGGTCAGTTACTTTCATTGTGGAACATGGAATTTCTATTAAAACAGCAACACATAAAAAATAGGATTGACTGCAAGGCTTTAAGATGAGATCAATGCAGGAAATGGAAATGCATTTCTACAAGGCAGTATTTACATAATACCTGTCTTCTAAAGAAATCAATGTTATTCACCTGTTCACCCCACTTATGTATGAGAACCTCTTTAAAAAACAAAAACAAAAACAAAAATAAATGGATTTCTAAAAGCAAGATGTGTTACAAGACTTCTTAAACATACTGGTATAGAGGAATAGGTGCACCTTCTATCAGAGCTGAGATGTGAGGGTTCACTCTGATTTCCTTGCCCATCTCCCACCAAATTTAACACTCAAGGCAGGGGAGAAGCCAAAGCTAAACAAATAGAATGGGTCTGCAGAGTGCAGTATCAGGGGACATTCACCAAAAAGAATTAAAAGCTTTGAAATGTAAATGTAAATCAAATTTGTATTTTAAAGATCATGCTAACTGGGAAATTTTATTCAATGTCAAAGTATGAATACTTTTCGATTGAAACTTTAAAAATCTCAGCATTTTAAACTTCAAAATCCCGATAACTGACTCAAAAAGCAAGAAAATGAGGGCAGACACAAAAAAGGAGTCTTTTTGAAAATTAACACACTTTCCTGAATGTTTAATTTCTTCCTGTAAAACACTTAGTAAGTCACAATACCAGAGAAATGAAAGGTGGAGGGAGTATTGGCTGGGTCATTTTAGAGAATCTCTGACATCTATGTAGGCTTAGTCCCAATGGCATACTTCTGAGAGCGTTGATATTCACAGAAAACCATCAAGACAGGATATTCTAATGACTATACAAGGACTATGGGTTACTGATTACCCATGAATGAATCATGCTCTTTGAAAATTCATAGAACCGAACCACACAAAATATATTAATACTATCTACATTAAGTGAAAATGAATTATGTAACCAAATACTCATAATGGCCTACTATACTTTACAAAAGACGCCTCACAAAATTGAGTGATATCATGTGAGCGCTAAATATGAGATTTAACCTTTATAGTGCAATTATATCTTGTTTTAATATAATGTTTTAAATTTCATATGCTACTTTTTTACCTATATTTTAGAATAGATTTTTAAAGTCGTCCTTGAAATATTGAGCAAAAAGTATTTTCTCTATGTCAGTGCAGAAGAGAGCTGTATTTACTTCTGTAAAAATGTGTTTAACATCAAAGAAAAATGGAGAGGGATCTCCAGATGTTTGGATTGTCTTAGCTAAAATCACCTGTAAAAATTCAGAAAGTTATAAGATGATATAACACCTTTTGTCTTTAAGATTTTGAGTTGTGAGAGATAGAAAATTGATAGCAATGCCTGTGAAGTGGAAGTGACTTAAAGCCACACTTCTGGGGTAGTAAGAAACCATTTTAGAACATCTGGCTATAATTTGAAATGGCTGCCAGATGATGTCATAGTTTTCCTTTGGTCACAAGCATTCAAAGTTGAAAGTTTCCTCCAGAAAATCATATGTTCCTCTCACTTCGAATTAAGGATGCACAAATCATAAAATGCCCATATATGCAGGGGGCAGGTAAAATATAAATTTTAAAGTTATTGTAAAATAGATAAGCAAAAAAGCCAGAAATATTATTTAAAAGAAGAGGAATGATGGGTGGTGGTGGGAATGACTCCCTCAAATAGTCAAACATTATGTAAAATACTAATTATCAAAGATGTACATTAATAACACATGATTTGACTAGTAAGTCAATTAAGACAATTGAAATTTCAGGAAAATAAAAAATATACATGGTGATTTAATGGAAGAAAATGTAACATTTGGATTCTATGCAAAGAATGTATTATTCAATAGTAGAACAACTGACTAATTAACCATCAGGAAATTTTAAAAATTTAAATTAAAGTTGGTTTCTCCATCTTACAACTAATGCTAAAATAAATTCTAGATGGCTTCAAAAAATTAATATTTTTTAATAAAAATTACTAGAGAAAAAATCAGTTACATTTTAATATTCTCAGTATGGGCATTATATATATATGAGATATTCAGATTTTTAAAAAGGATAAATACGTCTATCACCATTCATTATGTTTCTCTTTTGCCATTCAAGTTTTTAAAGGACATTATTTTAAAAAATCTAAATGGCAAAAAAAATACATCATGAATGAAGTCAAGATAAATAACTTACAAACATCAACTTTCATGTGATAAAGTTCTTGGGAATTAATTTTTAAAAGGCCCAATTCAGTTGAAAAAATGGGCAAAGAATATGAACAAGAGAGTTCAAGAACAGGAAGTATTAAAGGTCTAAGCACATCAAAAATGTTCAATCTTAGCTCACATTTCTCTTATTATTATTAAGACTACAATGTGGTAAACTTTTCACCTATTATATTAGCTAGGAAAAAGATTCATAACCATTGTATTGGCCAAGGTGTTGGGATACAGGACTTTTCACACTGGCTAGTGTGGGTGTGACTTAGGATAACCTATGAGGAAAATAATTTGGCAAAAGTTATCAAAATTAAATAAGCATATACTATATTACCTAGCAAGTACAGTTTATATATTTTCTTGTAGATAAGCTTGTATCAATGAGAAAAAAGATACAGACATTTACTTTTCATTTTTATATTGTTCACAATAAATAAAGATTGTAAACAACCTAGATCTCTGTAAGTAAGGAAACGTTTGAACATTTAAATAAAAAATATTGTACATATGTTCAATGGAATACTATATGGTCATCAAAAGTAATGTGACAGCTTTTCTTGTACCCTTAAGAATGAACTCCAGGCCTGGCAGAGTGGCTCATGCCTGTAATCCCTGCACTTTGGGAGGCTGAGGCAGGCAGATCACAAGGTCAGGAGATCCAGACAATCCTGGATAACACAATGAAACCCCGTCTCTACTAAAAATACAAAAAGTTAGCCGGACGTGGTGGCACATGCCTGTATTACCAGCTACTCGAGAGGGTGGGGCAGGAGAATCACTTGAACCAGGGAGGCGGAGGTTGCAGTGAGCCAAGCTGGCGCCACTGCACTCCAGCCTGGGATTTTAATTACCATTAAAATTACAAATTTTTAATTACCATTTTTTTCCAAAAAAAAAAAAAAATGAACTCCAAAGTACATTGCTAAGTGAAAAAAAAAGACAAGATTTAGAGAAGGGTGGGTACTTGCCACTGTTGGAGTGAAAATATAAACATACGTTTGGGATTCAGGAGCAGCCTCTGGACACAGGGAATGTTGACAATAGCTTTTCTAGGGAGAAACTTGGGTGACTGTGTCACAGGAAAGAAAGAGAAAGTATTTTTCACTGTGAAGTTCTTGAATTTTTAAATAACTGCACATATTACCAACTCAAAATATAAAATAAATCAAATGTACATTAGAAGAATCCATCATAATGAAGTTTAAAATTTCCCAGGAAAAATAAATGGCTAAATATTTTATTTTACTTTAATTTTTAATTTTTTTTAATTTCAGTAGGTTTTGGGGTAACAGATGGTGTTTGGTTACATGAATAAGTTCTTTAATGATGATTTCTGAGATTTTGGTGCACCCATGACCCTAGCAGCATATGCTGTACTCAGTGTGTGGCCTTTTATTTCTTGCCACCACCAACCCTTTTTCCCTGAGTCCCCAAAGTCCAATGTATAATTCTTATGCCTTTGCATCCTCATAGCTTAGCTCCCACATATGAGAATATACAATGTTTGGTTTTCCATTCCTGAGTTACTTAGAATAATAGTCTCCAATTCCATCCTGCAATTGCAATGGCATTGCTGCAAATGCCATTATTTCATTCCTTTTTATGGCTGAGTTGTAGTCCACAGCGTATATATACCACATTTTCTTTATCTACTCATTGATTGGTGGGCATTTGGGCTGGTTCCATATTTTTGCAATTGAAAATTTTGCTGCTATAAACAGGCATGTGCAAGTATTTTTTTTGTGTAATGACTTCTTTTCCTCTGGGTAAATATGTAGTAGGGGGATTGCTAAATCAAATGGTACATCTACTTTTAGTTCTTTAAGGAATCTCCACACTTTTTTCCATACTGGTTGCACTAGTTTACATTCCCACCTACAATGTAAAAGTGTTCCCTTTTTACCAAACCCACACCAACATCTATTTTTTTTTTTATGTTTTTGATTATGGCCATTCTTGTAGGAGTGAGGTGGTATCATGTTGTGGTTTCAGTTTGCATTTCACTGATAATTAGTGATGTTGAGCATTTTTCCATTTGCTTGTTGGCCATTTGTATATCTTCTTTTGAGAATTGTCTATTCATGTCCTTAGGCCACTTTTTGATGGGGTTGTTTGTTTCTTTCTTGCTGATTTGAATTATTTTAGATTCTGGATATTAGTCCTTTTTCAGATGTATGAAGATTTTCTCCCACTCTGTGGGTTGTCTGTTAACTCTGCTCATTATTTCTTTTCCTGTGCAGAAGCTTTTTAGTTTAATTAAATCCCATCTATTTATTTTTATTTTTGTTGCATTTGCTTTTGGGTTCTTGGTCATAAAGTACTTGCCTAAGCCAATGTCTAGAAAGGTTTTTCTGATGTTATCTTCTAGAATCTTTATGGTTTCAGCTCTTATATCTAAGTCTTTGATCCATCTCGAGTTGATTTTTGATTAAGGAAGAGATGAGGATCCAGTTTCATTCTTCTACATGTGGCTTGCCAATTATGCCAGCACCATTTGTGAATAGGGTGGCCTTTCCCCATTTTATGTTTTCATTGCTTTGTTGAAGATCAGTTGGTTGTAAGTATTTGGCTTATTTCTGGGTTCTCCATTCTGTTCCATTGGTCTATGCGCCTATTTTTATCCCAGTACCATGCTGTTTTTGTGACTATGGCCTTGTAGTATAGTTTGAAGTCACCTAATGTGATGCCTCCAGATTTGTTCTTTTTGTTTAGTCTTGCTTTAGCTAATGGGCTCTGTTTTGGTTCCATATGAATTTTAGGATTTTTTTATTTTTTTTCTGGTTCTGTGAAGAATAATGGTGGTATTAAGATGGGAATTGCACTGAATTTTTACATGGCCTTTGGCAGTATGGTCATTTTCACAACACTGATTCTACCCATCCACGAGCATGGGATGTATTTCCATTTGTTTGTGTTGTCTATGATTTCTTTCAGCAGTGTTTTGTAGCTTTCCTTGTAGAAGTGTTTCATGTTCTTAGGTACATTTCTAAGTTTTTTTTTTTTTTTTGCAGCTATTGTGAAAGGGGTTGAGTTCTTCATTTGATTTTCAGCTTCTCACTGTTGATGTATACCAGAGCTACAGATTTGTGTACATTAATTTTGTATGCTGAAATTTTGCTGAATTATTTTATCAGTTCTAGCAGCTCTTTGGGTGAGTCTTTAGGGTTTTCTAGGTATACGATCATATCTTCAGCAAACAGTGACAGTTTGACTTCCTATTTATCTATTTTGATGGCCTTTATTTCTTTCTCTTGTTTGATTGTTCTGGCTAAGACTTCCAGTACTATGTTCAACAGAAGTGGTGAAACTGGGAGTCCTTCTCTTGTTCCAGTTCTCAGGGGAATCCTTTCAACTTTTCTCTGTTCAGTATAATGTTGGCTGTGGGTTTGTCATAGACGGCTTTTATTATGTTAAGGTATGTCCCTCTATGACAATTTTGCTGAGGGTTTAATCATAAAGAAATGCTGGATTTTGTCAAATGCTTTTTCTGCATCTATTGAGATGATCATGTGATTTTTGCTTTTAATTCTGTTTATATGATACTATGTTATGTTATACTATGTTTATAGTACAGTATGAAGTCACGTAATGTGATGCCTCCAGATTTGTTCTTTTTGCTTAGTCTTGCTTTGGCTAGTGGGCTCTTGTTTTGTTCCATATGAATTTTAGGATTGTTTTTTCTAGTTCTGTAAAGAATAATATGGTATTAAGATAAGAATTGCATTGAATTTTTAGATTGCATACGTTAAACCATCCTTACATCCCTGGTATGAAACCCACTTGATAATGGTGGATTATCTTTTTGATAAGCTGTTGGATTCAGTTCACTAGTATTTTGTTGAGGATTTTTGCATTTATGTTCATCAAGAATACTGGTCTGTAGTTTTCTTTTTTTGCTATGTTCTTCCCTGGTTTTGGTATTAGGGTGATACTGGCTTTATAGATTGATTTAGGGAAGATCCCCTCTTTATCTTTTGGAATAGTGTCAATAGGACTGGCACCAATTCTTCCTTGAATGTCTGATAAAATTCAGCTGTGAATCCATGTGGTCCTGGTCTTTTTTTGGTGGCAATTTTAAAATTACCATTTCAATCTCACTGCTTGTTCAGAGATTCTATATCTTCCTGGTTTAATCTAGGAGGGTTGTATATTTTCAGAAATGTATCCATCTCCTCTAGGTTTTCCAGTTTATGCATGTAAAGGTGTTCCTGTAGCCTTGAATAATCTTTTGTATTTCTTTGGTATCAGTTGTAATATCTCCCATTTTGTTTCTTAATGAGGTTATTTGGATTTGCTCTCTTCTTTTCTTGGTTAATTTTGCTAACGGTCTATCAATTTTATTTATCGTTTCAAAAAATGAGCTTTTTGTTTTATTTATCTTTTTATATTTTTTGTTTCAAATTCATTTAGTTCTGCTCTGATCTTTGTTACGTATTTTCTTCTGTTGGGCGTGGGTTTGAATCGTTATTGTTTCTCCAGTTCTGTAAGGTGTGACCTTAGATTGTCTATTTGTGCTCCTTCAGACTTTTTGATGTAGGCATTTAATGCTATGAACTTTCCTCTTAGCACCACTTTTAGTGTATCCCAGAGGTTTTGATAGGTTGTGTTACTATTATTGTTCAGTTCAAAGAATTTTTAAATTTTCCTCTTGATTTCATTGTTGACCCCGTGATCATTCAGGAGCAGGTGATTTAATATCCATGTAATTGCATGGTTTTGAGCGTTCCTTTTGTAGTTGATTTCCAACTTTATTCCACTGTGGTCTGAGAGAATACTTGATATAATTTCAATTTTCTTAAATGTATTGAGACTTGCTTTGTGGTCTATCTTGGAGAATGCTCCATGTGCTGATGAATAGAATGTATATTCTGCAGTTGTTCGGTAGAATGTTCTGAAAATATCTGTTAAATCCATGTGTTGTAGGGTATAGTTTAAGTCCATTGTTTCTTTGTTGACTTTCTGTCTTGATGACCTGTCTAGTGCTGTCAGTGGAGTATTAAAGTCCCCACTATTATTGTGTTGCCTTCTATCTCATGTCTTAGATCTAGTAGTAATCGTTTTATAAATTTGGGAGCTTTAGTGTTAGGTACATATACATTTAAAATTGTGATATTTTCCTGTTGGACTAGTCCTTCTGTCATTATATAATGTCCTTCTTTGTCTTTTTTAACTGCTGCTGCTTTAAAGTTTGTTTCATCTGATGTAAGCATAGCTACTCCTGCTCACTTTTGGTGTCCATTTGCATGGAACATAATTTTCCATCCCTTTACCTTAAGTTTATGTGAGGCCTTATATGTTAGATGAGTCTCCTGAAGACAGTAGAAACTTGGCTGGTGAATCTTTATCCATTCTGCCATTCTGTATCTTTTAAGTGGACCATTTAGGCCACTTACATTCAATGTTAGTATTGGGATGTGAGGTACTATCCTATTCATCTTACTATTTGTTGACTAAATACTTTTTTTTAATTGTGTTATTGTTATATAGGTCCTGTGAGGTTTATGCTTTATGGAGGTTCTATTTTGGTGTATTTTTGAGGGGTTTATTTCAAGATTTAGAGCTCCCTTTAACAGTTATTGTAGTGCTGGCTTGGTAGTAGCAAATTCTCTCAGCATTTGTTTGTCTGGAAAAGACTGTATCTTTCATTTACAAAGCTTAATTTTGCTGGATACAAAATTCTTGGCTGATAATTGTTTTGTTTAAGGATGCTAAAAATAGGACCCCAATCCCTTCTAGCGGGTAGGATTTCTGCTGAGAAATCTGCTGTTAATCTGATAGGTTTTCCTTTATAGGTTACCTGATGTTTTTGCCTCTCAGCTCTTAAGATTCTTTCCTTTGTCTTGACTTTAGATAACCCGATGACAATGTGCCTAGGTGATGATCTTTTTGTGATTAATTTTCCAGGTGTTCTTTGAGTTTCTTGCATTTGGGGGGTCTAGATCTCTAGCAAGTCCAGAAAGTTTTCCTGGATTATTCCCTCAAATGTGTTTTCAAAACTTTTAGGTTTCTCTTCTTCCTCAGGAACGCCAATTATTCTTAGGTTTGGACATTTAACATATTCTCATTTAACATAGTCCCAAACTTCTGAAAGGCTTTGTTCTTTTTTTTAAATTCTTTTTTCTTTGTCTTTGATGGATTGGGTTAATTCGAAAGCCCAGTCTTCAAGCTCTGAATTTCTTTCTTCTACTTGGTTGATTCTATTGCTGAGACTTTCTAGTGCATTTTGCATTTCTCTAAGTGTGTCCTTGATTTCCAGAATTTGTTATTGGTTTTTATTTATGCTGTCTGTGTCACTGAAGAATTTTCTTTCATATCCTGTAACGTGTTTTTGATTTCTTTAAGTTGGACTTCACCTTTCTCTGGTGCCTCCTTGATTAGCTTAATAATCAACCTTCTGAATTCTTTTTTTGGCAATTCAGAGATTTTGTCTTGTTTTGGATTCATTGCTGGTGAACTGACATGATCTTTTGGGGGTGTTAAAGAAGCTTGTTTTGTCATATTACCAAAATTGTTTTTCTGGTTGCTTCTCATTTGGGTAGACTATGTAAGAGGTAAGATCTGGGATTCAATGGCTGTTGTTCAGATTCTTTTGTCCCACGGGATGCTCCCTTGATGTGGTGTTCTCCTCCTACCCCTAGGAATGGGGCTTCCTGAGAGCCAAATGTAGTGATTGTTATTGCTCTCCTGGATCTAGCCACCCAGCGGAGCTCCCAGGCTCTGAGCTAGTACTGGGGAGTGTCTGCAAAGAGTCTTGTGATATGATCCATCTTCAGGTCTTGTAGCTCTGGATACCAGCACCTGCTTTGGTGGAGGTAGCAGGGGAGTGAAGTGGACTCTGTGAGGGTCCTTGCTTGTGTTTTTGTTTAGTGCACTGGTTTTGTGTTGGTTGGCCTCCAGGTAGGAGGTGGAGCTTTCAAGAGCGCGTCAGCTATGGTCCTATAAGGATACAAACTTGCCCTAGGGACACCTGGTTAAGTATTCAGGCTTCTCAGGCAGTGTGCAGGGCCATAGAGATCCCAAGAGATTATGACCTTTGTCTTCGACTCCGAGGGTGGGTAGAGAAAGACCACCAGGTGGGGGGCAGGGATAAGCATGTCTGAGTTCAGTCTTTCCTTGGGTGAGACTAGCTGCAGCTGCTGTGGGGGATGAGGATATGGCTCCCAATCTTATGGAGTTATATTCCCGGGGGGATTGTGGCTGCCTATGCTGAGCCATACAGGTCACCAGGGAAGTGGGGGAAAGCCGGTAGTCACAGGCCTCAACCCTCTCCCACACAGCCCACGGTACTAAAGGCCAGTCTCACTCCCACTGTGCCCCCACAACAGCACTGAGTCTATTTCCAGGCAGCCAGTGACCAGGGCTGATAACTTGCCCTAGACCACTAGCCTCCCCACTGAGAAAGCAAGCAGACTCACGGTTTTTTGGTGTCTCAGGGAGCCTGCAGCAGTGATCCAATTTCAACTTTTAAAATTTAGTTATATAAGAGGTAGCATTAGCAAGCAATCAAGGATTAGACAATGAGTTTCTCAGGTATTTCATAATATTCAGGAGCTAACCCTGATTAATAATACCAAAATTTTTATAAAACATTGATTTAGCACTAAAAGTGGGCATTTTATCATATTCAATTTCCAAAAACTAATAGCAATCAAAATATTCAGCTGGAGAATAAAATGCGGTATAAAACCATTTAATGAAATACTGCTGAGCAATAAAATGGAACAAACTAATGATACATATAACCATGTGGGTGAATTGTAAATACCTTATGCTAAGTGAAGGAAGGCAGACTTAGAAGGCTATACATTGTTTGATTTCATTTACATAAACATTCTGGAAAAGAGAAAACTACAAGGATAGAAAACAAAGAAATGGTTTCCAATGATTAAGGGTGGGAGGGAGGGCTTGACCACAATGGGGAAGCGAAAGGGAGATTATAAGAACACAATGGGGAAGAAAAGGGGAGATTTTAAGAACTATTCTCGGGGGAGGGGGGAGGGATAGCATTAGGAGACATACCTAATGCTAAATGACGAGTTAATGGGTGCAGCACACTAACATGGCACATGTATACATATGTAACAAACCTGCACATTGTGCACATGTACCCTAAAACTTAAAGTATAATAAAATAAAATAAAATAAAACAAGAACTGTTCTATATTTTAACATAGTATCTTAAGAATATATCTTTATATTTTGGAAAAAAAGTGACAAAATAATTTTGAAGTAGATCTGGATAATGAAAACAGCAAGAACAGCTAAACAATAAAAAATCAAACTGGAAGAAAAATTTAGAGCAGGGACTTGTTCTGTGAGATAAGATGTATTATAAGGATTTGTAAATTCTTGCACAAAGCAAGCACACATATTACAGGTAAGTAAGTGGTATAAGCATGTATTATAGGAAAAGGTGATATCAAAGAATGTGAAAAGAATAGATTAATTTTTAAGTGCAGATAGGATACTGGTTTTTGGGAAAATATTCAATTTAGATAGTTATTTGATACCAAATATACTAAAGAGTTAAATTTAGAGAAAAAGCAAAAGATACAGAAATGAATATTAATGAAATCTCTTACATTTAAGGTGATTTTTTTAAAAGACACATTGGAGAAGTTTATTTCACATAAAAAGTAAACTATTATTTTTAAGAAATAGAAGTAAAAGTTAAAGAGCAATCAAGGGAAAGCATGAATGACAAATGCAATGGACAAATGTTTAATATTCTCAATATAGAAAGCATGTAGTCAAACCATAAGATTCACTCAAATTTTTTTTTTTTTGTTATCTGACTGAATAAAACTTAACTCAAGCAGTTTCAAATCAAACCTAACTAGACCAAACCAGCTCCATCTAGTTATAATCAATTCAAAGCGCTCAGGGGCATATCTGGTTCCCTCATCCTGTTTATTTTCAGCAAAAACTAGTTCTCATCAATTTAAAGTCAAGCATATAGGATTAAACTTGAACTATATCAATATGTTTCAAAAAGCATCAACCTATTTCTGCTTGGAAATACCTTTCATCTTTATCTTTGAATTTCAGTAAAAATGGATGCTTCTCCAGAATATTCCTTGATTCCTTTCCTCCATGCAGGGTTTATCAATCCCTCCTTTTTACCCCCATTATTACTTCCTTTATTATAATTATTCCGTTATGTGCTTAACCCTTACACTGAAAATGTATTTCTATGTCTACCAGTTATTCAAAGATATTTGTTTATTGAATTAAAAAAAAAAGCTTACTCAAATGTCTACAAGTGTAAAGGACATCAAAGTATCATAAGAAAAGCTAGGGTCTAAAGTATACAATCTTTTTGTGCCTTCGATCAGTAACCTATTGTATCTTCTACTATGTTATTAAAATTTGGGGTTGTTTATATATATATATATATATTTCATCTTAATCTAGGATTGCTGAGATTATTTTTATCCCAGTAGATGTGACTTTTTTATATGACTTCAAAATTTGCAGCTTCCTTGTAACCACAGAAGGAACTCTGTTCAGGTCTTTTGAATTAAATACCTGTGGTAATTGTTTTTTTAAGAGGTACTTTTCAACCCTAGAAACAATACTGATAGCAAGACACTTTCTCTTCAGCATCTCAGAAATTCAAGGAATAAAAAGCATTATCAGATCTCACTCAGTGTCCATGGCTTCTTTGGCCCATTCAAAGAAAGGATACTATACAGATGGAGAAAATATGGGTCTGACATTCCTCTAATTGGAGCTTTTTAATAGTGTGCCTTTTCTTCTAGACATAGCTCTTATGCTTTATATACATACATGTATGTATATATATATGTTTACATATATATACACACACACACATACAAAAGAACATCATTTTACAGCTTAGTTTTCAAAGAAAGATTGTTTCTCTAAAGGGAGTTTCTATAAATAGGCTACCTTTCCTTTAAAACAAAAGAACCACTTATTAAAAATCAGTGTTAAAACCAAGTTCATGGCTTGGGTCAAAGGGATGGCCCAATATTTCCATTCTGAAAATTAGAATGAGTGTTGAAGTATGAAACTGAATCTCAAGGAGGAATCTTTGACCAGACTAAAGAAATGATGTATTTAACCCAATACAGGATATTAATATTCATTCTATGTATCATGTAGGGAAGAAGGTTGGTCCTCCAAGTTTGGTAATGGAGGGAAGTGACACTCAATTTCTTGCTGATATTTTCTCCTATAGTGTATCCCCTCTCCATCAAAGAAAAGACCTATGACATAGCAGTACAATGTTAACACCTAAGTAACACTTAGTATTTACCAGAAACATTCCAATTGCTCTATGTAGTTTAATGTATTTAATCCATAGCCAATCTTGCAACACTAGTACAGAAGAGACTATAGTTATTCCCATTTTACCAAAGGGGAAATTGAGGAACAAAGGGGTTAAGTAACTGCTCATGGTCACATATCTAATAAGGTGACAGAATTAAATCCTGGGGTCAATCAGCCCATTTACTACTGTCATTACTAGTATGTATGCATCAAAGCAATTTATACACATAATATAAAATGCAGCCTCCTCATCTGCAAGATGGAACAGTTTCTTTTTCCCTAAGGGTGTTTGAGAAATAAATTTAAAAATCTGTAAAATACTAAATACAACATTTGGCACATAGTAATTCCCCAATCCCCTTGCACAAAAAAAAAAAAAAGTTTATTGATAAGATTGGGAACAGGGGATCAGAAACATTTCCTGGCTCTAACTATATCTTTTAGTAGATATTGGTGTGAAGAAGTGAAATTGAAATAATCATATACAGAGAGTCACAAGAGAACAAGAGAAACAGGCAGACAAAATACAAAAAGACACATATGCAGAAAGCAGGAAATGTTTAAACCCTGAAATTAAAAAATGAAATTCAAAGAAAGAAATTTTCTTCTCTGCAGAAGCCAAAAGAATATAGAGTGTAAAATAATTCTGTTGGATCCAGGACTAATACATTTCTGTGCCAAACTTAACTGAGGTAGCAAGAGATTGCAAATGTAAATAAAACAGCCTGATGGAAATTTTCTGAATGAACAGGAGGCAAAGGTCAAGGGGAGATATCAGTGCTATTGATAAAGGACTTCACTAAGCCATCAGAGAAAAAGAGTATAAGTATTTATTTGAACGACACTTCAAATCAATGTAAAGGTTAATGAATCCATTCTCCTGGTGGCACAGGCCACTACAACCCCAATGTACTACAAGGACAGGACCTGAAGGAAACTTTGGGAAAAGAGAAACCTCTGAGAAGACAAAAACTGTGATTTCAAATGATTTTAATTAGAAAAAAAAATCTAATTGTTGTTGTAGAATTGTAACAACCAACAGGATGTTTGGTATTCCAACGCATTTATTTTATATTCCTTTTGTGTTTAATGTCCATAGGTCAATACTCTTTAAAAAAATTAATCTGGAGAAAGTAGCAATAGAAAGCAGGAAGCAGAATGGAAAGATAATTTAATCTTTATAAAAATGAAAAGGGTTCTTGTGCTTTTAAACATTGTCTTCCATTTGAAAGAAGGTTTTTGAGGTTTAAGTGTTTTAAAATGTACCAAAAAAAGTATTATGTCATATATTTCTATGTGGAATCATCATAGTTGATGGTTTCTGCATTCACTTTATAAGCATTTACTAATAAAACGCATTAAGAGAGAATTAAGGCAATATTAGGAAATCACACTAGAATAATATGCTCGACTATTTTAAATTCAATTTAGTGTGTCTATATCAAACATCGTATGTTCAAATGGTAGGTATTGGAGGAGATAAAAGAATAACAAAGGCATAATTCTGCCATCCAGTGGGATAAGATAAGCATACAACAGTTGTTAAATGAGGCTACATGTCACAAATAGACACCCAGTATAGGAGAAAAGCATTTAATGCCGTACAGTGAGAGTTAAGGAAAGGGAAGTTGGAAATCAGGAAAATCTGCATGAAAAGTATTGTAGTTGAACAGAATTTCTTTGGGAAATAAGAGTGGAATGAGGGGAATGCAGGCCCTGGGAACTAGAGGTGCAATGATATGCTGGGAAAACTTTACAAGAAGTTTGGGATCATACAAATTTGTGTATGACTACATTAACACAGCTGCCATGGTCCCATAATAAATGGGACCACTGTTTATGAATCTGAGAATTACCAGAGCAAATTCAAGGTAAATATTTCTTTGATGCTATACTCTTTCCAATTATCTCAGAAAACTGTCAACCTCTAACATGGACATGTATAATTTAATGGATACCATTCTAGAATGAGCTGTACATAAGGCTCAAAATGGAAGGGTAGTCCTTACCTAGTTGCAAAGGATGTGTACCTTATATACCCCATGTACCAGATAATGCTCATCAATGATGTCATTCAGAGACGTCAACTATTAAATTATACTTCTAGCCTAGAAGGTGGATGTTGATGAAATAATTCTCATGAGGCTAACAGATGCCACTAATAATGCTACTAATACTATCTACCATTTCTTGCCAGAATTCTTTGTGGGGCTATAGAAAATCTCTCAGTTAATTCTAGAAACACTTGTAAAGGAGATATTGTTAACATCAAATGGGACAATTAGGTTTTTTTTACTATACTTTAAGTTTTAGGGTACATGTACACAACATGCAGGCTTGTTACATATGTATACATGTACCATGTTGGAGGGATAGCATTAGGAGATATACCTAATGTTAAATGACGAGTTAATGGGTGCGGAACAATTAGGTTCTATGAGGAACCTGGCAAGACGCTAAATAACTTGTTCAAGTTAAAACGTAAAAAAGAGACAGCAGCATAAGTCAAACCAAAGTCCATCTGATTCCAAAGGCAAAGGTGGTATTCTCTGTAGCATATGTTCTTCCAGAAATTAAATTCATAAAGGGCAAAGGGGATCCTGGCCGTGAGGATCTCATAGAAAGCATATCATAAGCTGGACGAATGGCGCTCTTTTCTTTAACATCATATAGGTGTAGCAAAGATGTAAAATGCTTGTCTTTGGGATGCAAGAAATGAAGGGGCTGTTAAATGATGTAAGCAAATATTGAGTTGCGTCCTTTAAAAATAAATTATATGAGAATTTTATCTTAAATTATTTTATCTATTACATGGATTCATTCAGATAAAATTACAACTAGTTACAAAAGATGACTAGAGAATTACTTTCCTTAGAGATCATTCAAATTAGGTAAAGATGCAATAAGCTTAATGAAATCATGATTATGTGACTCTACAATAGGAGACTTTACTATTTCTGAAATTTTTTTAAGATTTTATGTGAACACTAATAATATACAGTGTTCAATTAGTTGCATGCTAGTGTTTAAATATATTATTATCATTTTTATTATTATCATGTACTACAACTAGCAAACCTGGAAGGTCGTACGTACTTAAGATATGTCCCACATGGTGAATAGCACTCACACTGGTGAAGTCCAGATGTAAGATGAACATTATCTGAAATTAGCAGCGACTAAAAGAAGCAACACAGAATAGTTCTTATGATGATAACACAGCTCCCATGTGGCATCTGTGGTTAGCTTTCTGGCTCTTAGATATTAGTCTTAAACTCTCCCTAAATTGTGGGCAGACTCATTCGCATGCTACTCACAAATTCACATAATTCCATTCCCACAATTGCAGCATGCCACACACGCTGCTTAAATACATTGTCTTAATACAACATTCACATATTCTGTCAAACAATATGCTATTTGCTAATGAAAATGAGAATGCAAATGTTCAGAAGACTAACCATTGCCTCTGCATTTAAAAAAATAAAACAAAACACTCACTATAGATTAGGCGCCTGAATGCTTGTTTACCAAAAAAAAAAAATAAATAAAAAATAAAAAAATAAAAAAAAACTGGTAGAACTCATTTAATTGAAATTTATTTTTTAATTGCTCCATTAAAACTAGCTTCCTAGAACATACGTAGGTTCTCAAAATAAGACCAAAAAAAGTGAGAGCGTATTTTAAACTTCGCCTTTATCTTGGTTATCTTTCTTCATCTTTTCTAAGATGAAGGGCTTGAATTTGACTCTATATCGGCTGTTTTCTATGTTTGTTTTTTGTTTTTGTCTCAGGGCCTCTTTACACTCTGAAAAATTATTGAAGATCCCCCAAAACTTGTTTAGACACGTTATATTTATTGACACCATTAAAACATAAAATAAAAAAATTTAGATGTTTATTTATTTTAAAATAATAATAGTCCTGTTACATATTGACATAAATCATACACTTTTATTTAAAAACACTATTTTCAAAAACAGAATAAAAAAGAGAAGAGTGGCTTTGTAATTTCTGGCTTAATAAAAGACAGCTGGATTCTAACATTTGCTTCCATATTCCAGCTTTTGCCACATCTCAAATCATGTAGCCCCTGGAAAACTCCACTTTACATTCATGAGAGAATCAGAGTGAAAAAGGCAAATAATGAATTCGTATTATGATAAAAATATTTTTGACCTTGTAGACCACCAGAAAGGATCTTAGGAACCTCCAGCGGTCTCTGTAACACCCTTTGTATCAAGCTCACTATACCATCTTAAAATGATTATGTGTAAAAACATATTAGTTTCAATATTTTTCTTCAGTGCTTTTGTACACTTTGCTAAGATTTTTTTATTTTAAAACCCCTTTGTCTTATATATGGATACAATTTTCATTCTTTTGAATGGACCTTTATTAAGACATATTGTGATTAGCTCAGTGATAATCGGCCGGTGATTGCTCACTCACAGGAGACCTGATCACGGTTTTATCTGCTGTTACACACACTTTATCAACATTTAAATGGTGTATCCCTTTTATAAAGAAGCCAGCTACCTATAAACAAGTGCTGCCTTACTTAGAGTGTCTAGTATGTCTATTTCCAGTGAAGTGAGGGAATTTGAGGAATTTTATATTCACTTTTGAAACCTCCCTCAATCTATCCTGAGGGATTCAGTTAACTTGAGTACATTTTACAGATGAGACTGTAAAACTCAAAACATTAATGAAAATAATAGATCATAGAATAACAAATTTAGTGTCTGTATGAATATAATACCTTAGTTTGGGTTCACCAGAAACAGACTTTGAAACAAGGTTGCTTGTGAACATGAATTCTTAGGAAGTATTTTCAGGGAAAGCCAGTAAGGGACTTGGGAATTGGGACCAGGAAGTGAAGGAGTCAAGCAAGGATGTGGTGTTAGACAGCCCCACAAACTGTAACTGTTTGAATCCTTCAGGAAAGCTATAGAGATAGTATACATCATACACAGGGTATTCTCATCAGAAGCAGAAGAACTGGGATATTGATACTCCAACAGCTGTCAATCACTGTTTATGGATGGCCCCGAATGGGGATGTAAATTCCCAAGTACTTCTGACTCTCACTGCTCACAGGCAAAACAGGCTGCTGCAGCCTAAGGGCAGTCTACCTAATGAAAGAGATGCAGGTGCTGGTTGATGGCCACGGGCAAACACTCCGGGAGCACTAACATTTGCTCTAATAACAAACAGCTGGAAATCAACTTAAATTCTTGAGTTCTTTTTCTTTAGGGCATCTCAGCGGGTCAACTAGTGCAACTGTTTGATATAAACCTCTGGTCCAAAATGTGTCTCACACTCAGTTCAATAGAAAATGGTTATGTTTTCATATGTACAGCCTCCCAATCTTGCTATAGGAATAATATGGAATGTGTAATAACTTTGGCTAAGAAACACATTTTTGAAAATGCACTTAATTTTTAAAATTATTTTATCATAAGCATTATCTATCTTTCTAAATATATAATAAGTATGCATATTCACCACCTCTAAATTTTTAATGTGTGTCTCAAAACTAAGCTTTCAGATGAAAGATTTAGGGCATTTAGAGCTTTAGGACAATCCCCGTTTCATGGGACAATGAGTAGGGGTGTGAGCATGGTCTATGCTTGAGATATAATCATCTAAAACTTAAAGTTGATTATAACCTCGAGGAGCTCCATTCTGTTTTTCTAGGCCCTAATAACTTTTCAAGAATAGGAATTATTGAAAGCAAGTATTAAGGTTGAGACCCAAGAGATACACATTTACATGAATTTAGATTAGCAATTAGGATTATTTTCCTGGCATACTTATGGTGTCAGATAGTTTAAGTTCATATTTTATTTCTTTGAATAAAAAACAATGTGCTCTAAGATATAAGGACTTCCCAAAGCTTCTTGTTTCAGATGCTGAACAGTCTTCTATAGTAATATGTGCTTATGAGCAGTTATAAAGAAACTGTGAAGTTAAAATAACTAACAAGATTTTTTTTTCTATTTAACACACAAGCAACTCTAATGATTCTGAGATGATTCTTTATTTGGCCTTACTTTAGTCAGCTTACTGAACTTTCTTCTAGGTGACGTCTGATTACCCTGGCCTGTCTTCAGAAAGAATCCTACCCCTGATGCTTCCTCTTGGTAATTTTCCAACCACCGACCTCCTATGCTGCTCCTCGGCTGTAAATTTCCACTTGTCTATGCTGCATTCGGAGGTGAGCCCAATCTCTCATCTCCACTGTAAGAGACTCCATTGCAGTGGTGCCTGTAACTATTGTGATGGTGCTGAAAAAAACTCTTACTGTGCTTTAACAAGCATCACTGAATATGATTTTTCTTCAATAAAAACTCACAAAGAAGGTAAAAATCAGGAGAAACTATGAGAGTTTTTCAGAGACTATTTAATAATGTAATATAGGAATAGTCTGGATGATAGTCGGTGAATACAAGTTCTATACTAGTATATTAGCTTTCCGTTGTTGCTAGAAAAAATCATCTAAGACTTAGAGGCATAAAACAACATAAACTTATTATCTCACAGTTGTATAGGTCAGAAGTCTAACACAGATCTCACTGGGCTAAAATCAAGGTGTCAGCAAGGCTAAGTTTATTTCTGGAGGCTCTAGGGGGGAAATCCAAGTCTTTGCCTTTTTCAGCTTCCAAAGGCTGCCTCCTGTCTTCAAGGCCGGCAATGTTGGGTTAATTCTTTGCACACTGCATCACTCTGACCTCCTCTTCTACCGTTCTCCTCCACTTTTGAGGATGCTTCTAATTACACTGGGCCCACCCAGATAAACCATGGTAATGGGAATGGATTGGATTTGTGTCTCCACCCAAATCTCATGTCAAATTGTAATCCTCAGTGTTGGAGGAGGGGCCTAGTGGGAGGTGACTGGATCATGGGGGCAGATTTCCTCCCTGCTATTCTCGTGATAATGAGTTCTCACAAGATCTGGTTGTCAAAAAGTGTGTAGCACCTCCTCCTTCACTCTCTTCCTCCTGCACCAGCCATGTAGGTCATGCCTGCTTCCCCTTTACATTCCGCCCTGATGTAAGTTTCCTGAGTCTTCTCCAGCCACACTTCCTATACACCCTGTGGAACCAGGAGCCAACTAAACTTCTCTTTTTTATAAATTACCCAGCCTCAGGTAGTTCTTTATATCAATGCGAGAACAAACTAACACAATAATTTTCCTATTTTAAGGTCTGTTTATTAGCAACCTTAATTCCAGCTGCAACCTTAATTTTTGCTGTAACCTTAATTACTCTTTTTCATGTAACCTAACATATTTACAGGTTCTGGGGATTAGGATTTACAGATCTTTAGAGGACCATTATTCTGTCTACCACAACTAGGTATTTGCTTATTTATTTAACAAATGATATTGGTATTGTTCTGTGCCAGGCATTGGGCTAGATGTTTGGAAGAAACAGTAAGGTGCAGTCCTTGTTTTCAAAGGGTTTGAATTGTTTAAGGAAGATGGGAGAGATAAACATCAAAGTTCTTTCTCAGAAAAACCTACAGTCTAATGGGACAAATGAACCTTCATAAGCATGCCAATTTCCTATGAAAGATTTATTTTTTGTACTGAAAAATAACTAAAATATTACTCAAATAATTGATTCATCATTCAGGGCTGAAAGACGTAAGAAATAAGAGGAAGCAGCTAGTAAGATAAACACATAATGGCTAGTTCAGAGCTTGCCTACTGTTTTCATTCACATTTCTCTTAAAATATTTTCTTATGTTTTGCAGACTTTTCATTCTAAAAATTAGATCATTCTAAAAATTAGATCATAAATGATGAGGTGTATGTATAGCAGGCTTTTTGATGGTTACAAGGAGAGAGTTGCAAGTATTTAATTCAGAATACTATCCATTCATACAAAAATTGGTTAGAATGTGTTCTTAAATCAATCCTATTAAATGAGATTCTAGATTCTGAAATGCACTAAGAACTTAATTATTCAATTTGGTTTCCCTGGCTTGTGTGTTAATTGGTCTTAAGCCACTCAACCCTCAGCTTCCTAATAGGACTCATCCGGACAGACACTAAATGGTTTAGCTACTCATTAGTGATGCTGACAGAAGGCAAAGCCCAACATGGTCTTAGAAGCAAAATTAGTGTTTTATTATTTATTTTGTAAGTTTTTATGTGAAATTTTCAGTCCAGAAATTCGTGCAGACCTGAATGGAGTCAGTATTTTAGAAATAAGTTATGAAGGTGGTTCATGATTTTGGAGATGTATAGAAAACCTCCTCATCCCTTTTCTCTATCCCATGAAATTACAACTACTTTAATCAATCAAATTCTGGAACCAAATGGAAACTCCAGACACATTATGCTGCTACTTATTGGTGCTTCATATGTAACTATAGAAAAAATATGGTCAAGAAAGCATTAACCATATCTTATTGATTAAAAATTACAGAGTATGTTATATAATATTATAAGAGAAATAATATGTTAATGTGGTACTTTCTCTAGGCAGAAATGAGCAACAATATTATGCCAAAAGGGATATAATAGAGACTGGAAATTCTCTTTTTTGTTTTTTCTCAAGACATTTATCTTTCTATGTGAAGACGTGGCAGGGGGAGCAAAAGTGCTGCATAATCATTGTGCTTAACTAGCTCCAGTGGCAAAAAGTTTAGAGACATTATTCCAGTATAATTAGGCAAGACCATTTGCCATGCCAGAAAACAGAATTCATCATTGCACTGTTCAAGAATGAGTTCTTTAAAGAAACTACAATTAGGTCCTCAGTATACACCTTGAAAAGCAGTCTTAGAAAAATTAGGCTTTCCAAAATGTAACTGAAATTTTTCTCAAATAAGTTTCTTATTCTTACAAACATTTTTCTCTCTCTCACTCTTGCTTTCTTTCTCTATTTAGATATGGAAATATTTTTAATTAAAACATTTAAAAATATTTTAAGATTTTCCTCAATGTTTTCCCCCAAATTGGTTGCATGCTTGTTTACCCAGAGCTGTGCATCCTCCCCATACCTTCAGAAAGTTCATTAAAAGCAAATATATGTATGATTGTCATTTAATTCATGAAACTATACAACTCCAAAGAGTATTTAGTGAGAATGTACAGAGCTAAGCATACAGCCCTTGAGCTACAAAAAATGAAAAATACTCTGGTTTGGAAAATTCAAAATCAGATAAATAAAGAAAAAAAACAACCCTCTTTGTCACTATTCACTTAACCTGCTCCTACCAAGATTAGAACTTCAAGAGGCAATCAAGGCAAGTATGACATTAAGTAATAAAATTTAAGGTAATAGTGAAAGACCTTCCAACCTTCTAATCGTAAGCCTCCAGCTGCTCGACTAAAGATCTTTTTCACTTGACTTCAGCCAGCTGTAGGCATTCACACATTGGATGTCATATTTGATGTCCACCTCTACATTTATCCAAGACCAAAACCTCAAAAAATACCTTCTGTTTGATAATTTTCTGTGCCTGCACCTCACCTTCACTTTACTGGCTTTATGGCTGCCCTAAATCTTTTCCATTTTTATCAGCCATCTAACTCTTTGTGTCCTCAGTTGTTCTCAAGTTGGCCATGCCACCGTTCTTGTCTTTTTCTTGTCCTTCTTGTCTTTTTCCATACCTCTCTTGCTAAATTTCAACCCTGGCTTGCTACCTGACTACTACCTCTAATGTTCACCTTCATTAACCCTACTATGGGATTTATAATCTCTGCTCTTTAAAAAAACAAAAAGTCATAAAAACAGTACATTTGGGCCATGAAATTCACTTTACTATTTTAGTGAAGTGAATACCTTCCTTTATAGCCAAAGGTTTTAAATCAAAAAGTAGTTCCCTAACACAATTTCTAGAACCCCCAACTTGAATTTGACTTTCCCCAAAATCAGAGCAAGGGACAAGGTAGTTTAATTGGGAGCTGATGTCAGGAAGCTGAGATGATAGAAAAGGAAAAGACAGGGAAGGGGGAAAATGCTAATAAAGGAAACCTCATTGAGCTTGTGACCACTGTAGATAACCTCTCAAGGAACCCTGTAGAATGTGACTCAGAATTATCCTTCCAAAGGATGAGAGACCCAATGTTATCTTCTGGCTCCTATACCCTGTTGATTGGAGGCTATCCCAGGGGGTGATAACTCCCCCAAAGTTTGTAGAAGACGTTTGTCTGTCTCATTGAGCAAGCTTTTATAAATTTTGTCCTGAGGTGGAAAAGTGAAGAAACTAGGTGGATACATAAGGTAAGATGCTTCTAGGTTGCATCTCATATGCAGCCGAAATCACAGGTGGGTAGAGTAGATGTAGCCCTGTCAAAAAACTCATTTCAATTATTTCTATTCTTTTGAAGATGAAACTTTTTCCTTCTCTATTTAGCTTCTCATACAAAGATTTAGAAATTTAATCACCTCTTCTCTCTGTCTTATATATCTAATCAGTTACCAGCACACAGCTTTTTTACCTTCACAATGTCAGATGTGGCTCCATAGAAAGGTTGAAAACTGATTGACCATATCAAATTCCATAGGACTCACATAGATTCTCAGACTCCATTGACCATGATGTTGTCCAGCTGCTCTGTGAAGTTCACTAATAATATTTTAAAGGTGTTTTCTTCATCATGAAGCAACAAAGTATGTTTGATGCATAGAAATAATCTGAAGACATCACCAACATTAAGAATACAAAAATTTTTCCAGTGAAAAATCTAAAATGATACCCAATTGGGGATTACATTGTTCACAAAGCATGTTATACAAGTGATGCTTTAGTTTCACAAAGATAAAACATTTGGAGAGAAGCAATGCGCCACCTGAGCAGAACAATCAAGACATATTTTTTGCCCAACTATATACCATAGCATTTTTTATTTGTTACCTCTTCTCAGCTATAGTTGTATTTGTGGACTTAATAGACTGTTACTATTGAGCAAACACAGATCGCAAAGCTCTGCAACATTTCCCACTGATAAAAATTTGTAAATCTATTGCTTAAATATTCTGATTTTTGAATCACATAAGATAAATTTAAGATAAATTGCATTTAAATATGTTGTCGATATTTTACTCTGGCAGGAATGTTAAGTTTATACAAACATTTGTGTTCATCATTTAAAAAATCATTTTGTAAATATTTTTCCTTGCTTGCTCCCATAAAGTATTCATATACATACATAGTCATACACATTGTTATTTACATCAACACACAACACTAAAATTACTATGTCAAAGCATCAAAAAGCCCCATGCTTTATTTATTCGAAAAATATTATTCCTCTGATACATAACTACTTGTGCAAAGTTCTGTCAGTCACAAGAGTTGTTAAATTTTTAAAGATCCCATAATGTGGTAGGCTTTCTCTCAAATTTTCCTTACTTCTTAGAGTTCAATTAAGATTAGAAACAATTATGTAAAGAGTAAGGAAAGCATACCAGAAGTTAGTTATTCCATTTTATTCTGAAAAGATTGCTCCACTGATAGGAGCACGTGCTTACAGGAAAAAACAAATGTCTAGTTTGGGAGCAAAACATGATTTATTTTTTTACAAACCGGCCTGCATGTTCTGTTCATCAATACATGTCCCTACATGTGAAAACCTTTTCCGCATGGTGTATCATTCTGCTCTGGGGGCTCTTTGAAAGTGAGCCTTTCAAGTCCATGCCCCACAGATCCCTGAAGTGTCTGGGAACTAACCCTTTGCTTTTGCCAGAGATTTGAAAATGGAACACTTTGGGGCTATACAACATTGCTGTGTAATTCATTACGGGACAAAGAAATGTCTGGGGTTAGGCAGGCAAGCAACTAATGATCCTTCATTTTGTCCAGAAAAACATCAAGATCGATATGTAGGACATGCAACATTTATGGAATGCTGTATTTTCTTTTCCCTCTAGGTAAGGGAGAAAACGCTGAATGATCTCTTTCTGCTGATGGCTACAACACTCAAACGATTGACACTATTTAACACATGCTTTTGGTCTCTCCTTCTCATCTGCTAGCAGCAATACATGTGACTGATCTTTGTTAACTTCCTGTATACTAGTACTCAATAATTTGATTTTTGGCATGTATATTTAGCTTCATTGATCCAGGGAACCAAAATCTGGGGATAACATTATAATCTAAAATGAACAGAGGTAGTTCTGGGATATGCTAAAAGACATCAATCATCCATGATGTATTCATTTAAAAAAAGATCTTTTATGAATAAATAGGAGGAGCCCAGAGAAATAAAGCGTGTTCCAAAAAGATATCTGTAAAGTTCTCTTCCAACTCACTTATCTGTCAGGAATTAGAACCCAATACCAACATGAATCATATTTAATTAGCAAATTATTCCAACAATGGCTCAAATCGAAATGGGGCAGCAACATAAATGTGGTCAGTGTTACATGTCCTTGCAAATTTCCTTAACTATGAAATTTTTAGAATTTGAAATTCAGAGCAATGTCAACATTTTAGGTTGAAATAGATTTTTTCCTTGTTCTTTTTTAGAAATGACATAGTAGGGGACTTGGAAACTAGATGATCATCTCAGGAAAATAATTAGCTTTGCATCTCCTTTAAGAATAATTGTCATTGTCAACAGTGACAGAAACCAAATGCCATTATATTTGCCCAATAACACAGGCACATTTTCCCCACACTGTGCCTAAACAGAGACGTAGACCGTATGAATATGGCACCAATTGCTCAGTACTTGCTTAGAGTTATATTAAATGTAGGCAACATAGTTTGGCTGTGTCCCCACCCAAATCTCATCTTGAATTCCCATGTGTTGTGGGAGGGACCCAGTGGGAGATAATTGAATCATGGGTGCAGGTCTTTCCGGTGCTGTTCTTGTGATTGTGAATAAGTCTCATGAGATCTGATCATTTTAAAATGGGAAGTTTGCCTGCACAAGCTCTCTTCTCTTGTCTGCCGTCATATGAGACATGCCTTTCACCTTCCACCATGATTGTGAGGCCTCCTCAGCCACGTGGAACTGTAAGTCCAATAAATCTCTTTCTTTCGTAAATTGCCCAGTCTTGGATGTGTCTTTATCAGCAGCATGAAAACAAACTAATACAATAGGGCCCTAGTATGAGAAGAAGATGATTGACATCATATTCAATCTTTCCACAGCTTTCTTAAGACCCGAGGATCTCAGGTCATCATTATTGGATCCCTGTGAGTCCCTCATCTACATGACCTTAAAGCAATGTATTTAAACAATCAATGTGCAGTTCTATAAAACCACAAACTTCTGAATTCAAATATGTCAAATCTTGATAAGGCAGAACACTGAGATTTTTCAAATTTTAAAAATTGTATTTTAGTTTTCAGTGGGTCACACCAATTATAGTTGAGCATATTCACAAGCAAAGACACACTCTCTAAAGTAATGAAAAAGATTCGGAAATTGGCCACTTAAAAAAAGTATAAATATCTGATGCCATAGCTCATAGTGATATCCTACTCCCTGTCTTAAATATGGAATCAAATATTGGTTAAGACATACATTTCTGAAAGTAAGATTTCAGCTATTTCCAGGTAATAAGTAATGAGGACCAATAAAGGCAGACAGCATATACCCAAATTGTAATTATACCTGTTATGACTTAGTAATTATACTCAACAAGGGCAAATTACTACTTTACCTTGCAAAATACCCATATCTTGTATTATATCCTCTTTTCTTCCACACCTAATTTAAGTATCAAAGATTAAATGTCTTTACTTAGCATTTGAAGCCTTTATTCAACTCTAACTTTCAAAGTAATTTATAAATAAGCAGATTCAAGCACTGATGATGATCAATATTCTGTATTTAGTTCTATTATGATGAGTGGAAATCTCAGAAGCATACAGTTGTCTCTCCTAAGAGTTTTATAACTGAACATAATTATTTTGTCTTTCTTGTTCCCGGGAGATAAAAATGAGTGAGAAAACTCATAACCAAGTTCCTGCTATTCACAATGTTTCCATTGGGTGTAGCTATGATATTAGATAGGTTAATATCATAGCCTGCATATTCTGGAAGGATGCCCAGACATTTGGGGATTTGTAGTGACTTTCTTTGTCTTCAGCATTAAATTGTATTAGTCAGCAATATGTTCATTGGGGAAAACCAAATAAAATACTTTCAAATCAATCAGGGCAAGAAGGCTTTCAATACGTCTTTTTGACATACCAATATTTTGAACAAATCAAAAAATTGAGACTTGTGCTAAAACTTGAATCATTCATAATTTCTACACAGTGTGCTCATTTTTATTTTTATATAATTATATAATTTACACCTAGTTTGAACAACTTCTATATAAATAGGTATCCGTTGGATGAAATAGGACAAACAAGAGGAAAGTCCACAAACAATGCAACTCCTTTACTCGATGACGGATTTGAGTAAAGTGTCTTAAAATGTCTGTTTATACAAAAAAAAAAAAAGTATTTCTGCTAAAATGCAAGGGCAGCTAACATGCTGAGATGAAAACTGCTAACTCTTTTCTTAACAACACCATATGTCTCCAATTGGATCATAATGCAGTCAGTTCCCAAGGGAACGTTACACATGGAAGCTAACCAAATCAAGGCACAGTCTTCACTGTATGTTGACTCACTGATTAGCCAGCAATCAGCTACTTTAGGTTTTCAGATTATGCAAGTGTCTGTCTGAAGGGTCTTTCTGCATTCTTGACATCCCCCCTTAAAAAAAGCAAGTCATTACAAAACCCTCCACAAAAATATTTCTCTTTTTGTATATGCTTCCTCTTATCTATAAACTCAATATATTTTAAGGAACTAAAATGCTCAACCTCTGAACTCTCTGATGGGTTTTAAATAGTAGATGCATTATACAGCAAACGGTATTGAAATCAAGCTTAAAAAGATTAAAGTCACATATTGTAAGATGGAAGAAGTCGCCTTAGTCTCCTCTGAGAATAACTGTATATAAAAGACCAACAAATAAACCAAACTGCCTTATTCAGATGAATCTTTACGTAATTTTTCTTAGTTTAATACTTCATTCCATTGTTAATTTTTTATATTGGAATTATATTTAAAACTTTACTTAGTTAATATTAAAACCTTCCACATACACTACTGCCTCAAGTTCTGGCATTTGTAGCTCTGATACACATAATAAATCCAATTATTTCATGTTTAATGCAATTCTTAATAGCATAAAATTAGAACACTTTATAATGTGTATAAAACCTTAGGAATTTTGCCTTGGGAAGTGTGAAATGCCCTGGGATAGTCCAGATTGGGGCTTCTCAAACTAGCTCTGATAAATAGACAGTATTTTCTAAAATTTCCAATTTGTCAGTAACTGATATTTTTGTAAAAGAAAATTATGCACTGAGATTTCATGACATTGTCAAATCGCTATACTAGTTTCTAAATGCTTTCTCTCAGTTTCTGTGCTTTTCTTGTCATGGACTGGTAAGAAATGTTTCAGGGCTGGCATCAATTTGTGGGATTCATTGTGAATATCATTGTTTGGATATTTTGTAACTTGGAAATTGGAATTTTAATATTAATGCTGAGTCATAAAATTCTATCACTTCCAGCACATCATTCTTTAACTATTCTTTGCTATGGTTTTCTTCTAATCCACTTTAGAAAGTTAGCAGCAGAGATTCAAAAAGCAAAAGAAGAATTACCAAAAAGCTTTTGAGAAAGATGAGTTGCTACACAGTATTATTTGAAAATACACATTAAGAAAAGCAAACCCCCCAACTCTGCAGTGATCAACAAGGGCTTTACAATGTACTTATTCTAATAAGAGCAATTTAAGCCTCGGCATCATTCAGTCACTTATTAGTGAATTTCTTACCTGGGATGCCTGGTGGTGTTTTCAGATATTTTCCATTAAAATGTTGAATTACCACTTCACATTTTTCAGTAGACTCCATTCTGGGAAAAAAAGGTAAACCAGAGGTCATATATGGTTGTCAAGAAAAAGAAACTTAAGAAGTAAAGGAAAACAAGAAAGCCATAGAAATACTTGATTTGAGAATTGTACCCTAATTGCCAACTTTTTTCATGAACATGATGACCAGATTGATAAGAGAACATCACAAACTCATTAATGCTTAGAAAGTATTATTCACTCTTTGAAAGGTGTCTATGTGGAGGGCTCTATTCTGAGCACTCGTTCAGAGGTAACCCTGCGGCATTATCTTAATTCACCCAGCAATATTTGGCAATTGAAAGTGTTCAACAAATGTCTGTTGAATGATGAATTAGCAAACCTGATGGGTAAGTCTTTTTATTGTCATTCATATCAATAAGGTCACTGAGGCTTAAACAGATAAACTACCTTTCCAATAAGAGGAAAAGTCAGTATTTGAACTGACATCTGTGCAACAGTAAAGCCTGTGCTATAGCTACTAAGCTATACTGCTGATGGATTTCACAAAAGAGGTTGACAAGATGTGTTTTATTTGCATGGCTTGCAGCCTAAAGGACTGATTGGTATAGTAATGTAGTCGTCAGCATTATGACATTTTTATTGAAAATCCACTTTATGTAAGACATCCAAAGAGTTAGGTGGGGTCCTACATGTTGAAGGAAGGTATAGATACACAAACCTTAGGTTCTATGCTTTCTCAATATTGAATTTTGGACAATATCCTATTTTTTCATACTATCTTATCAATATTCCTAAACTGGTATTCTTGTGCCAAATTTTGGCATCTCACATACAACCTAAAGCATGAACATTTTGAGCCATACCAACATAATTTAAATTTTGGCAATGTTACCATATCTTAAGTACAGTAATATTTGTAGCAGTTTCCAAATAATGGATAATATCTGGCCTTTTTTATTTTATAAAATTGGATGGGGAGGATAATAATTAAGGATTAATTCTGATAAAAGAAAATTAAGTCTTCCAAAGAGTATACTAGAGGCAAAAATACATTTAAGAAACAGCATACACACACATGAAAGAATGTGTATGAAATGTGTGAAATGTGTAAAATGTGTTCAAAAGGCAAAGTTTAATTTTGGATTTTCTGCTGTTATTAATATGAGCTTTCTTGGAATGGTGCCCATCAACTCAAGTTGTAAAACTTTCCTACATCTAAATTTTATGTCCATTTCAGGACCATATTACATGGCCATATTATAGGACCATATTACATGGCAAAGGAAACAAGATACAAAAAAAATATGCTAACAAATGTCAAGTAAGTTATACATATTTATTACAGCTATAAGAATTCAAATGTGAGAGGAATCCCAGAAGTGAGAGAAATGCTGAGAAGAGGCACGGAATCTAGGAGAGGCTTTTGGCGAAGTAATTAGGGCAGGGGGCTGAGCTGGGCAGCTTGGAGGGCGTGCGTCCTTATTACAATGTGGTAGAGAGAGCAAGCATGTGGCTCAGTGGAAGGTTTGCCCGGGAAATTCTTAAAAATTAACTGAGAGAGGAAGTCAGGGCATCTGTATCACTTGTTTAACAAGTTTGAAGATAATATCAGGAACGAGTTCCAGTTTTGAGCTATAATTATTCTCTGACAAAGTTTTGTTTTCAGATGTACATTCTTATGAAGCATGTGATGAGAGTGCATCTTTCTGTATCGATGGATATGACAAATCTCTACCGCCAAGCAGGGCTAAATTTACAGGAATGAGGCCTATGTCTTCACACACAGCCCCACACTTAGAACAACCCTGCACTTGGTTTAAAGTTCTGCTGTTGCCACCTTGAACTTCTTAACAGTGTTTTAACAAAGGGATCTACATTGTCATATTTCACCCTAATTTAAGTAGCTGATCCTGCTATGACAAGAGAGTGTAGGAAACTAACTTAACATTAACGCTCAGTATGTATATCATCAGGTGACCCAATGGATCCACATAAGTATTATTTTGAAAAAAAAAGTCTTCAGAATGAATCAATTTGATGTCCAAATAAAAAGAAAACTCTTTATGCAATTTTAATAGATAAAAATAAAAACAAAAACAGCATTTTGTTTACTACTCACTCACAAGTTCCCCTATATCAGAAGATGTTTGGATAAGAAAGGCAAGCGGAATCTTTCCTCATTCTAAATATTTAGGAACAGCTAAGTACAATTTTCCTAACTCTTTCAAGTTTCCTTTCCAGTGGAACCTTTTACTGTAAGTCTTTCAATTTTTTTATCTTTTTTTTTTTTTAAGTAGAAAATTTCCATTTCCAGGAAGAAAAGAATTCTAACTCTGTTCTTTCTCTCTTCCCACAGGATCCACTATTGTCTCTTTGGGAAAATAACCTTCTCTCCTAGCAGAGACATGAATGGGAGAGGAAATGTAAGCCCTTAATTACTACAGATGTTACTTTATGGAATTTTTATTCCAGGAGAGCTACAAAATGCAAAGTTTATGCCTCAGAGCCCCCTCCCTGTTCAATCTCTCTCTGGGTACTCATCTGGATAAAAGGCAGTTAAGAATCTAAAGCTTGCTTGCAAGAGTCCTACAAATCAAATCCTTTGTCTTAAAATGGCATGGAATTATAAATGAAGACTAATACTAGGGGTGTGTGTGTGTGTGTAGGGGTGTGTGTGTGTATGTGTGTGTGTGTGTGTTTATTCTACATAATACATTTTAGGGAATAGAGAGGAAGCTAAAAAAGAAAATCAAGTGGCTAACCCACTCCACCCACTTAAAATATTTTTGTTCTGTTTGAAAGCCTCAAGTCCTCCCTTCTGCATTCTAAGTGTGATCATCTTTTCTTAACACTGTTTTACAGCCATATCAAGCTGGATGGGGGCTGTTTCTATGAACACAAAGACAGCAGAGTAGATTGTTCACTTTGGGTTCATTCAGATTTAACTAAGTGAATGTCTGCTGTGAGCCTTTAGAGACTCCCGTCTCTGAAAGAATAAATGCAATAAAAGTCTGTTTTCTGTAGCTGCCGGCGCTTAGTGTCAAACCATGTTACGCTGCACCACCCAGCAGTGACAATTCCATTTTAATACACGGGGCACATTTTAACAAGGCAAAGCAGTCCCAGCAAAGATGGCAATATAGGAGCTGCCAAGGGGAAAAGGCTCAGTGTTCCTCATGCATTTTACGTGGAAGCAGAACAAAAGTGAGACTGAGACCCAGAAAGCTCTGGGGGGGGAGGAAAGAGACTATATTTGAATAGCCATCTTAGGAAGAATGTGCCCATTTTCTTCTCAAGTTTCACAATTAACCTCTCTGAAATGCCAGCTCAAGCTGTCTGGAATCTGGCACACGCTTCAGTTGAAACTGACACTAGCATTATCAAGTGAGTCTGAAAAGACAGCACACCAGACACAGCTGCCTTTATATGTCCCTTTCAGATGGGCCACTGAATCACTACAACTGCATCTATTCTTCCTAGGCGGTACCTGAAACCCCTTGCGTCCCTCAGAACAGCTTGAGTGCCAGGCCAACCATTCACCTGACAATACATTAATTAGGATCTTACAAGGCTCTAATCATTGTATAAAGCTTCAGGGTTTTCTGTTAGGTCTGATGTTTAAATATAAATACACATTAAAGGTCCTGTTTGACATTCTTTCTTGTCTCAGTACCTAGGACACTGGCTTCAGTTATTTGAAACACACCACAGAATTGTGCTTCTTCTTCCTTTTTTTTTTCAAACAGCTACTAAGAGGAGCTAGTTTAACAGCCGATACAATTCCCACAGGCAAATTACGTCAGATGAGAGGCTGATCCAATATTAGTAGAATGTTCTGGGTCAGACTTAACATGCAGAGGTAGAAACGTACTTTGCAAAACCATTTGCAGCCTACCTCTGTCACCTCCATAGAGAATCACACAGTTTATGGTCTTAAAGCAGTAAGCATTATTAACCATGTATTTAAAACAAACCCATCCTGTCATTTATTATGGTTAATTAGAGGTTTCCAGTATTGTGAAATGTTTGTGGTTTTGCAATCACAGGCTCTGTACAAATTATTGGCAACTTAGAGTATCTAACGTTGTAAGCCAGTCATCCTCATTTCTGGTAAGATTTACGTATGCACAGGGTCAACATTAAACTATTTTTTAAAGTACTAAACTCTGCACTGCTTCTGACATTTCAAAAACAAATTATGTCATTTCCTTCTTAATCCATTGTAACGGAAGGAATAAAATAGTGAGTTCCAGAAACAAAGATGAATGAATGCGATGAATTTTCTTCTCAGTTTTTGCAATTTGTTTTCTTCCTGCCAGGCACCTGACATTCTTAGGATACAAGTGTCTTAAGTACCAAACAGTGAAGCAGAGAGGCCTCCCTTACATGCCCTTTTGTAGAAACCAGAAATTTTGAGGGTATCTTGCTCAGCATTACAACACATTCCTCTTAGGAAATGAAACTGTGGATGACAATATTTGACTAATGAAAACACATTCCAGAGTTTGAGAGTCACATAATTTCAAGACTCAGATATCAACTTCTATATTGTACAGATGAAGAAAGTAACACTAGAAGACTGTGATTGGCTTCCCTAAAAACTAGTTAGTGGATGAGCCTGGAATAGAACTGTTGTCTCATGACTTTGAATTGAGACTATTTATTTGCAAGAGATGCAGCTCCATTGCTGGCCTCATGTCATCCCTCCTGATTTTCTCTACTGACTGATGTACTTCAATCTGTTCAAGAGTAGGATGGGTCCTGCTAGCTCCACTCTACCCAGCCACTATTACTTCAAGAAGTTGTTTTCAAAAATGGAATATAACCTGATATGAGATGTCAAGGGTGTTTCACCTCTGTGGTATTCTCTCCCAAAACCCATGAAAACTAGGGGTCTTATCATGAGAAAAACAGCTGACAAACTCAGATCTAGAGACATTCAGAATACCTGGCCAGTACTACTCCAACAAACAAAGTCTAAGAAATTATCGCAGATCAGAGCAGGCTGATGAGACAGGACAGCTAAACACAATATAGTAACTGGATTGGATCCTGGAACAGAAAGAAAATGTTAATAAAAAAGTTGGCAAAATCCAAATAGAGTCTGGAGTTTAGTTAATAGTAATATACCAATGTCAGTTTCTTAATTTTGACAAATGTGCCATGGTAATTTAAGGTGTTGTTAATGGGGGAAACTGGGTGTGCAATATATAGAAAATCTATATTATCATTATGGCTTCTATGTGAAGGTAAACTTATTGCAAAATAAGAAGCTTTTAAAATCACTGTACATTAAAATTATCAGAAAACTACTTTTAAAAATACCAATCTCTGGGGCCCAGCCCAGGAGATTCTGACTTAATTGTTTTGGCATGAGGCCCAGGCACAAAGATTTCAAAGCTACCCAGGTGATTTCAGTGTGCAGCCAGGGTTGAAAACTCCTGTTCCGAAGTTCTGTGTCAGGTATGAGAGACTAGAAACCATGGGCCAAACCCAGTCTACAGGTATGTTTTATTTGGACTGCAAAGAGATTTTGGAAATTTTGAAATGGTTGTCAACATTTGAAACTTGGGAGATTTCACATGAAAATTGAAATCTGTGATTCCTTTTAATAGATGGGACAGTTTAACCCATGCTTTCTGCATGGCAACTATGACATAATAAAAAATATATTTAGTCTTTTTCTCAGGTTGCTGACACACAGCTTCTAAAACCCTTGGAATTTCCTGAGTGATAGGGGTATGTTTTGTTATTCAGAACAGACTATTTTTAACCACATCTGAGTTTATGCTAATGAGGTCACTCAGGTAGCTTCAGGATGGGGACTGGTCACCAGAAAGACTAAGACTTGATTAGTGGGTTGGAACTTTCATCCCCACCCTCTCTGACTTCCAAGAACTGGAGAGGGGCCAGAGATTGAGCTCAAACACCAAGGGCTAATGATTTAATTAATCAAACCCAGAGGTTTTACCTAATGAAACCTATATAAAAATCCCTAAACAACAAGGTTCAGGAAATTTTCAGTTTGGTGAAGACACTGATATATGCCAGGAGGGTAGTGAGCCCAGAGAGGCTACAGAAGCTACACACTCCTTCCCTGATGCTTGGCCATATGCATTTCTTTCATTTGAGTTGTATCCTTTATAATAAACTGATAAACATAAAGTGCTTTGAGAGTCATTTTAGTGAGTTACTAAACCTGAATTGGGGAGTTGTGGGTACTCCCACATTTTGTAGTTGCTGGGAAGAAATGTGGGTAGCTTGGTGATATGGTTTTGCTGTGTCCCCAACCAAATCTCATCTTGAATTGTAGCTCCTACAATTCTCATGTGCCATGGGAGGGACCTGGTGGCAGGTAATCGAATCATGGGGGTGGGTTTTTTTTCTGTGCTGTTCTCATGATAGTGAGTAAGTCTGATGAGATCTGATGGTTTTATAAAGGATAGTTCCCCTGCACACACTCTCTTGCCTACTGCCATGTAAGACAAGCCTTTGCTCCCCCTTTGCCTTCCACTATGATTGTGAGGCCTCACCAGCCATGTGGATCTGTGAGTCCATGAAACCTCTTTTTCTTTATAAATTACTCAGTCTCAGGTATTTCTTCATAGAAGTATGAGGATGGACTAATACACCTGGGCACTCCATTTGCAGCTGGTGTGGAACTGAGCCCTTACACCTGTGAAGTCTCATGATGATCAGGTAGTTTGTGTCAAAACTGAGTTAAATTGTAGGACATCCAATTGATGTCAGAGAATTAGAGAATCGATATGCAAAAATAAGGTATTTGATGTCAGAAAAACCCACACATTTGGTGTCAGAAAAAAAGACATCACAGCAACCATGGAACAGAGTAAAAGAGCAGTTTTGTTCTTTAAATGAAGCCACTTTGCCATTATTCCTACCAAGCTGTATCAATTGCCAATCCTAAGGCAAAATAGTAGGTGCTGTTTATCACTGAACTTGCATTCTTTATTTTTAATAGTTAGGAGAAAAGAAAAATTATTTAACTTAATTTATACAGGGAGAGTGGTGTATTTCTGCTCATCCTTTCCTAAATGTCCTCTCTGTCCTGCTCTATGCCCCAAGGAAGTGACCCTTCTATCGACTGTGTAATCTTAGTTCTTTTGTTTACTGGTTTTCCATTGGGTTCTGCCTATGGAAGCTTGAAAGAAAGAACTTCAAAAGGCAAGAGTAGAGAGAAATCTGAGTGGTTTTCCCTCTTTGTCTCCCTGCTTTGGCACTTCTGTCTAGCAGGGGTTGCATCTCTCCCTGTCTACAGTCCTTCCAAGCAGGCCCTCCTCTGAGGCTCTGGCTCTCAATGAACTCTGGAAACACCCTTGTGGTTGCTCCTTGAGCTCTCAGGGTGGTAAACGTTTCCCTCTGTTGCTCCTCTCTGGGAACATCAACATCTCTTTGCCTTTACCTCAGTTCCCTTAACACTGCTTCTGTAAATATTTGGTAAATACTCCTTAATTTTCTTCAGTAGAATCATCTGGAGTGAAACTCTGCTTCCAGCCAGCATCTTGATGCCTACACCATAAAGCTATCAACAGCAGAGGAGTAAAAAAATTATCCCAAAGACTGTGTGTTTCAAGAAGCATGTAAGAGATAAAGTTTGCCTTATACTCCATCTAGAAACTACTTCTTTCACTTGGATTACCTGATTATCCCCAGTAGGGACACTCATCTATGTACTCACATAGATGCATAATTATCTAAGTATATTTTTTTAGCCAGACCAATGTTTCTAGAAGGAATTTTCATAAAGAAATGGCAGAAAATTAAACTTAAATAAATAATCTGAGATAAAGTGAAAATTAAGCATAGGTGTAGAAAAGTCATACCATTAATGACTCTGGAATACATTACCACTTTTAATCAATCTCCTAGCTACAGCCATATTTCATTCCTAGATATTATTGAGAAAAGAAAAATAGCTCAGAGCAGGTCAACTATGTGAGATATGCAACATTTATCAGGCCCAGAGAGACATAAGTACAGGGCTTCAGTCATGGCTGTCTCTCCCCTGAGTAGCCATGACTGGGGGCAATTGTTTAAGGCATTTTTGTTCCTGACCAGCTTTCTCACTCATTATCTTCATATTCCTAGCATTTGTGACACAAAGAGCAATGAATAACCAATTAATAGCTTATGTTATCTTAACGAAAAGTCTTGATAAACAACTTCTCTTCTTTTTTCCTTTAAAGACCCACTTGTAACTATTGCTAATTGGACTGTATATTCAGGGCAACATGAATCTAGGCTCCTGGGTGGCCATCTTCAAGCTTTGAGCTCATATAATCTCTGTACTTATGTTATTTAAGGTTGACATTTTGGTGACTCAGGTGGGACCTGAAACAGACTTTCAGTGATCTCCCTTGCTTTGCTGACAGCTGGAGTCCTGATATGAGCATAACTTTCATTCATCTGACCTCACTGGAGTCAGCGGAGGTCAGTCAACTGGGTAAGCCCTCCTCAGATTTGAATGCTCCATTCTTGGTTGAACATTCAGACCAATTCACTTTTTGAAACTGCACACATTCCTGCCACAACATGGTTGGAAATGAAGCTCTACTGTAAGGTAGGAGTTCCATTTGTTATTCTCTAGAGTCTCTGCTGATTGCAGATTTGTGACTTTCACTTTTTCTTTTTGAGCTAGTGTTATTTTGAATTAATTCTTAGAGTTTTCCCATCTTTTAGCCATGTACGGTGGCTCACGCCTGTGATCCCAGCACTTTGGGAGGCTGAGGCAAGAGGATCACTTGAGGTCAGGAGTTCGGACCAGCCTGGCCAACATGGTGAAACCCTGCCTCTATTTAAAATACAAAAATTAGGCATGGTGGTGGGCGCCTGTAATCTCAGCTACTCGGGAGGCTGAGGCAAGAGGATCCCTTGAACCTGGGAGGCAGAAGTTGCAGTCAGCCAAAATCGTGCCACTGCACTGTAGCCTGGGTGACAGAATGAGACTCTGTCTCAAAAAAAAAAAAAGAGTTTTTCAATCTTTTATCTCATTTAAAATTTTGGTCGGGGAAAAAATAGTTTCTCTCTGAAAAGAAAAAGTGTAATCTTACAGCTTAAGTGAAAAATTTGTAATCTTTAAAATTGGTCAGATTTCACAGCTCAGTTCAATTGACAAATCTAAACATTCTTCTTGGGTGACCAAAATTCCTCTCACTGGGTCTTTTTTATCATTCAAAAAGGAAATATGATTATGGGCAATCGTACTTCCATAACTGAGTCTAATAATAAAGATTTGCAAGAGCTGTTAGAAGTAGTAACTGACCTCTTTAGCTTTTAGGGTACCAGGGATTACTCTGTACTATGAGATACAACTTGAATTTTGTGTGTGCAATGGCTGACAAGTCACTGGCAAAAACTGTGGTTTCTGAAGCAGCTGAAATCAGTTACAGTGAATGATTATAAATGTACGGGGCTACTCATTTTTTCCGGTGTTTAGATAGAAAGACAGGTTTGAACACTTGAAGGTGGAGGAAACACTTCCCCTCAAGGCATAAAACTCCTCCTGTGGGAGGGTGGTCTGATCACAGAGTGGGCTGATGGGCATTGCTCACCTACCAGTCTTGAGGGAATGTATGCAGTGAGGTGCATTGTGGAAACATTGCATACCCCGGTCTTGTGGCATTTCTCTTTTCTGGGGGACCCGGGATTCAATGTAAAAGTGGGATCGTTCAATTTTAAATATCTAGGTGCACTGCCTGTTTTTCACATATGTAAACATTAGTCCCCAAAAACTGCAAATGCTTTCATTTTGCTATTCATTAAAGGGCTCAACCCTGAGGTTAGTAATCTAATCAATACATAAGCTAAGTTGAAAATACCAGCTTTCTGACTAGATTGGTCTCCAAAATATGACTTTCTGGCATTTAGGTGGCTATTTTGAAACTCTTTGTAAAATAAATATACATATATAACGGAAATCTCCATTTGTAGGAGCATCTCCCTTGCTCCACCTAAGCTACTAGAAACTTTTATGACAGGAAAAACAGTGCCTTAAAGTTTATAAAACCAACCTTACTTTTGTTTAAGATATTTTTGCTGGTAATCTTATCTTGACTGGGCCTTTACCTATGCCCTTCTTTGTCTCAGTAAATAAAGGTGTTTAGATCTAAGTTCTGTGCCTTTGGGAGGTAAATTTTCACCTAAGAGTCATGTTTTTGTGATTGTAAATTTAGGATAGCCTAGCTAATAATTGTTTAGGGCTTGAGAGTCTAAAGAGGAAAGAAACTATTTGCAAACTGGCAAATGGAGAACCTTATAAAGCTATTAATACAAAATTTGCTTCTATGTGTCCTGTATGTCTATATGTTTAAATGTGGCATGTGTATGTGACATTTTACTAGCAACATATATGAAGAACCTCCAATTAATTGTCTTAAAGAAAATGTAAGTGGTTAAATCAAATATTTTATCAGAAAAATAGAAACTACATACAGACAGGAGGCAGGGAAATACTGGGTAGAAGATGGTGGTTCCCCGGCGAGGGCTCCACCCTCAAGCCCAAAACCAATGCCCTAAATGAAAACTTCACATCCCTGTTTTCCCACCCAAATGTTGCCTTTTCCAAAACTACCCTGGCCGGCCCCACCCTCCACCCTGTACCCATAAAAACTCCAAGCTCCACTGGCAGGGAAGGAGAAAAGAGGAACCAGCTGGATATTAGAAAGAAGCAGCTTGACTTCAGAGGGATGGCTTGACAGCAGAATTTCATAGAAGAGTTCTGCCACAGATGGCCCAACTCCAGGGGAAGATTATCTTCCCACTATATTGCCCTTCCAGCTCCCCTTCCTGCTGAGAACTACTTCCACCACACGATAAAATCCTCTGCATTCACCACCCTCCAAATTGTTCGTGTGACCTCACTCCTCCTGGATGCCAGACAAGAACTGAGGTGAGGGGGAAGAGGCTGTCACACTAACTCCCCATTGAGCTGTTAAACACTTAAGCCATCCATGGATGACAAAGCTAAAGGACCACACCATAACACACATCCTCTGGGGCTCCAGGGGTCGTAGGCAACCCCTAGGCGCTGCCATGGGCCTGTACAGTGTTTGTTCCTGCAGGCACCCAAAGGCACTTGCCCCGGCTCCTGCACCAGCTCACCTGCGTGCTAACCCTCCCACAAGGGGTTTGAGTGCTGCGGGCTGCCTAACCGAGCCGCCCCTTTGTGAGTCCCACAAAGGTACCAAGGGAACTATCCTGTCTCAAAACCAGCTCAAGTGCCTTTTAGTTCACATGATTTGAGTAAATCTTTAAGACTAGTTTAATATTGTTGGTTTAGTGAAAATAGCTGTCTTCTGATCAGGAAAATACCTATGTATTTATCCATAGAATTTTTGCTTAGGTAGTGGCAAAACATTTTAAGCACGTTGTAGAGGGTTTGTGGAAGATTAATCTTGGGAAAGAAATTTTGTGTGTGTTCAAGTTGTCTAAAATTAGAAATTATTTATATGTTTTTCTAAAAACTGAGCATTAATATCAAAAGCACACTGATGTAAGGCCACAGTCTGTGCCCCTATGTTGCCACAGGGTTTTCTCAAAATACTGATCATTTTTAATAGAAAATTACAAAAGGTTATAAAAGGTTTATGGAAATCTTATTTTGTGAGGTCAAAGCTGATTGAGATTGGACAGATTTGGTCATAATGTTTTATTAAAATTAGCTTTAGTATTGATAACACACTAAAAGTAAAACTTGGTTTTCTCCTTAGAACAAGAATTTTGTGTAGTATTAATAAGAGATAGTAAAAGATTTGTTTACTTTTTGAGTAAACTGTAAAATAATTAAGCTGCAGGGAGAGTTTCCCTCATGTTGTCTTTATTAGGTCCCTTGATTGGGTATTAAATCTCTTCCCTATCAAATAATAAAAAATTTTGCTTTCTGAAACCTTTGAATTATCATTTTCACAAAATAAATGACTATTATTATGCATTGACTTCAGATTCTATTTTGATCATGAGTTTTAAACATTTTTAAATTTCAATATCAAGTGTTTTAAACCCTTAATACTTTACATATTTCCAAAAATTAAATTTCAAATTCTAAAATTATCTTTTAATTTGTACTAACCTGGACATAAAGGAGAAACCCCTGGAAGTCCAGGAGAGACATATAACACTTATTTGGTATGTTAAAATCATATAGGAAGCATTGTCAAATAAGAAATGCTGTTTATATGGGCAAATAGAGGGGAACAACACACACTGGGGCCCTTCAGAAGGTGGAAGGTGGGAGGAAGGAGAGGATCAGAAAAATAACTAATGGGTACTAGGCTTAATATATGGGTGATGAAGTAATCTGTACAACAAACCCCCATGACACAAGTTTACCTATATAACGAACCTGCACATGTGCCCCTGAATTTAAAATAAAAGTTAGAAAAATAGGTTTGAGTTATATTAGTATACATGTATTAACATGTATTCCAAAATTATATGAGATTCTTAAATTCAGATATGTCTTGATATATGCTATCAGACATAATTATGATTATTATATTACATTGTTTTATGCCATAAAAATAATTAAATTTCTTGTCAATTGTATCTTTGACCATGGCTACTCTTTTTGTCATCCACAGACAATTATCGTTTTACTTTAAGTCTTCTCAAAACGTTATTTATAATCAGCTATAGTCCATTCTTCAAAAAATTCGTGGAAAAGAATCCCAACAAGAATTCTTGAATAAAGATTTCTGATAAATTTAGAGATCTTACTTTTGGACGAAGTAAAATCTGCCAGAACTCTAATTAAAAAGCTGATACATTAATGAAGATTGCTAAGTCAACGTCAATCAAAAGTTATTTCAATTTACTGAACTGATAGAGGACTGAAATGATTTTTATGACTTTTTTGTTTGCAACATTACTGACTCTTTTATATTTTGTCTTATTTTCTTTTCAGCTATTCATAGCTTATAGCAACGGGGTAAAGTATACATTTGCAAGCAAAATTGAAATGTTCACTTTTCTCTTTAGCTGATTTCTTCAAAATATGGAAACTAATAATGAGTATTCTTGTTTTATGGCAATATAGTTATTTGCATAAGTTCAATAAGAATGTGTTTGTTTTTTGGTATCAGGACACATTGAACACTGGTAATTTTTCCAAAGCTTTTATTGGAATGGCATATTTTTAGATATGACCAGATTGCTTTGAGGAATTGAAGTTGACTTTAGAAACCCAATAAAAGGCCTCTGGAAAAGACTGGCATGATACATTTTTACATGGTTCTCTTACAAGGTTCCTGACCTTATGATAAGTAAAGAATATCACTTTCTGACAGGTCCAGGAACCTCAAGATATTTTGGGACCTCAAGAAGAGAGGACTTTACCCAATTCATATAGGTATTACAGGCACAACCTGACAGCAAATCCTTGGCTTGTTTTCCTAGCCTCAAGAGGCTTTTAAAAATCTAATTTGAGATTCCTTATGAAAAAGTTCTAGCAAAGCCAACTTAAAGGAGCCTATATGGCCATTCATTATTCTTGTTACACTTTATACAAATAATCAGGCCAAGAGCACTACTAAAACTTATTTTGCAAATAAATTGATCAGACTAAGAATTATCCTTGGTTTACATGGGGAACTGGAGAGAGAAAAATAATGTTTCAGAAGAAAACTATAGCACACCTGCTATTAGATTCCAGCACTGACTACTGTTTTTGAGTTTTTATGATTTTCCTATATTTTAGACTAAATCCAGAATTATTTCCTATCTATGAGTCTCTAAAGGACAAGGGTTTAATTTTCTTCAGGATGTTTTCAGTGTACTCACCAGTGGAACAGGTTTCCTTTTTCATTTTGGAATACATGTTCTCTTTTTGTAATGGTAATCCTTACTTGCAATATGTATCTCTCACTGTTTTACTGCTTCTGAGAAAATTAAAGTCATAATATTCTAAAGACCAGGATGATTCAATAAGTGACAGCAACTATATAAATAAGTTGACTGAGATTTGGCTGAAGTCTCATTTTTGCCACCCTGTGATACCATTCCAATTCAGCTTTAGGCACACTTAAAATTTCTTACTGAGATGTATTCTCTCCCCTGCCCCTTCCCCACACGCCCACCTGAGTGGGACAGAACCATTTGGGAATGAACCTTCCTTATGATATAGGACTAAGGAGTCAAAATGCTTTTAGTTCATCTACTATGCTTTCTTCAAAACATCTTGATGAAATGGAGGGAAATGAGAAAACTCAGATCAGGCTGAGCTATGTGAGGTATGCAAAATTTATCCAACCCAGAGAGCCATGAGTTGGAGACTTTTGATCATGCCCCTCCTCACAGCATCCATGCCCAGGGTAGTTTTTTAAAGGCATTTTTGTTCCTAATTAGCTGCCTCTACCATTATCTTCATGTTCTTGGAATCTGTGATACAAAGAACCATGAATAGCCAATCAATACATTACTTTAATGTATATTCTTAGCAAAAACTTAAAAACTGCTTCTTTTTTCCTTTCAAGACCCACTTGTAACTACTGCTAATTGGACTGTATATCCAGGGCAACTTGAATCTACACTCCTGAGTGGCCATCTTCAAGCTCTGAGCTCAAATAAACTCTGTACTTAATCATATTTTCTGAATCTCATTATTTAAGGCTGACATTATTACCTATTACACCTCTTTCCCTTACTCAATGTTTCACAATTTTGTTTCCTTTCTATTTCCCAAACATGCCAAACTTGGCCCCACCTTAGGTTTTCTACTTCCTTTTCTCTTTGCCAGGATTGTTCTCTTGCCTCCCTACTCCCACTAAGAGATTTTCTTGGCTGGTTCTTTCTGATTTGTATTTTAGTTTCAATGTTCCCTCTGAAGACAGAACATCATTCTCTTACCTCTTGCTTCCTATTGCCCCATACTCTCTATTACACCCCTATGTTTGGGGTGTTTTTGTAATATTTTCATTATCTGATGTTTGATTATTTGTTTATTACATACTTATTGTCATCTCCCTGATAGAGGCAGCAGGCAGACAAATTACCTAGGCAGATAGGGAAGGGTCCCTGGTGAAACATCACCTTCAAGCCTAAAACAGCCTGAAGGCTGAAAGACATGACTGCTGGTTCCAACTGAAACCTGTGACCCAGAGGGACAACTTCTGCCCCTGTTTGCCCGCTCTTTCCTGATTGATTCTTTCTGAATAATGCCTTTTAACCAAACGAATGTTGCCTTTTCCAATACTACCTAGGGCTATACTACCCCTTTCTTTGCTGAGAGTTTTCCTTTCACTTAATAAATTCTGCCCTTTTCACACTTCAGTGTATCCACATGCCTAATTTTTCCTGGTCATGAGAAAAGAACCCAGATTTAGTTGAACTAAGGAGCAAAAATCCTGCATCATCCCCAATCCAGTAGAATGTTGGTCTGTAAAAGCAGATTTTTTTTGTGGGTGTATGTACATCTCTGAATTACTTCATCTATAACAATTACTGGAATATTGACCAAGCCAGTATTGGATAATAGTGACCTGACATCTATCTATCTATCTATCTATCTATCTATCTATCTATCTATCTATCTATCTATCTATCTACCTACCTACCTACCTAGATAGATAGATAGATAGATAGATGTCAGGAAAAGAGGCTCAGAGAGTTTATATAACTGCCCCAAGAACACAAGTAAGAGGTGCAGAACTAAGATGTAAGCTAAGTTATTTCAGACCCATGTAGAACCATGTTTATAACCATAGAGATACAGAGAATAAATGTATTGGCCCAATTCACAGAAAGCTGAGAGTGTAGAAAATATACTAAATAAAAGAGGCTCAAATGATATTGGGCTATATTTCCACCTCTTACTTTTCTATTGGCCAGAAGCAGACTAGCTGCCTCCAATGTCCCCACTTTTCTGGATGCTCCAATAGTCCTTGACATGCTTTGTGTTTACAGCAGGTACAGGTCAAAGACATGTTATGAGCCCTGAGCATACTGAATGGCCACCATTTCTAATCTGGAGGTAACAAAGCTCCCCCAGTTCCATTTTATATAGGTAAATAATTTTTCAGAACTCTCTCCGCATTTCACAGAGGGCATTATTTCGTATGTGGTCATTTTTATTTTATAATAATAAAGCAATAAAGTATATATTGTATCTCCTTTGTTAGATTTTTATAAAGGCATATATACAACAAGACTGCCGTCTCGGAGACTTCAGAATAACAAGTTATTTGATGCAATTTATTTGTTTGGTTGGTTCACTGGTTAGTTAGGGTTTTGAAACCCAGGGCTCTGAATATATGAAAAAGAAAATAGAATGTTCATCACTCTCCAGCTGTGATTTTGACTTTCTGATGGTAAGAGAAAGACAAAGAGGCAAGGAGAAGAAACAAGATGAGACACACAAAAGAAGAACAAAGATGAAGAAGCTGCAGGGGGTCCAGGAGTATACTCTCCAGCAGACCACATCTGATGGCAATTAGAAGAAGAATTAAAATTACCAAAAAGAATGAAACATACAACCTTTATTCTCTTCAATCTCAGAAAACACAGTTGTAACCTGTTTCTGTACAAACACAGCTGTAGTTTGGAGATTACTAATCACTAAGTTTACACTTTAGAGATTTGCCTTAGTCACTTTTGATTTCCTGGTTTCATGTGTTTAAAATAGTAACGGCAAAAGGATTGCCAAAATAGCGAGGGAGAAATTGTTACTGCAGTGATGGATTCAAGACAGATACAGTCAAAACAATACTCCAAACAATTCCAAACAATTTAAAAAAATTTGATAGACTTGATGGGCATTTTAAAGAGTCATATATTTGCCTTCAAATAAAGTATTGTTATTTAACATATTTTTTAAAATTCCTGTATTTTCATATGATTATTCTGTTTCTGTGGTCTCATTATATTTCAGCAGATGGAAGAAGAGAACAAGAAGTATCAGGCAGTAGAAGGTAAATAAATAACATTTTAATAATATTCAAAGTTATTAGTAGAAAACACAAAAAAGACCTGCTATTTATACTGATTGATATTTAGTAAGCAGGCTAGTATTTGTATGCCTATACCCATCTTTTTTTTTTTACTTAATGAAAAGAAAGAAAAACTTAAATTATTTATTTAGAAAACTTGCACATTCAGTAGGGAGAGGTAGAACACAGGGCTGCCCATATGTTAGAAGTCATTCAAACAAAGCTCCATGAGAATCAGATTAAGAGTATTGAGGAAGGGCAAAAAATACTACAAAACACAAAGGTCTCTCTGTTCAGTGGTCTCTCACGCTCTTTAGCTCACCAGGGGATAGTAAATGCATTGCTTAAAGAGGTTCTATGTTCCCAGATGTTGAAGCTGGATTAATTGTGAATGCTCCCCCTGCTCCCCCTGTCCCCCACCCATCACTTCCCCACTTTGGGTCATTCTTTACTGGCCTCTCATAACACCCTCTCAATGTGATTTTTGCTGGACAATCAGTCTCATGTTTCTGGAAATGGGAAATGGATAACATGAACACACAGTCATGGCCCTCCAGACTCTGGATGATTTACGCTCTGATCCTTACCCTCGCAGGCAAGGTACTCTGTTGGCATTCACTAGCTCTGCAGTAGTGGGGCTGACTGTCAGCATTCCCACCATAAACTTCGGTTTTTAGAGGTTTATAAATTGGCTATAAAATGCTGCCTGGAGGGGGGTGGATCTTACAAAATTGTTTTAAGTTACAAGAGAGTAAAAAAAAACACACACACACAAAATAAAATAAAATGTCTGTAATTTCAGACACTATCTTGTGCTTCTGGAACTTTGAAAAGCCTGTAATTTTGCTGTCTGTGCGCCCCACTGGCATTCAAATCAATGCTTTGAAATTCAGCGTTTTAAATATAAAATGAAGATACTCCTTTTACTTTGAAGAGATGGTTATCAAAGAAGATTAATGTATAGTCGCAAGTAAAATAATAATTGAGGCGGGGGGGTTCTTTCCAGTCAAAGGAATTTTGGAATCCCTTGTACATGAATTAAGGACCACATATGATGGTTAGAAGTCACCAATAGTAACATTCAAAATGAAGTCCACTGAAAAAATTATTCAGGTTTTCTGAATTGAAACAGTCATACATTCAAGAGATATGTACAACAATTTACTAGACACAATTATTGGCTAGGTATTCTCCCAATTAAATAAGCACTTTTTTTTTTTTTTTTCCGAGACGGAGTCTTACACTATCGTGCGGGCTGGAGTGCAATGGTGTGATCTCAGCTCACTGCAACCTCTACCTCCCAGGTTCAAGCGATTCTCATGCCTCAGCCTCCCGAGTAGCTCGGATTACAGGCACGTGCCACCACGCCTGGCTAATTTTTTTGTATTTTTAGTAGCGATGAGGTTTCGCTATGTTGGCCAGGCTGGCCTCGAACTCCTGACCTCATGATCTGCCTGCCTTGGCCTCCCAAAGTGCTGGGATTACAGGTGTGAGCCACCGCGCCCAGCCGGCATATTCTTTTAATAATGCCTGTGGAACTGTAAACTCCTAGAGGAAGAAACAATTTGTGAGCTAATACCAGTTGGGTTGGTGCTACCACAGATTTTTCTAATATTCCAGTACTCTATCTCACAATTGGTTTATCATTATCATCAAATGTCTTTCTGCATATTGCTATATTTAAAAAAACCCAAAACCTTAAAGTGATTTCATTTATTTATCATAAGAAATTTGCTCAAGATCAATTATGTGTCAATATTCTAAGTACTGGACAGATATAAAGAAGAAGGCATGGCCTCTACCCTTGAGGAACAGGAAGGGGGATAGTTCCTTATTAGTAATTTTGAGAAAGTAAAACAATGTAAATCAGGCATCAACAGGAATCAACTCCACCTGGAAAAATCACAGACAACTTTAAAGCAATAGTTCTCAAAGGGTGGTTCCCATATCAGCAGTGTCAGTATCACCTGGAAACTTGTTAGAAATGCAAATAATTGCAAGGACAAAAAACCAAACACCGCATGTTCTCACTCATTGGTGGGAATTGAACAATGAGAACACATGGACACAGGAAGGGGAACATCACACTCTGGGGACTGTTGTGGGGTGGGGGGAGGGGGGAGGGATAGCATTAGGAGATATACCTAATGCTAAATGACGAGTTAATGGGTGCAGCATACCAACATGGCACATGTATACATATCTAACAAACCTGCACATTGTGCACATGTACCCTAAAATTCAAAGTATAATAATAATAAAATTTAAAAAAAAAAAAAAGAAATGCAAATAATTGAGTCTCACCCCAAGCCAACTGGATCAGAAACTTTAAGAGTGGGCCCAGCAATCAGAGTTTTAACAGATCATTCAGGTGGTCCTAAGAACAAGTACTAATGACCTAAGGCAAAGCTTTAGAGTGCTTTTAGAGTCATCTAAAGTGCTTGTTAGTACACAGATTACAGACTGCTGAACACCCTCACCACCAGACTGTTAATTCGGTAGATTGGGGGCAGGAAATTTGCATTTCTAACAAGTTTTTAGGAAGCACTGAAGCTGCTGATCTGGGAACCACACTTTGAGAACCACTGTCCCAAGACATCCTCATGTAATACAATAATTTCTCTCACTTGCTATGTGCTATTCTTGGAAGAATCAAGAAAATGGTGACTGAAATCATCTCTGTTTTGTGGTTCAGAGGGAAAATTTCAGATGAGAAAAGCAGAGTGGAAAAGGGACAGGATAATATTTTTAAAAGGAGAAACATTTGTGCAAGAATTAAGTTGTGAATGATCAAATTAGTTAAGGCAAAAGCCATAATTGCTTGAGAAAATGCACAGCCAATGTTATAGGGAAGTAGGAATTTGGGCAGATCTATTTATGGTACAGCTAAAAATATATTCTCACCCCATCAAATTAGGCTAATTATATGGGATTCTGCTCCTCAAAATTTAAAATCTAAGATACATGGAGAACGAAATACTTTTTCTGTGTTGGTTTCCTGGCTTCTTTCAAAAGATAGTCAGACTCACACTTCATTTTTATTTCTTAGGCATAAGAAATCAGTGGCTTGACTTGAACCTATGTTTGCCTTTTCAGTCCACATGGCACTTTCTGAAATACAGATACCTAAATTTCAGAATTGGAATGTGACTGCTAATTCATATTTGAAGCTCAAAGTTGTAAAAGACCAATGAATTTAGCTATTCTGAAACTTCACAGAACGGTAATTATGAAATCCACTAGCCACATATCTAGTCATCCATCCAACAAAGAAAAAGAAAACTTGACCCAAGGAAATGTACAATCCATTTGGTGAAGACAGAAATTAAACAATGAATTCATTGTAATCGTGATATATTTTATTTGAAAGAAAAAACAAAACTTTTATAGGAGCTATAACAAGAGCACCTAACTTTGTCCAAAGCCAAAGATTGGAGGTCAGCGAAAAATTCTTTGAAGAAAAGATGTTTAAGCCATTGCCTGAGAGATGAGCAGGCAGAAGTCAGGAGAAGAGCCATGGAAAGTATAACCAGGCAAGAAGGGCAGCTTGTGCCTGAACATGAGACAGAGTCAAAGCCAGGAAGGCGAGCAATATCAAGAATGATGCTGGAGAGGTTGGCAAGTGAAATGTTGAAGGATTGTAAGCAGGACCCTGACATGATGAGATTTGAATATTGAAGGGCTCACTGTGGCTTCTATATGCAAAATGCAACAGAGGAGAGAGAGAGGCTGCATTCAGAATAGAGCTAAAATGTAAAATTCCCACCCTCCCTCAGTTCCTAAAGAAAAATAACTTTGTAAGTTTTATTCTTTCATGATCTCATATACCAGCATTATAGTTCTGCCTTTTAGAATATATATTACTTGACTCTGTACTTAAGAAAAATATGCCTCATTTTAAGCAAACTCTCATTGTATAGAAAAGATAAATGGGAGAGAAATGAATAGTTCAATCTTTGTGTTATGAACTGAATTGTGTACCCGACAAAACTCATATGTTGAAGTCCTAACCCCCAATACCTCAGAATGTGACTGTATTTGTAATTACCCCTTTAAAGGGGTAATTAAGTTAAAATGAGGCCATTAGGGTGGGCCCTATTGCAATATGACTTGGTGCTCTTAAGAGATTAAGACACAGGCATGCACAGAAGGAAGACCATGTGAGGACAGAAGGGGAACACAGCCATTTACAAGCCAAGAAGAAAGGTGTCACAAGAAGCCAGCTATAAAGACATCTTGACCTCTGACTTCTAGCCTCCAAAATTGTGAGAAAATAAATTCATGTTGTATGAGCCACTGTTCCGTGACATTTTGTTATGACAGACCTAGGAAACTAATATACTTTGTACGAACACATCCTTTGTTTAAAGAAAAAAATATCACTGTAGGTCTTCTTGGAAATATGTGCTCTTAATGAATTTGAAATGCATTTATTTCCCAGCAAGAGTCCAAATGAAGGAGAAACTAATTTATTGGAGAGTTTTTGGAGGGCAAGGGATGGGGGAAGAACCAAAGGAATGTGTATGGTATGTAAAGTAAAACATGACAGTTGGTTCAGTGAACTCCCACATCGCTCAGGCCTCCAATAGCTAGTTGCACACTATATAAGAATGACTGCATTGGCTAAATTCAGAGATCCAAGTAGTGTCATAAGCTCTGCCTTGGCCATGAAAATCAACAGTTGTCAATGTCCTGAAAGCCTGAATACCTCATGCACACATTCAAGTCAGGGAGATTTTCTTCATTCTGTTTATTTCTATTCAAATCATCAAGCATGTACCTTGCATTTGTCTCCTGGTTTACTATGTATACATTATGGAGAATAAGAAGAATTTTCACACATGGTCCACAACCACAACTCCAAGGAAATAAAGTTAGAGATTAGTTAACATATACATGACGATTTGTTATCTTCTAAAGTGAGTTAACGGAAGTTAGTTTGGAATGGTTTTTCTTTTTTTTTTTTTTTTGAGATGGAGTCTCGCTGTGTTGCCCAGGCTGGAGTATAGTGGCGCGATCTCGGCTTGCCACAACCTCTGCCTCCCAGGTTCAAGTGATTCTCCTGCCTCAGCCTCCCGAGTAGCTGGGACTACAGCCATGTGCCACCACGCAACGGCTAATTTTTGTATTTTCAGTAGAGATGGGTTTTCACTATGTTGGCCAGGCTGGTCTCGAACTCCTGACCTTGTGATCTGCCCTTCTCAGCCTCCCAAAGTGCTGAGATTACAGGCGTCAGCCACCCTGCCTGGCCCTAGATGAACAAACTTGTCTGCAATGGGCTGACTTCCACATAACACTTAACATCCATCCATTCATCCATGATAAATCAGCTGGAGACACACATAAATGTACCAAGCCATAGAGACAAGACTTATTTTTCTTCATTGTCATTGAGCAGTTTCTTTTACTCTGTGGTCTCTTTAGCTTTGTTTTTCATGAAAGCACAGCAGGTACAACTATTTAAACTCCATTCCTGGCTGAAATCCTCTTTTGTAAACATTCCTTCAAAGTTAAAATGAAAATTACTCTTCCTTTTCTTACAATGAAAGGAATATTTTTTTTTCCCCTGTTCTGCCTAAAATATCAAAAACATAGCCAGGGCCTCTTAAATGCAAATGGCTTCTTGACCTCCCTTGTATTTCTGAGTTTGCTGGGTCTTCTCAGTAATTCCTGTTTCTCTAAATGTTTCCTTTCTTTTATTTTCTCTTTACTGAGAAATGCTAGCACCCTTTTTTGGAAATCAATGCAAAAACACTTAGATGCTTTGTTCACCACATGGGCTCTTTTGCTTTGGGGTACTGGGCATTTATTGTCTCTGTCAGGTATTGGCAGCATCTGATTTTGTTGATCCACAGGCACAGAGAGGACTGGGAACTGAGTATGTATGTTATTATGACTCAAGACACATAAACACATTCTACGTACATTTGAACAAGCACAGTTTATTTATAATTACATTGAAATTATTTAGCTCCAAGCAAAGACACAGAGGGATGACAGATTTGATAAGCTACTTTTAATTTTTTTTTTTTTTTTGCATATTCTATTGCTTTGGGCTCTAGTACTAAAAAAGGAATGGAATTTAAAAGGAACAATGAGGAAAGAACGATTACATACAAAGAAAGAATTTTACCTGGCAAAGCCAACACCTCTGCTGACTCCATTAGCGTCTCTTAGTATTCTTGTGGAAATGACATGTCCAAAGGGTTTCAGCATATTCTCAAGCTCCTGCTCATCCATAGAAATGGGGAGATTTGAGATGTATAGGTTTGTTGGGTCTTGCTCTTGTTGCTAAGGGAAGGAAAGTAACAAATATGGTAAGTTCTGAGTATTGAGAAACATTGTACAAATAGAGAAACTTTTGTTTAAACTGCAATCTAGATAATAATCTCCAAAATGCTCTTGAAAGTGCTTTCACTAGGGGCATTACTTCTTTTTACTGATGTCTTGTGCAGAATGTTTATCATAGACAAAATGATCAATGAAAGCCAAGCTCTCCATCCATCATTCCTTAGAAAGACTAATAAACTTTTCTTTTTTTTTTTTTTTTTTCTTGAGACGGAGTCTCGCTCTGTAGCCCAGGCTGGAGTGCAGTGGCGCGATCTCGACTCACTGCAAGCTCTGCTTCCCGGGTTCACGCCATTCTCCTGCTTCAGCCTCCCGAGTAGCTGGGACTACAGGCGCCCGCCACCACGCCCAGCTAATTTTTTGTATTTTTAGTAGAGACGGGGTTTCACCGTGTTAGCCAGGATGGTCTCCATCTCCTCCTGACTTAGTGATCCGCCCACCTCGGCCTCCCAAAGTGCTGGGATTACAGGTGTGAGCCATCACGTCCGGCCGACCAATAAACTTTTAATGCAATTGAACTAAGGCAAATGTGTATATTCTTTTTTATTACCATTAACCACTACTTCTATGACTACCACTCTTACTACCATCACAATTAGTTACTGATATTGCATTTAATGAGAGTTCATAATATGCTAAGCATTGTTCCAAACACTTAACATGCATTATTTCATTCAATATTCTTAATAGATATAATTACCATTTTATGGATGACAAAATTGATCCCTAACTTATCCAAGTTACACAGCTCATAAGTGCCAAAGTCAGGGCTGAAATCTGGGCCTATCACCAAAGTCCATGGGATTTATTGCTCTGGTCTACTGCCTTCCACTAGACCAACGAGTCTCAAAGTATAGTCCCAGAAATGCAACATTAGCCTTAGCCTCACCTGGGAACTTATTGGAAACACAATTTCTCAGGCCTCACCACAGAACTACTGAAGCAGAATCTGAGAGTGGGCCAAGAAATCTGTGTTTTGACAAGCCCTCCAGGTGATCCTGATGACAGCTTAAGTTTGAGAATTGCCATCCTAGACCAAGCCTAAATATTTATATACAAATAAGATTATGATGTCTATCATCTCCTAATTCAGCACCAATAATGCTTAAATAAGTTTTGCTTAATAGAATGGGAAACCAAACCACAATTACTAGCATTATTTCTGTGTGTATCAATTTTCTCTATTTTATATAATGAATTAATAATTTAGAACTTAGTTGTATTTATGTCTCAAATAAAACAGTCAAAAACTTGACAGATTAGTCATTAATATCAAAATGTACCAGATATTTAATTGAACTATTATATTTTAACTAAACAAAAACCTTAGCTTCAAGGATAAGCCAGACATTAAATTAGAAAAAGAAATCCTGAAGTCTATAGAAAATGGTATTATGTAACAGTAAAATATCTTTTGTGAAAAGATATCATATTATTAGATATTTACGGTTTTAAAAACAATAAACAAGTAGAATAAACAAGAATCCAAATGTTGTTTCAGGTCAAGAAATAATTTTTGTATGCAACTAAATTTCTGTATTTTTAACAACTAAATATTCAGATAGATTGTGATATTTTTATTAAAACTTGGAGTGAATATGATGTATTATTAGTTTCATTTTAAACACAGTTTACTTTTCAAGCTTTTTAGCACCGTGGGAAATAGCAAAAATAAAATATAATCAATCTGGAAAAGATGACTAGAGCCTTAATATTTAGGAATAGTTTACATATAGAAACTGAATGAGTGAAGTTAATCTCCCTCTCTTTCTCTGTCACAGACATACATATAAACACACACACACACACACACACACACACACACACACACTCCACTATCACCACCACCATCATCAATATCACCACCAGTAACTGTTAATGGTCCTAGAGAAAAAACAGAGATAATATTATTATTCTTTAAATGGTTTTGATCTTGTTTTTGTTTTTGTTTTTGTGAAGTGGTAAATAAAAAAAAAGGGGACATTTCAGTTACATAATAATGAACCTTATCTACGTATAACTTCCAAGGTTCATAGTATTTCACCATTCATCATTTAATTTTAATCTTCACATTGTCGCTCCAAAAGTAGTTTGGCAAATATTACTACACTTACTGGATAATGAGGAAATGGAGACATGAAAGATTCAATCTTGCCCAAGGACAATCTAATAATTAGTGACAGGGCTAAAATTAGATTTAGTGACTAATTTTCCTATCTTCCAGCTCAGTGTATTTTCCACAAGTCCAATGTTTCTCAAGCTTCAATTATTTGAAACACCAAATGTTAGAAATTTTTGACAGTCATAGGTTGTTACTTATTTTAAAATTTTTCTAAATAAACATACCTCTGGGGCTTAAATAAATCTATTTTAAAAAATAACTTTGTAGGCCGGGCGCAGTGGCTCATGCCTGTAATCCCAGCACTTTGGGAGGCCGAGGCGGGTGGATCACGAGGTCAGGAGGTCGAGACCACCCTGGCTAACATGGTGAAACCCCATCTCTACTAAAAATACAAAAAGTTAGACAGCCTGGTGGCGGGCGCCTGTAGTCCCAGCTACTCGGGAGGCTGAGGCAGGAGAATGGCGTGAACCCGGGAGGCGGAGCTTGCAGTGAGCTGAGATCATGCCACTGCACTCCAGCCTGGGCGACAGCGAGAGTCCGTCTCAAAAAAAAAACACTTTGTGTTGTTACCATAACTAAAAGGCCAGTATTACTTGCCATAAATAGAAGGTTACTGTAAAAACAGTGAACAAACTCATGTTTTCAAATTATAGCTAGATACTGTTTGCAGAAGGCTTTGGTGCTCCCGCTTCACTCTCTGTTGCAAAGGGAATTCATAATTAATGGAAGTGTTAGAAGCACACTAGCACCAGACTGAGTCTTTTTACTGGGAAGAATCAGAATTAAAGAAGAATTGAGAAATGAACAACTTTCTTATGATGTGATTTCTGAGTCCCACATGTCTAGAACTACTCAAGTTATACAAGAAATACGTGCCCCAGAGCTTTGGAGTTCCTCATCAACCCAGAGCCTACCAATGAGTGGGCCACAGCACATGACAGTCCTATGAATGGGTTGGAATTTGCTCAATATTCAATACCCCTTTGCCCTTGATCAGGTTAATAATTACAGTCTACGCCATTGTCTCAGGGTACTGTACAGACCTTAGAATTTTCTCCAGGCATCAGTGCACCAGTTTATCCAAATTCAAAATCATTTCCAAATTCCCTGAGTATTGAATGCATTGCAGCTGCTCAAAATGGTGTACCATAAATACGCAGAGCTTAGTACATAAGGGATTGCCTGGTAAGCTATTTTCTGAATCCAAATTCAAACAACAAGGCCAACTCTTTAATTTGTATTCACAGAGACAGTAGCACATTGGATAGTGTCGTTCTTTAATTTGTATTCACAGAAAGAATATGACATTGGGGAGTGTTATTTAAGTAATTCTGTTCTTTGAAATGAATGCAGTATTAGTCTTGAATATATTGGTTGAAAATAGAATTTAAATTATGCATAAAATAAACTTTAAAATAGTACATACATTTATATTTTTACTTTCAATTTTATTTATATATCAGGTTTATGTAAATGGATGGTCATTTTCAAAAGGTTCATTGGCACTATGAAACAAAGAACTCTTTCCTTTTAATTTTCCGGAAAAGTTTTTCACAAGATAACTGCAATCAAAAAGATCTTTTTATAATTTTTTAACTTAAATTTTTATGGCCAAATCTCCTGAATGGACCTAAGGTGGCATCTTATCCAATCTTGTTATCTAACAGATGGAAAAAAGCAGAAGCTAGTGGTGAGATTATGACTTGCCCAAGGCCACTCAGCTAGAGGAACAGGCTAGAAATAGATGATAATCTGATGTTATTGCCAATTTACAACACTGACTTTATTCTTAAAATCCAATGATTAATAAATAGGTTGTGGTTCAAAAGAATATTATAGAGACAAAAATAAATATATCTGAGTTCCTTGTTTTATTCACTTTTGCCTATTCGTCAATAAGCTTGAGTCAAAGAGTGAAGGCTATGAAAAAAGAGTTCCTAGCCTTAGCTAGTATTCTACACACAGTCATTGAATGAATATTTTGCAGTGTATATTAGATTGTAAAAGTATATGACTACAATTCATACATCTATTACATATAACTGTCCATGTCACTATAAGTAACTCCCCCATTTTGGTCTGTTTCTACATTTTTTCATTTGTACAAGGATTTCTTGGTTTATTATTTAGTTTTGTCAAAAGCTCATTAAAAGTTAGAAAAGTATCCTCTCCATTGTTAATGGGAGCCCAGATCTGTCATCTTACGCAAAAATATGTAAATAATTTACTTTCTCTGAAATGACTTCCTTTTTCTCAGGTTTTTAGTGTATGTATGCTGTCAAAATCAGATTTATTGTCATTCATTTGCTTTTGAGCAGTTTAAGACAATTTCAGAACTTCAGAACCTTTCAAGGTGGCTAAGCAAATGAATACTTGTAGAGGACAAGAAAACACTGCCCTATCTAGATCAAAGGTTACGTCTGGGTTTTTGAATATGCATTATGGCTATTATAGAAACATAATTCTGAAAAAGGCTATTAGTAGAACACAATTTTAAAACTTAACAACAATCTGCTAACATTCACATTTGATGGAATGACATTTAAATGCTCTGGAAGTAGCTACAGTACTAGCATGAAGTTGAGATTTTAGAGTAATTTCTTAAGCTACCTGGAGTGTGAACTGTTTTTATTTCCAATATGCCATGGATCAATATATTTGTAGAATATAAGAAAAATAAATTAATAGAAAATAAAATAAAAGGATATGCAAAATGCAAGTCCAACTTTTCATCATTACACTCAACGGACACCAAATTACATATTGCATTTGATATTATGTTAATGTTAATTGTTATAAAAGATTTTAAATGCGTTCTCTCAATTTCTGTACATATTTCATTGTGGATAGGTATCAAGTAACAAACTTTGAGTAGAACTGCTTTATGGGAATATATTCCTACTATTTCTTTTCATAATGGAACACCCTATGGGTCTCAGTGAGTGATTAGTTCTTGCTTACTTTATATACTATCGAACCCTTTTTAAAAAACATTTTTAATTGGCCAGTAATAATTGTACAAATGTATGTGGTGCAAAGTGATATTTTGATATATGAATACAAGTGTAATGATTGAATCAGGGTCATTAGCATATTCATAACCTCAAACATTTATTATTTCTTTGTGTTGGGAACATTCAAGCTCCTTTCTTCTAGGTATTTAAAAATATGCAATAAATTATTGTTAATTATAGTCATCCTACAGTGCCATAAAACTCTAGAACTTATTTATCCTCACTAGCTGTAATTTTGTACCTGGTTATCAAAAGAGCCCCATATCCCCACTTCCTGCTACTCTTCCTAGCCTCTAGTAACCATAGTTCTACTCTCTGCTTCTATGAGTTCAAGTTTTTTAGCTCCTGCATATGAGTGAGAACATGTGGTATTTATCTTCCTGTGTGCCTGACTTGTTTCACTTAACATAATATCCTCCAGGCTCATCTATGTTGTCATGCATGACAGAATTTTATTCTCTTTTATGACTAAATAGTATTCCACTGTGTGTGTGTGTGTGGGTGTGTGTGTACACATACTAAATTTTTAAATGGTGCTATAAAAACTGGATATCCACATACAGAATAATGAAACTAGACCCCTATAATTCACCATATACAAAAATCAACTCAAAATCTCAAAACGGCTTAAAGACTTAAATGTAAGACCCCCAAACTGTAAACTACTAGAAGACTACATAAGGGAAAGGGTTTAGGATATTGGTCTGGACAAAGATTTTTTGTGGATAAGACTTCAAAAGCACAGGCAACAAAAGCAAAAACGGGCTAATGGGACTGTATCCAACTAAAAGGAAACAATCAACCGAGTAAGGAGACAACCTGCAGAATGGGCAAAAATATTTGCATACTATTCATCTGCCAACTATTCATAATGGCCAACAGATATATGAGAAATATACTCAACATCACTAATCATCAGGGAAATGCAAATCAAAACCACAATGATATATCATCTCACCCCTATTAGAATGCCTATTATCAGAAAAAATAAAAAATAACCAATGCTGGTGAGGACGTTGAAAAAAGGGAACTCGTATACACTTTTAGTCAGAATGTAAATTAGTATAGCCATTATGGAAAACAGTATGAGGGTCCTCAGAAAACTAAAAATACTAACATGTGACCCAGCAATCCCATTACTAAGTATCCAAAAAAAAAAGGAAATAACTATATGAAAAAGATACGTGCACCTCCATGATTATTCCAAGAGCTTTTAAGTCACAAAATTGTGTATAACGAATTTATAGAAATTTTTTAACTACTGGGTGAAAAAATGCTATCTCAAGATGAATTATCTTGAGCAGTGGTGACAAAACATTTAGAAATACCCTGAAGAGGTATGAAACAACTCTAAAGCAAGCATGCAACTATAGATATTTTTTAAAAACATTGAGAAAGATGTATATATAGACTAAAGATAATAATATTACCTTACATGGAGCAGAGTTTTTAATATTTTAAATGTTTCAGAGTCATTTTATATCATGTGGCCCTTTATCTATCTCATAAGGTAGATAGGGAAAGAGTTATTATTCCAAAAAATACAAATGAGAAAACTGGGTCCTATATTTTAAGTTAGTAAGTGAATAAGCAATATCATAAGGGATATTGTTTGACTTGATGTAGTACTTTTTACTACACTACACCAATTCTAGAGATTGCCTATAAATATCGTTATTCAGTGACTCTCACCTGTAGAAAAGAAAATTAATGTGGATGCAAGGGAGCAAGATTTTTTTAATGGAACAGTCTATTTTATATGCTGCAGCAATTTAAAAATTAATAATAATAAAAACTAAATGTTTTTTCTCACTTTGAAAACAGGGAATCAGAGCATTCCATGTTAACAAACTGCCCTAAAGGCATCAGATATTTTGGAATTAGTTTAACACTAATTCGAACAAAGATGTCCTCACTTTTCTGGTGATAGTTACTGCACCTCTAGATGAGAACTGATGGAAGCCTGCTGTTTCAGCCATACTTGCTTCAGTATTATATATTTGTGTGATAGTTAATTTTATGTGTCAACTTGACTGAGACACAGTGTGCCCAGATTGGTCAAACCATTTTCTGGGTGTTTCTATGGGGCTATTTTTGAATGAGTTTAACGTTTAAATTGATACACTGTGTGAAACAGATTGCTCTCCTCAATGTGGGTGGCCCTCACCCAATCAGATGAAGACTTGAATAAAACAAAAAGGCTGATCCTCCCCAGAGTTAAGAAAGACTTCCTCCCGTCTGACTGCCTTTGAGCTGGAATTACATTTTCCTGTCTTCAGACCGTGACTGAAATATCAGCCCTTCTTGAGTCTTGAACCTGACAGCCTGTAGACTGGAACAACCATGTGGGCTCTCCTAGGACTCCAGCTGCCAACAGAAGATCTTAGGACTTGTTGCCTCCATAATCTCATGAGTCAAGTTCATACAATAAAGAGGGGAGGGGTAAGATAGAGTGATGTGGAGGAGAGAGGAAGGAAGGCAGAGAGGGAGGAGGAGAGGGACAGATGGAGGGAGAGAGGGAGAGAAAAAGAGAGGGAGTGAGAGATTAAGGTAAAGGGACGGAGGTACAGAGGGGGAGATGGGGAGAGAGGGAAATGGGAGACAGAGGGAAAGATGGAGGGATAGAGGAAGAGAGGGAGATGGACAGAAGGACAGAGAGAGACTTGCAGTGGGGAGAGAGGGAGACAGAGTGACAGAGTGCACGAGAGGGAGTGAGGTAGAGACATCCTATTGGTTCTGTTTCTCTGAAGAACCCTGACTAATACAATGTGTTAGTTTTGTCAAATCTATATTGCTATGAAGAAATGAGGACATACGATCAGCTCTGAACTTCCCACTAGGACTTCTGCATTCCCTGGACACAAAGCCAGTGCCTCTGACTAGGCAAAGTAAGATGCCTTACCTCAAGACAGGCGCTCCAGAAGCAAACATCCAAGGTAAGGCATTAAAGACCAAAGGGAAGAGTAAAGAAGGACTGCAAAGAAGTAGGCTTTCACCCTTAAATGGTACCTAAAAACATGCCCTCTGTCCTGTTTGCTAAGCAGTGAAGGTGCCTCTATATTTTCAATTGTCTTCTGTCTCTACTAAAAGAGAAAAGGTGATTTCTCTTTTGTTAGTTCTGCATGGTGATTCAGTTAGAGGAAGGTGACTGCCAATTTTTTCCTTCCAAAACAAAAATAAGAACAATTTCCCTAAGATAAGAAACACTAAGAACAATGTCCCCAAGAAATACTTTTTTAAAAAGAAGCATTTACTTATTTCGGATATAATGTAAGCACAGTGTCAGCAACTGGAGTTCATGTCCTCAAGTTCAATTGGAAGGTTTAATTCTGGAGAACAAACTCAGCAGGGACCTGATTGTGAAACAATGCCCAGTGTTGAACCACTGATCATTTAGGCTATTCTTTAAGGCTTGGGCTGGCTTTTATTTCAAGATCAATTGAGGAGCCTTCAATTGAGTTAGGCAGTGAATGATTCCATGAGGATCTCCAGCCTTTATGACTAAATTTAAGTTACCTTTGGTCCTGGAACAGGTGGCCAGATTGGATCTCTGGCTTTCCTTGATTTCTCCCTCCATATACACCTCATGAACTTGAGCTCAGTATCACCAGTTATCAGCCCTGATGTGATGGTTTCTCCTGTGAGAAAATGCTAAATTAACATTTTACAATATTGAGATCTCTCTATAGTTTTATTTTAATATATTACCATATCACAAATATATATTGTTTTGTACTCGTGGTCCTGATGGTCAAAAATGAGAACAGGAAACAAAACTATAGAGAACTACTCAATATTGTAAACAAATCTCAGAGTTTAATTCACTGCTCAGAAAGAGGTTCCCCAGGAATGTCTATTTTATCCACCTGCTATGAACTCTGAGATAGAAAGCTGTAACTGATTTATCGATAAAGACTATGATGCCCCAAACAACTATGGAACTGTGGAAATGACATGAAGACAGCCATAGGTTTACTATGATACACTACTAATTACTTCTGAAATAATCACCATAACACATACAAATATAGAACAGATGCAAAACATTTTTATATCTTCTGCCTAGAATATGACAGCTTAGGCTTGCTGAGGCTCACCTAGATTCACCTTTGGTAAACATACAAAAACATACCATTGAAATGTAAAAGATATTAGGGGCATTGAGTTCCACTCAAAGACAACCATTCTCATTGTAGTCTACTGACATCCCCGCCCCCCGCCCAGAACACAGCACAAATGATGACTCCTGGAATTATGCAACAGAGCTCACTTGACAAACACTGTGTCATATATATTAAGGCTGCCCAATAAAATATAAGACATCTTGTTAAATTTAAATTTTTGATAAACAACAAATACTATTTTTAGTATATCATGAATAATACATAAGACATACTTGTACTAAAATTATCCATTGCCATATAAGATTAACATTAATATCATTTTATATAAACTATTTGTTGTTAGGTAAGATATATATCATTACCTTTACCTTTTTATGGTATGATATTATCTAGTATTTATACTGCCTACTATATGAAAAAATACTATGCTTTAAAATCATTTAAATTCATTATGTTTATATTCCTTAGCCCTTGAGGTAGATAGCCCCATTTTACATGTGAGAAAGCTGAGGTTATAATTCTTATTGTTCTTTTTGTTGTTCTTCTTATTGTTCTATAATTCAATTGTTCTTTTTGCTTAGGATTGTCTTGGCTATGAGGGCTCTTTTTTGGTTCCATATGAACTTTGAAGTAGTTTTTCCCAATTAAAAAATTCTCATCATTATTAGTCATCAGAGAAATACAAATCAAAACCACAATGAGATACCATCTCATGCCAGTTAGAATGGTGATCATTAAAAAGTCAGGAAACAACAGATGCTGGGGAGGATGTGGAGAAATAGGAACGCTTTTACACCGTTGGTGGGAGTGTAAATTAGTTCAACCATTGTAGAAGACAGTGTGGCGATTCCTCAAGCATCTAGAACTAGAAATAGCATTTGATCCAGCAATCCTATTACTGGGTATATACCCAAAAGATTATAAATCATGCTACTATAAAGACACATGCACGCGTATGTTTATTGCGGCACTATTCACAATAGCAAAGACTTGGAATCAACCCAAATGTCCATCAATGATAGACAGGATTAAGAAAATGTGGCACATATACACCATGGAATACTATGCAGACATAAAAAGGATGAGTTCATGTCCTTTTCAGGGACATGGATGAAGCTGGAAACCATTTTCAGCAAACTAACACAGGAACAGAAAACCAAACACCGCATGTTCTCACTCATAGGTGGGAACTGAACAATGAGATCACTTGGACACAGGGCGGGCAACATCACACACTGGGGCCTGTCAGGGGGTTGGGGGGTGGGGCGGTAGGGGAGGGATAGCATTAGGAGAAATACCTAATGTAAATGACAAGCTGATGGGTGCAGCAAACCAACATGGCACATGTATACGTATGTAACAAACCTGCACGTTGTGCACATGTACCCTAGAACTTAAAGTATAATAAAATATATATATATATTTAACACATAAAGTGAAAAGCCACAACTTTGATACAAAATGTTCTCTTGTGTGCTGTTTTGCTTGAATCTACATTTATTCCTAAATTGTCCAATGTCAATTGTACAGAAAACTGGCCCTGTAAAGCCATATGCATTTTATGTGTTATAGAGGAAGCAGTCAGCTCTACATTGGCACTTAAAAAAAAATTCTGCTATACATTAAAATTCTGTCAGTCTAAGTGAAGGATGGCATATAGTAGATTTATTTCATCCTAGTCTTTCCAAAGAGAGGCTTTCCAAAGAGAACAGGCTGCACAACTTTTGGTAAACTGTGATCCTTAATATTAGCTTGGAGAAAAGTGGTGTGCTGTGTGTGTATATATCATAATGAAAATCAGTTTATTAATGCCATGTTAGCTGGAGAAGGAACCTAACTAGGTGATACTGTCTTGCCTTCATTTCTTATATTAACCTGGTGACTTTGGTAGAGAAACAGCAAAGAAGAGGTGCAACAGTGAGTTGAGGGTGTTCAAATAAGGTTAAACTATTTTTTTATTTTAAAAGAATGTCTTTCATCACGATTGCCGGCATCATTTGGCATATACATTATTTACATTTTTCTTTAGATGTTATTTTAAGTTCTGGGATACATGTGCAGAACGTGCAGGTTTGTTACATAGGTATACATGAGCCATGGTGGCTTGCTGCACCTATCGACCCGTCATCTAGGTTTTAAGCCTCGCATGAGTTAGGTATTTGTCCCAATCCTCTCCCTCCCCTTACCCCCCTGCCCCAACAGGCCCCCAGTGTGTGATGTTCCGCTCCCCGTGTCCATGTTTTCTCATGGTTCAACTCCCATTTATAAGTGAGAACATGCAGTGTTTGGTTTTCTGTTCTTGTGTGAGTTTACTGAGAATGATAGCTTCCAGCTTCATCCATGTCCCCGCAAAGGACATGAACTCATTCTTTTTATGGCTGCATAGTATTCCATGGTGTATATATGCCAGATTTTCTTTATCCAGTCTATCATTGATGGACATTGGGGTTGGTTCCAAGTCTTTACTATCGTAAATAGTGCTGTAATAAACATACATGTGCATGTGTCTTTTTAGTAGCATGATTAATAATCCTTTGGGTATATACCCAGTAATGCGATTGCTGGGTCAAATGGTATTTCTGGTTCTAGATCCTTGAGGAATCGCCACACTGTCTTCCACAATGGTTGAACTAATTTACACTCCCACCAACAGTGTAAAAGCATTCCTATTTTTCCACAGCCATGTCAGCATCTGTTGTTTCCTGACTTTTTAATAACTGCCATTCTAACTGGCATGAGATGGTATCTCATTGCGGTTTCGATTTGCATTTCTCTAATGACCAGTGATGATGACCTTTTTTTAATATTTGTTGGCTGCATAAATGTCTTCTTTTGGGAAGTGTCTGTTCATATCCTTTGCCTACTTTTTGATAGGGTTGTTTTTTTCTTGTAAATTTAAGTTCCTTGTACATTCTGGATATTAGACCTTTGTCAGATAGGTAGATTGCAAAAATTTTCTCCCATTCTGTAGTTTGCATGTTCACTCTGATGATAGTTTCTTTTGCTGTGCAGAAGCTCTTTAGTTTGATTTGATCCAATCTGTCAATTCTGGCCTTTGTTGCAATTGCTTTTAGTGTTTTAGTCATGAAGTCTTTGCCCATGCCTATGTCCTGAATGGTATTGCCTAGGTTTTCTTCTAGGGTTTTTATGACTTGGGGTTTTACATTTAAGTTTTTAATCCATCATGAGTTAATTTTTGTATAAGGTGTAAGAAAGGGGTCCAGATTCTGTTTTCTGCATATGGCTAGCCAGTTTTCCAAGCACCATTTATTAAATAGGGAATCCTTTCCCCATTGCTTATTTTTGTCAGGTTTGTTGAAGATCAGATGGTTGTAGATGTGTGGTGTTATTTCTGAGGCCTCTGTTCTGTTCCACTGGTCTATATATCTGTTTTGGTACCAGTACCATGTTGTTTTGGTTACTGTAGCCTTGTAGTGTAGTTTAAAGTCGGGTATTGTGATGCCTCCAGCTTCATTCATTTTGCTTAGGATTGTCTTGGCTATACAAGCTCTTTTTTGGTTCTATATGAAATTTAAAGTACTTTTTTTCTAATTTTGCAAAGAAAGTCAATCGTAGCTTAACAGGAATAGCATTGAATCTATAAATTACTTTGGGCAGTATGGCCATTTTCACCATTTTCATTATATTGATTCTTCCTACCCATGAGCATGGAATGTTTTTCCATTTGTTTGTGTCTGCTCTTATTTCCCTGAGCACTGGTTTGTAGTTCTCCTTGAAGAGGTCCTTCACATCCCTTGTAAGTTGTATTCCTAGGTATTTTATTCTCCCATGCAATTGTGTATGGGAGTTCCCTCACGATTTGAATCTCTGCTTGTCTTGTTGGTGTATAAGAATGATTGTGATTTTTGCACATTGATTTTGCATCCTGGGACTTTGCTCAAGTTGCTTATCAGCATAAGGAGTTTTTGCGCTGAGACAATGGTGTTTTCTAAATATAAAATCACGTCATCTGCAAACAGAGACAATTTGACTTCCTCTCTTTCCATTTGAATACCCTTTATTTCTTTCTCTTGACTGATTGCCCTGGCCAGAACTTCCAATACTATGCTGAATAGGAGTGGTGAGAGAGGGCATCCTTGTCTTCTGCCAGTTTTCAAAGGGAATGCTTCCAGCTTTTGCCCATTCGGTATGATATTGGCTACGGGTTTGTCATAAATAGCTCTTATTATTTTGAGATATGGTCTAACAGTACCTAGTATATTGAGAGTTTTTAGCATGAAGGGGTGTTGAATTTTATCGAAGGCGTTTTCTGCATCTATTGGGATAATCATGTGGTTTTTGTCATTAGTTCTGTTTATGTGATGGATTATGTTTATTGATTTGCATATGTTGAACCAGCCTTGCATCCCTGGGATGAAGCCAACTTGATTGTGGTGGATAAGCTTTTTCATGTGCTGCCAGATTCGGTTTGCAAGTATTTTATTGAGGATTTTCGCATCCATGTTCATCAGGAGTATTGGCCTGAAATTTTCTTTTTTGTTGTGTCTCTGCCAGGTTTTGTTATCAGGATGATGCTGGCCTCATAGGGTGAGTTAGGGAGGATTCCCTCTTTTTCTATTGTTTGGAATAGTTTCTGAAACAATGGCACCAGCTCTTCTTTGTACATCTGGTAGAATTCGGCTCTGAATCCATCTGGTCCTGGGGTTTTTTTGGTTGGTAGCGTATTAATTACTGTCTCAATTTCAGAACTTGTTATTGGTCTATTCAGGTATTTGACTTCTTCCTGGTTTAGTCTTGGGATGATGTATGTGGCCAGGAATTTATCCATTTCTTCTAGATTTTTCATAGAGGTGTTTATAGTATTTTCTGGTGGTAGTTTGTATTTCTGTGGGATCAGTGGTGATATCCCCTTTATTATTTTTATTGTGTCTATTTTATTCTTCTCTCTTTCTTTTCTTCTTTACTAGTCTAGCTAGCAGTCTCTCTATTTTGTTAATCTTTTCAAAAAACCAGCTCCTGGATTCACTGAATTTTTGAAACATTTTTCATGTCTCTATCTCCTTCAGTTCTGCTGTGATCTTAGTTGTTTCTTGTCTTCTGTTAGCTTTTGAATTTTTATTTGCAATTTTTAAAAAACTCGTAAGTTAGAAAGAAATAAGTCTTACGTTTAATGTGACTCGACAATGAGTTAAATAATTTTACTTAGAGTGCCTAGGCTATCAATGAAAAAGTAATGCATACATCTTAGTTTTTCTTAGTTATATGTTTTCTCCCTACAGGAGTCTTGTGATTCAGTAAGTAGCTCACCTGAACAAATGGAGGTACTCGTGGTCACAACACTAATCCAACTCAAAGTCACTTGTCGATTTCCATCTCTTGACTTGGGCACATTACTAAATGGATCATCCACTTATTTTTTCATATTTGCTCTTGATCATTCACTCACTCATTCAATAGTTTTTTCATCTTCTAGTGTATGTCACCCCTTGAGCTAAATTCTGAGGACAAAGATGTAATAGGACATGATCTCTGCCTGCCTTAGAAAGTTCAGACTAGTGGATGTTACACAACTAAATTTCAATAATAAAGTGCTATTTTTTGTTAGCTGACACATTAGGGCAACGAAGAATTAGATATCTGTCCCCTAACTCTTATAGCCCTTAACTTGAAATTCCATTTTCCTTAAAATGATGATTTGACAATCTAAATTATTTTTAAACGGTGTCTCAGCTACATGATATGCATGAAAATTAAATTTTAAAATGTAAAAGACACTGAGATACATTAAGCCCTAAAACAATGACAAACATCAATTTGGATTGACTGTATAACTATATACTTCCATTTTAATAAAAATGATTTTGTTCTTAAGCTTCCAGAAAACTTTGAGTAGGCATGAGCTGTGAACATGTAATGACATGGTGGCCCTGACACTAACTGTTATTAACACTTCTCAGCAAATTTCCTTGACTGAAAAATGGAGATAATAATACTAATAACCTTAGAGGGTTATTGTAGAAATTCAATGTTATGATATACTAAAAATTTAGCAGAGTTTCAGGAATACAGAAGCTCAGTAAATCATGATCATTTCTACAATTTTTATTACATAAGGAAATTTAGAACACTTTAAGAGGACAGCTACTAAGTAAATATAAGTCATGTTAATTACAGAACAATTATCACTATTTAGAATGTGTCCCATTGTGTTCCTCATAAGTGTAAACTTACTAGATGTTATATTAAATTATATGGAGGTAGGCATATTAAATTGATAATGAGATCCTTAAAATGTGGCCACTGTATTAGCAAGAGAATCAAGAAATATATTACAGGGTGGGAAACATAACACTGTTCCTATCATTTGTGAGCGACAAAGATTAATGATTTATTACTGGGCTCATTAATCAAAACTGTGTGGCTTTTTTTTTTTAAGGAGCAATTCCACTGTTCAAGTCAATTAGCTCACCAAAGCTATTACACCGAAGAAGCTGTAGTGTTATTCAGACTTCCCTGGGAGTATTTACAGTATAAAATAAATGCTATTATTCAGAAGATACCGAATTGCTAAGCTTCTTAAACTCATACAATTGGGAACCTGCAGTACATTAAAATGCTGAAACTCATTAAGAGAGTTTTTTTTCTCATCTTTAGAGTCACTGGCATTCTCAGCACTGTTAAAAACAATAAAATGCTCCTGGCTTCCAAGGAGAGGGTGACTTCTGCTCTTTCAGCTCCACCTCAATGAATCACTAAGGCAGAACTGGCACCCAACCTTCGAAACAGCAACAGATTCTGCTGGATTATCCTAATAATGGAATAGGACAACAATATTAGCTAAGATGTTATAGAAGAGAGGAGAGGAGGAAAATGCAACTAGTGCATAAATGATCACCTTCTTAGCTCTATTTAAACTGTCTGAGCATCTGTATATAAAATGTCATTAATGATTTTAACACATATGATAAAGTTACAATCTATGAGTTCCTTCTTATATAAGTGAATTACTAGACAAAAGAGGAAAAAGATAAACCTGTACTTAAAGTATAATAAAAGCTAATAAATGTAGAAGGAATATTGACGTTAACAAAATCACCACATGACACCCCAATGGTAATAATTTATTTAGGCTAGAACGATCAGTGTATGTAAAAACTAGTGAGTGAGGCTGGACATGGTGGCTCATGCCTGTAATCCCAGCACTTTGGGAGGATGAGGTGGGTGGATCACCTGAGGTCAGGAGTTGAGACCAGCCTAGCCAACATGGTGAAACCCCATCTCTACTAAAAATACAAAAAATTAGCCAGGCGTGGGGATGTGCGCCTGTAATCCCAGCCATTCAGGAGGATGAGGCAGGAGAATCACTTGAACCTGGGAGGCGGAGGTTGCAGTGAGCCAAGATCATGCCGTTGCACTCCAGCCTGGGCAACAAGAGTGAAACTCCATCTCAAAAAACAAAAAAGAAAAGAAAAAAAAAGAGTGAGTAAAAGTCTGATAGGAACTAGGAAATGTACATCAATCTCCATGGAAAACTGTAACTTTTCCATGGAGACATTTGGCAAATATCACCGCAAACAAGTGATCAAAGTAGTATCAGCAGAATGGGATGAATGAGTATCTTGTGCCTCTCGATATGATACACTGAGAAGGACATCACAGCACTATATGGCATTCCTTTCAGCAAGGCATAACCCGAACCTAATCATAGAAAAACATCCCATAGATCTAAGGTAGGGATGCTCTACATAATAATTGGCCTATAATCTTCAAAAATGTCAAGATGAAGAAAGACAGAAGAATGATTGCAGATTAAAGGACACTGAGAGACTTACGAATCTAACATTTGATCCTAGATTGAATCCTAGATCCCAAACCCTCCCCTAAAAAAATTTTTTGTTTATTATAAAGGACATTTATGGAATAATGCAAAATTCAACTCAGTTCTATAGATTAGACATTTCTATTGTACCAGTGTTAATTTCCTGATGTTGATTATTCCACTGTTGTAATGTAAATGAATTACCTTGTTATTAGGACATATAACTAAACTCTTTATGGATACGAGGGCATCATGTCCTAAATTTAGTCTCAAACATCTTAAAATAATAATATGTATATATTAATAGAGAAAATGATAAAGCAAATGTAAGAGATGTTAGTACGTGGAAAATTTGGGTGAAAAGTATTATGGTATTTTTGCAACATTTTTACAAGTTTAAAATTACAAAAAAATAACATGAAAAAACTGAAAAAATAAAATAAACAAGCTGTTAATTTTGATAGCCAAAATCCAAAAATATAAAAGTATTCCTCATAAGTGCTTTACCTTATAAAAGAAATTTAAGACAGTGTATATTTTGTGTCTTGCATTCAAACTGCCCTCCCTTGAGACAGAAAGAATACCAAACACGAAATTCAGCATCTGCTTCTCCTAATATTGCACAATTAACATACTCAGCAGTACCTTGGACAGTGTTTATTTGTTTGGTTCATTTGCATACCACTCGCTCATGGTCTCCACTAAAGGTTTTAGGCAATATTTCTGCTTAGGTGTGTACAGAGAGAATGAAGATGGACATTCAAACTGGATTCCAGGCATCAATAGGCAATAGTAAATAAAAGAAGAGCCACATAAATTCTCTTTAATTACAGATATATTTCTCTTCTACTATCCCCATGCTCACCTGACTCTGCCAGATTTTCTTCTCATAATGTTGCCTATATATGCACTTTCAGAATTATTTCCTCATTAATAGTTGGAAACATCATAGTTTTGTGAGTTTACAACCTCATCCACAACATGGAATAAGGCAGTGGTTACTATCTTAGAGAAATGGATAGACCCGTGACCCTGAAACAGGGCAGTTTTCCCCTCAGAGGACTGTTGGCAACATCTGGAGACATTTTTCTTTGTAACAACTGCACTGTAGGGGCTGCTACTGGCATTCTACACACACAGGAATGTCTCCTACTCAAAGAATTACCTGTGAAAGAATCTGTCATGCCAAGGTTGCTATACCCTAGTATTAGACCACTTACGAGGAAAGAAAAAAATACATATTTAATATTATATCTCTGTTGTTATATAGTTATTACATCACCATATATCATATATATCTTATATAAATATACATAAGGCTTCCAATGTTGATTTGGGTATTTTTATCATTAAAGAGTCCTTACATGTGTGCAAGGATGTAACGAGGCATAAATGCCTCTGTTATAGTTTGAGTACAACTGTTAAGCCAAATACATTTTAAAATTTCATAAAAGCTAACTTGTATAACCAAAACAATTCAATTAAAATATTAATTTAGTATCATAGATAATGTTATTTTGCCAAATCTAAATTGCCGCTTGCAGTGTGAATCTGCTAGTATCTGCTGCAACACTAAATATTTTTGAAATTCATAGGCTGTATACTTTGTGCCACATGACATTCAGATTCTTCCACTACTTTTTCTATAAAACCTTCATCTGAGTGTAGCTTGCCAGGGTAACAGCTTTCATTTGGTTTAAAAGCATCATTTACTTATTTAGTCAGCGTCTTTTCTCTTTCCTTCCTCATTAGCCCCAGACAATGACAGCAGGCCTCTTTGGCACCAGATAATTACAGATATAAATACAGACACAGACAGTGTCGTTGACCGATCCTCCAGATGATCTCAAATATGCTTTCATAATTTTTAAAAGATTACCATAGAATGAAAAGTCACACACACACTCACACACACACACACACACAGATTCTTACAGGGAACTCATGAATTCTTAAAAATTATTTCCACACACTTTAGTGAGAACAATGCCAATACAACAAAAAAATGCCAGAGATTTGCATGGATGATCAATCTGCTTTCAAATCCAAAAGCATTTAACATATTATTTAGGTATATGTTTATATATATAAACACATACATACATAGGTAGACCCTATCATTCCAGACTAATAAGTTCACTTCCTTGAGTTTTTATTTCACTGTCAGTTACAAGAATACTACTACTACCATAGGGTTACTGTAAAGATTAATGGACACTTTGTAAATGTTAATATCTTTCCTTTTCTTCCTGTTAATTGGCTGTACACATTCACTGGGTGCCTGTCTATATTTTCTTCCCAAGTAAATGAGAAAATGCTTACAATGGCTACATATGATACAATTTACATAGAAAAAGGATTGATGAATTTCAGTTTTACTAAAAAGTACTACAAAATTAATAAAATCCAAAACATTTTCAAGGAAGGTGAAAAGGCCACGTTTCTCAGGCAAAAAAGAGCTTCCTGCATCCTGGGTAAATAAAAAGGGCCAATGTGGGTGCAACAGAGGGAGCTAGCGGGTAATGGCATGAAGTGACTTTGGAAAGGTAGGCAGGGGCCAGATCACATAGGGCCTTGTGGGCCATGTGGGTCTACATACTGTGAATTGGGATTATGCTAAGTACAATGAGAAGACATTGATGAATTTAAGTGGGGAAAGACAAAATCTGATTTGCCTAAAAAAAAAAAAAATGTATCTGTAAGAAAATGTAGGGCCAATAAATGGAGCCGAGTTCCAATTAGGTGGGAAGCTGTTGTAATGGATGAGGAGAGTCCTTCTGGATATATTAGTGAAGATAGTTATAAAGAAAAGTGGATTAAGAAATCTGTTTTGCAGGTAAATTCTACACACTTTCTGATGCACAGAATTTGAGGAATTTGAGAAAAGAAAGTCCAAGGATGATCTCAGGGTTTTGACTTTTGCGTCCTGGCCCACAGCTACTATTGATTATCATAGAAGATGGAGGGCCAAATGTGAGGGGGGAAATCTACAACTCTACTTTGAATATTTTAAGTTTGATATATCCATTAAACATCTAGTTTTGCAATCTGACTCATCTAGTTTCACCTAATAAGAGTAGTGATGATCTATAAATATAAACATGCAGGAACCCTGGAATTTCTTAAATCTGGTTTTATAGCCTTAGTTTGGCTCAACACAGTCGTGGAACTGAGTAGACAAAAAGCAGATTCTCTTTGCAAGTAAAAAAAATGAACATATTGGATCATAAAATACTACCTATGGCCAAGGCACCTGAGTGATAACCAAGGTAAGAAAAGACTTGCCCAAGGTCTCAAAGCAAATTTATAGCTGGAAATTAGATTCAGCTCCTAGTCCAATGTCTTAGCTTGTGGAAAACTTTCTAGACTTTTATAAGGAACATTTTCACAGCGTACAAGTTTCTTTCACGTTGTTTCATTTTAGAACCATGAACTCAAAGCCTGATTTATGGATCAATAAGACTTGAGGAATCATTAGAAATGGAGAGTCTTAGGCCCCACCCCAGATATACTAAATCAGATCTGCGTTTTAACAAGATCCATAGGTGATTCATGTGTACATAAAAGCTTGAGAAGCAAAAATCACTCTTTGTTTTATGGAGGAATATTTAGCATACCTATATGTTCACACAGTAAAATGAAGACAAAAGCTGGCATTGTACTCACTTAAATGATTAGCTAGCCCACTCTAATATTCACGGAGGAATGCTGTCATTAAAAACAAAAAGAATGTGTGCATGTACTGACTTGGAAATGTATCCAGGGATACGTTGTTATATTTTTTAAAAAGCTAGTTGAAGAACAGCATGCAGGTCAGGATTGCAGAGGCTCCTGGTATGCGGCAGCACATCTCCTTGGCCTACCTGATTACAACAGAACTGTGGTAGAGAGTCATAGACTGTTACTAGTTACATACCAAGCATGTGCTGGATCTCTCTGCCCTGCTTTTTCCAAAGCTGCAGAAGGTTGCTCAGCTGTGCACACATGCAGTCCAAGTTGCAGGGGAGTTAACACTCTGGGGCAACCTCCAACCAATGGAGTATGGAAGTTGAACAATAAATGCTCCAGACTTTTCATCTCGGTGCTTTCTACATGGTTCCTCAGAGTTTCCAGCAGAATTGAGCTCCAGTTCTGCTGGAGCTCAAACTTGCTTAATAGAACATGATTTTTGAACATTTTCCCCATCCCTATCTTATTTTCCCTATTCCTTTACTTCTGTTTTCATGGATCACTTCCTAAATAAACTTAATGCACTAAAATTTTTGCCTCGTGGGCTGCTTTGAAAGAAAAAAAAGCAGTATCATTTTAAAAGTGTATGTAATATAGACATGTGATATATAGAAGCATATAGACTTGAATGTATGGAGAAAGAACAAAAAGTCTACATAGGAAAATGATAATGTTTGTCTCTGGAGGTAGATTGACAGGAGACTTTTACTTCAGATTTTTTCTATTTTTATCATTACAATTATTGATTTATATTTTCATAAACTTAAACAGAAGGAAAAATGAAAAACATCAGGAAAAAGGGATCCTTTAATCTCTATACTAAAGATAGGAAACCAAATGTCAGTGTATACTACAAAATTACATAATCAGAAATGTCATTTATGATTGTCCTCCTGTGACTTCCATTTCCCATGAGAATCTGGCTGCTAATGACAATAGGTCTCTTCACAAAGCGTGGGCATTCATGATCTTTATGAATTATTTTCCCTGAGAAATACAAAACGCTTGCAGCAAAATCTGATGTTAAGGATGCAGAAAAGCCACGGGGCATAATGAAGAGATCTAAACGGGTTATTATCAATTTGCCACTCCGCTAAGTCATTTTTCTGCTTCTCCTTCTACTGCATTTTGAAGTTTATACTAGAATCACTGAGTCTGAATTTTACTACTTACGAGGTAAGTAAGAGAATTTTAAGAGTTCAAGCCCTATATTTCTGCACAATTCTAATGGATCAACGGCTTCATTACTGTACACACTGAATAATTGTCCTTCTACAAAAACGTTAACAGATTTTTAAAAATTAGCAATCTAGTAGCTCTGGTTTAAAAGATACCAATTCATATAGATATAAAGGAAAGTAGGATCTCATGGTTTTGCCAAAAATTTCATTTTAATGCTAGCAGTTTACAATTCATATTTTAGCACTAGTTGGGGTAGAAAAAGGGACAGAAGAAGAGAAAGGAGAATGTGCTCATTACAGAAATGAATGCATAAGATTAATACAATTTATAGCTGAGAAAATTATACTTGCCTAGAAGTAAACAGAACGTGTGGCAAGAAACAAAGCAAAGCAAAAACTACAACAACATCAAAAGAACAGTGTGAATAATGAGAAACAAGTAACTCTAGTAACAGTGACAACTCTTTATTGAGCACTTATTATGTATTGAGCACTGTGCGTTGCATTACCTTTAATACTTATATTTAGCCCCTAATGTAGGTATTATTGTCATCACTATTTTGCAGAGGAGGCAACTAAGGCTGTGAGCGGGTAAAGGATCTACCTCAAATCACATAGCTACCAGTCAAGGTTCAAACTAAGGCAGTCACTCTAGAATGCAAACTCCTAAAGGATACCAGACTTCCGCCAATAATGTAGCTTGTGCTACTCCCAAAATATATGTGCCAAAATAAAATGCTGCTGCTAAAATAAAAAGAAAATACGTATTATATATGTCTGTATGTGTAATACGTATGCATGTACTACAATGATTATAACTAGCTGACTTACTCTACCAGCCATAAACATTATTTACCAAGAAAGAAACAAATTAGAATACACTGACTTAGACTATTAACTAAGTTTCCACAAACCCAGAATCTATCAGCGTAAGTGGGACAGAAACAATTAATTAATAGAAAAGGAATATGTAGATGCCTTTTTTGCCTGCTTCCATTATAATACTTGAGCAAAACCGGAAACAACTAAGTATCCTACACAAGGGGAAGGTTTCGTTTTACTGTACTTATATATAACAAGGAATCTTGAGCTTATTAAAAATGATTCTTAAAGTTTTAATAAAAGGAAAATGGCAGTGTTACAAAGTTAGCACATAACACTCTTGCACAGAAAAGAACTGAAGGAAAACACATCAAATTTTTAATAATGGTTATCTATGGGTGGTGGCACAAAGAATATCCTCCTTTCTTCTTTTTTCTAATTTATCTATGGTTTCAAATTTTTTAACATAGAAACGATGACTTGCATTATTAGCAAAATAACTAATATCAATTCAGAGCTTATTCTACTTGTTGTTTGTTTTAGAATGCTATGTAAGTGTCCTTTGCTTCTCAACACCATTGTATGGTAATAAGCAAATATTTCGACCTAGTTACTTTGCCCAGATATCTTAATTGTGGTAACTGTGCAAGTATATCTAAAGGATGCATTTCTAGCAGTAGAATTATTAGATCAAAGGAATTACAAATTTAATGTGTTTTAGGTATTTCTCTAAATTTGTACAAATTTATACCTCTATCAACAATATGTAAAAGTTCCGTTTTCCTCACACACCTACTATAGTAGTGTGACCCATCTTCTTAATCTTTGCCAATCTATTTGCTGAACTCAACAGCCATCTATGCCATCATCTCTTTGAGTCATTGAAATTCAAAGGTCATATTTTAAGACATCTCTTCCCTTTTTCTAACTTCCCAGAAATAATATGGCAGAACAAAACATGAAAAGGCATCAAAGGCTAATCAGACCCATTTAGGATTTGTGCAGGTCACATGAGCATATACATGGAAGAAGTGTACACAAATATGATAAGGCATTGATGCACTAAATTGGACAATCCCCTCATTGAACACTTACAATGTCTCAGCAGGTAGTATACCCTGAACAAAACGATTTGTCACTAGAGAATAGGCTCTATGCTTTTACCTCTGACATTGAGATTGGTTTTTCACTTCTCAGTTACCAGGTCTATGAAATGAAGTTAATCAGAAAAACAGCCATTCATGGGCAAAGGAGATCAAGGTGGTTTCACATTGAACATACAAGGGAGTTCTCCAAGGGAAGACGCTGTCAATAGAATTCACTCTTAAATGCTTAGTCACATGGTTGGAAGAGAGTAAGCACTGATTCCAGGGAACTAACAGTAGATATATTTAATCTGCTTGGCTTAAATTGAAGGCGGAAATTTGGAGGGGAGCATGAAAAGTTCAAGTTATAAAAAAGATGCAGTATGATATACAGAGAAAAGAGCATAGGATTTGAGTTACAAAAACTGATTTTACTAACTTAACCAGTTTCTAAGTCTCTCTAATCTCACTTTTCTCAGCCATGAATGAAGCATATTATACCAATATCACCGAGCTGCTGGCAAATTAGGTACAGACATTTGTGAAATGCCCACAGAATGCTTGGCACATATGAGCACCCCTGAGGTAGCCCCTGGATTTCACATTAGTTCATTAAAGAAATAAATCTTGCCTGACTGGAGGAAATTATTTTACAATTCATAAAGGACAGGGAAATCACCTTCTGGAAAATATCTTCAAACCATAATTTCAAAGAAAACCACTAATTGGATAGGAGTTGGGAGCATAAAGAAGAATGGAATTATCTTCAAGAAGTTGTTGCTTTTATTTTTTTCCAAGAAATTAAAACTATTATCTATGAGGGATGAAACTACACAAGATCCCCTTGTGTTTGATGACATGGAAAATATATAGCTCACTACTCAAATAATCAGACTAAGGCCCAGGAGAAAAAGATTCACCTCAAGGTCTGTAACTGCTAACTGCTGTCATATTCATTACAGGCCAAGTTTCTAAAGCAGCCCATTCAACATTGTCTTTATCTTTTCAGAGCTATTGTTTGAGAGTATGTGTGTGTGTGTGTGTGTGTGTGTGTGTGTACATGTGTGCACATGCATCTGTGGATATCTAAACTATTTTCTACAACCTAATCCTACCTTACATGTTAAATGGGAAAAAACACAAAGTAATTTACTACACTTGCTCTTTGTGCTTCCAGGAAGATGACAGCTAAATATTCATTCTCATGTATATCTGTCTTCCTTCTCCTACCTGTGATCCCTACAAGGTTATGTTACCAAGTCTCATGATTTTAAATTCCATCTGTAAGTCATATCTCCAATCCTGTCCTTTTCCTTGTCTCCAGACTCACATACGTGGCTGTCTATTCAACATTTCCACTTGGATGTCTCATAGATACTGTCCCATCCCATCCCCAACTTACTCTTTCCCAGCCGGTCTGTCTTATAAATGGTAACTTTAACCCATCTGTTGCATAGGCCACAAAACTTGAAGTCATCCTTGACTCCTCTCTTTGATATTTCATATTCAAATAAATTGTGAAATAATTCAAATTAAAGTACTCATTAAATCTTTCAATTCTACCTTCAGAACTGTTCAGAATTTAACCATTCCTTCATATGTACACCACTGCTCATTGGTCCTAGATTATTGCCTGCTTTGTTCATTGATATGGCCCCAGCCCCTAGAAGAGATCCTGGCTTATAGTGGGTGCTCAATAAATATTTGTTAAAAATAGTTTTTTGTTTTCTTTTCTTTTCTTTTGTTTTTTTGAGACAGAGTCGCCCTCTGTTGCCCAGGCTGGAGTACAGTGGTACAATCTTGGCTCACTGCAACCTTTGCTTCCCGAATTTAAGCAATCCTTCCACCTCAGCCTCCAGAGTAGCTGGGACTACAGGCACGCACCACCATGCCTGGCTAAGTTTTGTATTTCTTGTAGAGATGGGGTTTCACCATGTTGCCCAGGCTGGTCTTGAACTCCTAAACTTAAGTGATCTACCCACTTCGGCCTCCCAAAGTGCTGGGATTACTGATGTGAGCTACAGCACCTGGCCCAATAACAGATTTTTAGCAAAGTTTTTCACCATAGAATGGTTCCACTGCTCTCAGGACAGTATATATGCTTGGAGGAAGCAGAGACACTGTATATGAGAATGCATTAAAGTATAAAACATTTTCTTACTCATATTTGTTGCTAGAATGTTTGAAGAGAATGTGGAGAGGCAGGACTAGAGAAGTTTCCTGGCCAAAAACTAAATCAGTGCATGTATAAATATATTATTGCTTTTCTTCTGGTATAGAAATGACCAGTCTTTTTCTAGAATGGAGCCAGCACAGGATGTAGCCAGCCAGGTGAGTGGCATACTCACAGAACCAGGAAGAAATAATTTTCTCCAGGTACTAGGCTACCTGTAGGTTTCCATTACAGACTTTTCTCTTTGACTCTGGGAATGGTATGCCAGGTAGTTTAAGAGAAGGGCACATTATGTCTTATCTTTCTTTTCAGTGAGAAGCAGCTTAAGGGTTTTAATCATCCTTATATGGGAACAGAGGGCAAACACTGAACAAAGAGAGGGTGAAAATATTCTACGAAAGTATGGAAGTGATCATTAATGGGGGGGAAATGAAGAGAAATTTCATGCAATTGAACACTTTTCTAAAGTTTGATACTACAAGGAATATGTAATCTGTGGTATATTATATATAATATAATATAATAGATACTAGCCACAATAATCAATCACTAAGAAGGTCTTGAAGAATTAATATTACCAAAATCACATCCTCACAGGGAAAATATATTAAGGTTCTCCTGAGAACCAGAACCAATAAGAGATATCTCTCTCTTTCTATCTCTGAAAAAGAAATGGGATTTATTATAGGAACTGACTCACATAATTATGGAAACAAAGAAGTGCAGGATATGCTGTCTGCAAGGTGGAGAATGTGGGAAACTGGAGATGTATTTCATTTCTAGTCCAAAGGCCTGAGAACCTAGTGGGTGCCTGGTGTCAGTCTCAGAGTCTGAAGTTTGAACCTGAAGTTCTGATGTCCAAGGACATGAGAAGATGGATATTCCAGCTTCAGAAGGGAGCCAATTTACCCTTTCTCCACCTTTTTGTTCTATATGGTCTTCCAGCAGGTTATATAAAGCCTGTCCACATTGGTGAGGGCAGATCTTCTTTACTCAGTCTACTGATTTAGATGTTATCTCTGCAGGGCATAGTGGCTTCTGCCTGTAATCTCAGCACTTTGGGAGTCCGAGGTGGGCAGATTGTTTGAGCCTAGGAGTTTGAGACCAGCCTGGACAACATGGTGAAACTCTGTCTCTACAAAAACTATAAACATTATCAGGGCATGGTAGCATGCATTCGTAGCCCGAGCTACTTGGGAGGCTGACGTAGGAGGATCACTTGAGCCTGGGAAGCAGAGGTTGCAGTGAGCCAAGATTGCATCATTGCACTCCAGCTTGGGTGACAGAGTGAGACCCTGTCTCAAAATAATAATAATAATAAATAAAAATTAACAAAAATAAAAACCAAATACAAATCTTTCCCAGAAACACCCTCACAGATATAACCAGAAATAATATTTTACTAGCTATCTGAGTATCCCTTAACCCAGTCAAGGTGAGATCTAAAATCATCCACCACAGCTAGGGATGATTATAAATCTCATTTTGGAAAAACAGAGAAAACCTTTTTCTCTTATATAATGAGGCAAAAGAACAAACTTAGGGAGAAATGTCTGATTCTTTAAGCTGTAGGCTTTATTCGAGGGGAAAATGCTCTCCTACCATAATTAATCACATAAAGAAGAAAAAGGAGCAGCAAAGTGATCACTTAAAAGCACAGTGTCTCTGTTATTTATGAGCTATCCAAAGATACATGAGCAGTTGTCATCCATTGAATTTTTAACCTTTAATGGTTATGCTAGCATTCACTTTCATATTGGTAAATAATGTAGTTGGTTTGCTTTATTATTTTCCTTTTCTTCAGTTACTAGCATTGACCCAGATGTTTGCTCAACCACAAAAGGCAATAGCTAATCCTCATTATAACCCTATCCAAAGTATTTACTAGGTTAAGACCAGGGTGTGCCAAAGATTAGAGCATGTGTATGGAGCCATGGGAAGAAAGTGACCCTTGAAGGAGAAAATTGGATTCTGGCCTGGCTTTTGCCACAAGCTCATTCTGAGATCCTGGGTTAGTAGTCTGACCCTGCTTGGCTCTGAAGTTTCTGCATCTGTTTAAAATGGTCGGATTAGGTGGTCTCTAATGTCCCTTCAAGTTCTAAATTTCATGACTGTATCCATCAGGCAATCTCTTAGGCTGTGCTCCAAGTTTCTTGGAGGTCAAGAACATGACCCAGTTATTCATACTCAGGCCAAGTCCACAGAGTCAAACCATAGAAACTCTCTTCCCAAATTTGTTCAGAACAGCTGAGAGAGCCAACGAATATGGAGAAAATCATTTCCAGGAACAGTCTAAGGAACAACATGAAAGTGGACACAATGTCCATTTCCTTTACTACGCTAGTCTCCTCTTATCTGTGATTTCACTTTGCACAGTTTCAGTTACCTAAGGTACAGTACAATAAGACCTTTTGAGAGAGGGATCACAATGACAACTTTTAATATAGTCTATTGTTACAATTGTCCTCTTTTATTATTAGTTAATCTCTTATTGTGCCTAATTTATAAATTAAACTTTATCACAGCTATGTATGTATAGGAAAACACATAGGATACATAGGGCTAAGTACTATCTGTGATTTCAGGCATCCACTGGGGGGCTTGGAACATATCCTGTGCAAATAAGGGGGGAGCTACTGTATTGTATATTTAATGCGTGGAACAGTGCCTGACACATAGTAGGTGCTCAAATATTTTATGATGAACTAATGTCTCTTGGCATGTATAGTAATGGCTGTATAAGCAATTATTTATACTGAAAATTTCAGAAATTAAAGCATTTCCATAATGTATAGCATTAAATCAGTGACAAGTAATAAAAAGATATGCAAAGAGCAGCCTGATAACTCTGAAAGCCTCTAAAGAAAATGGTAATGATTTAAACTGAATCTCAGAGGTTTAAAAACACGTGGTGTAATGCATGGCCTGACAGTTAAACTGGATGAAGGGAATTCACTGAAATGAGACGGATTATGGTTTTCAGTCTCTGAACTAACACACTATGTTTTCACTTGAAGCTGATTCTATTCCTTTTGAGGACTCAGAGCTGTCACCCATAAACGTTCAGTATATTGGAAAGAGTATAGTGCCAGTCAGGCTGCCTGACCCCGAATGCTGTGCCTGCGACTGTGTAGCTGTGTGACCTTTGGTAAATTACTTAAATTTTCAAGCCTTAGCTCTCACAGGTTTACTGAGAACTTCCTTATAAGGCTTCTGGAGAAACACAGAGAAAATGTATGTAGTAGTGCTAGTATAGTGCCTGAGCAGAGAATATATGCAATGAAGTTTAGCTGTGATTATTACTGATATATTATTATTTACTATTGACATAGAGGAGAAGGAGAATATTTAAATTTAGCATTCTTAATGACTATCACCCATCAAAGAAAAAGATAAAAATATGCATTAATAAGGCCTGGTTCTTTCTATTCACAAATCCAAAAAGGCAAATCAAAAAAACTTCCAATAATAGAGAGGTGAACTTTTAAAATGGAAATAGCCTAAACGGTTTCTTCTTTAAAAATTATCGTATGTGTATCAACCAAGTTTGAACAGGTAATGCCAATTGCTCACATGAATAATCTCCTTCCATTTGATTAATTTCCATTTCACAAGAAAGTTACGAATGTCATCTGAAAAATGGTAACGTGTTTTTTCTCCTCAAGTGTCTTTCAGCTATTCCTTCACTTAACCGACCCTATATCTACTCTATTTCCTTTTAATATTCTTTATGACTGATAAAATATCAAAAAGACTTTTGTGCAAGATAACGCTTTATCTCTATGATTATATATAATTATAGCTTTCTTAGAGGAAGAATTAAATATAAATATAGACTTTTTCAATTATCTACAGGCAGTTTATTTAAAAGTTAGGTTTTTAAATGTGCATTATATAGGCCTTTGCATTCAAATGCAAGTAAAATGTACTTCGGGGACAAACATAAGAGATTCTGGATAAATCATTGTTTTTGTTTATATTGGACACCACTGCCCTCCATTGTAGATAATTGAATTGGCAGCATCAGTGAGTACTGATAATGAAGGCAATAATTCTTTAGAATCTTAAATCAGAGAGAAGTTTTTCAAAAGACAAAAATTCATAAGGCCATACACATAACTCAAAAACTATAAAAGCTTCATTACACTAAAGCCAACATATTTCTCACAAAACAGAATATACTCTTTTCATTTTCTCCAATTCCATCAAGAGCTGATACTTGGTCCCAGGTGAAAAGATGAAGGCTTGGGACTTTTCTTAGACTCATTCACGGAACATTTCTGCACTTTTAATGTCAGCCGTGAAGTTGCTGGCATTGCTAACAAGAGCTACCAAACATAAAGCAGGGTCACAATCCTACAATGTGACTGTAATTGCAAGCAATCAAGTACAAGAATTCTAAGTGGGACTGATTACTCGTTGGCTGCAGGTTGGTTTCCTTGGGAAGCCAACCCTGAGACAGAGTTTAGAGGGAGTCATGTGTATTAAGGAGAGGTTTTGGGGTCATTGCCTGTGAAAGGGAACGTAAGGAAGCAGGAGTGAACGAAGGGAGAACGCAAGCTGTGACGCAGATCGGACTTCAGCAGGCCCCAGTGGGAGCTAGAGTGGTCCTTAATTGAACTGAGTTGGGCTGAGACGGCCAGGCATAAAATACAATCACACTGATCAGTTGTTGGATATGGCCTACCCCATGGAAGGCGTGACCTTGGGTCAACTAGCTTCCTGCAACTCAGAAAATTCCCTTAGGGATTGACAGTTGTCTGTCAATAGCCTTCCCAGTAGCTGAGACAACAAGTTCTTCACTGAAGGGATGTGTGGATGGCATGTCAGTGTCACACATCCTTCAATACTGCCAAAGTTAGATAGTCTTCTTATGATGATTCCTAATAGATCTACCAGAAACAGGTGTAGGGAGCCCACCCATAGTCTCTGCTTCCCATCAGAGACGACCGAATTGAAGCCACCCACTTCAGTGCCAAGGAGCAGTAGCCTCTGCTAGAATCACCCCAATCACTGGTGACTTCTCCTAGCATCTTGGGTGGGAATATCAAATCCAGGAAATGACAATGAAAAAGAAATTAAGTTTGCACAGCTTTTAATACTTCAGCAAAGAAAACAATTTGTTTCTTACAAGATCTAATTCTAACTCTGTAGGAATTACACGATTTATTATTTTATTTTCCCAAATGGAACATCTGCAGCAGTCAATAATTTGGGGTAATTCTTAATTTTCTTGCCTACATTTAGAGCCAAAAATAGCCATGCCCCTGAAATGGTGGCTACTATATCTTTCAAGATATAGGGCAGTGACTATTTAACAACATAATCAGCATGCTTCTAAACCTTTCATCTGATATTTAAATGAAAACAAGAGATAATCAGTAGTGAAAGTCATCTTCAATCTGTTATCTTGCCTTTTCAATTCTAAAGCAAGGTTGCTTTGGAAATTGGTCTTCTTCTTATATAAGGTACCATCTGAGAGTGTCAAGTGTTAAATAATTAAAAACAAAAGTAGCATATATCGCTGTCAATCAGCAGGGGCTTTAATTTGCTTTTTGTTGCAAAAGGCATGATACTCTCTAAACGGAAGGTGCAATCAGCCCTCGGCAGGCCTACGACCAGTAACCAGTAATGTTTGACTCTGTCACACTTGAGGGCCATCCCACAGGCTGAGCCAATCACTTGATGTTCGATGAAACTTAACAATAAAACACTCCACAATAAAAGTGTCCACTGAAAGCATCACAACATATAACTATAAGCTGCTCCGTATTTTGTAGGCTTTCTAAAATGAAAAGCCTTGACCTGTCTTTTCTCAAATGGACTTACTGGCACTTGATAGTCTTTCCATTCCTACCCTCGTTTGGCAAGAAACGCAGTAAGAAATTGTCCCATGGCAGAGAGAAATGGCAGGGGACCATAAAATAAAAGTGTCTTTGATTTCTGTAAACATGAATTGTGTCTAGCTTGGCCTTTTGTGGTTTTGAGAGGATAGACAAAAAGCAAGGCATACTTTTTCCTTATGGAAAAGACAGAAAAACTGTCAGCTTTTTTGTGTGTGCAAAAGAATTATTTGGTGGTTTTTCTTGTCAGATGTTTTGTTTGTTTTTATAGTAAAGACGGTGATAACCCATTGCTACACTTAAGAAAAATCATGTTAACATGGAACCGTATTTTCAAAATTAACAGGTCTGGAAAATATTGCTCTTAATTTAAAATAGCTATGGAACATCATTAATCCCTGATTTTACATCTACATGTTCTAGCTATAACGATGAATGTGTTTATTAACCCAATGAGTAAAATCTACCCAGGCACAAAAGTAGACTGATTTATTTCAAACATCTTAATTCACTTCTCGCAATAATCATCTGTAAAAGAGAAACTAAATAGGCATTGGCATAATCTATCTAAAGTACACATGATAAAATTTTATAGTTTTTGGGGGACAGAAATATGAATATAAAGGAACATTTTCCAGATGTGAAAAAGTCATCTTTTATGAAAGACATTAATTTCAAGCAGTTTCTTCATGTCTCTTAGATTTTTTAACCCACACAAAGGCAGAGACAATTAATGTATAGACCCCATTTGAATTTGAAAAGTACAAAGCTCACCCCTCTCCATTAATTTGCCATCCTAAAAGGGGGCAATAGTGATCTCTCTAAGACCTCAGGATTGTGTCAAGAACATATAAGTAGCAAACCATCTTTTAAAAAAGTCTGTATTTCCTTTCCTTCCACTCCAAGAAAATGGATGCAAGATATCTTTGGGGACTTCAGTTCTCTTAACACCATATTCTATTCTTAGGGTAACTTGGAAAAGCAATAATAAAAATATCCTGTGCACAAAGGTTTCTGGGAAAAATACTGTGGTTTTGCTAAGGCATCCTTCTGTTATATAGAGAGTGTTTAAATGATGGTGATGGACTCTATGAACATCTTTTTCATTCACGGCTTTATCCCTGAAGATCTGCAAAATGTTTCAAGATGTCATTCGTTGTTCTCCCTGAAGAGTTTCTTGTGAGAGAGTGGTGTAGTGGGGTACATGATTTCATACTATGAGTTCTGCCAAATCCTGAGTCTAAGCTTCACTGAAAGGGATCCTTGGAGATGTCTTTGGTAGACAGCTCTCCCCTCTTCACCTCCTGCTCCAGTGCCGTCTGTGAAATAAACAATGCAGCAGAGCAATTGAGCCTGCTTGGATCTGGAAGTCTTGATTATGTGTCACTTTGGATTGACATCATGACAATATCATAGCCCTCCTTGCATAGCAAAGAAAATCAGGGTTATAGATGCTTGATTTTCAGAGATTTTATTAGAGGGAGGGAACTACAAGTATCAATGCAAGAAATTACAACACTGGAATTACTCTATAGAAAGCAAGTAATTATGAATGTCAGGACTAGAATGCCTTTGTGAAGGGGATTTTCATGACAAAGGTAGGTAAATGGCAGATTCTCTTCCTGACATCAAGTGGCAGTGTTCTTACACCTAATGGCATATGCTTCCTTTCTACCAGGGACCAATTATTCTGTCACAACAGACTGGAAGCCTTCAGCAGGTGACAACATGTCCTTGGAGCTTCAGTGTCTCACAATTGCTAGAACCAGCTTGATGTGAATGACAGCCACAGAAGGGAAGGCAGAGCCCTTGCTGGTACACCTGCTGTTTTGTTGAATAATAAGGGAAAACTCAGCCAATACCCTATACTCTCTTGTTTTCAGGCAGTAAACAAACCTGATATTACCACAGTTTGTTACGTGAATAGTGACATCAACTGTATGGACTTAGTGCCACCTTAGTTCTTTAATCTGAATACCAATACTAATTCCTAATATTTGCATGAATTTGTATATCATATATGTTATCTCAGTTTTTCTTCACCACAACCCTGTGATGTAATTATGCCATGATAATGCTTCTCCGTGAATTGAGGTTGCATAGGAGGGTATAATTACAAGAGGAGATGTGCAGGAGGGTGGACAGGTGAGTCAATGTAGGAAATAACTAAAAATAACTGAAAAAGTAAAATCAATAAACTATAATCATTCACAACAAGAAGAATAAACCTGGTGAATGTTCATATTAATTATATTTCATTTTAAAGCACATTTTCCATTTCATTATGTTTTCACTTGCTGTGCCTAAGTACAGTACTTAAGCACTGTGTTATGCTCTGGAGGGACTTCTCAGCCCCTGGCTTCAAAGAAAAGGATCAGTTTCTATAACATGTGATTCTTTATATTACACAAGCAAAAAGAAAGGAGGAGAAAGTAAACTTCATTTGCATAATGTGCCACTTTTATAGACCATGTTCTGGTCCAAAGGTAAATTGGAGAGTTTCCTTCATATACATTTTTCTGCATAAAAGTTATTTTTCAAGCTTTATGTGATACTGGATTTAAATGACACACCCTGTGGATAACAAATGCTGGAAGGTCTTTCAACTCCTTACCCTGCAATGTGGCCGTAATGGTTGGTAAGGTGTAATAGGATTGTTATTCACCGTGGACATGGGCGAGAAAGCTATCGTTTTATTTGGTGAAACAAAAAGCCCCTAGCTAAAATCTAGGGCCTCATCACATGCACAAGGGAACTGACTCCAGAAAGCATTCCCCTTGGAACACCATGCGGTAACAGTTTAATTATGCCAGTGATCATGTGACAAGATATCTTGACAACATTATGAATTTGGAAGTAAGAACTAACCCCTTGCCAAGCAATGGCCAAAGCTAATAAATGCCATGTTGGCTTTTCTCTAAAAAGTATTTTTGTGGGTAAACCCTACCAACTTTTATGTTGAAACAAAGTTCAATAACATTTTTTCCTGTCAAAAAAATCTGCATTCTTCCCTTCTATCTAACAATTTTTTAAATTATTTCAATCAGAAAGTCTGAAATCAACACAGCAATTCAAAAACTAGTATCAACATTTAAAAATAATGATAATGCAACTGCAGAGCTAAGGAAGAAATATAAATAAATGATCCAACATTGGTTGAATGCCCACTAGATGCCTGCTACTTTACATGTATTTTATCACAATAATCCTATAAAACAGGCAGTAGTATCACCGTTTTACAGATGAGGCAACTGCGACTTTGAGAGGTTAAGTGATTTGCCCAATTGGATAGAAATGAGTTGCTTCTCTTGCTCCTGGAAGGTTGTTTTTATCTTTAAAAAATAACTAGACATTTAAATGGAAATGTGTAAGGGCCAAAATGCATCTGTATTTCAACACTGGAAACACTTATCCAATGAAACCTTCTTTATATACCAATCTCTTTCTGGAATACACACATGTGTTTGATTCATTTTTAAGTAATTGAAATAGAAGCAAAGATTAAATCAGGGGTCCCCAACCTTTACGGCACCAGGGACCAGTTTTGTGGAAGACAATTTTTCCATGAACCTGTGTGGGGAGATGGTTTTGGGATGATTCAAGCGCATTACGTTTATTGTGCAGTTTATTTCTATTACATTGTAATATATAATAAAATAATTATATGACTCACTCTAATGTAGAATCAATGGGAGCCCTGAGCTTGTTTTCCTGCAACTAGACAGTCCAATCTGGGGTTGATGAGAGACAGTGACAGATCATCAGACATTAGATTCTCATAAGGAACACACAACCTAGACCTCTTGCATGTGCAGTTCACAACAGGGTTCATGCTCCTATGAGAATCAAATGGTGCCACTGATCTGACAGGAGGGAGTGCAGGCGATAATGTGGGTGATTGGGAGCAGCTGTAAATACAGATGAAAGCTTCATTCACTCGCCCAGCACTCATCTCCAGCCGTGCGGCCCAGTTCCTACCTGTGTGGCCCATTTGTAACACAACCTGTAGGGTTGGGGATCCCTGGATTAAATGAATATTTAAAGATTTTACAGGTCTTTCACAATAAGAATGGGAATCATCAATTTTGGCTCTAAATCTTCTAAATCCATTCTAATCAGGTGAGTTTGCACCTACTTCAATAGCAATTAACTTGATAGAAATGGAAAGATAATAAAAAATACTTTGTTATAACATGGCACTACCAGGGTAGAACTTTAGACCTACTACTTGTACAAATACTCTGGGCATTGCAGATATGTTAGCACATGTGAACCTACATGTACTAAGATAGAAAGTTCCCAACCGTAATAGTTCCCATCTGATATTCAGATGTTCTCCTTAAATAGCATTCATTAAGTTGTTTCTGGCAACCGATCTCTTCAAATTGTTTCCTATAGACAATGTTTTCTTACAATTTCACTAGACTTTCAGCCAAGTTCTTCCCCACACATTGAATTAACACATGTACATATGTCAATCAACTTCAAGCAAAAGGTTTATACCTACTGTCTTCATCATAGTTTCCATGGAGAAGACAGTACAGCTCCGTAGTGAAGTGAGTGGACCCTCGAAACAAACTACAAACTTTTACAACTCCCTAGTTCTATGGCTTCGGAAATGTAATGCAATTATGCCTGTGTTTCATTGTACTTAAATGTAAGTGAGAATTATTGTAATAAACAATCACACCTAAAATAGCTGCTTTGAAAGTTAAGTAATATTTGAAATAGCTCAAAACATCGTCTGCATCAGTATTAGATACATCTAATAATATCATCTAGTGCTAACATGAACACTTAACGAAAGTTAGTCATCATTAACCACTCTAGGGCTTCCAACAATCTTTTCAGCTTCCTATTGTGTCCGGAATTGGTGGGTTCTTGGTCTCACTGACTTCAAGAATGAAGCCGCGGACCCTCGCGGTGAGTGTTACAGTTCTTAAAGGTGGTGTGTCCAGAGTTTGTTCCTTCTGACGTTCGGACGTGTTCGGAGTTTCTTCCTTCTGGTGGGTTCGTGGTCTCGCTGGCTTCAGGAGTAAAACTGCAGACCTTCACGGTGAGTGTTACAGCTCTTGAGGCGGTGCATCTGGAGTTGTTCGTTCCTCTCATCCAGAGTTGTTCATTCCTCCTATCCAGAGTTGTTCATTCCTCCTGGTGGGTTTGTGGTCTCGCTGGCCTCAGGAATGAAGCTGCAGACCTTTGTGGTGAGTTACAGCTCATAAAGATGGTGTGGACTCAAAAAGTGAGCAGCAGTGACTTATTGCAAAGAGCAAAAGAACAAAGCTTCCACAGAGTGAAAGAGGACCCCGGCGGGTTGCCACTGCCAGCTCTGGCAGCCTTTCATTCCCTTATCTGGCCCCACCCACATCCTGCTGATTGGTCCATTTTACAGAGACCTGATTGGTCTGTTTAACAGAGAGCTGATTGGTCTGTTTTGACAGGGTGCTGATTGGTGTGTTTACAATCCCTGAGCTAGACACAAAAGTTCTCCAAGTCCACACTAGATTAGCTAGACACAGAGCACTGATTGGTGCATTTACAAACCTTGAGCTAGACACAGGGTGCTGATTGGTGGATTTACAATCCTTTAGCTAGACATAAAGGTTCTCCAAGTCCCACTAGATTAGCTAGACACACAGCACTGATTGGTGCATTTACAAACCTTGAGCTAGACACAGGGTGCTGATTGGTGTGTTTACAAACCTTGAGCTAGACACAGAGTGCTGATTGGCATATTTACAAACCTTTAGCTAGACATAAAAGTTCTCCAAGTCCCCACTGGACTCAGGAACCCAGCTGGCTTTCCTTAGTGGATCCCGCGCCACGGCCGCGGGCAGAGCTGCCCACCAGTCCCACACCGAGGGCCTGCACTCCTCAGCCTTTGGGCGGTCGATGGGACCGGGCGGCGCCGTGGAGCAGGGGGTGGGGCTCCTCGGTGAGACTCCGGCTGCGCGCAGGCTTCAGGTCCCAAGCCCTGCCCCGCTGGGAGACAGCTGAGGCCCGGTGAGAATTCCAGCGCAGTGCCAGTGGGCCGGCACTGCTAGAGGACCAGGTGCACCCTCCGCAGCTGCTGGCCCGCCTAACTCTCACTGCCCAAGGCCGGTGGCGCCGGCCAGCCTCTCCGAGTGCGGGCCCGCCCAGCCCACGCCCACCCAGAACTCACACAGGGCCGTGAACGACGCGCGCAGCCCCAGTTCCCACCTGCGCCTCTCCCTCCACACCTCCTTACAAGCAGAGGGAGCTGGCTCCGACCTCTGCCAGCCCAGAGAGGGGCTCCCATAGTGCAGCAGCAGGCTGAAGGGCTCCTCAAGCACGGCCAGAGTGGGCCCTGAGGCTGAGGAGGCACCGAGGGCGAGCGAGGGCTGCCAGCAGGCTGTTACCTCTCACCATGGGCCACCAAACAGTCATTCTCTAGACTGCAGTGAGTGAGCTCTTACATTCTGGTTCCTAGCTTGTTTTTTACGGAGGTAACATTCACTACTTAAAACTTTTTTTCTTTTTTTTTTTCTTTTGAGACAGAGTCTCGCTCTTATTGCCCAGGCTGGAGTGCAATGGCGCGATCTCAGCTCACTGCAACCTCTGCCTCCCAGGTTCAAGCAATTCGCCTGCCTCAGCCTTCCAAGTAGCTGGGATTACAGGAGCCCGCCACCACGTCCGGCTAATTTTTGTATTTTTAGTAGAGACTGGGTTTCACCATGTTGGCCAGGCTGGTCTCGAACTCCTGGGAGGCCAAGGCGGGCAGAGTACTACTTAAAACTTTTAAACAGTTCTTCATTGTTCTCAGAATTAATTTCAAATGGTTTAGCTAGCCTAACAAAGCCCTTCAAGTCCAGGCCCTTTCTTACCTTTCCAACTTCTTCACCTTTCTAAAAAGCGCAATGTCCAATCTCCAACGTATACGTGTACACATGCACACGAACACACACACATGCTTATAATCTCCCTCGTGTGTCCTCTAACCAGATTACTTGCAGCTCTCTAATTTCTCTTTTTTTAAATTCCTCTATCCTTTTTGAACCTCTAAGCTTTCCTGAAAAATATTCCCTTCTCCCCTAACTCCCCATTACTTTCCTTGGCTAATTATAGCTTGTCTTCACTTTCCTGAAAAAAAAAAAAAGTCTGAAATAATTGAGTTAGGATTCCCTCTTTTGCACCTATTCATATCTTACTATAGTACTTACCATACATGTTCTATAATTACCAATTTTCTTGCCTGTCTGATCTATTAAACTCAAAGGCCCTTGAGAGCAAGTAAAATTTGCTATTTATACTTGGATTCCTAGAGCCAGCCAGCTGAGTATTTGTATAATGATTACTTTGGGAACATGAGCTCTACAAGAGATGTAGGAAAGATGTATTCCAGGAAAATTCTGGAGCCTCATAAGCTCATGTTCTACAACCTGCCTCAATGGAAAGGATTCAGACCGTACACAGTTTGGCGTTAATTCTGCAACATATGGAAGAGACTGAAAAAGAACTCCATACTATTCCTGTCTTGACTAATAAATTATTACTCTCTAGCTTATCACAGCAAAGAGCCACCATATTTTGATGTTTAACTGTAACACATCTATAATAGATCTACTGGCAGATACTGAAAAGTGAGAGAAAAGTGTTCCTGGAATCAAAGGATTCAGAAAAAAGGATATCCAGAGATCACATAGTCCAGTATTGTGACTTTATTTGGGATGTGGCCAAAATAGCCTAAACCGAGCATCTACCTTAGAAAGTCTCTTAGAGAGTTCAATAAATATAACTACTAGGGTGCCAATGCATCTAATTTAAATATGACAAATCCAGTCCCTTTGTTCAGTCTTAAAGGAAGTAAAATAAAATAATAGGCCATCATCATCCTTTATACCCCTGCTATTTGAGGTTTCATCCAAGGATAAGTGGCAGTGGCTTTCTTGTCCTGCCTCAGACCTACTGAATCATAATCTGAAGGAGGTTACACAGACAGGTAATGTAGGTACATGTGCACTGTGGTTTAGTGTACAAATCAGTATATCTTCCCTTATATGTAATATAGCAATATGTATGGGGGTGTAATATGTCTGTACGTTATGGATAAGTGGTTAATTATAATATTACCATACTATGCGGACACTAAAATCATGTTTATAGAGAATTATTTTTGACATAGGTAATACTTACGTCACAATGTTAACTGAGAAAAAAAGGCTACATGAGTTACATACATCCTAATTTCCTACGCTTTTAGAGTTGTATGTGCAAACAGAACAAAAGCTGGAAAGAGTTAATAATAAATTGGTAAAATTATAGTTGATTTTCATTTTCATTTTTGCAAATTCTGAATTTTAGCCATTAGAAAATAGCTCCACAGGACAGGCACGGTGGCTCACGCCTGTAATACCAGCACTTAGGGAGGCCAAGACAGGTGGATTACCTGAGGTCAGGAGTTCGAGACTAGCCTGGCCAAATGAAACCCTGACTCTACTTTAAAATACAAAAATTAGCTGGGTTTGGCGCCATTTGCCTGTAGTCCCAGCTACTTCGGAGACCGAGGCAGGAGAATTGCTTGAACCTGGAAAGCGGAGTTGCAGTGAGCTGAGATTGTGACACTGCACTCCAGCTTGGGCAACAGAGTGGTACTTCATCTCAAAAAAATGAAAATAGCTCTACATTTGAAACCTTCTTTCAAGAAGGTACTTATTGAAAGATTTTTTGTGTATGTTTAAGCCTCTTCACTAGGATAGTATTTCATAACAAAGCCAATTGCCTATCAATTGGGAAATGGTTTATTAAACTGTGAAGTATTCACAAAATGGAACTTTATGTATTTGTCGAAAATGTTTACATTTGTTATTATAAAGGAGCACCAAGATATGTTGTTATGTGAAGAAAGCTGGGTGAATAAAAGTGAATAGTATGCTACCATTAGTCTAATAAATGGTGATAAATATTTTATAATAGTCTTTAATATGGTAGTATTAATTATATAAATTTTTCGTACAACAAAAAATGTGTAATTACATCCAATGGGTCAAAACAATAATTAAAAATAAGCTCTATAAATTATGTAAAGTGTCCTCTCCTTAATAAACATTAAGAATAGCATAGTCCACACAGAGTCTTTCCAGAATTTTCAATACTTTAAAAAAAGCAAATGAGAAGACTTGGGAGATGGTAACAATATATGATTGTACTCACTTGTCCTTCGTGTTTTGGTAGACATGCCCAAATTCTCTTCATGCTCATTTTGTTATGAAATACTATTTCATTGAATCCGCCATCTTGACCCACCATCCATAAAAATAGGCACATTTAAATGAATAAACAAAGAGTGCTGAGAAGTCAAGATTCCTCCAAAGACTGTATTTCTCCATTTACCACTTTCATGGCAATGTCTGTGATATCCTGGCTATAGAATTTACATGAAAAAAAAAATCTGGTTTACAGCACATTCAGACACAAACTGCTCCGGTTTTATTATTCCAATAAAAGCAAAGGATTGTTGATTCTCTGTTTGCCTCCCTCACCAGGGACTACATTTTGCCATGGCTGCATTTGCTGTGTATGTAGAATTCTGTGCATTACTCAGAACTTTCTGGACTCTTATAAAATTGAAGTCCTGTGGCTATAAATAGAATAACAGTAGTCTGAAGAAGGAGCATTAATTTCACTGGAATGTAGGCACAGCCACAAGCCTGTCCCTTCAGGGAGCTCACATAAAATGAAGCACCAAGTATGAAGATTTTTGTGTTGCTTTTCCCCCTTAGTTGTTAAGACAGGTGCACGTGGAATATGTCAGAGGAATAATGATTATCAGCAGTATAACAAAAGGACAGAAGTTGGTAGAATCTGCAGATGAATGCACTACTAAGCATATCAGGCAGGAGAGTACTTAAAGTTTTTGTATACAGATTAGGCAACTCTAAATAAAAAATCTGAAATCCACAATGCTCCAAAATCAGAAATTTTTTGAGCGCTAAAATGATGCACAACTGCAAAATTCCACATCTGATCTTATGTGGTGGGTCGCAGAAAAAACAGTCGCAACTTTGTTTCATGCCCAAAATTACTTTCAAATAGTGTATAAAATTACCTTCAGATTATGTATATAAGGTATATATGAAACATAAACAAACTCTGTGTTTAGACATGGGTCCCATACCCAGAATATCTCATTGCATATATGCAAATATTCAAAAATCCAAAGAAATTCAACATCTGAAACACTTCTGGTCCCAGGCATTTTGGACAAGATACATTCAAACTGTAATAAGTTTCTTCCTTTGAAAAGCAGAATATTAGATTAAAATAAACTCCTGTCAGTTCATGGGTAACATTGGTAAACAAGGTAGCTCAGATAGGTGGATTAAACAATGGAAAGAAAAGTAAACCGGGTGAAGTTCTGGTCATGTTCCCCCAACGTTTCAGAGAGATGGACAAGCATGTAAGTAAAATGATAAATAGGATTGTGCAAATGGGCTCATTAAGAAGCAAGTGTGCAAAGATTAATGGTTTGGAGGAAGTTGTCTAAAATTCCATAGGTATATGATAGCTTTTCTTTACCAAAACTACATTTGTTTCAATAGCAAATTTTAATATAAACCAATTGTATCATTAAGAATATATGTTCAGGAAGATTCCATTAAAATTTTCCCAAACTTAGATCCATATTACTGTATAAGAAATAAAAACAAATGCTTTTTGTGCCTGTTTATATTACCTTGTCCTTACCATGCTGAGCACACAGGCCCTGCATTTCTTTATGTAAGAACTTCTCTGGCTGGATAATCTCTGTTGTCCTCCTTTGTAGCAAGTTAGAAGTTTTGGAGAAATCACAACTACTAGGGGTACCTACAAAAATTAAAAATTAAAAAAAACCCAAACGACCAGGGGAGACATTTTACTAGTCAATCAGGGGTTGGTGTATAAATAACCTAGCTCCCTCACCCCTTGTGTATGATGACTCTAAGATGTGTACCCTACACTGGCTCTTGGAGTTGCCCTAGGGTATTGACCTGCAGTCACCCACAGTGGTAGCTGAATTAATAAGGTGCTCTTGTCCCGATCGCCATCTATCAGTGTTGTTTCTTCACGTGCTCCTGAACCTCCCCAGAAGCATCTGCTCCTTGGGGAGCAAGAGCTAAAACAGAAATTATCATCAACTCTCAAATATTATGAATTGAGCAATTTTATAAATATCTAACTTTTCATGTTCTGGCCTTCGTGCAGAAAAGAGGAGCCAGCAGTCATCTATGAGACAGGGTGGCTGATGTAACAAAAGATCTATCCTTTCCAGTTCTCATACAGTGTGTGACATTGCTACTCAAGGGCCTTTCATCAACAAATGATTAATTGGTGAGGAATGACATTACCTTCCTTGAATAAAACATAATTTAGTACAAATGATCGTTTTTAATTAGCTTGCAATAATAATGGCAGGTACCATTTATTCAGCACTTACTGTGTTCTATGTTGTATGCTAAGTGCATTTATCTTACCTCTGAGATTGGCACCATAATCTGTATTATAATCAGCTACTATAATCAGGAAATATAATCCCCATTTTAAAGATGAAAAAAACTGAGAGCCTAACTCACGTGAAGTCACACTGCTAGTAAGGGGCAGATCTGGGCTTGGAAGCCAGGATTGCTTGAATTGGATGCCTGTGAGTGTCCATAATTAAGTGTCACCATCCATCTTTGTTACAGAGATCAGGATCCTAAGGGAGTTAACAGAAGACATGGAGAGTTTTTAAAATGTCAATGCCTAGGGGATCTTTACTGACGGCAAGAAAGAAGAAAGAAACATTGAAATCCTAGAGCCTGGTCTTGGTTTAGTGACCCCCCTGGCCTTACCCTTTGTCCCTTGGCCATCTCACTGCTCAATTTGACCAGTTCAAACAACAGAGGAATGAAAAAGAAATAAAAATCAACTTGGAAATTAGCACAACTTTTACTGTGGGAACTGGTTTACATTTTTGGCTAAAATTAAGCTTGGGATTGTTTGTGAAACTCAATGAAGCAAGAGTTGGCAATGTGTACAGGCAGAGTGTGTTCTCCCGTGCTGTCCACACACGATTTCCTAACAATCAAAAGAAAATGCTTTATCTGTTAGTAAAAGTTAGCAAAGTTTCATAACTTCCTGTAATTACTACTCTGAGAGTTCACAATGGTTATTTTTTCACATGAAATTGTTAAATGAGGGCTGCCTGAGATTTCACTTAAAATTTTGCACTTGGAAGAAAAAAAGGGGAAAAAATGAGAAGCCAACAGAATAACAACTCTAGAAGTGAAGAACTAACATTTAAAGAGTGAAAATAATAATTAAAAGTAGGATCTATATATTAACTAAAATGCCCCTCCTCAACAAACATAGGAATACATACTCTACACAGAGTTCTAAGAAGTTCGCAGTGAGCTTACATTTGTGGAATGCCTACCATGTCTCCAACCAATTGTCCATATTCTTACATTTAACCTTTCTACAAATCCAGTAGCATTAGTATCACTAATCCTTTTTTATTAATAAGGAAAAAGTCACAAAACCTGAATTCATACCATTTTAAAATTTGTTAGTTTTATTTATCCTTTCTTATACTAGATCTTTGCAAGACTAGATAATAATTCATTGCTTCTAGATAGTCTGCGAGATCCTAATATGAACAAACTGCTACAGTAGTAGTAAGAGTAAAACTCCAAAGGGACTTGGAATTTTTCATGTTATTTGAGCAAAAGTGTTGTTTAAAAAAAATGGCCAAACTTGCTTTCAAAATGAAAAGGTGAGTGACTCAGCAGTGGGCAATGAGAGACTCTCACCAGCCTATAAGTGCAGTGATAAATAGCAGACATTGCTTAGCTAAGTTATGAATAACCACACCAGGAATGTGTCTGCTTAGGCTCCTGTGCCTGACAATTGTTACATGAATATAAAACAATCTGCCTTGTATTTTTTTTTTAAAAAAAAATTTGCATGCAGCTTTTTACTTTGCTAGATTTTAAAATTTGGGGCTGGGGTGGGAGATGGGTAAGAACAGTTTTTAATTTTTTTTATTTTTTTATGCTTCCTCCTCTTTAGCCACAACATTTAGGACAGTCACTTGCACAGATAATGTGTTTAAAACATAATTGAACTCTAAGTATATGCAAATCCTGAAATACCTAGAAATTCAGAAACTTCCTATATTAATTGGAATTCAAAAAAAATCAAGCAGGAAATTACTGTGACCACCTACATCCATATACGGATATACAAACTAATTGTTAGTCTTTGCTAACAGTGAATCCCAAGTAACCCAGAACAGAGTAACTCTTGCTAACTAGTTCTACAGTAATAACTTTTTTTAGGAATAAGAGTAAGACAGCCCTATGAAATATTTTTAAAGCAGATTTCCTCTTATGACGAACAATTGTAAAAGGTTTATCTTTCTACAATAGGACATGTTCCCTCAAAATAGTAGAGAAATTTGTTATATAGACAAAGGCTTCCATGAATGATTTTGAGGATGTAAGTTGGAAATGAAAGAGAAATATAGTTCCAGACTTGGGTGAAAATGTATGTGACAAAAAGATGACATAATCTATCAAAATGTAATGAAAAACAGATATCAGAAGCAGAGGCAACTAATGTAGCCATGGCCACCCCCTTGCACACCCCCTTCCCTCAACACACAAACCTGCCTCACTCTCCAGAGGCTGTCTTGGCTGACACAGAGGATGCATTCCATACATGTTTCAAATACCAAGGATCAAGAAGCAAATCCAAGTGTTCACTGCGTAAGTGTTCCTGTCATTTTGTGGTATTTTGAAGAAACCACTGTGAAGCAACTTGATTCAACTATTGCTTTAAAACTCAAACACTGATCATGTTGACACTGTCTACAGTAATCAGTGTTTGAAAAATAATGGATAAACATTTTACTATTTGCCTTTAAAGAACAAAACAAGAGTAGTATTTCCAACCTAGCTAAGAGGGGACAAACAGAAAAGATAGAGAATTCAAAGTTTTGTCTTAGGATGAACAAAAATCAATCTGAAATTATTGATCAAATCATTGAAATTATCATTATGTACAGCTTCGGTCTCAACCTAGTTCACTGATGTTACCCATTTCTCTACCGAGAAGGGCACATTTATGAAACTGAAGAATGACTGTATGAATAAAGTATGTTAAGCTTTCTTATATGCTAATAGTAGTTAATCTTTGCAATAATCTTTTGAAGTAACATGATTTATTTTACAAATAAGTAAACTGAGACACAAGAAAACTCAGTCATTTACCCAAGATCATAGTCAATAAATAAATGTGGACCCTAAATTTTAGCTCAATAGAAATAAATTGGCATGCTTTTCCCATCCCCCTGTTTATAAGATATATATTTGCCCATGACTTGGGCTGTTTATTAGATATAGGACATCCTCAGAGGCATCCATGTATGTATATGCATTCAATAATGACATTATTCCTCAGGCATGAAACACCTTAAAATATCTTTCTAACTATCCAGAGAAAATTATAGTCATGAATTTGAGGTCTATGTATTAGTCTGAATTTGCTCTGTACAGCATCACACATCACAATTATGCATTTTCAAGGAATGTTTTCTGATGGGTATTTGTCTTTAATTCATTCTAAAATTTGGGGAAAAAATGTAAAGAAGAGTGTTGTATTTCTATCAGATATCATAATGTTGGTTTGTCATAGAGAAAAGTATCTCAGTAAAAAACCACTTTAGTCTCAATGTAAATTATGCAGAAGTGTCTTAGCCATTAAACAGAATAAGTTACAGTGTATGTTTCTGGAAATATAAATCTAGACACATAAATCAGGATGTCTAGTCAGTGATTTAAAAAAATATTTAGCACAGTGGTCATATAAAGGATCTGTCCGTACCAAAACATAAATGAGCACAATGTACATTTTTAAAGCAAATATAAGCACTAAACTTGAACACTAATCACTTATCCTAAAGAAAAGAGAGCATGATTATATATATAATTTATAATTATGCTTAAGGTTATGTTTCCTGCTTTGTAAAAGACCTATCTTAACTTTCAGCCCCTTTGGAGGTAGCAGTATACTCATTACTATCATGCAGGAACAATATAGCTATTCACATTTGCGATGTGCTTTGCAATCGCTATGGATCATGAGGATAAATGATGGGAGAGAAAATGATAGAAAGGGAATCTGAGAAAATGATGGGAAGAGGAAAACACATGGTCAGTTTTTTGATTAGGTTGTCAAATAAAGTCTCTTAATGTAACGTTTACAAGAAAATCTTGAGATTACTCCACTTTTTCTACGGTTCTGTTGTTCCGTTTTTAATGTGAGCAAGTCAGGTCACTCAAGCATATTCAAGTTCAACTCACTAAAGCATAATAATGCTTATTGTTATACTTCATTATAAACAGGGCTCAAAACAATGAATATTGACAAGCTAAAATTATACCTCTTTAAGTCTTAGCAAGCTTGGTTAAATGGTTATATATGCAAGATCAAGTTAAAATGGAAACATGAGGCATTTAAAAAATATAGAGGTCGGGCGCGGTGGCTCACACCTGTAATCCTAGCACTTTGGGAGGCCAAGGCAGGTGGATCACCTGAGGTTAGGAGTTTGAGACCACACTGACCAACATGGTGAAACCCCATCTCTACTAAAAATACAAAAGTTAGCTTGGCATAGTGGCAGGCATCTGTAATCCCAGCTACTTGGGAGGCTGAGGCAGGAGAATTGCTTGAATCCAGGAGGCAAAGGTTGCAGTGAGCCGAGATCCCAGGAGGCAGAGGTTGCAGTGAGCTGAGATTGTGCCATTGCACTCCAGCCTGGGCGACAGAGGGATACTCCATCTCAAAAAAAAAAAAAAAAAATAGAGAGAGAGAGAGAGAAGGGTCACACATAAATAAGATTTATACTTAACTTGTTTGATTGCTACCAGTGTTAGATTTGAAAGCTATGCACATAAACTATTGGGAGCAAATCCGCATTGTTATGTGACAGAGAAAAGATGGCATCTAGAGGAAGAAACGTGCTATTTATTTTCAGTGTTTTTTTCCATAAGATTTAACTCTAGGGCAGAATTATGAGTCTCTGTCAGAGAAACCAACCAAAAATAAAAATTGAACCTGGTGCTTGTACATCTTACATGACAGATGAAAGAAGACTCAATAAATCACAAGTGTCATGAATTAAGCCATTTTGTTTTATTTTATTTTTTCCTTTGGGGCATTTCTGTGGGACTTCTTGACTTTTCTTTCTAAGATGAGTAGAAATGAGGCATGCATTAAACAAATGATTGGCTATTACAAAGAACCACTTTATTGATGTTGACAGAAACCCACGAACAAGTCATGAAAAGAGAAGTACCAAGAGTGTGTGCTATTATTTCTTAATACTAGAGCAGAGAAAGTTCATTTCAAGCCATATTTTGGGTCAATCTTACCATGAAGGAAAGTTATTCCTCAGGTCAAGGGTAAGTATTCTGGGAGAAGGTACAGAACCCATAATTATTTAGTCAATTTTCTTCTTGACGCTTTGTGGCCTAGAAGATTTAGTACAAATAGAAGAGAAAACTTTTGTTCTGCAAAATACTTACAAGAACTTATACCTCAAGAAATGCTCTGTTCTCCCACAGTTTGATGAAAGTGTCAATACAAGACTGCGATGTCAAAATATGACTGGCATATTTATACAATATCTCTTTCTGTCTGCAATTCCATGGAGTTAAACTTGCTGAAAACCATAAGATAATAGAACTCCCTCTGGTAGATTATATTTTCTAGGTGTACCTAATCCTCCAAACATGTATAAACCTTGCTAAGCATTGCACACAAAGAATATAAAAACCCTCTTAAGCACATGCTAATTATGAAATCTAAAATATATTCCCATTCTTTTGCACTGAGACATGAGACAGATTTTCAGTTCCATGAGTTAAACTGATACAAAAATTCCTAAAATAACATTCTTTTCTAGGTGATAAATTAACACTAGTCCAAATAAACAAATTGTAGCAAAAAGCAGAAAAGTAAAAGTAGGAGTTTATGACAGAGCACAAAGTTCAAACTGTTTAGGCAAAACAAAAATGCAAAACTAAAATACTGGTATGGAAAGCACAGAACTTGAAAGAGAATTCTGGGCCTCTAAAATTTCTGATAAGTATACTAACTAACAACAATTACTTTCAAAACTCTTGGCAACATGAATGTAGAGATTCAATTTAGCACTTGAATACTGTCAAAACTGAGTCATGAAAATATATAACCCATTTCAAAGTTATCACAAAGAAACATAATTGATTAGAGATAATTGATTAGAGGTGAAGAACAATTTGAATCAGTTATAACAGAAAAATTTAAAAATATACATATATCATTTGTTTTTCATTTTTTTGAGACAGGGTCTCATTCTGTCAAGAACACAGCTCACTGAAGCCTCAAACTCCTGGGCTCAAGCAATCCTCCTTCTTCAACTTCCCAAGTACCTGGGACCACAGGCACATGCCACCACGTCCAGCTAATTTTTGAATTTTTTGTAGACACAAGATCTCACCATGTTGCCCAGGCTGGTCTTAAACTCCTGGGCTCAAGCAATCCTCCCACTTCGGGCTTCCAAAGTGCTGTGATTATAGGCATGAGCCACCACGCCTGGCCAGATATGTCATTTTACTTTCTCTCAAAAATCTCTATTGATCTCTTATAAATATAATTTATATTATTCTATATATTGTGAGATATGTGATTAATAAAATGTATACTTTCCACATATACCAGAAAATCAATACCTTCAGCAATGTTTCATTTCTTTTGGTTAGCCAGTAGCTAGATTATGAAAGAAACAGTAATAGCATCTCCCTTTCTTTCACTTTTTTTTTTTTTTTTTTTTTTTTTTTTTTTTTTTTTTGGTAGAGATAGGATCTTGCTATGTTGCTGAATCTGGTCTCAAACTCCTGGCCTTAAGTGAACCTTATGCCTCAGCCTCCCAAAGTGTTGGGATTACATGCATGAGCCACTGCTCCTGGCCATACCTCTCTTTTAAAACATTTTTATAAAGATGTAAAATATGGATGCAAGCAGAGATTTCTTTGTAATAAAAGTTATTTTTGTCTCTTTCTTAGACTAATAACTGAGAAAAAATAATTTGCATAGTGCTTCCTTACAAAGCAAGCCTTCTAATTAATCAGTACATGTAAACAAATTCTATCTAGGGCTTTATTTTGCAGGTTTAGAATACATTTTTATATATTTTCCACTCTGCTTCCCTGGTAAACTTTCTCTAATAAAATACTGTAAAACTCACAAATTATCAACTCTTGCCATACAAGTAAAATTAAACTCCTGAGAATATCTACTGCTTTGTCAGCCCAATTTTAAATATTCAAAATGTATGTCACAAAATTAAGCTTAAAACCACATATTTTCATAAGTACATTTATGTACTTTAAAAAATGAATAAAGAAAAAGAGTCAAATAATTTTTATTTAATTCTTTATGGGTATGGGGAGCACATAATTAATGACAGAAAAAAGATGTAGATCTTTTTATGAAATTATGAATTTTGCTTAATTTAAGGCAAGGATAATATCCAAGAAGCATTATAATAAATAAGTTTAAATTTCTAAAGCAGTTTATCTTTAAAAAAATTACTTTGATGAAATATACAAGCTCTAAAGGAAGCAAGAAGCCAATATATCTATATCTATATCTATATCTATATCTATTTCTATATAGGTATATAGAAATAGGTACATAGAAATAGATATAGATGTGTATTTTTTTAAATGATTAGCCCTAGGAATTTTGGTACAGGTTTAGTAGATAACAGCATCGTGAAGTTGTCCTATGCAAAGGCCAAATCATAATCTCTTCACAAATTCCCACCTCTCTGATTTCCTTTTTAAGAAAAAATCTCTCCATCAGTCTTTAGCAAGAAATATCCTAGGCCAGGCACAGTGGTTCACACCTGTAATCCCAGCACTTTGGGAGGCTGAGGTGAGTGGATCACGAGGTCAGGAGTTCGAGACCAGCCTGGCCAACAGAGTGAAACCCTGTCTATACTAAAAATACAAAAATCAGCTTGGTGTGATGGCATCCGCTTGTAGTCCCAGTTACTTAGGAGGCTGATGTGAGAGAATTGCTTGAACCTGGGAGGCGGAGGTTGCAGTGAGCTGAGACCACACCATTGCACTCCAGCCTGGTGACAGAGCAAGACTCCATCTCAAAAAAAAAAAAAAAAAAAAAAAAAAAAAAAAAAAAATCCTGTAACTTTTGTGCCTGATGTGACTATTTACATTAATCAAAACGAAAAACAAATTTATATACTAAACCAGAGGTTAAATTCACAATGTGGGATCTACCCTCTTCCAGAAAGATGTGGATGATGAGAGTGTATGAAGTCTTTAGAAGGATTATAGTTTGTGGATAGAAACTGTCCCCTGTCTTTGCCCTCTTCTAAACTGACAAAATAACTATTAACAAGAGTGCATTAAGCTCTTCAACTTGCGATAAGTATTTTTTGGATCACTGCAAAGGCAAATAATCTCTCTACCCTCAAGAAAATGGGGATAGGAAATCAATGCACATAAAAGCATTGGAAGATTGGTCATTGTTTCAGGATGTGGTACTGGCTAAGAATAACAGGAGGTAAGAGAAGAGAAGAAAAGGCAAATCAGGGCTGAATAACTTACCTTCATCAAGCAGAAAGATGAGAAAGCTAGCTCTTGCTTTGGGAAAAGCAATTTGCAATTGGAGTAGAGCTGGGTGAAAATAATATCAGTTTAGATGTTCCATGAAACTAACGGTAATTATTCGTGCAGCTTCCTCTAGTACCACTGAAACATAATATGACTCTGGTGTCCTTTGTGGCAAGACATATCAAAATATCTATAATCTGGGCATACTGTAATAAATGTAATTATCATTCTATACTACTTGACTTCAGTTCATGGGTCTAATAATCCCCTTGAAGCTAGTTGCTACAACTAATAGGTAGGATATTATTTTATTATCCCTCGTAACTTATGTCTAGCAAGTCACAATTGTGAAAATATTGGTATCTTCTCAGCATATGGAAATGGGAAAACAGGAAAGCAAAATTTGAAGGGTCCAAATTTTTTCTTCAAATTAATGTTTTTGCTGTTATAATGTTTTATGAACATTCCCTATATGAACCAACACAGCATACCCCGAAAACCTTTGTGTCTAATTATCAGTAGTTATTTATCATTCATTTCTCAAAATAATTAGCTTCGCTTGTCTAATGAAGGAAAATGGGGATTAAATTGAGATAGCTTGTGTCAAATATGAAACAGATATTCTCTGCTCTACAAATCTGAACTTAATGTCTTCATGTTGAAGGAAAAAGAAATCCTGTAGATAATAATGTTTAACTGCCTAGATAACCTTGTCAAAACTAACTAAATAACATAATACATGTTGCCTATGCACTGGATTCTTTGAGGATTCTATTGTTTTGATTATTTCAAGACGAACACATGGCTTTGAACATCAGAGATATAAGCTATATTCTAAAGGGGTTGGATTAAACAGAAACCTGGCTGTTCTGGGAAATTGGAACAATCCTTTTATGTTAAGTGGCTTTTAAAATCACTTCTATTATCTGTAGCCATGTCCTCAGTTGACACAACTTAGAATATTTTGCATAAAAGTATAAGTGTGACCTGAAAAGGAAGGAAAAAAACTTATCTGACTCAAAAAGAAACCACACATAAAGAAAACCCACAAAAACCCACTTTCAAAATGCATGACCTCATTCTTTCCTAGTACTAGTCTGAAAGCAAAACAAAACTGATGATATACTTGTAGAGTGCAGCATCTAGCCAGTACCTGCCATTTTATCTTAGAGAAGAAAGATAAGGGCTATGTTTACTAAGGCTAGCAGGACCCTCCTCCTTAAACAAAATAATGACTTTATTTCTGACAATCCTAAGGTTTTGTTACACATAGAAATTGAAGAAAAAAATAAACAATAAACATTTGTTAAGTTATATCCTATTATTTTAGAGTTTATATGTACCAAGATAAAGGAAAATAAGGAAAGACGTATGAAAATGTAAGCAATCATTGGTTCTTATATTTAATTAATTTCCTATTCTTTGTAATTATTTGTTTTTGAATTTTTTTTACAGACAGGGTTTTTCTGTGTGGTCCAGGATAGAGTGTGATCACAGCCCACTGTAATTTAGAACTCCTGCACTCAAGCAACCCTCTGGCTTCAGCGTCTCTAGTAGCTGGGACTAGTGGGGCATGCAATCACATCTGGCTTTTTAATTTTATTTTTTACAGAGATGGGGTCTCTTATGATACCCAGGCTGGTCTTAAACTCCTGGCCTCAAGCAATTCTCCTATTTCATCTTCCCCAAAATGTTGGAATTACAGGCATGAGCCACCATGCCCGGCCTATTTTTTGTTTAAAATATCAGAACTGTCCATGATATGCTATCAAACAATGAATATACACCAAGCCCTTCAGAGACACAGTAAGCCTAAAAAGATCTAATAAAATAATTTTGAAATGGGGGGACTCAAGAAGACCATATTTTTACTGAGAGACATACAAGTAATTTTATTAGAATGTACTGATTAGAGTAATAGAGATATGGTTAAGATGAAGCAAATGAAAACTCAAGGGAAAAGAACTGTTAGCCTACGTTGGCCAGAGAGTCTTGGTATAGAAGCCCTCCTGAATATGTCCTAAAGGCTAGTTGGTACCCACCTTTTAGGCCACCTGTCTAAGGTCAAAAGTGCTTACCATAGTAAAGTGCTTGCCTCCATCTCCAGTAATGAAGATCCAGAGAGGGAAAGCGATGTTGTTACACAACTTTAATTTGGGCCCACTTTGGAAGACTTGTTGGTAAATATGGGAAAACTAACGTTAGAAGTCTTCCTGATTCACCCAGCTGCCAGGCACAGTGATGGTGGTGGCAGCAGTGGTGCAGAAGGTGTGGGGAGAGGTGGGACTAACTGTGACGGAACGTGCATATAAATGACTGGCAGGCAAGGTACTGAAGTTCTTACCAAAGTGATGATGCAGGGATGTCCTAGATATGTCCTAAAAGACTGCATTTCAAGCTCTCAAACAAATATTACATTTTCCTGCTTATTTATGCCTATTTGTTCCAGGTCGAGTCGCACAGTTCCTGCCTATTGTTTAAGCAAGTGATTTCTTTCTAATAAGTATATACCTCTTTGTGTATCTACTTTTCTGCTCTTATCCACACCTGAGGGAAGGAGGAAACCGGAACTTGTTTTGCACCAAGTAATGGCTAAAGAACTGATGTTCTTCCCTTTTTTAGAGGATGGAATGGACTCCCATGGGACAAAAAAAGGTAGAATAGAGCTTAAATAGCAACTTGAGTATCACATCAAATATACAAATGAAAAAACAGAGAAACTAATACAGAACGTATTAAAACTCCCTCTATAAAAAAAATGTTTACCGGGCTGGGCGCTGCAGCTCGCGCCTGTAATGCCAGCACTTTGGGAGGTCGAGGCGGGCGGATCACGAGGTCAGGAGATGGAGACCATCCTGGCTAACATGGTGAAACCCCATCTCTACTAAAAATACAAAAAAAAATTAGCTGGGCGTGGTGGCGGGCGCCTGTAGTCCCAGCTACTCGGGAGGCTGAGGCAGGAGAATGGTGTGAACCCGGGAGGCGGAGCTTGCAGTGAGCCGAGATCGCGCCACTGCACTCCCGCCTGGGTGACAGAGCAAGACTCCGTCTCAAAACAAAACAAAACAAAACAAAGCAAAACAAAAAAATTGTTTACCGGAAACTGTTTTACCCCTGAAAAATATAAAACTTATACTTACACACATACACACATAGTAACAGGAAAATTAAAATCTAAAAAAAGAAACAATAAAACATGCAACATAAACCAAACAGAATTCTGTTTGTGTTCATCAATAAACATACTAAAGGGAAAAAATGTTATCCTTTTCTGTACACAAAGACCATCCTCTTTAGCTCAGTGTATGTGTCTGTGTGTGTGTGTGTGTGTGTGTGTGTGTGTGTGTGTACATAACAAACCTTACATTTTACCTGTTTGAATTTTGTGACATTCAAATTCTGGATAATATGCAATGTTAAAAAATTGGTTTCTGATGGCAAAATAAATAGAAGGGATCAATCATATGTGAAAAGTAAAATTATATCCAAGGACTTATAAGGAAAATTTTTATGTCTATCTATCAAACAATCAGAAAACTAACAAAACAATGCTTTCAGGGAAAAAAACTATTCATTCCATAACTCCCTAAATAAAATTCCATATACAGTTGAATAAGTCCACTAGAGGTTATTTTTTTACCACCACAGTTGGTTTTAATTGATTCCATAAATGATACAGCCATGTGGTAAAACTTCTTATCATATAGATAGGTACATAAAGAAATACACCTTTCCAGAACTGTGTGTTTTTGAAAATCCCACTTATTTTAAAACATTAAAGTCTGTTATAATATGACATTTTATGTTTTTCAGAGTGTCCACAAATAATAAAGACATCAAAAGTAAAAATTTAAATACAGTGACTCTTGTCTTCCTAAAAGTAGGGACTGTGTTTATTTTATTTTTGAATTTTAGTTGATAGGCCTCCCAGTACAACACCATAACTATTAAAATTACTGTTTAGGGTATTATTAATTATATCTCCTGAATGCATTGAGAAAATTCTTTGTAATGCAATAGTCAAAAGAGAAAATGAACTGTACTTATAACATATTGGTGTGAATAATTAATTGGTTTCTCACAAGAATATCCTCTGTGGCTTCTTTTGTTTATTATACTAGTCACACCTTTCCTGGACCAAGCAATTCTATTCTTAAAGAGCTACATAAATCTAGACAGGAAAAAAGATCCTAAATATATGATTGACACCAAAACCAGCAAGCCAGCAGCTCTGGGGATAGTCATTTTACAAAACTGCTTAGTCATTCCTGTCCAGCCCTGTAATGCCCAAGTGTCAGCTGCTGAGAAACCATATCATGAAAAGTTAATTTGGCTCTTAAAGATAACATGCTTTTAAAAAGTGATAAGAAAGAAAAGTTGAGCTGGGTTCAGACAGACTGTCTCTGTTCCCAAGTTCCGAAAATGCACTCCCAGAAATATTTTCTGTCGCCTTATCAGCAGCAACATTCCTTAGCAATCCTGATTAAATAAAATGTTTCTTCCTTCAAGGAGGTGGTGTGTTTGTGTGTGTGTGTGTCTGTGTCCCTATATATTTCTAGCCAGGAGTTAGCATGAGACTGGGTAGAAAGCCAGTGTTATAGGCATGTCTCCTTAAACTTCACACTTTCCTAAAGTTGTTTTTTCTCTTTGCCTTCATCTGAGTCCTCTCTTCCCTCCTCCCCTTTATTCCCCACTGCTATTGTTCAATTTGGCAGCACATTTATGGATGCAATCTTTATGAGACCTGCTATGTGAAATAAACTCACACTCTATTCTCGGCATCCTCCCTTCTCTTGTCTATCCCCCTTGGAAAATGTGATAACCTGTGTTTTTGAAAATACTACTGTCTTGTGTGTACATTTGCTTTGAAAATTGAGTCATTGAAAATGATCTTGAGCAAAGCAACTCACACCTGGGGAACACTGCAGTGAAGAGAAAGATCACATGGAGGCTATGAGGAACCAAACAAATGGTCTTGACATCTGCTGAAGTGTTATGTAGGAAGCCGGGTAGTAAAAAATGAAAGCAAAGCTTGATTTTTCACCCCACCATTCTGCCCCCGACACACTAAGAATAATCTTGACTGACCCAGTATCTATTTGCCTCTCTGAGAAAAGCAGTGAAGTTGAACTGGACATTATTATCCCACAGTAACAGTGATCCAAATACTTAAACACTTAGAATTGTACACTTTGCATAGGAAGAGTAATTCCTAGAGTATATCAGCTTTAAGGCAAATGGTGACACGTTTGCATTCTTAGAATGATAGAATATGCTAGTTTCTGCCAATCTATCTCCTTCTCTCTCTCTCTTTCCTACTTTGTGTATCCAAACCCTACTTGGACAGCCTTTTTGTGAATAGCACTGTTGCAGAGAAACATTAGCTGTTTTAATAGGACACAAAAATGAACCAGAATAGAAATGTTATAGAGTGGTACTCTGTGCCCTTCTGGCCCTTTCAGTTGCCAGGTGCAGCAGTTCGCTCCCCAAACCTACAATGGGAAAGGAATGCCACCCACTCCCTTGCTTTCCAGTTTCAACTCCTGCCTGTGGCAAAAACTGTAAGAAATCTTGGTACTCTTCCACTAAGTATAGACAGGATCCTTCCTAACACAGCACCCCAAGCAGCCAAAAATCATTATCAATGAATCAGAGCTTGTTTAAAAACTAGCATCTAGCCGGGCATGGTGGTTCATGCCTGTCATCCCCGCACTTTGGGAGGCCAAGGCCGGCGGATCATGAGGTCAGGAGACGGAGACCATCCTGGCCAACATGGTGAAACCCGTCTCTACTAAAACAAACAAACAAACAAAAAATTACCTGGACATGGTGGCGTGTGCCTGTAATCCCAGCTACTCAGGAGGCTGAGGCAAGAGAACCACTTGAACCAGGGAGTAGGAGGTTACAGTGAGCCAAGATGGCACCATTGCGCTCCAGCCTGGCATCAGAGCGAGACTCCGACTCAAAACAAACAAACAAACAAACATCTAATTGCCTTCCTGCATCAAGCCATCCTTTCGTAAGATTGGTGAGCACAAAGAAAGTTGTGGATCCATTGAGATGCTATCTCACACCAGTCAGAATGGCTGTTATTAACAAGTCAAAAAATGACAGATGCTGGTGAGGTTGTAGATAAAAAGGAATGCTTTTAAATTGTTGGTGGAAGTGCAAATTTTAGTTCAACCATTGTGGAAGACAGTATGGTGGTTCCTCAAAGACCTAGAGGCAGAAGTACCATTTGCCCAGCAATTTCATTACTGGGTATATACCCAAAGAAATATAAATCATTTTATTATAAAGATACATGCATGCATGTGTTCATTGCAGCACTATTCTCAACAGCAAAGACATGGAATCAACCCAAATGCCCATCAATGATAGACTGGATAAAGAAAATGTGGTACATATACACCATGGAATACTATGCAACCATAAAAAGGAAGAAGATCATGTCCTTTGCAGGGACATGGATGGGGTTGAAAGCCATTATCCTCAGCAAACTAACGCGGGAACAGAAAACCAAACACTGTGTGTTCTCACTTACAAGTGGGAGCTGAATGATTGAACACATGGACACATGGAAGGGGGAACAATACACACTGGGGCCTGTCTGGGGGGATTGTGTGGGGGATGGAGAGCATAAGGAAGACTAGCTAATGGATGCTGGGCTTAATACTTGGGTGATGGGATAATATGTGATCCAAACCACCAGAGCACACATTTACCTACGTAACAAACCTGCACATGCTGCACATGTACCCATTAACTTAAAATAAAAGCTGAAGAAAAAAAAATAAAGTTATAGATCAGTCAGCATGAGGCTATTTACTTATGTTGGAGGTGTTGGTAGGAGAAGAAGCTGATTAGCTTTCTCTTTGTACATTTTTTTCATTCTTACACTAATTTTAATGAAACATTTCATGAAGAACATTTAAGAAATCATTCAGTAAGTGCAGGATATATAGGCCAACAAGTAGGCTGAGCAGAATGTAATTTTCATTAAGAGAGTAGAGAAAGATAGCAGAGAGATGAACATGTCAGCCCCCACAGCTACCCTGTAATGTACTAGTGGACTCTCTTTATTAAATTAAGAAAAGTATCAGAGGTCTAGCAGTATGTATGCATCAATGCAGACATACATACATGAATTAATTTCCAGGGTGACAGCAATGTTATTTCTCCAATAGGGTTTTAAGTTACACAGGTAAATACATTTGGTAAAGCTCATTAAACAGCATACTTAAGATTCCTGTATTTCATTGTATTGAAATTCCATCCTAAAAGAGGAAAAATAGAAACATTGAACTCTAGTTGATGATATACATGCTGAATGTTTAGAAGTGAAGTGTACTGATACCTGTAATAGATGCCTTATTGAAAAAAATAGGATGAATGAAAGAGTGACGGGCATATAATAAAACAAGAATAGTAAAAGGTTCATTGTAGAGTTAAGGCAGTGAGCTCACTGTAAACTCCTTTTCATCTTTGATTGTATTTGGGAATTTTATAATAAAATGTTAGGGAAATTTTACAATATATGCCTATCTCTTCATGAAACTCTTGTGGTCTGTCTTTCTCTTGCTTTCTTCTAATTAAAATCAAGAAATATTTCAGTCACTGTTTGCACCAAGTGAAATTAGATAGAATGACTTGTTACTGGAAAGTCTTGATTTTCTTTTTCATAAAGAAGCGTTAGGAAATGCCAACAAAACTCTACTCAGAGGAGAAAAACACGCACTATTTTGCTTAGAACTCGCTATGCTCATCACATCCAGAGCAAGAGAGAATAGAATGGGACCCAAGTTAATGTATCTTAACCCAGCACTTCTGTTAGGCAAAACATCACTCAAATGCAAGTATAAAAACATGTTTGTCTGAGCTTGATTAGAACATCACTGATCTTATTTATTTTTTTCCTCAGGCCACATAGGCATTAATGCTGACTTGGCAAACCGTGGCTGATAAACGACTGTTCTGTCAAATCGACACTGGGGATTTCAGAGTCTAAATGATGGATACTGTGAGGCACAAAGTATTCAAGGCTTGAGCCTTTGTAAAACAAGTGCAAAGAGCTCAGTGAAAACCTATTATCACTGGCAGAATGGAAGAGGCAACACAAAGGTATTTTATCAGCGGTGGCCATCATCAAATTCACATGAAATATGTTCCAATTCTAAATCACACTTCTCCCCAGTTTAGCAATTTAAGGGCAGCTAGACAGGCATGCTAAAACAAGGGAATTTTAAACAAGCAGAATTAAGATCAGAATATTTAGCCTATTTTATTAATGCTGATGGGGTGAGTCAATATGTTTTAGCAGTAATTTATAACACTATGTATAATATATATATATATATATACAGTCAAGTAGTATAAATTATTGCTAAAGCATATTAACTCACCCATTGTGTATATATACAGTCAATTGTTATCTATCCTCTAGACTGGCTTGGGAAACTAAAATTCCAAAGGAGTAGGATGATATAATACGGCTAATGAGAGTAAGTGAGCACACTGCAGTATCAAGGGTTCACTGCTTGGCCTGTGATTCCATACTTTTTAATTTCCTTGTACAAACAGGGAACTGAAAAAAAGGAAAATCCATTTGGCTGGTATGAGCTACAAATTAAATGCTTGATTAAATTTTGGCAATTACATCTCCAGGTCGTTTCCATTTAAACATTTTAAATTCATTTTAATAAGCTTCTTAATCATGATCTTGGCAATCTATTGTATGGCAAAAGTGACTCTAATAAATGCTATTAAGAGATTGGCTCAAAAATAGAAAAATCGACGGATAATGCAAAACCCCATTTTACTCTGCTTTTTGGTTGTTTGCACATGGGTATATGTTGAGTCGAAAAATAAATACAAGAAGCTCATATATATTCTTCACAAGTAAAGAGTAATCAATATCAGTGGTTTTTCAAACTTTATCATGCATAAAACTCATCTGGAGAGCATATGGAAACACAGAATGCTGGGACTCCATTTGCAGAGACACTAATTTAGCAGGTCTAGGTGGTGCCCATGAATTTTCATTTCTGACAAGCTCCCAGGTGATTCTGAAGCTGTGATTCTAGGACTATCTGGAGCAGTGCTTGCTCAAACCATTTTGATGTAGCCACCATACTAAATGGTTGTCAGGAAGTTTGGGAAATAATGTAAGATACCTGTAAATTATTTGTTCAGCTTTTAAAGTGTGCCGAAAGGTGATTATATCATCTCAGTCAATAGCCAGTCAGTGGCTAGTAGCTCCTACTGAGGGTTGGATCTCAATAAAATGGAGGGGTAGATGGGCCCCTGGACTCCATATGTTGAATCTTTCCCCTCTACCTGATATAAACTTCTTCCCCCTTCAAGAATCCAGTATCCCGTAGCCTTCTCCAGTAACTCATTCTCTCAAATTTTTAATTGTTATACTATCTCTTTCTTGGGTGACTGCCTCCTCATGGGTGACAAAATATTTTTTGTCAAACCATAAAATTTGTATATGGAAATTATGGCATCAATCCCTGAGATCACAAGTGGGTGACTCTTCCTTACAAAGATGTCCGACCCTGTTTTCACTCTCTGGAGATTACTACTGATGCAACTAAAGCCAGTTTTCATTTGCCCTATAATTATTGGAGACAAAGAATCTTGGTTGGTTATTAATCTCCATTGTATCACAAGTAATGGAATATTAAATCTTCTTTCAGACTTTTCTCCTCAAAGAAAAATACCATCAGTTTTTCTTTACTGTTTGGTGTAAGAACTACTTCCTAACCCCTAATAATATATATATAAATCTCCTCTGAATTATTTTCAATTATTTTCAAATTTTCAAAGGTAAATACTTGAAAGCAAAACTCCTATTTAACATATATTTTGAAATCCCTTCTCTTCTTATCTCCCACCATCCCCAAGTCACTAGAATATTTTATATCAACCAAGGTTTCAATGAATCATGTATTAACAGGAATTGACAAATGGGGCAGAGAACTTGAGCACAGGCCTAACCAGAGCTGAGCATGATGGAAGGACTGGTTCCTAGTTCCTTAATGTAGTAACCTTACTTTCTTTAGCCCCATAGTTCATTTTAAATAAATAATCGCTAGCATTCTGATTTATACTTCTCATGTAACTTACTCATGATTTCATGCAGGTTCTTTATTTAATTCTCACAAAAACTTTGTAAAGAAACTGAGGCTCAGAGTATTTGGTGATTTAACCAAGGCCACAGAGCTGGTATGTGACAGAATCCTAGTTAAAATTCAGCTTGTCTGACTCACATTCTGGTGCTTTTTCTATTACATTACACTAACCCCAAGAGTGTAACAACTCTTATTAGGTTATCCTTCATTATATCTAATTTTCAGGAAAATAGTCCTAGACTGCCTGTGGAAAAAAGGGCCTATTTTCCAGAAAACCCAATAAAAAGAAGAAAAGGACAAAAAATTTCAGAATCTGAGGCTGTCTACAGTAAAACTGGAAAAATGCCACAAGTTCAGAGAGCAGATGTTGAAGTATATATGTCAAATGTGGAGAAATTTGCAATGAGCGTTTGAATAGATACTCCTGAAAATGAGTCACCTATAAAGTGCACAGGCTTTCAAAAAAATAACACCAAACAAAAATATTCAAATTTTAAAAAGCCATTTCTAAAAAAAAATTAATGAAGACTTTCATAAATCTACATATGAAAATTGACTACCAAACTTTAGAAAAATTTTGTTGCAGAACAAGCAATAACTATTTAATTTCAAGAACAGAGAAAAAATTATTAAGGCATCTAGCTTGTTAGCGATCAGATAGTAATTCAGGATTACTCACTTTAGCAACACTATCATCGGAAGAAAACAAACATCAAAGCAAGTGATATGGTTTGGATTTGTGTCCTCACCCAAATCTCATGTTGAAATTTAATCTCCATTGTTGGAGGTGGGGCTTGGTGGGAGGTGATTGGATTATGAGGGTGGTTTCTCATGAATTGTTTAGTACCATCCCCCTTAGTACTGTATAGTGAGTGAGTTCTCTTGAGATATGGTTGTTTAAAAGTGTGTAGCTTTCTGTCTTTCTTGGTCCTGTTCTGGCCATGTAAGACGCCTGCTTCTGCTTTGCCTTCTACCATGAGTAAAAGCTCCCTGAGGCCTCCCCAGAAGCAGATACTGTCATGCTTCCCGTACAGCCTGCAGAACTATGTGCCAATTAAACCTCTTTTCTTCATAAATTACCCAGTGTCAAGTATTTCTTCATAGCAATGCAAGAATGGACTAATACAGCAAGCAAAGAAATTACAAAACAAAACTATGCTGCAATTAGTTTTGAAGGGGAAAAAATGGCATGTGTTTTACACCCAGTAAAGTTATCATCATGTATATTTTTTAAAAGGTATTTAAAAATATGCACAGATATTAGAATATAGCACTCATATGATTTCTCTCAAAAGCTACTGGTTGACAAAATCTAGAAAACTGTGATATCAATATGAGAATTTAAGGATTGCACAGTCATTATATAAAATGATTCAAAGTTACTACTGATTGCATTTAAATACAGAACTAAAGTGAACAATTTTGGTTATGATGGTTGTTTAATAAAATGTAAATCTTATAAAACTGAATGTAGAAGCAGTAATATGAATAATTGAATTTGGAAACTGGAAGAGAGGCGTAACAGGTGAAAAATTAAGTTTACTAATTTCTTTTTTAAAAATTTATTTATTATACTTTAAGTTCTAGGGTACATGTGCACAACGTGCAGGTTTGTTACATATGTATACATGTGCCATGTTGGTGTGCTGTACCCATCAACTCATAATTTACATCAGGTATTTCTCCTAATGCTATCCTTCCCCCCTTCCCCCACTCCACGACAGGCCCCGGTATGTGATGCTCCCCACCCTGTGTCCAAGTGTTCTCATTGTTCAGTTCCCACCTATAAGTGAGAACATGCAGTGTTTGGTTTTCTGTCCTTGCAATAGTTTGCTGAGAATGATGGTTTCCAGCTTCATCCATGTCCCTACAAAGGACATGAACTCATCCTTTTTTATGGCTGCATAGTATTCCATGGTGTATATGTGCCACATTTGCTTAATCCAGTCTATCAGTGATGGACATCTTGGTTGGTTCCAAGTCTTTGCTATTGTGAATAGTGCCACCATAAACATATGTGTGCATGTGTCTTTATAGCAGCATGATTTATAATCCTTTGGGAGTATACCCAGTAATGGGATCACTGGGTCAAATGGTATTTCTAGTTCTAGATCCTTGAGGAATCACCACACTGTCTTCCACAATGGTTGAACTAGTTTACAGACCCACCAACAGTGTAAAAGTGCTATTTCTCCACATCCTCTCCAGCACCTATTGTTTCCTGACTTTTTAATGATTGTCATTCTAACTGGTATGAGATGGAATCTCATTGTGGTTTTGATTCGCATTTCTCTGAAGACCAGTGATGATGAGCATTTTTTCATGTGTCTGTTGGCTGCATAAATGTCTTCTTTTGAGAAGTGTCTATTCATATCCTTCACCCATTTTTTGATGGGGTTGTTTGATTTTTTCTTGTAAATTTCTTTAAGTGCTTTGTAGATTCTGGATATTAGCCCTTTGTCAGAGAGGTAGATTGCAAAAATTTTCTCCCATTCTGTAAGTAGCCTGTTCACTGTGATGGTAGTTTCTTTTCCTGTGCAGAAGCTCTTTAGTTTAATTAGATCCCATTTGTCTATTTTGGCTTTTTTTTGCCATTGCTTTTGGTGTTTTAGACATGAAGTCCTTGCCCATGCCTATGTCCTGAATGATACTGCCTAGGTTTTCTTCTAGGATTTTTATGGTTTTAAGTCTAACATTTAAGTCTTTAATCCATCTGGAATTAATTGTTGTATAAGGTGTAAGGAAGGGATCCAGTTTCAGCTTTCTACATATGGCTAGCCAGTTTTCCCAGCGCTATTTATTAAATAGGGAATCCTTTCCCCATTTCTTGTTTTTGTCAAGTTTGTCAAAGATCAGATGGTTGTAGATGTGTGGTATTATTTCTGAGGGCTCTGTTCTGTTCCATTGGTCTATATCTCTGTTTTGGTACCAGAACCATGCTGTTTTGGTACCAGTACCATGCTGTTTTTGTTACTGTAGCCTTGTAGTATAGTTTGAAGTCAGGTAGCGTGATGCCTCCAGCTTTGTTCTTTTTGCTTAGGATTGCCTTGGCAATGCAGGCTCTTTTTTGGTTCTATATGAACTTTAAAGTAGTTTTTTCCAATTCTGTGAAGAAAGTAATTGGTTGCTTGATGGGGATGGCATTTAATCTATAAATTACCTTGGGCAGTATGGGCATTTTCACAATATTGATTCTTCCTATCCATGAGCATGGAATGTTCTTCCATTTGTGTCTTTTTTTTTTTTTTTTTTTTTGGAGCAGTGGTTTGTAGTTCTCCTTGAATAGGTCCTTCACATCCCTTGTAAGTTGGATTCCTATGTATTTTATTCTCTTTGAAGCAATTGTGAATGGGAGTTCACTCATGATTTGGCTCTCTGTCTATTATTGGTGTATAGGAATGCTTGTGATTTTTGCACACTGATTTTGTATCCTGAGACTCTGCTGACGTTGCTTATCAGTTTAAGGAGATTTTGGGCTGAGATGATGGGATTTACTAAATATACAATCATGTCATCTGCAAACGGGGACAATTTGACTTCCTCTTTCGCTAACTGAATACCCTTTCTTTCTTTCTCCCGCCTGATTACCCTGGCCAGAACTTCCGACACTATGTTGAATAGGAGTGGTGAGAGAGGGCATCCCTGTCTTGTGCCAGTTTTCAAAGGGAATGCTTCCAATCTTTGCCCATTTAGTATAATATTGGCTGTGGGTTTGTTATAAATAGCTCTTATCATTTTGAGATATGTCCCATCAATACCTAGTTTACTGAGAGTTTTTAGCATGAAGGGCTGTTGAATTTTGTCAAAGGCCTTTTCTGCATCTATTGAGATAATCATGTGGTTTTTGTCTTTGGTTCTGTTTATATGATGGATTACATTTACTGATTTGCATATGTTGAACCAGCCTCACATCCCAGGAATAAAGCCCACTTGATCATGATGGATAAGCTTTCTGATGTGCTGCTGGATTCGGTTTGCCAGTATTTTATTGAGGATTTTTGCATCGATGTTCATCAGGCATATTGATCTAAAATTCTCTTTTTTTGTTGTATCTCTGCCAGGCTTTGGTATCAGGATGATGCAGGCCTCATAAAATGAGTTAGGGAGGATTCCCTCCTTTTCTATTGATTGGTATAGTTTCAGAACGAATGGTACCAGCTCCTCTTTGTACCTCTAGTAGAATTCGGCTGTGAATCCGTCTGGTCCTGGACTTTTTTGGTTGGTAGGCTATTAACTATTGCCTCAATTTCAGAGCCTGTCATTGGTCTATTCAGGGATTCAACTTCTTCCTGGTTTAGTCTTGGGAGGGTATATTTGTCCAGGAATTTATCCATTTCTTCTAGATTTTCTAGTTTATTTGCATAGAGGTGTTTACAGTATTCTCTGATGGTAGTTTGTATTTCTGTGGGATTGGTGGTGATATCACTTTTATTATTTTTTATTGCGTCTATATGATTCTTCTCCCTTTTCTTCTTTACTAGTCTTGCTGTCAGTCTATCAATTTTGTTGATCTTTTAAAAAAAAAAAAACCAGCTCCTGGATTCACTGATTTTTTGAAGGGTTTTTTGTGTCTCTATTTCCTTCAGTTCTGCTCTGATCTTAGTTATTTGTTGCCTTCTGCTAGCTTTTGAATGTGTTTGCTCTTGCTTCTCTAGTTCTTTTAATTGTGATTTTAGGGTGTTGATTTTAGATCTTTCCTGCTTTCTCTTGTGGGCATTTAGTGCTATAAATTTCTCTCTACACACTGCTTCAAATGTATCCCAGAGATTCTGGTATGTTGTGTCTTTGCTCTCACTGGTTTCAAAGAACATCTTTATTTCTGCCTTCATTTCGTTATTTACCCAGTAGTCATTCAGGAACAGGTTGTTCAGTTTCCATGGAGTTGTGCGGTATTGAGTTTCTTAATCCTGAGTTCTAATTTGATTTCACTGTGGTCTGAGAGACAGTTTGTTATAATTTCTGTTCTTTTACATTTGCTGAGGAATGTAATAAGTGCGATGTGGTGCTGAGAAGAATGTATATTCTGTTGATTTGGGGTGGAGAGTTCTGTAGATGTCTATTAGGTCCACTTGGTGCAGAGCTGAATTCAAGGCCTGGATATCCTTGTTACCTTTCTGTCTTGTTGATCTGTCTAATGTTGACAGTGGGGTGTTAAAGTCTCCCATTATTGTGTGGGAGTCTAAGCCTCTTTGTATGTCTCTAAGGACTTGCTTTATGAATCTGGGTGCTCCTGTATTGGGTGCATATATATTAAGACATAGCTCTTCTTGTTGAATTGATCCCTTTACATTATGTAATGGCCTTCTTTGTCTCTTTTGATCTTTGTTCATTTAAAATCTGTTTTATCAGAGGCTAGGATTGCAACCCCTGCTTTTTTTTGTTTTCCATTTGCTTGGTAGATCTTCTTTCATATCTTTATTTTTAGCCTATGTCTGTCTCTGCACATGAGATGGGTCTCCTGAATATAGCACACTGATGTGTCTTGACTCTTTATCCAATTTGCAAGTCTGTGTCTTTTAATTGGAGCATTTCGCCCATTTATATTTAAGGTTAATATTGTTATGTGTGAATTTGATCCAGTCATTATGACGTTAGCTGGTTATTTTGCTTGTTAGTTGATGAAGTTTCTTCCTAGCATTGATGGTCTTTACAATTTGGCATATTTTTGCAGTGGCTGGTACCGGTTATTCCTTTCCATGTTTACTGCTTCCTTTAGGAGCTCTTGTAAGGCAGGCCTGGTGGTGATAAAATCTCTCAGCATTTGCTTGTCTGTAAAGAATTTTATTTCTCCTTCACTTATGAAGCTTAGTTTGGCTGGATATGAAATTCTGGGTTGAAAATTCTTTTCTTTAAGAATGTTGAATATCGGCCCCCACTCTCTTCTGGCTTATAGAGTTCCTGTTGAGAGATCTACTGTTAGTCTGATGGGCTTCCATTTATGGGTAACCTGACCTTTCTCTCTGGCTGCCCTTAACATATTTTCCTTCATTACAACCTTTGTGAATCTGACAATTATGTGTCTAGGGGTTGCTCTGATTCTCAAGGAGTATCTTTGTGGTGTTCTATGTATTTCCTTAATTTGAATGTTGGCCTGCCTTGCTAGGTTGGGGAAGTTCTCCTGGATAATACCCTGAAGAGTGTTTTCCAGCTTGGTTCCATTCTCCCCGTCACTTTCAGGTACACCAATCAGATGTAGATTTGGTCTCTTCACATAGTACCATATTTCTTGGAGGCTTTGTTTGTTGCTTTTTACTCTTTTTTCTCTAAACTTCTCTTCTCGCTTCATTTCATTAATTTGATCTTCAATCACTGATACCCTTTCTTCCACTTGATCGAATTAGCTACTGAAGCTTGTGCATGTGTCACGTAGTTCTTGTGCCATGGTTTTCAACTCTGTCAGGTCATTTAAGGTCTTCTCTATGCTGTTTATTCTAGTTAGCCATTCGTCTAATCTTTTTTCAAGGTTTTTAGCTTCTTTGCGATGGGTTCGAACATCCTGCTTTAGATTGGAGAAGTTTGTTATTACTGATCTTCTGAAGCCTACTTTTGTCAACTTGTCAAAGTCATTCTCCGTCCAGCTTTGTTCTATTGCTAGCGAGGAGCTGTGTTCGTTTGGAGGAGAAGAGGCACTCTGATTTTTAGAATTTTCAGATTTTCTGCTCTGGTTTCTCCCCATCTTTGTGGTTTTAGCTACCTTTGGTCTTTGATGATGGTGACCCACAGGTGGGGTTTTGGTGTAGATGTCCTTTTTGTTGACGTTGATGCTATTCCTTTCTGTTTGTTAGTTTTCCTTCTAACAGTCAGGACCCTCAGCTGCAGGTCTGTTGGAGTTTGCTGGAGGTCCAGTACAGACCCTCTTGGCCTGGGTATCACCAGCAGAGGCTGCAGAACAGCAAATATTGCAGAACAGCAAATGTTGCTGTCTGATCCTTCCTCTGGAAGCTTCGTCTCAGAGGGGCACTCGGCCTTGTGAGGTGTCAGTCGGCCCCTATTGTGAGATGTCTCCCAGTTAGGCTACTTGGGGGTCAGGGTCTCACTTGAGGAGGCAGTCTGTCCATTCTCAGATCTCAAACTCCGTGCTCAGAGAAGCAATGCTCTCTTCAAAACTGTCAGACAGGGGCGTTTAAGTCTGCAGAAGTTTCTGTGCCTTTTGTTCAGCTATGCCCTGCCCCCAGAGGTGGAGTCTACAAAGGCAGGCAGGCCTCCTTGAGCTGGGGTGGGCTCCACCCAGTTGGAGCTTCCCAGCCGCTTTGTTTACCTACTCAAGCCTCAGCAGTGGAGGACGCCCCTCCACCAGCCTTGCTGCTGCCTTGCAGTTCGATCTTGGACTGCTGTGTTAGCAGTGAGCAAGGCTCCGTGGGCACGGGACCCTCTGAGCCAGGTGCAAGATATAATCTCCTGGTGTGCCATTTGCTAAGACCATTGGAAAAGCACAGTATTAGGGTGGGAGTGTCCCAATTTTCCCGGAACCATCTGTCATGGCTTCCCTTGGTTAGCAGAGGGAATTCCCTGACCCCTTGTGATTCCCGAGTGAGGCGATGCCCTGCCCTGCTTCGGCTCACACTCTGTGGGCTGCACCCACAGTCCAACAAGTCCCAGTGAGATGAACCCAGTACCTGAGTTGGAAATGCAGAAATCATCCGTCTTCTGCGTCGCTCATGCTGGGAGCTATAGACTGGAGCTCTTCCTATTTGGCCTTCTTGGAACTGGAAGCCTACTAGTTTCTTAACTAATTAAATCTTCAATGACCCTATTTCCAAATAAGGTCAGATTTATAGATGGGGGAAGGAACACATGAATTTTGGGAGAACGCCATTTAACCCATAATAAGGGTCCGTTTAGCCTTTTATGTAGGTAGGAATATGTTAAACATCATTTACTGTGTAGAAAAGTATTTGACTAGCACCAAAGACCTATCAAATATTATAAGGAATGATTACATGGAATGATCTCTTTGTTAAAAGAGATCAGAAGCTAATAAACAAAAACAAAAACTGACAAATGTTAAGTTGAAAGCCCTTATATAAGACCTGCAATTTGAAAATGCGAAGTTTGGCAAAGGACACCAGTGTAAGATTTATTCAGAAAGATTCCCAGGCATGATTCTATGAAAGCGCACTTGCTAGCTGAATCAAAGTTATTGCATACTCATGTGTGCAGTCGCCCCAGTAAGAAACCAGTCCTTCCTTCAGCACAGGTGGTTTAAAAAACAACAACAAAACTAGCACTGAACATGAAAAGGAACATGAACAACAAAAAGGAGGAAGAAAGTGGAATGAGGAAGAGAATGTACACTCATGTGAAGGCTGAAAAAAATCACCCATGGAACCCCCACAATGTTTCTAGGAGTCATTTAATCTAACACCTCAATGACAGCTTTGTTTTTAAATCAATAATTTTTATCTACCAGTCACTCCGGACTTCATTTTGCGGATCTTAAGGGAAATTACAAAAATATCCTGATTTTTTTATTTTAATGAGACTTAAAAACCGTGTGGTACAATGAATCTAGGGCTGGAACACTAGGTTTAAAGCAACATGACCTTGGACAAGGCACTTAGATAGATGACTTTCTGTGACTCAGTATTGTCTACTGTAAAATGAGGCAACTCATGTGAAGCTCAAATTTGAGAGTGAGGAGAAACAGTATGGATACCATCTTAGGTTGGAGTACCTAGAAGCAGAACCTTAGACAAGGATTCAGGACATGTGATTTATTGAGGGAGTGAAGTAGGTGAGGTAAAGCCGTAAGGGGAAGAAAGAAGAGCCAAGTGACAATATAGTTTAAGGTAAAGTCTAGCTTTGGTCTCTCCCATGAGGGTTCGGGAGCACACTCCACACCACAGGCTGGCTCTGCCTTGAGACAAGGAGAATAGCTTTTTGTCAGAGCAGCAAGCCTACCCAGAGGGCGTGGGGCACCTCCATTCAGCCCAGGGCAATTTTCCAGAGAACAGGGCAGCTGTGAGCCAGAAGAAACCAACACTTCCATCAACTAAGTGGGAAACGCATCAGTCAATCTGGCAAAGGGGAAAATGATGGGGTACAATGGCATCCCAATAGTGCCCACTACAGGCAGGGATCTAACCTTTCAACATCAGTTTCCACACAGTTTTGCCTTTATCTATTTTACAATGAACTTATTCCTCAGATTTTCTTTCAAAACCTCAGTTATATAACTGAAAAGTATTAAAATTTCAAAAAATAGCACAGGCAAAAGGATATCAAGGATCAGGCAAGCTCTTAAATTCTGTGATTCTGTGAAGTCCAACTGATTTTTTAAAAATATGTCCTCACATCTGTGTAAGTATTGTACCTCCTTTCTTTTAGCTTCATTCCACCCTTTTGTGCATTATTTTGTATTCCATGGGCCGAGACCCTGCAAACAACACTTTTCCAGCTAACTTCTGGTTACTTCTGATAATGGGAGTTACTAGTGGGATACTGAAAGATAGGAAAAAAGGCAAGTGTTATTTTTTTTTTCTTGGCTTCTAGATTTGTCCTCAACATCAGTAGGCAGCTACACGTTCCAGCAAACCTGCAGTTCCAGTTTAGCTGCTAGCTTGCTCTAGCACTGCTGACCAAAATGGCAGGGCCAGCCTAGGCCAGTAGTAGTATTTGGCAGCTCTCAAAGTGGTATTGGTGGCAGTTCTGAGTAGCAGAGTCCTACAGCAGTGTTAGACAGGTATGTAACCCTAAGATCTGCTAAGACAAGCTCCTCAGTTTTGGTTGGCCAACCTTAGGGGAAGTAGCAATTTCTTTTTTCTAATGTCTGATTTATGTCATCCTTTGCTCTTTTCTCCTCCAGTCCTAACATTTTTGTAAACAATTCCTGTATTAAAGGCTCTTAGTCTGAAATACCTAGAGTGTTTTGTGTTTTTCTGTCTGGACAACTGACATATAATATCAAATGTATCCTATCCATGAAGAAGCTAATATAGTTTACAATGAGAATGACATGAAAGAAATTGAAACAGTGATTAATTGTATCGTTCAAAGATAGTAAAGGAAGTGTCTTGGTGAACATCTCCTATCCTTATTCTGATTGGTTACTTCTTACTCGATTTTCTAAGTCAAAATTTATGGAGGTATGATAAAAAAGAATTATTTTGTTTTGTGTTACAATTGTACATGAATATGATTTTTCATCCTGACAGGATTACTAATGTTTTTATATTAAACTTAAACTCTTTTATCTCCCAAATTTAAATTTATAAATATGGGCTTAGAGATTTCTAAAAATAAAACAAAAGCCAGAGAAAGACTGGGTCAGTGCTTCATTTCTTCAACAAATAATATTCATGGTTGCTAGCAGAATGTCATTTCAGAAGACTTTCCTTCAGAATCTTTATAGTAATCTTCAGGATAATTTCTTCTATGGGAGGAAACATATATTTTGCATCTTACTGTTCTGCATAAGACATAGTATCTTATACATAATAGTGTCTACATATTTATTGACAGAACAGGAACAATCAGTGTTTCTCAAACTATTTGCATGAGAACTATCTGAAATAGTTGTTTAAAAACTCATCACTGGGCCCCACTCTCAGAGTTTTGATTAATAGGTTTGGGGTAGGGTTCAAGAATTTGTATTTCAAACAAGTTCTCAGGGGTATACTGACGTTGTTTGGTCCAGAGACTACATGGTTATACCACTGGGATAGATTAGATTAGAGAATGCCCGAGAATTAAATGAAGCCAAGTAATGGTTCTTTACACAAGAAAAATGGATATTTTCCAATCTATGTCAATGTCAACTTGACAGTAGGTAGCAATCTATTCAAAATCATATTTCATCTCATTCAGATTGCCATAGCTTGTCCAATTATCACCAATATTTTCCATTTGTTATCTTTACAATTTATTTGGGGAAAGGAGGGCAAGAACATTATTTCCCAGATATTTTTGCAGCAGGGAAACAATTTGGTTAAATATTAAATATTAATTTACATTTTTAGATAATTTCAAACATTGGCTTATTGAGTACAAGACAGGGCAGTAAAACTGTTTTTATTCTTTTTCGCCCTATTTGGTGGTAGCAAGATAATCCTTGAACTTAATAGTAGATTAATAAATTAGGTGAGTAGGTGCTACGTAAATGATTGAACTTCAAAGCTAACAAATTGAAGGCTACTCATTAACAACTGTGATAAGCTCATTCCCATTTGTATAAGCATGCTAAATATTAAAATTATTTCTATACAAAGTAACCAGTTATTTTTTAAAAATTAAATATTTTTGGCAGATTCATATAGCTTTTCCTAAAAAGTTATGAAATTAATGCCGATGATGCAAATGATACTGCTTTCAATTATATTAATATTAACTTAATAGAATGGTTTAATGATAAAAATTGGTTTTGCATAATCAAATCGTATATTTGATTATGTATGTGCCATTCCCTCCATTCAAGTATAAAAAGGAGTTAGCTTTCTCATTAACCCACATGTTAGCCATATAAGATTCTGGAACCCAAAAGTACACATTTCTACTGACAGAAAGAAAAAGTCTGAAAGCCCTGTGAAAATATAAGATGCAGTAAATGTGCATTTACTCATTCATTAAGCAAATATCAAAACATATAGTGGGTCCTCCCTAGGTGCCAGACACTGTTTTGTGCCCTGGGCATACAGCAGTAACAATTGCAAAAATCCCTGCCTTCATCATGCTTTCATTCTAGTGGTTGAAAACAGACAATTTGAAAAGTAAAGCACTTAATATATGTGCTGTAATGAAAAATAAAATGGGAGTAAAGATAGGAAGTACTGAAGTAGCAGAGACATATTTTTCCATAGGATGGTCAGGGTGGTCAACTTATCAAGTGACATTTGAACAAATGCTTGAAAGAGATAAAGGAGGCAAATGGATATTCGGGAGAATACCCATCCAGGCAGAGGAAATGCCAGTACACACGGGCTCTTATATGACAACGTGCCTTGGAAATTTTCAGACAGCAGAGAACCCTAGTGAATTGAACAGAGGAAGCAAGAAGGTGAGGAGAGGGTTAACTGTAGACGAGCCTTTTAGATTATTCTGACTGGCTTTTACCCTAAGTGAGATGAGGAGTCATTGTAAGGAATTTTATTAAACATTAGATATGAACTGGTACTTTCAGATAATGGAACTGGTATTTAATTAAGATTAGAAACTTTATCTGCATTACACAGTTGGTAAGTTTCATATAGAATCCCTACCTCTGTACCAGATGCAAGTGATAATTAATTAATTTTTTTGCTCTGGGAGCATATAAAACATTTGAAATAAAAAAGATCAAGCTAGTTTTAACTGGTTACCAATAAGTTGTTCTCAAAATGAAATGAGTTCTCGGTAAGTTATAGAGCCTAAAAGGGCAATGTTGGCAAACTTAAATGCTGACTTACTTAGAGCAATTGTTTATATTGCCATCAATTCTGTTTGCAAAGAGGGACTATTATCAGAATGTTTATGTTCGTGACACGATTCCTGACAAATTAACTAGTTTGACTGGGAGGAGAAAAGACAGATAGTGTTTGGAAAGGGGAGGAGGAAAAAGAACGCTGAATTATTGAAATAGTTATTTGGTGAAATCTAATTGAATATTACATTCAGTTAAAGCTAAGTTATGTAAACTATTTTATTTTCAAACTATATTGATTTTTTATGAAAGAAGAAAAAAATGACAAAATTAAATAAATCAATCGTATATAATTGGCTGTGTCTTCCTTGAGGACAATGTAGAATTTGGTTATTCTTCAGCAGCCTCATGTTTAAAAAGTAACAGTAAAATTAGTAAGGAAGAGTTTGAATCCACATAGTCCACCACACATAGAAAAACTAGTTAAATATTTATCTTTCAGAAATCTGGTAAGAATTGGTTTCTAAAAGACTGGATATGCTTAATTCTGGTTACTAGCATTTTCATTATTTATTATATACACTCCTTTAGCTGGTATTATATAGAAAGCTAGAATGTTATTTTCACTAAACATTATTCTTCATAAGTTCTTCTATTCTTCCCATTCCTATTGGGCTTTAAATATTCTTTTTTCTTTTTCCTCCCATTAACTTAAATAAGAAATTTCTCTTTCTTTTCTTCCGCAATGGATTCTTGCACTGTACAGAAATCTTGAATAATCTTAAATGTGTCCTCTAAGAACTCTTTTCTATTTGGTGTTTAGAAATAAACCACATTTACCTAGAAGTGTCCTAAACTATGCTTCAACCCACATATAGAATAGGGTTTTAATTAACATCCAAAATGTTTAGCTATCTTCAAAAGACTTCTTTCTTTAATACCTATTGCTCTAAAAAAAATAAAGTACTTTTTTTTTTTTAATCATCTGAGCCTACTATCAGGTTGGTGTTTGGGCAGAGGTGTTTGCCTCAGTTCTATTTTTTTGTATAATGCTTATCATACCATTTCCATTTGACTGGCTATCTACCATATTTATAAAAAACCATTGCTTCAACTTTGGAAAACCATGACAAGTCATAGTAAATGACTTGTCACTAAGATTACTTTTTTTTGAGACAGAGTCTTGCTCTGTCTCTAGGATGGAGTGCAGTCGTGCCATCTCGGCTCACTGCAACCTTTGCCTCCTGGGTTCAAGCGATTCTCTGGCCTCAGCCTCCCGAGTAGCTGGGACTACAGGCGCACACCACCACACCCAGCTAATTTTTGTATTTTTAGTAGAGATAGGGTTTCACCATGTTGGCTAGGATGGTCTCGATCTCTTGACCTTGTGATCTTCCTGCCTTGGCCTCCAAAAGTGTTGGGATTACAAGCATGCGTCGCCGTGCCTGGCCCAGTAAGATTAACTTTTATCAACAAATGCACTTAACACCAGTTCCCTTAAATCCAGAATCTCAGATTTCTGGATCCAAATTAGAGACGTTATTCTCTTTCCATCTGAAAAGTGGTGAAATTCATGATCAGAAGTGATTACCAGATAATTTTACTATTTTCAAGGGGTTCATACTTATATATCAATTCAATGATAGTATTCAGAAAACTTTCAATACCTCTATTGTTAAAGGTTTACAATAATAGATAATTGAAGCCATAGACATTTTTCAATTGAGCAATTAATTCATTCCTTTATCCAAAATATCTATTGAGTTCCTGCTCCTCCAGGCACTGTTCAAGACACTGGGAACATGGCCTTGAACTAATGGACAAAACTTTACTTCCAAGGGCCATATATATGAGTTAGCCAAAACCATGATATTCTCTGTATCTGAAATATAATTTTTTTTTAAAAAAGAAACAATCTACGAATGTCTGATCATAGTAGATTGCGAGGAGCCTCCCAGTGATGCCATGGTGTAGTCAGAAAAATAACAGAAGCTGTTAGATAGTATAGTCTTCTCGAGGCCACTGGTATAATTATAGCTCCCCAAATTGCCTCTTACCTTTAATTCATCAATTTAATCCTCAATGCTATTGCATTATCCCAGGCTTCAAGAGGAGCTTATTTTTCCCTTTTGGAAGAAGGCTATCAAATTGTAAGAAGAATCAGAAAAGAAAGTTCATTAAAGGCCACAAAGATATCTCCATGGCCACTTTATTAATCAAAACTACAAAAAGTTGCTGTTTCTTCACACATGTCCAAAAATGTCATTACTGATAATCCAGAGTCAAGGTCTTCGTTATGCAAGAAATTATAATTGGATGACAGTAACATAGGCTACTAAGGAATTTTAGAGGTTATTGACCATTTGTATACTTCATAGGAGATGATAGAAATTAAAGCACTATCTGTCTCTCTCTCTCTTTCAGGAAATGTTCATGAAGATGATTTAAAACTAAAAGCCATTTAAAAAAATTTATTCCACAAGGAGAAATTGTGGAGAGGCAACATTAATTTCACACATATATTTTGAGTACCTACTCTATGAGAGGCATTGTATGACTGACATTGTTTAAAAACCAACCAACCAACCAAACAAACAAACAAGCAAGAAAAATAGAACTTTTACCTCCAAATAACTTTCTGTCAGACAGTAACCTCTGCCTCCAAGGATTCTACTGTCTTCCCTCTTGCTGGATAACACATTTACACCAAAAATCCCCACATATTTATTAAAACTGTCTTAGATGTATATTCACAGCTAAAGATACTCTTAGAAGAAACGGATGTTTTATATCATTTATTTTCATATTAATAAAATATTAAGATGGGCAGCACAAGCTTTGTATTACCAAATCATTGGTGGCTATCACTCATTCTTCTTGAAATGTCTATACTGCCATGTCTCTCACTGCTGGTTTCCCATGGAGAAGAAATCTGTAGAAGGGCAGTTTAAGAAGAGAGTAGAATCACGTGGATAGGATTCAAAGATAATTATTTGGAGACAAGCAGAGATATCAAGTAAGTATGATCAGAGCACTTTGGGGTGTGAGCATTTACTTTCAATCCCAGTTTTCTCATAGTGTTGGAATTCAGCATGGTTTTGTTAACAGGTTGGCTCTGTCACTAACTTTTGGTCACTTTAGGTATGCATCAAAGCTTACCTCTTCTTCCTTGTCAATATTTGTAACACAAGAATATGAGCTTTTTCTACTACATACAGTTGAAATGGACTGAGTTAACATATATAAGGTGATGCTCAATTTTCGAAAAATATTAAACATTTATTTATTGTCAGTTAATCTTAATGCCCTTTCCCCCTTTTCAGTGTCTATAAACAGGTAATATAGAATGGTTCTTCTGTTGAAAAACTAGGAGATGTCAAAGTGTGTAACTGGGCTCTCTTTCAACATTTTTATTTCCCAAAGAGCCATGACTTCATAAGTTTTCATATGTATATTTATACATGCATCACTAAATATAATCAGTTATCACATTCTTTTTTCTCTATGTGTTGTATTTTTAACAGAACAATCCCCTATAAATGAACCCTTAAGTACAGACTATTTTTCCTCCCAAAAGGTCAATGTTGTCACAAAATGTGCATAGATCATTCAGCTGACAATTATAATAAAATGATAAATAGGACTGTTGGTTGTAAAAACTGAAAACGTGTGCACTGAGGATGCACAATGTTTGCGGTACATTGTGACAAGAAGTGGGAACTGAGATGTTGATCAGGTGAGTGCTCTGGGTTTCCAGGCTCTGGGAGCTTCACCATCCACCTTCACTAAGTTGGGGGCATCATGCCATTTACTATGGAAATACAGCAGCAGGATAGGTGCAAGGAGAATGAAGGGCAACCCTCTTGAGAGACTTCAAAGCCTACCTGCAAGCCATCACGTACATCATGTACCACGTCTTGGCTTGGCTATAGAATTCCATAAAAATAAAGATAAGCGTACTTTGAAGGAAGATAAGAAAAAATGAATATTCAAAAGAGAAATGACCAGTGGATTCAAAATCTGAATATTAGAGCACTCCCAACAATGACATACATTCAGCAGGATTATACATAGTTAAAAGGACAATTAAGGGGAAAAAATAAATGATATTAACAGAAACAGTAGTGACCTAAATTAAATAATCTAGCAGGAATCCTAAGACACTGCTCTGAAAAATAGTGCAATGAGATCTATCAAAAACAGGAGGCAAAAAAATACTATACAAACTTAAAGGCTAGTTATTGTCTACCGTTTAAATCTCTAGTCTTTTCTTTAGCATATTGAGAAATAATAATGCCAGAATAATGCCAAAATGGTAGGCAACAGCTCAAAGAGATTCTATACACAACCAGCAGATAGGGGATTCTGGGAAGGTGGAATATGAAGAATCAAGAATTTGTCTCCCCACCTGGACAACAATTGCACAGGTAGAATCTGTCTGATACAACTCTTTTGTAACTCTGAAGTATGTTGAAGGCTTGCAACTTCCAGGGGAAGGCTTGGATGATAAATTGTGGTTAATTTCAGCAAATTCCAGCATATACTCAATAGCAGCTACCCATTCCCCACCCCAATCCTCGTGGCAGGTAGCTGTACGCATGCTCCTGGAGCAACCTGCAGATAGCTAGTAAGAGTCAGAGTGGGCAAAAAGGATCACGTACTCCAAATACTGGGTATCCGTGCACTGATTGCTGATTATTGCTTCTGATTACAAAAGTGCAGACAAAGAATCTGTCATAACTGTTGCACTTCTTCCCATTGGTGGAAGCCCCCTTCCCTCCAGCTGAATGATTTCCAGTGCCTTATCCCTATTCCCTTCATTTTTCTCTTTATCTGTGCATAGGAGGCTGACAATAAAGACTAGGAAATTTGAAAGAAACTGCATGTATAGGGAATATCAGAAAGTGACCACACATGCCCTGAGAAAGGTGCAAGTGCAGAAAAGATCTGGAAAGAATTTAGGTTTACACATCAGGCTAATCCTTGGTACAGAGACAATATTTTTAAACTACAACATTCAAAAAACCAAAAGGAAGAGATAAAAAAAAACCCAGCTAACCCTGGGGAGGCAACAAAAAAGCTACACAGCATATAGAAATCAAATAGCAAAATGACAGAAGTAAGTCTCTCCGTATCAGTAACGAATTAAGCTCTCCAATTAAAAGACATAGATTGGTGGAATGGATTGAAAAACATAATCCAACTATCTGCTGTCTATAAGAGACTCATTTTAGGTTCAAAGACACAGATAGAAAGTGAAAGGATGAAAGAAATGCAAATGGTATCCCAAAGAGTGCAAGGGTGGTTGTGGCTACACTCTCAGACTAAATAGACTAAATTTTAAAAATTTTACAAGAGACGAAGAACATATTACTAAAATTTTAATATAGCAAGATGATTAATGATTATGAACTTTTATGCACATAATAACAGACCATCAAATATATGAAGTAAAAAAAAGACAATTGAAGGGGTAGACAGTTGCACAATCATAGTTGGAGACTCCAATACCCCACTCTCACTAATAGTGAACACACTGAAAAGGGAATTATAAAAAAATTATTTTCAATAGCATCAAAATAAATAAAATATTTAGGAATTAATTTAACCAAGGAGGTGAAAGTCTTGCACAATAAAAACGATAAAACATTACTGAAAGAAATTAAAGACGCTTAACATCACTAACCATTAGGGAAATGCAAATCAAAACTAAGATTTCACCACACCCATTAGGATGGCTGCTATCAAGAAAACAGAAGGTAATAAGTGTTGATGAGGATGTAGAGAAATAAGAACCCTTGGTGCACAGTTGGTGAGAATGTAAAGTGTTACAGCTGCTGTAAAAAACAATATGGCAGTTCCTCAAAAATATTAAAAATGGAATTACCATATGATGCAGTAATTCCAGCTCTCTGTAACCACCCCCCCACCAAAATCGAAAGCAAGGCCTCAAAGAGATTTTGTATGCCCATGTGCATAGCAGTATTATTTACAATAGCCAAAACATGGAAGCAATCCAAGTATCTATTGACTGATGAATGGATAAGGGAAATGTAGTATATACATATACTGTAATAGTATTCAACCATAGGAAGAAAATTCTTATGTATGCTACAACATGCATGATCTTTGGGGATATTACATTAAATAAATGAAATTAGCGACAAAAGATACTTACTGTATGATTCCATTTATATAATGTATGAAAAGTAGTCAAAATCACAGAGACAGAAAATAGAATGGCTGTTGCCAGTGACTGGGGAATGGGGGAATAGGGAATTATTGTTCAATGGGTATGGAGTTTTAGTTTTAAAAGACGAAAAGGGCTCTAGATATAAATAGTGTTAATGGTTGCACAACATTATGAATGCACTTAATACCACTAAACTATACATTTAAAAATGGTTAAGATGGTACATTTTATGTTACTTATATTTTACCAATATAAAAAATTGGAAAAAAAATCTCTGTACATTTAAAATGTGCATTTCATTCTATATAACTTATTTCTCAATAAAGTTTATTTAAAAACAGTGAATAAAGGCTGGGCGCTGTGGCTCATGCCTCGAATCCCAGCACTTCGGGAGGCTGAGGCGGGCAGATTACGAGGTCAGGAGATCAAGACCATCCTGGCTAACACGGTGAAACCCCATCGCTACTAAAAATACAAAAAGTTAGTGTGGTGGCTCGTGCCTGTAGTCCCAGCTACTCGGGAGGCTGAGGCAGTAGAATCGCTTGAACCCGGGAGGCGGAGGTTGCAGTGAGCCGAGATCGTGCCACTGCATTTCAGCCTGGCTGACAGAGCGAGACTCCGTCTCAAACAAACACACAAGCAAACAAACAAAAAACAGCAAATAAGAAATAAATAAGAAATCAGAATGTCAAAAAGCCTCATTAATATTGAGGCAGATTACTCTTACTTCACTGGCTCTTAAAACTACATTCCTAGGCCATAATAATTCTTGTCACCAAATTACGGCATGAATGAGAATTTGGATAACTTCTTTTGTTCCTCAGACATCTAGCTCAACAGCATCTTTTGCTTACTTACGGAAATTTCTCAAGTATTTTGCATCACGAAGAGTAATTTTTTCCTTCTCATCATTTGCCAGGAATCGAATGATTACATTCATAGCTAAAGAGCAGATAATCCAAGATTTAGATAAAGATATAACTATAACTGAAGTTTAATTCATTGATATTCGTAGTGTGGTCTACGAACCAGCAAAATCAATATCATCTGGAAATTTGTAAGAAATGCAGAATCTCAGGCTCCATGCCATGCCTAAAGAACCAGAATCTGCCATATTAACATGACACTCAGGTGACTGCTATGCCCACAAAATTTTGAGAAGCATTGTTTTAAGTTCTTTTGCTCTGTAAGAAGATGGTTTTCTTCTCTCTGTGATTACCACAACTAACCTTTATCAAGTGTTTTCTACCGGCCATGCATAATGTTATAAGATCTTCACAAACATCATTTTATTAATTCCTGCTAAGACATCACGGGTCCTATTTTTATTATCTTCCCTTTACAAAACAGGAAAATAAGTTTCAGAATTAACTTGCCAAGAATTACAGGTAGCATTTGGTATACCTAGGATTTAAACCTGGGTAGTCCATTTATAGAACTCTTAAACACTACACTCTACGGCCTAAAGACAGACAATCGTTGGGGGATATTTTTGTTCATTTATTTTCCTTGAAGCTTTCCATTTTCATGAATGGTTTGAGAAGTTTTGTCAAAGGTTAAATAAACCTATGCTTTTCATGGCTACTTGGGTTGGCAATTCTTGTGACAAGTAACAGTTTGGGTGAATGTGTATTTATCTTTTCTTTCGTATCATTTATCAATCATTAAGAGTCACATCATATAAAACATTGAGTTAAAAGAGCAAGAACATTTGTATTGCTTTGTGTGTGTTGATTAGTATTGACTGCCTACACTAATCAAAGTCACTCCATAATTTCACAATATTCAATCATTTTATCGTTATATTACACATCATTCCAAAGAGAACCCTGCCCCTCCCTTGAGAGTCTCAGAATAAAAAACTAAAAATAACAAACATATTTTTAGATTTCTATCCAGGAATTAATAAGTTCCACCAGGACATTCCTAAGGAAATCACAGACAGTCACAGGCATGCTTGTCACCATCAAAGCTTACTGACAATAAACATTTTCAAAGTTGAACACTTTCAATGCTCAGTGGAGAAGAAATCTCCCTTTCAAGTAATAAGGTGGAGAATGCAGTTAGTATATGGAGAAAACAGAAAGGTTAAAAAGCACCCGTCAAAATAGTGTGAGATATATTTAATGAAAATCGAGAAGCTAGTATAATAGCTGCAGAGCTGCAACAGAGTAAACAGAATGACAAATTCCATCTCCAGCATCTTCTGTTAAATGAATTAACCATATACCTGGTAGATTATAAAATGGGAGGGCAAATGACTGGAAACACTTTATGCTTGACAATGTCTGTGGCTGACCAAAATCAGGTCCCCTTTCTTAGGGCAGAGCTCTACCACATTTCCCAGCCTCCTGTGTGTGGAAATGTGACTGAATTCTAGCCTAGGAAATGTGAGTCAAAAATCACATGTGCCACTCTCAGACTTCGCTCATAATCATCTTCCACCTATAATTCACTGCATTCTTATCGCGTTTGCTAGCTAATGGGGAGGCCCAGAGGATGATGGAGCCATAGGATGGAAAAGGCTTGGTTTCCTGAATCATTATATGAAATGTCACCCACTAGCTAGAAACATCTGAGAGAGAAATGAACTGCTATTGGGTTAATCTAATGATATGTTGAGGTATGTTTCAGTAGTTAGTCTACCCTAACTAATGTACGAGAGAGAGGGAGAGTCCAGTGATTAAAAAGACAATTTGATTAGAGCATAAAAAACGGTTATGGGTCAGAGCCTTAGGTAGACAGGTCACATACACCTGTCCTTGTGTCCTAAGGTATCTACACAGAACCTTAGGTAGACAGGTTATTTCCCACACACACCTGCTAACAGGTATAAACTCATGAACTCACATTGTGAGGGTTTTGCTCTCTTTACATTATATTGCATACAGAGTCTTTATAGTTATGCTTTGCTTCACAACAGAGATCTGGTCTAACACATGCATCATTAGGTAATTTCATCCTTATGTGGACATCACAGAGTGTACTTAGACACACCTAGACGGCATAATCTGCTATACAGCTGGGCTATATGGTGTTGCTTATTGCTTCTAGGCTACAAACTTGTATAGCATGTTACTGTACTGTATATTGTGGCCAGTAACACAATGATACTTATTTGTGTATCTAAACATATCTATACATTAAAAGGGTACAGTGAAAACATGGTATAAAAGATTTTGAAATGATGTACATGAATGGAGCTTGCTCTGGGTCAGCCAGTGACTGGGTGGTGAATGAATGTGAGGGCCTAGAACATCGTTGTACACTGCTGTAGACTACTGTATACTTAGGCTACACTTCATTTATCTTAAAATTTTCTTTCCTCAATAATAAATTAACCTTATCTTACTGTAACTTTTTTACCTTATAAATTTTTTAATTAAAAAAACTTTTTGACTGTTATAATAACCTACCTTAAAACACAAATACATCACATAGCTGTAAAAATATTTCTTTCTTCATATCCTTATTCTATAAGCTTTCTGCTATTTTTTACATTTCTAATTTTTTTTTTTTTGCTTTTTAAGCTGTTTTGTTAAAAAGACACAAACACACACATTAATCCACGCATATACAGGGTCAGGTTCAGTATCACTGTCCTCCACATTCACATCCTGCTCCACGAGAAGTCTTTAGGGGCAATAACATACATGGAGCTATCATCTCTGTAATAATGCCTTCATCTGGAATATCTCATGAAGGACCTGCCTGAGGTTGTTTTATAGTTAACTTATTTTTATAAGTAGAAGTGGTACATTCTAAAATAACAAATATAGGATAGTAAGTATGTCAACCAATAACATAATCTTTATTATCATGATTAGCATTATGTACCATACACAATTGTATGTGCTATACTTTCATATGACTGGCAGCACAATAGATTTGTTTATACCAGCATCATCACGCACATGTGAGTAACACATTGTGCTGTGATGTTATGGCAACTATGATGTCACTTAGGAATAGGAATTTTTAATTTCTATTATAATCTTATGAGACCACCGTCACATATGTAACTTGTCCTTAACCGAAACATCTTTATGTGGTGCATGACTAAAGTATCACGCAAACAAATCTCAGAATTCTCATTGCTACTTTATGCTTCACCAGAGGAAATAGTCATGAAGAAATATTTTCAGCTTCTTCCTCCCTAGTTTCTTCTTTTATAACTCCCTGCAGACGGGGAGCTAAATGGACCAGCTCTCTTTCCATGAAAGCACACATGATTCAAATGCCACTTAGTATTCACAAGCCATTGTTCTTCCACCCAGGGAGAAGAGCTTAACCAGATGACCTCATTAATCTTCACATGCACCACAATCCTTGGTCGTTTGAAGGCAAAAAATAAATGTTCTTATTCCTATTTCACAGATGAAGACACTGAGGAAGAAAGAGTAAGGGGAAGAGGCTACAGAATAAAACAAAAGGGCATCAGTTAAAATGCAATATGAAATGAAGCATGTGGTTTAGGAGGTAAAACCTTAAACTTCTGAAGTCACAATCTCTATCAGGTCACGTTTTCTTTGGCTAGTACTGCCTTTAAAAATAGTTGTTAATATTTTGGCCAGGTGCAGTGCCTCATGCCTGTAATCCCAGCATTTTGGGATGCTGAGGTGAGCAGATTGCTTGAGCCCAGGAGTTTGAGACCAGCCTGGTCAACATGGTAAAACTCTGTCTCTACAAAAAAAAAAAAAACGCAAAAATTAACTGGGCATGGTGATGTGTGCCTGTATTCCAGCTACTCTAGTGGCTGAGGTGAGAGAATCACTTGAACTCAAGATGTGGAGGATACAGTGAGCCAAGATTGCACCACGGCACTCCAGCTTGAGTGACAGAATGAAACTCTCTCAAAAAAAAAAAGTTTAAAAGTCAAATACATGCCCAATACACACACACACACACACACACACACACACACACACACACACACACACACACGAATCCAATTCATGTATTCTGGCTTCTCTTGAAATATCCAAAGATACAGTCACACCAGTTCCATATTTCTGCATTTCAGGACCCTTTACTGTAGATGAGTAGTGATATCCCTCATTCATCAATTATAGGCTCCAATTTGATAGTGCCTACATGATAACATGTGTTCAATGATTACCAGTGACATATGCAAGTTTGTAGTCCAATACTTAAAGTACGTATTAATAAGGAGTTAAGAAATCTAGATTCTTTCATCACCAAATCTCTCCCTACTATATTCCAGGTTTATCATTTGTAAAATAGGTTTAAAACTGTCTAAATAGGAATTACATGCAGAGTGTTTCTGCCAATTTTCCCTATCTTTTCATTTCAACGTTCTGTCTATAGAGGCAGCTGTTAAAAAAGAAAGGGCAGAAGTGCCAGCTAAATAGTACCTTCAAATTGACTTACTACCAATTTCCTGTTTTGCAGAAATGTAGAAGGGAATAAATTCCACTCAGAAGGGACATAATTCATCAGATCCTTATGAATTCTTGTGCAGAGAACAGTAGATATGTGCTGAATAAATAAATGCCTGACAAGGTTTATGAAGACACGGAAAACAGGGCTTGACAAGGCAGACCTTGGAGTTGAGGACTAACAATTTCTGCTCCATGGAAAACATTAGATCTTCCTCAGCATAACATTGTGGTCAAGAAACTTGACTCACGGCAAAATTAGGAAAAGCAGAATTGTGAGAGGATGATTACTAGAGACATATATTACGGTATTTGCTAATGGGGGTGGAGGAATCGCTGTAGGGCTGATTTGGTGAAAAAATAAAAACAAAAACAAAAAACTTCAACTTTTATGGGCCAAAACCATAATGAATGAAAGTTTTATTCGTGTGAAAGAGTGTTATGTTAATTAAGGTTTAGACACAAGAACAGTTACCACCTAGAAGCCCATAAATACACATCCTCACTCTGGTCCACAGCTCAGAATCCTTCATTTGAAAGAAAACAATATTAATTCTGATATCACTGCGTGTCTAGCCTTAGGCAGTTAAACATGGTTCAGAGAGGTTTACCGTCAGTTCTGTATCATCCTTCAGACTTTAAACAGCGTTATGCATCTTCAGTGATAATGACGACAATGAGGATAAGAAAGTGAAGTAAGAGTAGATCTAACTTACTCTTTCCAGGTGTGAGGGTAATAGTTTCTACTCAAAACCTATAATCCTAAAACAACCATGCAATATAAGTATACTAATCCCAATTTTGCAGATGAGGAAATGCCACTCAGAATTTTAATTAGCTTATCTGAGATCTAATGGCTAATAAGCAACAGATCTAGAATTAAATGCTAAATTTGTATTGATCTAAAACTCCACCATGGCGCCACCACCACCACAATTTCTGAGCAAATCTTAACAACGAATGGAATTCTTCACCAAGGCTGTTCATTTTATTTTTCCCAACAATTTCTCTTTCCCATCAATATCTCCAGTTAATTCTTCTTAATCAGCTTATTTGGAATTTGACTATAGAAGTTGATTTCTACATTACCATTGATATAAAATCTGCTGCTACCCATTTCCTTGCTTTCTAAAAGTTGTCTCTTCTAACCTTCTTGGATGTTTACACCAAAGAAATTGAAAGAGACTTTGAACTTCAGAGGTCAGCCTTACACTTCTGGGAGCAGAACATCAATACTTGTGAAGTTTACATTTCCATAGAATTCAGAAATTCACAAAAGAGCATGTGGCTTGGTAAAAAGATTCCTTCAAGACTTCCGAGATTAGAGAGCTTTAGTCACAAAAACAAACCTTAAAGACATTTAAGAAACAAAATTCCAAACATTTTGCCTGCTTAAACACCCTTAGCTTTATTTTTATTTTTTTGCATGGATCAATTTAGAAACTTCCAAAAGGAAATTTCTTTGGGAAATTTTAATTTTGTCTCTGATTCTATGCATGTGAGAAATACAATTCTGCTATAGCCTCTTAGTCAACTCCTCCCCAAGATCACTAGCAGGAGGGCCTAAAACCATTGATTTGTGATAAATATTAAATGGGTAAATGTAGGCATGGAAATTATAAATAATATTGGTTTTCTTATCTAATATTCAGTGTTTATCTAGGTTCTACGTGCTTTGGAGAGCATCCTAATAATGCTTAAATAATTGTTATTTATATGAGTTTTTTACTTTTTCTTTACTTCAGCTCCCACCTCCCTACAAGTATACAAGGTAAGGGAGAAGTTTTTATTAACATAAGAATTTATATGTATAAAAACCAGACAGCTGAAATTGAAATTACCGTTGAGGAAATCATAACCACATTAATCTCTGTACATTTCACAGGTTTACAAAAACTTTGGGAATTTGCCAACACGTTGAAATTTCTACATTTCTAAATTGTTCGGGATGAAAGACATCTTCTGACTGCCACCATCATCAGAAAGGTGGATTTTCTACTCTTCAGAATTTTATGGTCAGTAGTTATCCAAAGAGAAGGAGGAGAATATAGTTACATATTTATGTGCGTATAAGCTGGAGTATGCTACAGTTAAGTTTTAAGTTGATAAAAAATGTTTTAAAACTACCATGTATTCTGCAAAGGCTGAAAAATATAAGTATGGTAAGTGAAATTATATTATTTATTTATTTCTAGAATGTATTTAAAATTATATGATGCATGACAACTTGTATGTATGGCTGAGTTGGATGAGATCTTGCAAAGCTATCAACCATCCAAACTGCCATTGTTGTAAATCATTCAGCTATTTGCTCTGGGAGAAACTAAGTTGTAGTAATAGGATTTATATCACTGAAGTACTACTGATGGATAATGAACGAAAAGAGTTTTCTATTTAGGATTAGGGAAAACATTACTATTTCAGGATGGGCAGTACTTAAAAACTAACCAACTTTCAATAAAAAACTGTGGTTTTTCGGTGTGTGTATGTGTGTACACTTGTATGTTTTCTTAATTTTGAAAACTGATAAAAATCAAAATGAATTTTTTGCTTAATTCTGAATATGCATGTACAAACCACAAGTGACCTTTCAGCTTTAAATTTATCATGAGATAAGAGAGAGGAAGGTTTTCTTCCATTATGTCAAAATCCACCAATTTAACTTGTTCAAAGAATAATAATCACGTTAGACACTCCTGAGTTCCAGTCCATGATAAAGCAAACTGATTTCTTTCAAAAATGTATTCTTGAGTTTTCTCTAATTTTCTAAGTGCAATATTAGATGCTGTTTCTAATTAAGATAGAACACACTGAACATGTTTTACATGTATTAATTCCCTCAGGCAGGTAGAGTCCTATGCAAGACCTCTATTCTGATTCCCATGTCCTGAAATCAGTAGCCTCTGTAGCAGGGAAAGCATTTGTTGTTGATCTGAAGATGCTGTGATTAAGTCAGTCTTTTAGTCTTTCATGTGACAGCTTGATGGCCTATTGGTTTGATAAAGTAATAAATATAGTTTTGATTTTTTAAAGGCAACATCAAAAAAAATCAACAACTAAAATAGTTGAGATTTATCCAGGGGTATAGAAACATATAAAGACTTCAGGCTCTGTAAAATAAATTGCATTTATACCCTAGTGAATAAACCAGCATTCCTAAACACAACATGATATTAATTAAATTCCTGAAATGTGGTTAAGACCCTTAGATTTTCCATACAAATAGATGGTTGAAGCATTAGTCTCATAAGAATGCAGCTTTAATAAAATGGGTACTTTTAGCTAACATACCTGAAAGATTATTTTAGTGCTGCCTTTTAATAACTTAAGCAGTGTCTTACCCAGTAATTAAATTGCTTTATCTAATTCAATTCATTTGTCAACCGGGCAAGTACCTTGTCAGGCACTACATATAAGTGACACTTTGGCTGCCACAATGAACCTATCTCTTCAAAAAGAAAAAGCAAAGAAGGAGGCCAGGCGTGGTGCCTCATGCCTATAATCCTAGCACTTTGGAGGGCCGAGGCAGGAGGATCATTTGAGCCCAGGAGTGTGAGACCTACATGGGCCACAAAATGAGACATGGTGTCTTTAAAAAATACAGAAAAATTAGCTGGGTGTGATAACATGGGCATGTAGTCACAGTAACTTGGAAGGTTGAGGAAGGAGGATTGTTTGAGCCCCAGAGGTTGAGGCTGTATTGAGTTGTGATCACGCCACTGCACTCCAGCCTCCAGCTTGGGTGACAGAGCAAAACCCTGTCTCAGAAAAAAAAAAAAAAAAAAAAGAAAGAAAGGAGTAATTGACTTATTTGGGTTTAAAAGATTGCCTAGGCATCTCATAGAAAGAATTCAAATACACTTCGTTTCTGGGTGTTTTCTTTTCTGTTTGTAAAATATTGCTTTTTAAGAAAATATCTCAGACAATCCTTTTCAAATGAAATCAAGTAACATCTCTGTATGAGGATGTGAAACTAAACACAATGTAAACCACTCTTCTCTGGACAGTCTCTGAAATGTTGATCTTCCTGACTTGCTCACCACAATTGCATCCTGAGGGGCGTGGCCAATAGGGAATCAGTCCTTCCGAATAAGAGCACTTGGCCTTGTGCGATGTGACACTCCTTGATTATAATGATCTTTGCCAGTTTAATGTGGAGTTTGTGGCATCCAATAGATATGGATGGCATTTACATAATTATAGTATGATGAGAGACAATACTGAGTATCTCCACATTGGATACTAACTAGTACATTAAAATTTTATCTTTGGAGAACATATGCATATACATAAAAGATAGTAAAAATGTTTTCATGTGGAAGTTAAGAAAATATGGCAAGTAAACTTGTCCTTGTTTCATGAATGACAATGTGTCATCTCCAACTTCTCCAGTTACTTGATAAACATTTCAGATTGGGAACCTCTGAGACTCAGAGGTACTTTGCAGCTGCCTAGAAGGTTCATTATGCTTCCTCAGTTCCCACATATGATTATAATAAGCACCCATCACCCATGACAGCACTTTTTCCCTTATGACTTGTAAGAGCCTAAGTAATGCACACCTTCACAGGCCAAAAATCATATATTTACTTCACTTAGTTAGCTTGCCTTGTTAGTGAAAAATTTAAAAAAAGTAAGAATATGCTTGTATGAGTTTTTTAAAATGTCATGTGTTAGAATTTGATGACACAGCCTGAAATGTGATGATAAATTCACGTGACATTTGTACAACTCCATCAAATGGAAATTGTGCCCCAGAGCTGCAGAGCAAGATTCCATGGATTCTTAAGGGAAACTTTCTTAATGATGGGCACAGATGAGAAGGAGACTCATCTTTTCATGTATTGCCATGTGAACATGTTACCTATTCAAAAACTAAATAAATTTGCAAATTAAAAATTAATTAAGTAGAGAAAAAATAACATGGGAAAAAGTAGTGCTTATAAAAATGGAATGAAGGGGTAACAGACTTTGAAAACCTTAGACCAAAGAAGTTATACTTATTAAAATCATATTAATTCTGAAGCAGGGAATGAGGACAAAGTTACCATGTTAGTTAGGCCAAAAGGCTTAAGGGCGCCTTCTTTATCCCCAAAACAGGTGGTGAAGTTGCATTGGTTCTGAGGGGATTTTCCTAAAGCTGGAAACAATGAGTTTGTTCTGCTGTACTGGATATTTCAGTGACATGAATTAGCTCATATGCCTTTGAAAATGAAGAGAATGATGTAAGAATAACATGGAAGTCTTGGTTTCTTGGAGACTTTTTCAAGTTTGTTAATGTCTAGAAGTGACGGGGGTAAGCTTTTTTACAAGTAAATAAAAAAATATTTGGACATGTTTAGGAAAAAAAAACACTGTAATTCTACAGAATTGTTTTCCTTTAGTGCAAAATGTTTCCTTTAGTGCAAGAAGTTTCAAGAATCTCCTTGCTTTCCTTTAAGCTAATTCACATAAGCCGTGAGTTCATGTTAAGAAGTATAAAGTCATTTCCCCTAGCCAGTTGTGGTGGCTCACGTCTGTAATCTCGGCACTTTGGGAGGCCAAGATAGGAGAATGGCTTGAACTCAGGAGTTCAAGACCAGCCTGGGCAACATGGCAAAACCCTGTCTCTACAAAAAATACAAAACTTAGCCAGGTGTAGTGGCGCACACCTGTAGTCCCAGCTACTCCGGGGGTCTGAGGTGGGAGGATAACTTGAGCCTGGGACAGAGAGTCTGCAGTGAGCCATTATTGTTCATGCCACTGCACTCCAGCCTGGGTGACACAGCGAGACCCTGTCGCAAAAAAAAAAAAAAAAAAAAAATAGACATTTTCTATTTTCCCTATGTTAGAACAAGAGATTAATGAAAATATAATTGAATATAATTTTTAAAAATCTAATAAAAAGAGTCTCTAGGAGAATTGAATGCCATCCAACATCTACATCCAGAAGGAGCAAGGGACAACATCAGGGTTTAAGATTGTATTGCAAATGTATTTATAAATATTCAGGTTACAAATTGTTATATGTTTTATGTGGTCTGCCCATCCCACTGGTTTCCATGTCTCATTATTTTTAGTGCATGATTTTGCAGAACATGAAGTCTTTCAGGAATTCATATATGGTGTTACAGTAACACCTCTGTATGATTTTTCATTCAGTAGACCCAGTAGATCTTAACCATTCTTATGCAATTCTTTATAATTGAGATTGGACAGGACATTCACAAAAGATTTGAGGATTTTTAAAAATACTCTTAATAACTTTTATCTATATTTTAACAGAAATGTGTGTGACTATCACACACATTAGTTAAACAACATCATGGCAGGAATCATATGCCTATATCAGAGTGCTATGAAATCCCCAAATCTTAAACTTTCAGGTTTGCCTACACATGTATTTAAGATGGTTACCTCCTGCTCTGAATACCCAGCCTGCGAGAGATATGTTCCAATCATACCAAGTTCTTGAAAATCCTAAGCCTTAAGATACTATGGAGTAACACAACATCTTTTAGTTTGTGAATTTGTTTCCACACTGAATTATTTCAGCATATTTAGTTGTTATGGTTTCCACCTCTATCTAGAAACATGACAATGGAACATTTAGGCATCTGCCATGTAAATGTCTCATGGGAAAACTTTGAATCGTAGCTTTTTTGTTTTTGTTTTTGTTTTTAATTTGATGAGTCCCAGCTTTTAAAGACAACAGGCAGCAGTATCCACAAAGTGTTAAGACACTTCCTGGCAAGGGCCACCAATCTCCCTGGGCATTCAGATTTCAGCATTTGATAAAAAAGAAAAGAGGCCGTGCACGGTGGCTCACGTCTGTAATCCCAGCACTTTGGGTGGCCGAGGCAGGCGGATCACCTGAGGTCAGGAGTTCGAGACCAGCCTGGCCAACTTGGTGAAACCCCATCTCTACTAAAAACACAAAAAATTAGCCCGGTGTGGTGGTACGCGCCTGTAGTCCCAGCTACTTGGGAGGCTGAGGCACGAGAATCACTTGAACCTGGGAGGTGGAGGTTGCAGTGAGCCAAGATCACACCACTGCACTTCAGCCTGGGCAACAGAGTGAGACTCTGTCTCAAGGGAAAAGAAAGAAAAGAGAAGGATGCTTCTGAAGCCTGGTATTTGCCTCCAGATTATCCTGCACTTATCTAACACGCATTCCGAATGAGGAAGATACATATGCAAGATAGCTGACTTGCCCCCAAAGACTCCTCCACTTTACCCAAATCACGTGGGAGATTCCAAAAACAGAATATCTACTTTAAAAGATTTTAAACTCTCCTCCCTTTTTTCCCTCTATCACCTAGACATCATCAAGACAGAATCGCAGGAATAGGAGACAGGGAAGGGAAGGGAAGAAAAATGAGAAGGGAAAACTGTAGTTAGGATGAAAAAAAAAAAGGAGAAAAAATGAGCCTTTGGCTGGCATGGCATAGAAATGATTTGGTATGAAAAAAAAACATAAAAATTGTTAAGAAACTTAAACCAGTATTTAAATGTAGACATACTTATAAGAGACATTAGGTAACATATTAACGGTAGTGAAACAAAAAGAACTCTCAAGTGGCCATTTTCCCTGTTCCTTTTAAAGAATTAATAAAACCAACATTTGAATGATTTCATTTAATTGCAGCAAGCACTCATGATGAGATGCAATTACAAGTGTGCACCTTCTGAGAGTCTCAGCCACTTTTATTGACTTTGCTGTTTCTAGTATTGAACCTGAAATTGTACAGCCACAATTGTTTTCTGCCTCTAAGCCAATGTAGACATTCTCCTTGATAAGTTTATCAGACATTTAAGGCAGTGTCCACCAGAACTTTATGCAATATCAGCAATTTTCTATACTTGTACTGTCCAGTCTGGAAGCCACTACCTTTATGTAACTATTGAGCATGTAAACTGTGACCAGTACAATTAAGGAACTGAATTTGTATTTAATGTGAATGAATTTAAATTTCAATTTAAACAGGCATACAGCCAAATGATTACACTATTGGACAGCATAGATTAAAGGGAACATCGAAGATGATAGCAGGCTTGTATGTTACCAATATAAAATACCAATGCATAACCAGCAAGATTGCCTAAGCAGATTAGAGGTAATGTAGGGCTTTGTAGGTATTTCCAAATATGGGCCAGGGCAAATCACATAAACAGACAATATAAATTTAAAAGGCTATCTATATGGGTGGGTGATAAAGGCCAGTGACCCAGTGGTAATTCACCTAAACTACCAATTATTTTAATATTACCAAAAACATTACACAATGCCAATATGGGATGTATGACATCCATGCTGCAAAACATCAAATGTCCTCTTGGAAAGTTTTAATTGTCTAAGAGGAAAAAATTAGCACAAACCCAAAGTAGACTCTGCCTCAAAGTCAAAACGTGTTACAGAAGCTGACTTTTTAAAAGAAAAACCAAATTAAAAATGACAGAAAATGAACAGTATTCAGAATGATACAGTAAAATGGAAGATCCCTTATAAAATGGATCAAAACTTGGAATCATTGCCTCATGATGACTTAACTAAAGTTTGAAGTTGATAGCACTCTTTGTACAGAAGTTAACTAGATCAAGGCAGCCTGATAATTCATAAATGGCAATAATGGAATTTATTATTGTTCCTTATACAAAGACCCTTCTGTCCTGGGACATTCCTTGGACAGCACCAGACACCCTGGCAGAGAATGAATAAGACACAAAGCCGAACTTTTACAAAGCCCAACTCATTCAGCAGATATTAATTTGAACAGAGAAATCAACAATGTATACCGATTTGCAGATCACAATCACTCGAGTAATTCAAGATCTAAGTTTTAAAGCAGAGAGAAAAGTGCCACATTTGTAAATACATAGAGGTTCCATTGCTCAAACAAGCTCTTAATATGCAGCCTCTTTTTTTGCATCTCCTGCATTCCTGAATCATTTTAACTTGTATTGAGAAATAGCCTTGAGAAATGTAGGAACTGGTATTCTTTTTATTTGTGACAATGATACCCTAATAGATGCTGGAATCATTAAAAGTCTTTGCTATACCATTTTTATTCTCTCTTTTTGATTCTGTGAGAAGTGAACCATGGTTAAGCAATACTTCTACAGGGATTAGTGACTATGCCATTAATTTCTCATATATGTTGTTATATTTTCAGATGAAAGATGTTATGTAAGTTGATGTACTATTGACATATTTAAATGTAATTTTTATTGGGTAAACATTTTAATCAGTGACCTTAGTGGATTGAAGTACACATTCAGGTTCATGGAACCATCGATAAAAATGTCAGCCATGAACTACTCTTCGGCTATAATCCTACTTTCGCCTGTGCAATCAATACAATCAGAGTCAAACAATATAGTGCCTGCAATGAAAGACTAAAATTCATATACTATTATAATATATTGGATGACAGTTCAAAACTAGGGTTTGTTTGTAGTTTTACTGAACCTTTTAGGCAAAGTTCTATCAATAGCATTTGTGAGATCTAAACCTAGAATGAATGCAGACACGACATAATTAGAAACAGAACAAGAAGCACTGGAACCAGTCTACGTGTTCCATCTGAGACACGTTAGGCTCTAGGTCCACAGGCTTCAGACACGAGGCTCAAATATACTTATGATTCAGCAACAGTTCTTGTCTGTGCATGGAGGCACACCCAAACTATGCAGCCCCTAGTGGCATATACCTCCCACAATTACTGGAATAAAAGCATTGTTTAAGCCCACAAAAATTTCAGTTGAGAGGATGCAAATTGTGATTGAAACCCGTTCAAAATTGTAACACGACAATTTAACACAGGATTTCAAATTTCCTTTTTTTTATTTTTTTGGAGTGTTCCATCTAATGCGTTATGCTGTGATTGCTAGAGGCTATTTGGGAAGCCCATTTATCATGGATAACTTTGGGGAAAATTACTATATTGTAAACCTGTTAGTGACTAGAATTCCCCTCTATTAGATTCAAATGTTTGGATTCAGACTAACCAAGCTGTGATTATGAGAAGCTGGAGAAATGTTTGAAAGCTGGGGGTAGAAGCGGCATACTGCCACTGAAACCTCAATTTTGGAGTGTGAGAAACCAATGCACTCGAAAAACATTCTGCTTTACAGGACTAATATGAAATTATCCTAAACGGAGGTTTTCAGAGAAAGAAAATGGCAGGAAATTCATTAATGCTCCCACTCCCTGAATGTGTGTGTGTTTTCCTTTTTCCATGTTAAAATTGTGATTACAGAAATGAGACGAGATCAATATTACCTACAGCTTGACATTCAGAGACAACGACAGAACTAAATATCCATTAACTGTCTCTTTTCTCCGGCCTTTTCTCTAGAAACCTCCCTCAAATCACCCACATTGATAGAGAAATGACATGAAAAATGGCCCACAAACAACGGCGCTTTCCTTGAAGAAAACAACTTTCACGTTTTTCTCCCTTTTTTCCCTGCAGACTGTGTTACGCTCCTTAATTTGTCCCTGCACAAGAAATAAGCATATGGATCCGTGAATGTACCCTTCCTCCTCTGCTGCATTCTGAAAGGAAAGTCAGAAGCTCGTCAAACTTAGAACTTGAAGCTAAGCTAAGACACCCTCGGCAATGCAGGGGAAAAGTAGGAATGAGAACAAAATGAAAAATCCTGAAGAAACCACTCTGGGGGAAGAAGTCAACAAAGAAATTATACCACTATGAGGCTCATGAAGCCCGTGCAGGCCAAAAACCTTGTTCCTAAAAGCTCCCCATGTGTGGCTGCTAATGCACAGGAAATGTGATTAGCTGCCTGAGAAAGGCCTAGAATTACTCCCATTCTGACTAGATTACTGGATAATTAGATTGGTAGCGCTCTTCCCTGACTGTGGCTGTCAGATTAAATCTGGCTGGTTCTCTTTAGATAACTGTCATGCCCCAAAATAACAAACAGAGACTGACACAGCGAGGAGCCTTTTAAAAAGTGTTCCAAGAATCAAAGTGCCTATTTTTTCTTAATAATAAAACATGAACAATGTTCAATGGACTTGAGTTTATTCAAATTGTCATTATATTTGATTAAGAAAATGCTACCAGACAAAGCCTGGCCAGACAGGCTTAATCTCTGATGGTAAATGAACATCGCCAGGCTTGACTAGCCACCTCTGGGATCGACTGAGGGAAAGGCAGACTTGAATTACTCAGAGAATAAGCCAGTGGTTCTGTTTTAATGCTCTGAGTCAGCAGCCTTTTATAGCTCAAATCAAGGTCAACAAGATATGTAGAGCACCTTCTCTGAGCACTAGCTGGAACACGGCGGCTCTTCTTTCTTCCACTCTGAGACAAGAACACATGCGCTTTTCCTGTAAGTGTTGTCTCCCCAGTTATTCTGGAGACCATCCAGAAGAGAATGAGAATAAAGAAACCAACAGAAGAAAGGTACAAAGGGTCCCAGGTTCTTACCAAGTTCCCACAGTCTTGTTCTGCTGTCCCTAGTGACTAAATGTTTGCAGTGACTGGGGCAGTGTTTCCTCAGGTGTTATAGCCTGGCCTCTGGCAAGAGATGGGAAAGGGGATAGAAAGATGAAATGCTTTTTGGTGGTACACATGAAACCATACATTTTTACTTATTTTATTTTTATATGGCAAATATAACTGATTTTCTATTTATAATAGAGATACAAAGTTTCCTTTTTAAGGAAACTAACAACAAAGTGTTCAAAAATAAACATAGATGATCAATTTGTTTTAAGAAAAGGTTAACAGGCAGGTATGGCAAAATGCAAATATAACAAAGGTGGAAAGCTGAGAAACCTGGGTGTAAATAAGAGAAGACAGAGCAAAGCATCAGATCAGATGGTGAATCCCAGCATTTCCACTTAGAATTGCAAACTCTTGGGCTAGTTCATTCACTTCACCCAGGGTCAGAATCCACTCATTGGCAGATCTACGGGTTATAACCTTTCTGATCGCAGAAAGTTGTAAAATATCAGCAGTGAGCCTGCCACAGCGTGCATGTTCAGTAAGTGAAAGCAGTTATTGCTTTTAACAAGTGGAACTGGAGTTCTATGTATCTCTTCATAAAATGCCTAAGAAATGTCAGTTCTCTTTGGGTAGGACTTGCCAAATCTCCTCATTGTTTGGTTCCCTCTTTCTTGGGAGGACAGCTCTAAGAAGAATCCCTTGGCTTCAGATGTTTAATATGCATCTCCAAAGCCCCTAGAAGGACCAGGCAAATTTCACTGTGCCTCTGCTCTTCATGGACACCACTGACTTTAGCATAAGTGTCCTGGTCTTTACATCTCTCACCCTGTGCAGTGTGCCTGTCTTGAGTAGATGCTCAACAAATGTTACCTCAGTGAATATGACAATTAAAGAAGCAGTGCAGTATACATTTTTTAAATTCAAATGTTCATACAGTATACAAGAGAGAAAAAAACAAGTGGCCAAATCTTTTTCAAACTCAATAAAATAAGCTAAAAAATTAAAAGTCATTGCCATTTCTTTTTAAAGTGAATGTATCTATTGTTTAAAAAGTATTTGATATACTACTAAAAGTAATAATTGGCACAAACATTCTGGAAGGCAATTTAGCAGTACATTAAAACGTGTATGAAATATACATTTAAGATATACCATTTGATTCAGCAATTCTAACTTTAGAAATCGATTCTAAACCAATTATTATGAATATGTAGAGATATTTACTTATAAGGATGGTCAATGCAGCCTCTTTGAAATACTGGTGGTTTGGAAACAACCATTATGCTCAGCAATATATTTTTAAAATACAGTATGATACTGCTTTACAAATGGGAAAGCATGTGGCCACTGAAAATAATTTTTTTGAACAATATTTAGTAACAGGGAAAATGATTTAGTTTATACACAACTTATCAGATTAAAATACAATATGTATGAATAGATTCATTTTTGTAATTTGTCTTTAGATAAAGAAGGAAGAATAAAAGATACCAAAATGACAGTTATCGCTTGCTTCGGAGGTGAGACTATAGAGGATTTTTATGTCTTTCCTAGTTATTTTTCTTGAAGTTTCTATTATGAACAAATACATTTCATAGCTAATTTATTTTGTGCAATTGGCCAAGGACTATGCTAAGTTTGTTACATGTATTATCATGTAATTCTCACAAAAGCCCTATGAAGTAGGAAGAATCATTATCCCCATTTTTAAAGATGGGTAAACACAGCTGTAGAGACAGTAAATAACTTACCCAGGGTCACACAGGAGTAAGGGGTAGAGATAGCCTTCAAACTCAGTTTATCTGACAGCAGAAATGGAATATTTTAGGGTTAAATACAATACTGTTTCATATGTATTATTCTTTATATAGGGTAAAAAGCTACTTTAAAACAAGGAAAAAATGCCAAGGACCACTATATGATTGATAGCAGAAAGAATTGTACAGATGAATGTAAAATCATTAAAATGTTTTCCTCCACTTTGAACCAGTGGAATCTATGCACGATCAAATAGTTCAGTGTAAATTATTTTGTGTAACACATCATCCTTCAAGAACCCAGGGATTTTATTTACAACAGACTGACCAATTGATGTTTCTAAATATTAACTAGTGAAGCAAGCTCTTGGTCCTATAGAATTTTAAATTATCAAACTTCGCTTATCTTCTGTTAAATTTAGAATTGTGTTTGTTTAAAATGTCTAAGAATGATCCCCGAAGCTTAATCATTTTCCTCATTGTTATGCAGGTAATATATGCTCAATTTTAACATCCAGAGATAAACTTTCTACCTTTTGCTGTTTTCTTTCCGTCTTTCGTGTGTGTGTGGGTGTGTGTGTGTGTGTGTGTGTGTGTGTGTAACCAAAATGTCAATAAAATGTTTACTGCATGAGATTATCCAGATATTTTAGATTTCTGGAGTCATCCTAGTACATCTGGGGAAATACTTGGCATAGTTACACATCTGTATCTGCTCATATGCCATTCTGATTTGCTAGCATTCCTTTCTCTCAGCCTTGTATCAACCTGTAGGTAGAATATAGTGACATAGCAGTGGCTTTTCTCTTAAGCCCTTCCAGAGCATGCTTCCTGATGGTCAGGGCATAGGAGGGGATTATATCAGAGTTCAGGACAACACATTATAGCAAAAAGTTTATGTTTCAATAGCAGATATCCTTCTTTTTTTTATATCTCCCCGTCATCTGAATACCTCATTGAACAGTTATTCAATTTTCTCCTGGAACTTTAATCTCTTGTTCAGTGTCTCTTCTTTTCCCTTTAAAAAATATCTGGCCTTCTTCCAAGAAAAACCAGGGAAGTAAAAATTGCTGTTGCTCTTCGGTTATGCTTTGTCTCACACTCATCCTTCTCTCAGGCAGATACTGGGCTTCTCTATTTATATGCAAGTGTTTTTCTAAACAAAAAGAGGACTTCCAAGGCCAGCTTTTACAGTGACACTTTTTATTTATTCTGTGCTGCATTCTGATCATTCTCTCTCTCTCTCTCTCTCTCTCTCTCTCTGTCTATCTTCTATCTATCATCTATAGTGTATATTCTGGTTTTTGCCATACAGTATTTTACAGTGAACATTTTCTCATCTTAGTACAAACACTATGGAAGCAGAATGTAATGGCCAAGTAAATTCAACCTTACAGATGTATTAGTGTGATGTTTCCAAAGTTTGCAGAATGATAAAAGTATCACTAGGCGTGTTTATAAAAAAAATACAATTTTCAAAAATTTCCCCTTGGATATTTTGATTTGGTAGGTCTGGGATAGGACCTAAAAATCCATAGTTTGCAAAAAGTGTTTCCAAATTATCCTTCCTGTATATGATCATCTCCTTTCCCTTAGACATGAAAGTCATTTCTAACTTTTTGTAAAAGTAGATAAATACTATTAATTTCTGGAAACTTTCAGAAAGAGATTAAGTTAAATCGCTTGGAAATTCAGCCAAGGTAGACCATGTAAACGTGCCTAAAGCCTCACCCAGGCCTCTTCCCTCAAATTGAACTATTCCTTACAATGTCATTTTTGTGCCTTTGTAAGTAAACCAGAGTAAATAATTTGAAATTTGTAAGATTTCAAAATACAATACGATAAAAGAAACTTTTAACTCTTAAAGAAAGGATTATTATGATTCACACTTATAGCAGATACAGGAATCAAAATATTTTCTAATATTTCAAATAAAAAATGTAGTCTTAATTTACAGCGATATACATTAAGAAAATTTTCCAGCTCGAAGCAATGTCTGATCAACAACAAAAATATACCTAATACAGTAATGCCTAAAGAATAACAGTTTTTCAACCTTTCCTATAATATTTCAAGTGAAGTAATGTCTACGATGAAATTTTAGAGTAGGAGAAATTACGGGATGTGTTGGCCTGTATCTTCCTTGCAGATCTTTGCAGATTTCAAATGCTTTACAAAACATTCACCTAAAATGCAACTGAGCATTTCAGGATTGAGGCTATCTTTTAGTAGTTCCAGGACGGCAAGAATTGCGAATTGTACTGCAAATAGTGACCATGATACACTCATCAAAAGTTTCTGAGCTCTGCCAAGTAACAGAAGATGGTGATGAATAAACTATCAAGTAATTTTTCAGCTGTGAGAGAAAATCTTATAAGCCACATGATCCAGGGAGATTAAATGAAATTCTCAGAATAATATCAGAATATTAAGAGTTGTGAGTTACAGCCTTGGTGGATTAATAATTTTAACTATATAGCCATCATATACTGTAAGATAGGCTCATAATCTATCCTTGACATGGATTGAAATTCAATACATGTTCTTATTCCAGAGGATGATATTCCTTGTGAACCTGTCCTAGCATGTTTTTCAAGATAGATACAATATGTAAAAAAAAAAAATTACTACAAGAAAACTCATTAGCATATCCTTCTCTGATATATTAAAATTGTGTTTTGGGCTCTGATGTCTTCTTATTTGGTGGGGATAGGGGGACGTGTCTTCCTGTGCTTTCCAAGAACATATTTCCAAATTGCTTAACACACTCAAACATACCTTGACCTATGTGGTATCCTATTGAAATAAACATAGCTGTTTAAGACAAATAGTATCCTTTTACAAACCATGATTCTTCCAAATGGATGGATGTTCAAAGGAGATGAATAGATTTTGGTTTTGGTTTTGTTTTGCATTGGCAAAGAGGAAAGAAGGTGGCATCTAACTACTACCAGTGGCTTCTTAGGGGTCTTTCAATGCTTGGATAATTTGAGTGTTGTCAGGCAAGTTTATTGCTTTTAATGCTATTAGTCCTATTTGATAAAGAGAGAAATGGTTTCCTCCAGTGCCCATGTTGTTATGGGCACTAAATGCTTTATACATGTATCCTGGTAATAAATACTCCATAATGAGGAAATGAGGGACTTACAAAGTTAATACATTACTAAACTTAGTGTTTTAATATAAAGTCCATTAAGCTGCCTGTACATGCAAGAGAGGTGCTTCTTAAACTTGCCTGATGATAACAGAAACTTAAGATGCTTATTAAAAGTATAGAAACTTGGGTATCACCTAGGCCTCAATCTCCAAGATAAGAAACTTAAAATCCACATTTTAATAAGCTCATATGTCTTGTAATCAGACTATTTTAGAAGCATCAAGTTATAGCAAAGTTTGGGGTTCTGAAAATGTTGTATTTAAGAAAGACGTAAAGAGGAAGGATCCTTTCATTTCCCTTTAACCAACCTTAACCAAATTAACTTGGCTGCTGCATCTTTCGGAGGTGGTGGTGGGTAGAGCATATCAACTAAGGTTTCTATATGGTTTTTAGTTTCTGCCTATGGCAACCTAAAACCACCAAGAAATCCAGAAAACATAGAACTTCTGCTTGCTGCCTTCATTTGCACAGGCACCAACAGGAAACAGCAGTCCCCAGGGATGTCAATCTGGCATCGCTTTGGATCAGCAAATTAAGTAGAAATAAACTCACAAATGAGCAACAAGAAAAAAATGGAAAGTGTTGCTTCCTGCTGAAACAAATTTTGAGTGGCATCATTGTAAATAAAAGGCAGGATGCTCCTATGTGAGAAACTTTCTCCAGCCTCATTAGGAGCTTCCATGCTGCTAATAACCTGGGTCTGAAATTAGAAACAGTTACATTTCACACATACATGATATGTTGCCTGATGCTTAGTTGAGATGACCCATTTGCTACTTTGCATAACTTAGACAAACAGTTGCCTGCTCTTTCCATACTGATAAATCTTTTACTCTTTGTTCAGCCAGTTACTTTACTCATTAACGAAAATAAAACTTAATTAACATGGTGCACCATATACCTATTTGGAAAACCGCCTCCCATGACAGAAAGACAAGCAAGTAATAATGCTTTCATTTACCATGTGAAGTCGTGCTGCGCAAATACATTTATGCCTGAGGTGACACTAGTATTGCAAGTATTTCCAACACAAATGCTCATACAAAATAACTTTGCTTCTAACATGCTACCCAACAACTAGAAACCCATTAAATGGCTTAAATTTCATTTCCAAGGGGAAAACTTGTTGGGCATTCTATAATCCAAAAGCCAAAACAAAACAAGACAAAATAACAATGAAATTCTAAACAGATTACCAGCCTTCCACCCTCCCCTCGCACATACCTGAATAGTTTCAGTGACAGAGCATTCTAGTGACAGCCATTTATTGGCTGTAGTGTGTTTGATTTCCTTTAGAAAAATTTTTATTTGCACTTTACAACTATCATTAACTTCAAAGGATACTGACAGTTCTCAAGTTATTAAGTTAAAAGGCAGCCAACTTTTAGCTGGAGTCACTTCAAATTAATTCTGTCTTACACGGCCACACTGGGTCATTTCCTGAGCTGGTGGCAATAAATAGCCCTTATTTTAATATAAACACAAGTGAGTATAGTAATGCTTTTCTGATTAAAATGCTCAGAACTGGACAAGACCTAGACTTAGTGTAAACCATGGGTATTTTTTCACCATCTGTGGTAGAAACTATTTATCTACACAGTGTACATTCTTTCTCCCTAACTGAAAACACACACACACACACACACACACACACACACACATTCTTGATGACAGCATCAGACCCTTCTAAATATTTGCATTTCCCAGGATCCCTTGCAGCTACAGTGGCCTTATGGTATTGTAACAGGATTTCTTAGTTTTGCTTTCTGTGGGCACTGTTTCTTCCTTGCTTGATTCTTTTCCATTCTTCCACCTGGACCCATAGGTAGGAGATTTGGGACATGGATTCTAGTGGAAAGGGACGGAGGAGGAGAGCTGAGAAGTACAGTTAATTAGGATTATACCTTAAAACTATTATACTTCAAAAGCTACTAGAAACCCTAACGTTTCAAGAGAATAGGAAACGTGTATCTTGATCAATATGTAACCCCAGTTCCTGTGGCTTTTACCCGAGTGAGACATGCATCTATCGCATGCTGGCTTTTTGCAGTAGAAGGCCATGATCTGTGACCCAACAGTTTAAAAGGATGTCTCTGCCTTTAGTGTTGAGGATAGAAGGCAGCAGAAACTGAAGCAAGGAGAACAACCAGGAGATGTAGCATTCCTGGTGAAAGCTGATGCTGGCTTGTGCCAGAGTTTCACTGGTGGAGAGGAGGAGAAATGGTCAGCTTCTGAATATATTTTGAAGGTATGAACACAAGGATTTCCTAATGGATTCGGTCAGGGTATATTTAAGAGCCAAATGAATAAATCAAGGATCTCTCCAAAGCCACTAGAAGGATGGTACTGCCATCAACTGAGATGGGGAAGGCTGCAGAAAGAGCAGGTTTGTCTGAGGAGATTAGGGGTTTAGGTTTGATGTTTTGAATGTGAAATGTCTAACAGACATCTAAGTGCAGATGTCAAGTAGGTAGTGGTATCTAAAAGACTGGAATGAGAGAAAGATTTGATATGGAAATATAAGTATTGGGAGTCTGTGGCATATATATAATATATAAAGCCATAAAACTGAATGGCATTACTAAGGTAGTGAATGCAGAAACCTCTGAAGTTTTATAAATGCTAAAACCATGGATACAATAGAAGATTAGTAAAACTTGTCTGGTAGTGATTTGTAAGATTGCCTGAAAATTATACAAGTGAGAAGTAGAAATGCTTCTATTTAGAGTACTTCTGCAGAATGCTTCTAGTTAGAGCACTTCTGTGGAACTCCAGGCCTGGGAGAAAGAAGCCTCAAACTAGTGTACTTCAGAAAGATGGGGCTCGATAGGCCAGTGTCAGTGAGGAGTAAAATGCTAAACATGGAGAAGGAAAGGGTGGTGCTTTGGAAGAACCTGTTTTTCTAACCTAAAGGAATAGGAAGTATTAGAAAACGTTATTGTCCTGGTTATGGTTCCCCCAGAAACAGACCCTGAGATAAGGATTTAACTACAAGTGGTTTATTTGGGAAGTGATTCTAGGAAACACCTAGATGGGAAAGGGGGAATAATTCAGTAAAGGAAGAAAGTCAATAAAGAGCGTATTATCAAGTAAGTTACCACTGTGGGAAACTAGAGACCTCTGAGACACAGTATAGAACACCTGCCTTAAAATCATTCCAAAATAGGGGCATTTATTTACCTACTTGCCATTTGTTAGTGATGAGGGGCTGCTGTTTCCAGAAAAACAAGGCTTGCAGGTAGAGGCTCCCATGTTCGCAACCAGCTATTTTCCATGTACAGAGGTAAAAGACAAGGGAATATGACTGGAATATCCATGTGTCTGTAAAGTTACTAAATTGTTGGGGAAGGTAAACTTGGTGTATAAAGATAGTTCATGATCTCTCTTCTAAATGAGAAATGTGTCCATATTAACACAGACAATTGCACATAGTATGTTTCTGCATATGAAAGCAATTTTAATGTTGAGACAACATGCTGTACTTCACAAATGCTAGGTAGTAAAAATCCACCTCAAAGAAGAGCAGCATCAAGGAATGAATGTATCTTTCTCCCTCTTTTGGATACCCACAATGCATAGTACTATGATAAAACACTGTTGGTGATCAACAAAATACCTATCAGATTATTTATTTTTAGTTATTCTGATGATATAAACATCTTCCTTTGTCAGAAGCAAAAATTAGTACTGCAGGTATTAAACCAATCTTTATAAAATTTCTTTATAAGATATTGGCAGGTTAGTTGACTCTATTTTGCTAAATGCTCTTTTAGAAAAAAAGATGAGATTATTGAGTGGGGTTATTTAAATGAAGTCTTTATATACTCATAATTATTAATATTCAGCAGATAAAATGTGGAATGGAAGTCAGAAACCTTGGTATCCAATCTTGATCTGTTAAGGAAATTGGCCAAAAGTAAAAGCTGGATCTTTGATCTGATTACAACAACATGGCAGGGCATTCATCTGTGGATTCCTCTCTCTGTTTCTGGGAATTTGAGTAGGCAAAGATGTCTTCCTCTACTTGTACTATGGGCTGGAGTTTATGGCTCAAGGCATTTTTAGGGTAGAAACAGGTTTGTGCCCATTAGCCACATCAGTAGTTTCCCAAGAAAAAACAAGCTGGAAGCCCTAAAAAGTTCTGTGATGATGTACATTGGGGATAAATAGGTAGGTGAGATCCAGGTCCCCAAGATAGCAGTAAACTTGCATTTAGCACTAACATTAACTCTGGATTCCAAAATACAAGACAATGAAACAGTAATATTATACTATATAAAAATAATCTGATATGCCACAGCCCCTCTTATATCTCATGGTGCTCTTTCTGCATAAGTTTCTTAATTTTAAAATGCATAGTAAATTATATAGTTTTATTGGATGAATCATAAAACAAAACCAAATTCTACCATTATTAGAGGATATATGAAGATATAAGGCTCTATGCCTATCTATTAATTTTCCTGCTTTTTTTCAACTGCATTTCCCCCAGTACAAATAATTCTCTTGGGATATGCACAGATAGCCATACAAGCATTCTATTGTTTCTGCATATTGATATATGGAGATAAAGGCAGTTATGGTTATGTATTTGAAAAAAGCAGCAGAGGCAGGGATCATACTTCAGTAGGATAAGCACAGCAAAAACCTAGAACTTACTTGCCTGGAACATTCTCAAGTGTAATGTATACAAGTACAGTACAATATTTGCTTAGAGATCTTTATAAAATTGCTTTTAGCACATACTAAACCTTATTAGAATAAAAACGAAAACATTTCATTGTGCCAGTTACTTAGAATAATTAAAAAGTGCCAGTAGAAACTGTATCAGGTGTGGGGAAATAAGCAGAGGAAGGATCTGCAGGGCCTTGTTCTTGCACTGTCCACAGAAAACCTCTTAGATTTAATGTTGGGAAGAAAAAACACAAAGATCCATTCTTTGCTTATTAAGTTTTCTACATTCATAAATCTCGTTCAAAGAAGTTACCTTTTGGTGTTCTTAAAATGTCACAAAGATCCATTTAGTCATTTCCCTTGGCTTTTGGATCACAAAATGCTATTTACAAGACTGAGGATTTTCAAAGCCACCACAAAATCCTCTTTGTAATTATCATCAAAAACGCGACCCACACAAATCAAGACAGGAATAAGATTCCCAAGTGCCAAGATACTCAAATGCCCAAATATTTAGTAGCTCTCAGTTTTTAAATGAAAGATAGAATTTAAAACTTTCTAGAATTTCAATGTACAAAAACAACTTGTCATTATCAACCAATAAATCTTAAACAATTATAATCAGATTCAGTTGCACACACTAAGTCCTTTCCCAGTTCTCCTACTCTCTTCTCCCCCTAGGACTGTTAAAGTTGAAAAATGACAAAAGAGATTTAATGCAGAACAAAGATAACTACATAAAAATCAAAATTTTTATTTCTCATACTGGGTATTTAAATGATTGATGGTTTTTAGAAAGTTGCTAACACTTTGAATCATCTGTGCCTGCATCTGCACAAAAGTTAGTTAATATAGTATTTTTCTCTACTCAAATGGAATTCTATTGGTAAAACTCACATCAAAGCACATGCCCAGGCTCTGAACTGAAGCAGCTCTACAGAGAAATACAACAGGCACCAGTTTATACAGAATAAGGAAAGTATCTAATCTAACGGTCATTCATTTGCAAGGAAGTGTTGTAAACACACTTTCTGCACACTGGTTTGCTCTTCTGGTTGGCATGCAAATGCACATGTATGTGTCGCTTGTTCCTCTTTTTGGTTGTGAAGTTTTTTGGGAGTGAGGAGAGTCAGAGGATAATTGCTTCTTGCTTACCATCCACCCAGAGGAAAGAAGTTTTGAAAAGTTAACCATGCCTCTCCTCCCCTTTTCTGTTTAATTTGCACAGATCATTAGCAAGTGAAAGGTACTCTGCAAACAGAACAAAATAGGTTTCCAGATAGACAAATAGTGATTTACAAAGACTAGAAAAAAACATGCTTAAACTAGGCTATTCATTGTAGAAAATCTCATTACAAATGAATCAATAAGCATCAGCAATACGGGGACATGTGTGATTATTTTGGTTAGGGTCAAATTTTGTTCTAGTGGGATTCTGGTGTTTGACCTGTGGTGTGTCAACATGTCTTACTAAAGGATAGTAATAATATTCTAAAACTATTGAAAAATAATTATACTTATATTTATATGAAGGTTAATAAAAATCTTCTATGGAAATTTGAACGCCTTATTTCCTCTGGGATTGAGCTATCAGATGACTCAAGAATATTTATTATTTATAATGCTTTATCTGACTGAGACCCTCAAGATAACAGAAAAGCAGTCAGAGATGAAATGATGGCACCAAAATTGTACATGTCTAGAGACAAATAAAAGAACAAATATAACTTGGCAAGGTTATTATTCATCTATTTATCATAGTGTAATAGAAAGCTGTAAAAAAGTAGAGCCTCAAGGAATGTTCTTATTTTTATGTGCTCATATATTCACATTATTTAAGAAGTTTTGTATTATTTATTGTCTTTACAGTGATAGTTATAATGCAATTAGGAGAAAGAGAAAAAGTTTCTGACTTTCTGAGTCACTTCTCTTAATACCAACTAAATACCTCTTAAAATACTCAAATTTTGCTAAGCATTAGAGGATATTAGGTCCTGAGTTTAGAATAAAAACAATATTTTTCTACTGCCCAATAATGGGCAATAGAAAGCTCTGAAATAAGAGTGAAGTTATGGTTTTGAAACCAATCCTAAAACAAGAAAACTCCCTTCCCAGTCATTGGCTACCCAGCACCAAATTCTAATATTCCCATTGGTCTGAAATGTTCAAATGCTAACTTGGTCTAAAATGAATCATTACTTGTTTGACCAACTTAAACATTTTCTAAAAAGCATCATAGTATTCCAGTGTTTTAAAAATTTGCTTGAACATAAGAATCACCAAGAGTGATAATTATAAATATAGATTTCCAAGACTTACTCTTGAGGATTTGGATTCAAAGGCCTGGGATGGGGCTTAAACATTATATTTCTAACCATAAATGCCAGTGATGACATCTATGATTAAGCCAGTTGCTATACTGTGTTGATATGATTCAGAAAGGATTCAAGAATCTTCTCTAGTGAGCTTGTTTTCTCTCTCTTCCTTTTTCCTTCCAATTCTTACTAATTTTTGTGGCAATCAACAAGAATTGACTGAGTTTCCTATGTATAGCAGGCACTGTAGTAGGCACTGGGGGAAATTGACAATGAGTTGGTCCCCAATTCTTCCTCTCAGATGGCTCATTATTTGGAATAATAGAAATCTATAACACAATAAAACACTTGTGAATGAATAATGACAATATCCATTTCTCTAAAATTCTCCTAACTTGAACAGTTGCTGTTAGTGACTATGACATCATTCACCAGCTTTTCTATGCTGTACGACAGAATTAAAAAACAAAACTGAGTTGGCATTCAATGAAAGTCCTACTCTACATTTTGTGAAAGGGACTATTAACCTATTTCTTGTTCCATGGAAAATGAGATGCTTTTTCCAGATTCTTCAAGGGCTGGCAAGATGGAAGAAGCAACAGAATTCAAAGAGAAAAATAAAAACTGCAAAGGTAGAGTGTGGCTACTAAGTTTCAGCCACCTTCTAGGAAAAAAACAAACAAACATATATTGGTTTTTAGTTTCTGACATCCTATCTTTTTCTGTTTCATAACATGAGAAAGGGATGATTTCCTGTGACCTACTATGAATTTAATACAGAATTAACATCAGTAATGATAACGCTAATCCTTTGGTTTTAATTTTCAAGATTTGTACTGGAAGATATTAGTGCTTACACTGAGAAATTCACGTTAGTCTAGAATAGATAGCAGCCTTGTCAGGTCAACTGTATTTTAAGCTGTGAATTAGTTTCTGAGTTAACATTGACTTAAAAATTGGACTGAAAAAGGGTATAGGACATAAAATAAAATCAATTATTGACCAGCTGCTGATTCACCATTTGGCCTTAGAGAAAATTCAAATTCTTGATAGGAGAAAGAAAAAATAGTTCACAAGACAACTATGGATGAGTTCCCTGTTAGATAAACTGTATTTAAAAACCATGCTATCTGAATCTGCTCATTATCTTGAAATGTAACCAATTCATTGTTAAGACATAACATTTTTACCAATTTTAGCAGTCTCCACTTAGAACATTACATATAAAATGTTCAAATACAGAGAAAATGCCAGTTTGAACTGAGCTCTTGTTTTAAAAAGAGAATATATTTTTGTATAACTACTCAGGGCAAAGAGGTTTATTTTTATTTATCATCACCAATGTTCCTTTGAGGCAGCTTTCACAAATGAAGAAACTGAGACACAGAAGAGTTAAATAATTTGCCCTCATTAAAATAGCCTGCAGATAGCAGAGAAATGTGATTTTAGCTCCATCTGGCTCTGGATTCTCAGCACTTTTCACTTTGAATCCTTTCAAGTCTTTAAAGTAGAAAGTAGATAGTCCCATCATTAGGATGTAAATTACTTATTTCATCAATTCTAAAATGCACATTTTTTCACATTTTAATGGTCTCTGAAATTAGGATTCTTCTTAAAACAGCTACCAACCAGATACAATCATTATGTCATCATGATGGCCTGCATATGCACTTCAAAACATCAAGAATGGGTGGTTTGGAAGAAAACCCCAGAGACATCGGTAGAGCATCCTTCCAAGCAATGCTGTGTCAACGATGGTCTTGATGACACAGCTGAGCACACTGTGTGAGGGAAAACACATGGACAATGACAATTCTCAGTCAAAAAATCACTTAGAATTAGATTCTAATTGTGAAAAACAGTTTAGAATGATTTACCTTAATTTGCTTATGCTTTCCTTTTTATGAGCACACAAAAAAGATTTTTAAAAATCTATACCTAAATAAATCTAAAGGAACTATATGAAAATATCTTAAGTTATGAAACAGTGTGCTGTCAGCGTAAAAACAATGTTTTTTCTTTTCTTGTGTTATATGAAATAATGATGAACATATGAAACGTATACTGATGAACATGAATAATGTACATATATAATGGTACATGTAAAAGTTACATATATAATGATGCATATAAGAAGTACAATAATCACATCCTTTAAACACTTCAAATGTGAGGGTTTCAGGTGAGACGTTGGTGTACTCATTCAAACTTTCTGTAGTCATAAGAGTTGGATACGGCAAGTACCAGCCCCCTATAAAAACCACAAGGCCCCTCTGAAGTTTACTCCCACTGAAGTCCATTCTGAGAGGTAGGTGGAAAAGGTAATCTGAGGAGAGAATCACTGACACAGCCAGTTTTATAAGAGGAAAGCCTCTATCCCTCCCTTTATCTAGCAGGGAAATGTTTCAATTTCATTGACAGTCAATGTGGACTTCAGCCCATTTTTTAAATTGTTGTTTACACAAAATCATGAACTCATGGTATAGCTGAAGCATCCCTCTGTTTCATGTTTATATTGAGCATTAATTAGCCAACTACAGTTGACCTGTGCAAGAGTTCCCTCTCATAACAGATGTATCACTCCCTCCACATTCTTCTAAAACAAGGGCTAGTATCAGTTTCTGTTTTATATCTGACTGATGATGGTATTGGGTTTTTAATCCGGTAATTTAATATGTCTGTTCAATATAGGATTGATTTCCATATAAACAATAATGGACCAGGTCTTTTGCAGAAGCTGGGCCTCTGCTTGGGAGTACATGGTGGTTTCTCTACACTGGCTCCTTAGAAATCAAGTTACCCCCTCATATCTGACACAGCAGAGGGACCTGAAAGATACATAATGGAGCATTAGACAGTATCAAGATCAGCTGATTAACCACTTATCTTTCTTGCTTCCTCTCTCTCTTCCTCCTTCTCTCCCTCTCTTCTTTTCACAAATATGCATAGAGTGCTTACCACATGAAAACAGATGGTAAGTAGGACACAATTCCTGACCAAGATAAACTCACAGTCTATAGGAGGAAATGTGTATGTAAACATTATTAAAAGGCAAACACTTATTTCAAGGGGGTACATTCAGGAGCACATAGGAGAGATTAAATTCCTTCTGGGATATTCACAGAATGCTTTCCTGGAGGAAGTAGTATCTAAGCTAACATATAAACAATGCTTTAGAGTAGTGGTTCTCAACTGGGGACAATTTTGCCTCCTAGGACATCCTGACTGGGGTGGGGAAAATGCTGTACCACTGGAATTATTAGGTAGAGGCCAAGGATTGTTATGCTAAATATCCTACAATGCAAAAGACAGCCCCCTACAACCAGGCTTTATCCAGCCTCAAATGCCAATAGTGCTGAGGTTAGGAAACTCTGCTTTAAAGTTAGCGAGGCAGAAGAGAGAGAGAGAGACAGAGAGAGAGAGAAGAGAGAGAGAAAGAGAGAGAGAGAGAGACAGAGATACTCACTTTATACTAGGTGAGATGTTCATCCATGGGGAGAGGTGGTAGATGTCCTTGTCAGCACTTTAATGCCAATTGCTGCAATAAATATTTTTTTAAACTAACATTTGGATAGTTCCTGAGAGCTACAGTGCAACTGAAGTCACTTCATCTTATTAAATCCGTCACAGTAATGAAAGAGGTAGATATTCTTATTACTATTTTTCAGATAAGGAAACTAAGACTCAGAGAAAAAAAGTGACAGAACGAGGGTAGCAACCCAGGCTTTATTATTCTATATAATATGATAGCCACCTTTTTCTTGCATTCTGAACTGCCCTTGGCACTTTGCATATACTTACTCACTTAATTTTATTACTGTTCTCATTTGGACATGTAAAGAAACTGAGGCACAGAAAGATTAAGTAACATCATCAGTGATTTAGTTGGTAATGAATCTGAGATATCAGGACTTCTTGTTTCAGGGCCCTGAATCTCAACACTATGTCCTTGTTCTATTTACTATATTACACTTTGTAATATTTATTAAACATTGGCATTTATATCTATCCTGCCGATATGCAGGTGCTTTGTGGTTTTTAACTCCTCATATTGATGTTTCCACTACAATATCTGTATATTCCCATTTTATTGCTCAATGATTGCCAAACAAAAATGGTAGCAAAATACTATTCATATGCTGACCAAAAATTTTTCTTGCAGGTCATTCTGGATAAATTATTATTTCCTAATATTTAGATATAGGCCACTCATTGCCACTTTGCCACTCACACTGCAATATTTATCCTTAAATTGTATCTTCCACAGGTTAGAATGGCTAATATTGATATCCAGAATTAGGAGAGCTTGATCACGTTTTGCCAAAATTCATAGGCTTTTACTTTCAATCAGATGTTCCTGACTTTTTGTAGTCTCCTGTTATTATTATCATTTTTTGCATTCTTTCTCCTTTGAATCACAAACTAAGTTTTAAGAATGGGGTAGGCCAAATATTGGTCTCCCCATTTTACTAATGACTCCCAAACGCAGAGTTTAAGTGACTTGTCCTAGAACAAATTATCAGCTAGTGCAGAGCTGCTAAGCCCGTTTTACATTTTACTACATGATGCATTGTTTCCAGATCAGGAAAACAGCTTCCTGAGAGCCATTCTTCCTTCTTTATAATCAAATGCTCATGTAATTAAGCATAGGCACCCATCACATACACACTGTTATATTTTTAAAGGGCTTTTTGTTGGTTGCCACTAAAATTAGTAATTGAGTCATATTCTGGAACTGTTCTTTTCCCAGTAACTTCAAAGGAGGTGCATATCCCCAGGATGGCCGTCTTCTTATATCTCAGCAATGAACTAATTTGGTGACCTTCCTAACCCCTGGGCAGCACATTTGCTGTTCTGGAAGAGTTTATACACTTTATAGATTAAGCAGAGATTACTGGCCATAGATCACAAAAAGCTGTCAAAGCTGATGGATGGTGGCTCTAAAGAAGCTTCACCAAGAAAAGATTATTTTTATTTATTTATTTATTTATTTATTTATTTATTTATTTACTTTAATGGCGTTTCACTCTTTTTGCCCAGGCTGGAGTGCAATGGCGCAATCTCAGCTCACTGCAACCCCCACCTCCCAGGTTCAAGTGATTCTCCTCTCTCAGCCTCCCAAGTAGCCAGGTTTATAGGTGCACACCACCACACCCAGCCCAGTTAGTTTTGTATTTTTAGTAGAGATGGAGTTTCACCACTTTGGTCGGGCTGGTCTCGAACTCCTGACCTCAGGTGATCCACCTGCCTCGGCCTCCCAAAGTTCTGGGATTACAGGCGTGATCCACTGTGCCTGGCAAGAAAAGACTTCTTGCATCAAATTGTCTTCTACAGGATCAAAGGTTTTGCTTACACTTGTTCTAAGTTGGTTCTATGTGGTCTGTTACAAAAATGCCACAGAAATATAAAAAAATAACTGTGGTAAGTAATGCCACAGCTTGCTTGAGTACGGAGAATTTTAAAAAATTTGTAGTCAATTGTATTAGTCCATTTTCACACTACTATAGAGAACTACCTGAGACTGGGTAATTTATAAAGAAAGAGTTTTAAATGAACCACAGTTCTGCAGGGCTGGGGAGGTGAAGGCAAAAAGGAAGCAAGGCATGTCTTATGTGGAGGCAGGAGACAGAGAGGGTGGGAGTGGGGAACAGCCAAACACTTTGCAACCATCAGATTTTGTGAGAAATCACTCACTGTCAGGAGAACAGCATGGAAAACCCACCCCCATGTTCCAATCACCTCCCACTGGGTCTCTCCCTCAACACATAGGGATTACTATTCAAGATGAGATTTGGGTGGGGACACAGAGACAAACTATATCAACAATTTTGTAAGTCAAGAAAAAATTTGATGGGACCAAGAGATACATTCCTTTCCTTCAAAAGATATCGTCATACACTGAACCTTCTATATTCCTTTCCTTCAAAAGGTATCATCATATACTGAAAATTCTTTGGGAAACAAAGAATATGTTTATACCTATTTATGCTCATATATGTGCTCCTTTTATTGTTTTAAAATTTTAAAATGAACATAAGACGTATATAACTATGAGAAACATAAACGAACTATGGCCCTTGGAGTTATCAATTTCTTATATTGCTCTTTTCTCTTACTGCCTTCTTCTTCCCAGTGATCAGAAAAAGAGTTCATAAAAGAATTCTAAAGCATAGTAAGAGTCAGAGATAGAATCTGGCCAATCAAAAGCTATTCTACTAGATACTTATGGACTCGATTTTCAGCATATTCAAAAGTAAATTTTCAATTACTTTGAGGATATCCAAACTGAATATGGATGGAATAGCAAAGGCCTTTAACTTTCATTCTCACAGTCTCACTTTGTAGCAACAAAGCTTTAAAAAAACTGTTGCTTTATAAATTTCAGGGGGTTTTGTTTTTTCAAAGTTTTGGGGAGCTAGACTTCCATATTACTAGCCAAGGGAATTAAATCATGAATAACTTCAATTTGTAATCCTACTTTAAAATAATTTAAAAGTGCTTTCTTAAAACCCTCATATAAAACAATTACACATTTTGGCAAAAGTTTCCTTGGGACTCATGTACACATGCCTAAGAGCATATTTACAGGTAACCTGAGGTATACGTTGGAAGTCTTCGCAAATATGAGTTTTTAGAGTTCAAGTTCGATATCAGTGTAACTCCTGGGATGTTAGGGTTAAATTAAAACATTATTATAGGCATATATTTTAGCACATAGCTAGAATAATAGCCATACTGGCAGTCTGCTTTTTTTTCCCCATAATTCTAGTAAACTATACTCCACAAAATTAATTTGCCAGACATATATTTAAAAATTCTTTTGCTTCCACTGGGAAGTTTGAGAAAATGTTACACTTCATTCATAGTCCATTGTTATCTTTCCATTATCTATTAGTCTATTGATATCTATAATGAAGGGAGCATTCCATTGTCCAGTAAGATGATGAAGGGCATTTGGGATTTTTTTCCTCTAGCTGAAGTTTACTTAGTTTCTTCAGCACAATTCATACACTTTCAATTATAATCTTTTAAAAATGAATTGTTTGTGTAACTCAAAATGTCATTGTTGGAAGTAGTGAGGAAGAGAAATGACTTTTATACCTTTTTTTTTTTTTTTTTGAGACAGTCTTGCTCTGTCGCCTAGGCTGGAGTGCAGTGGTGTGATCTCGGCTCACTGCAAAAGCTCCATCTCCCTGGTTCACGCCATCCTCCTGCCTCAACCTCCCGAGTAGCTGGAACTACAGGCGCCCGCCACCACGCCTGGCTAATTTTTTGTATTTTTAGTAGAGACGGGGTTTCACCGTGTTAGCCAGGATGGTCTCGATCTGCTGACCTTGTGAACCGCCTGCCTCGGCGTCCCAAAGTGCTGGGATTACAGGCGTGAGCCACCGCGCCCGGCCGACTTTTATACTTTTATAATGTTTACTCATTGCCTAGTACTCGGCGTATATTTAAAGTAGTGCTTTAATTACATTATAGCCATCTTAAAATTAAATAGATTAAAATACGCTATTAATAATAATTTAGACCCCCCCCCCCAAGTTAATTTAATCCCCTTTAATTCTCACAGAAACTTCATGAAATAGGGACTCCTTTTTTTTTTTTTGAGAGGGAGTCTTTCTCCCAGGCTGAAGTGCAGTGGTACGATCTCGGCTCACTGCAAGCTTGCCAGTTCACGCCATTCTCCTTCCTCAGCCTCCCTAGTAGCTGGGACTACAGGCGCCCGCCACCACACCCGGCTAATTTTTTGTATTTTTTAGTAGAGACGGGGTTTCACCGTGTTAGCCACGATGGTCTCCATCTCCTGACCTCGTGATCCAACCGCCTTGGCCTCCCAAAACTGGGATTACAGCTGTGAGCCACCGCTCCTGTCCGGGACTACTTTTTAATCCCATTTTACAGATGAGCACACTGAGGCACAAGGAAATAAAGTTACTCCCCTAAGCTTCCACAGTGGCAGAGTTGGAATGTGAACTGGGGCAGTCTGGCTCCACAGTCTGTGCCCTCCATCACTACACATTGTGTCTTCATGTTTGGCATTACTTTTATGGCACTTACTATTCACCTAAGATTCAGGTCCTCTCCTAGACAATGTTTTACATCATAGATGCTACCACTATATAGGACAATGACGTTCAACAAGCCAATTTTATTGTACATTTCATCTGATAGAAGATTATTTTACTGAATAATTCTCATGAGTATATTATGTAAGGCTGTCTCTCAAAATGTCTTCATGCATTTATTTTATAAACTATATTTAGATTCATATTATAAAAACTAATTGCCCATGCACACTCTCAACAACACAAGCTCAGAACAGAGCTTGTCCTCCAATCTGTATTCTGGTAATACACATAGATCTTCCAGGAATATCACATCACCCTATGTGCTTCTTTTTCTTCACGAAATTTTTTACAATGCAAAATTATATTATATTTATTTGGATATTTTTTCAGGCTCTGTCTTCACTTCCCCAGATGTAAGCCCTATAAGGGCAGGAACATTTTATGCCTTGTTTACTCTATAATCAATACCTACAGCACAGTTTCTAAATTATAATAAATATTTGTAGGAGGAATACATGAATATATTCATTGATTTTTTTTCCATGAAATTTTAGAGCTGGAAGAGTTTAGAGTTCACCGGATCCTTTAATTTTATAAATGAAGGCACTATGGTCTTATAAATGAAGAACACAGAAGCGAAATCTTATTTTTTATTTCATCCCTAGGACCTTGCCAGTGCCTGAAGTATAAGTTTTCCACAAGTATATGTAGATTCTCCTACAGCAAAAGCGAAGACTAGATTAGGCATCCCAAATTGAAGATTGGAGCTAATTCCATAAAGTGGGTTTTTTTCTTTTTTCTACAGGTATATGATATCTTTTCAGATTTCCTCTGTTACCTGAGAAACTTTTTTTTTCTTTCATCCTTTTTTTTCTGTTGTTTAAATGGCATTGTGCATACATTTTACTGCCACAACAAAGTAGCATGCTTGAACCAGGCATCTTTAATCTTAACCAAACCAAATATTTGTAGGCATTTTATTTTCATTCTAGAACTTGGTATTATGCTGTCAGGAGACTTCTGATAAGTTATAGGTTGTCCTTTCCAACTAATGGAAGTAAAACTATTCACTTTTATTGAAAGGTTTAATACAAAATACAATGAGGCTCTCTACAGATATAACAACCATCTTTTACATTCATTATTTGATCAACAACAGAGAGACAACTACAAATAATCTGCAGAGTCCCTGATAGTCAGGAGTCCCTTGTTCCAGCCCTATCTTGCACACAAATCACTGAGCATCTTTCTGAAGAGAAGACTGTTTCAATTTTCGAAAGTTCATCCTTTATAACTACATGAGTGCCTGCATTTACGTTTTCATTCCAGCCTTTACAATGTTTTCAGAGGGCATAAGAGTTTAAAGTTCTGCCCCATTATGTATTATATCAGTTGCATTTAAATACATAGAATTATTATGCTGTCTTTCACCCAATAAAAGCAAAAAAAAAAAAGAAGCAGACATTTGGAGCAAGAACACATGAATAAATAACCCCAGAAGACTCACCAAGATGAAAATTCAAGTTTCAGAGACCCTCTATTGGTTTAATTCTGACATGGGCCTGCATGTTCCAGCAGCCTTTATGAGCTATGGGTTTCCTAGGTATGACTTAAGGGCATGGAATAGAGCACTTCATTTAAAAACAAGAAATATTCTATTTCTTAGTCTTAATAGATATGTTCAGATATTAAAATAATTGGTATGCATATTTTATCACAATTAAAAACAATAATAAAGTAATTGGTTAATCACAGTATTTCAGTTATTAGTAAAACCGTAAAATTCAATTCCCTAAAAAGATAACGTTTTTAAAAAGACTAAACTAGTAAATTTAGATTGCTGAAAAAATTTCAAAATAGCCAGGGAATGAGTTCTAGGATGACTTATAAACAAACAACTCTAAGGAAAAAGTTAATTAGACACATTTTTTTTTCTCTGTAAGTGAAATTTCTTTAGAGGATGCCAAAGTTAACTTATGGAATTGGTGCAAAATAAAATTTTAGTTAAAACACACTTTTAAATGCCAATATGAAAATCAAGTACATAAAGATAATATAAATATTATTCTAATTGATTTTTTAAAACATTTACACAGTAAGTGGACCACCTCAATTAAAGAACAGTGACCCATGTCATAAGAGTTTTATCGTAATTGTAGCCCCTAAGATTCTCTTAGTCATGATTTAAAGTTACTGGCGACTTCAATGAGAAGTGAGATATAAGCTTAAACTTCAATATATGAAAGAGAAATCAGGGGCTAAAGTGAAGACTCAAAAATTGTGCAAACAAGTCATTGAAAAGTAGCCAATTACATAGAATATGCAACCTGGAATGTATAAAAAAATTTGTTGTAACATCCTAGAATTGTAAGTGGCACATACAAATATGTCAATAAAAATAAGGATGGCATGTTAATCTAAGCATTAAAGGATCCAATCCAAAATATAAAAGTTCATGCTAGCCAAGAAAAAAATTATTAAATTTATTCTTGCCTTTAATATCTCCAAAATTTTCCATTTGTTTTCTGGAACTGTAAGCTATCCTCACCATTATTCACCCTTATTTTAACTTACAGAAATATTTTCTCAGGATTCAAAGCATTTTTAAGCTTTTTCTCCTGCTCCCCGATTTTTATTCTCTAAGATCAAGGGTTTACAAGCTTTCAATAAATACAATTCAACATACCAGAGTTCCTTGGGAGCATAAAACATTCAACAGGAAAATACTCAGGAAGACAAGAACAAACAGCCTCACGTGTAAAAAAAAAAACTTCACTGTTAGAACGTGCCAGACTCGACAACTTAATGTAAGTGGTGTATAAACTAGATCCTATCCAATAGTGGTTTTAACAGGAGGTATAAAAGTTAAAACTTTCCTTTATTAATAATATAGACCAGCAGCAAAAAAATCCATGTTCCCAAATCTCACAGCACAGAAATTTTGGAATGTTCAACTGAATCAAGTGAGTCATATTTTATAACTGGCAGAGGTTAATCAGAGCATTGTACCCATTGTATAGATGGATACACTGAGGCTTGGTGAGATAAGAGATTATTCCAAGTTCAGCAGAGAGCATATTGCTTCTCCATGTACTGCTTTCTCTATTGCCACATTGCCCATCTGGTGTCTTAAAAAGATCTCCCAACTACATGCCTATATCCATGCTAAGAGAGATACAAAAGAAATTGACAACAGGGTCCTCACCATAAAGAAGCTTACACTATCATGCCTATCATTGTGATTTTTGCAATTTACAGCTATCCATAATTCTAATAAGTACATCACAAATTTTAAAGGAGTTTTTCTTTGTTTGCATTTTTGTTCTTTTTTTAAACTAAAACTGTTTTCTTTATTCATTTTTTTTTTTTTTTACATAAAATACATGTACAGAACATGCAGGTTTGTCACATAGGTATACTTATGCCATGGTGGTTTGCTGCACCTATTGACCCTTCATCTAAGTTCCCTCCCTTCTCCCCTCACCCCACAACAGGCCCTGGCGTGTGTTGTTCCCTTTCCCCTCCCTGTGTCCATGTGTTCTCATTGTGAAACCGTTTTCAGACTCTCACTTCCCTATCATTTTCGACGTCAAATGAAAACATTTTATCCACATGTGCATTTTCCTTCTCACATACTCTCTCACACACTGGAGAAGATCTTGAAAAATGTTTTCTCTGAATAATTCTTTCCCTACCTACTTTTGTTTGGGCTTGGAAATAATCACCACTTGTTCCAGCAGATGCTTCTCTAAGTTAATTTTTGTTGTTGTCATTGTTCTTGTTGGAATAGGGAAAAAGAGAAGCAAATTAAAGCAGCATTCCAGAAAGTTGCTATGGGCTGCACGGTAGGTATTTTCCAAAATTATTACGGCATTTAGAAAGAATTGTTGAGTTATCAGACATTCCTCATAGACGCCCCTGGAAGCCAAAGTATTTTTACTAATATTATGGATCACAAGGGAAAAAAGCCTTTTTTTTTCTGTCAAAAAGTTGATTTTTTGGAACAAGAACTTCAAGGCAGGCTCATCATTATACCATTACCTATCCCCACCCACAAAGGACCACACTGATTGAGAAATGACAAGGAGGAGAAATGGGCTTTGCTCTGTGCTATTTTTTTTTTCTTTCTTTTTTTGAGATAGAGTTTTTGCTCTGTTGCCAAGGCTGTAGTACAATGGTACGATCTCGGCTCACTCTAACCTCTGCCTCCTGGGTTCAAGCGATTCTTCTGCCTCAGCCTCCTGGGTAGCTGGGATTACAGGTACCCACCACCACACCAGGCTAATTTTTGTAATTTTGGTAGAGATGTAGTAGAGATGAGGTTTCACCATTGTGGCCAGGCTGGTCTTGAACTCTTGACCTCAGGGGTTCCACCTGCCTCCGCCTCCCAAAGTGCTAGGATTACAGGCTTGAGCCATTGCACCCGGCCTACTCTGTGCTATTTTTAGATTTTTATTTAATTTCCTAAATAGCTAATACATTTATATCCTTGAAATAGGGATAAATGTTCTGAGGTAGTCTATGAATAGCCCCATCTTCTATCTCTTTTACCCAAACAAGCAACCAGTGTATTTTCTAAGAGATATCTTTGAGGTGGTTTTACAGCATCATACATGAACATATGGATGTAGCCTCCCTACTTCTTTTATCTAAAAAGGTAGCATGTATCATTTAAGTAGTGAATATATATACACACACACATACATACACGCTCCCATGACTTCACTTCCCTGGATATAAGTCCGATAAGCGCAGGGACATTCTCTGCCTTGTTTACTCCATCATCAACACCTACAGCACAGTTTTTAAATCATAATAAATATTTGTAGGAAGAAGAAATGAATATATTCATTGATTTTTTCCATAGAATTTTAGAGCTGGAAGAGTTTAGAGTTCACCAGATCCTGTCATTTCATAAATGAAGGTACTATAGTCTTATAAATGAACAACACAAAACCCAAATCTTATCTTTAATTTCATCCCTAGGACCTTGCCAGTGCCTGGAACATCATGGGATTTCTGTAAGTGTATATAGGTTCCTATATGGCAAAGCAAAGACTAGATTAGGCATCCCAGTTTCAAGATTGGAGCTAATACTAAGTGAGTGAACTACTCCTCAGATAAAACAGTAAAACATCAACAACCCAGAAGCCTTCCTCATGCTCCTTCCTAGTAACAATCCTCCACTTAAAGGTAGGACCTATTCCAACTTTCATCACCCCAGCTTAGTTTTGACAGTTTTTTAGCTGTATAAATGAAATCATAGTGTACGTTCTTTTTTGTCTGGCTTCTTGTACCACCTTCTTAACACAAATGATTTAATTTAACCATTAAGTCAAGTCTGCAATATCAATATCATCTTGCTCATTTTACAAGTCACAAAAATGAAGTTCAGCAACCTTAGTTTTGGAGCTGGTATTAAAACCTGAGGCTCGTCAACGTTAAGTCTGTGTTCCTGCCCAACAGGCAGTATAGTCTTACAAAGACATTCTTTCTCTTCCAGTCTCTGAATATTCTGAATTATCACAAGTTAAGTGACTTTGATGTGGTCTTCTCTCCCTTCCTCCTTTCATCCATCTATCCATCTTTTCATTCATTTAGTGATGTCCCCTTTATGCACTGCAGTGAAAATAAAAATGACTTTTACTCCCACCATACTGCAGGGAGCTATGACTCATATTTTTAGAAACTGATCTTCCTGGGACTTTTCCACCTGTATATATTTCTCCCAACCAGCTTGGATTTTGAATAAGGAACCAGGTTTTTTGGCTTTACTATTGAACATTTTAAATCATAAACATTGATTCCTCTACATAATTGATTCTAATTATTAAATAAAGCTGGACGATTATTGATGAAACATATTCTATTTATTTTCCCAGGAATGTAAAGAATATACTGAATAAAAACAAAATCCCTAGGGAATAATAGCAGGTAAATTTATTGAGGGACATGCGAAGAGGTGTTATTGGGCTCCAAGGTTCAAGGCCTAATCTGTAGCTACAGCACATCAGGGAGGAAGGAATTGGCTACAAAGAAGCACAAGGAATCATTTGGGGGTGACAGAAATATCCACTATATTGACTGGTGGTGGTCTCACAGTTGTACACAAATGCATTGATTTGTAATTTTTGTTTGTTTGTTTGTTTGTTTTTGAGACAGAGTTTCGCTCTTGTGGCCCAGTCTGGAGTGCAGTGGCACCATCTCAGCTCATTGCAACCTCCGCCTCCCCGGTTCAAGCGATTCTCCTGCCTCAGCCTCCCGAGTAGCTGGGATTACAGGCACCCGCCACCATGCCCAGCTAAGTTTTTGTATTTTTAGTAGAGACGGGGTTTCGCCATGTTAGCCAGGATGGTCTCGAGGTCCTGACCTCGTGATCTGCCCACCTCAGCCTCCCAAAGTGCTGGGATTACAGGCGTGAGCCACCCCGCCCGGGCAATTTGTAAATTTTTAAGAAACGCCCTTTGTTGTACACAAATTAGACTTCAATAAAGTTAGCCTTAAAACAGAAAACTAGAGGAAAGGAGAACTGGCTCAAATTTTCTGTACTTTTCTCCTGTAACCACCCCTCATTTCCTCCTTGAGCTGTCTCCCTGTCATGTGAACATGGTCGTCAACGAGTGGCTTCTATAATTGCTCAGACTATCTTTCCCTCAACTGAATTCCTTCAGTTCCCTTAGCCCTAAATTAAAAAGTCTACATAGCAAGAACTTCTATTCCTCATTTTGAAAATTTTTATTTCCTCTCATCATGTTATGTCTCTTAACATTAAAACAAACCAAAAGTAAAGACATAAGAGAGATGTTTTATTTACATGAGTGATACAAGAAAATAAAAATTGAATTTAGTTATGAGCTTGCCATCTTCTGCTGAATATCTCTGGGTCACTTAGGAAATGGAATTCAAAATTATGGAACTCTATATTCGTTGCTAAAGTTTACCACAGCTATGTTGCCCAGGCTGATCTCAAATTTTTGGACTCAAGTAGTCTTTTTACCTCAGCACCCCAAAGCGCTGTAATTAATTAAAACAACAAAATCTGATTTAAAATACATCTTTTTATTGTATTTTATTTATGATATATGAAAAAATTGTTTATGTGAAGCATCATTTTTCTGGTTTGATCGTTTTAAACAATCATTTTATGTGTGTGTGTGTGTGTGTGTGTGTGCTAACTGTAGTCCAAGTCCTTCATATAGATAATCTCATTAAATTTTTTGGAAAAAATGCCTATGGTATAGATTTTATTAACATCCTATTAATATGAGGAAAGTTAAGTTCAGAGGTAGTCTTAAGATTCATGATCACAGACAGGAGACCTGAACCCAAGTATTCTAATTCTAAGACATGAGCAGCTCTCATCTTCCACAGTTGTTTGAAAGATCTTTAATTGCTTTTGATTTGTATAGCAGGAAGGAGAATCCAGTCATGGAATATTATGGTGGTAATTGCTTCCAACTGGAACCAGTTATCAAAATGTGGCAGGAAAATCTGGCCTGGTGAAGAAAGAGAAGGTGGCGAAGCTGACTCAGTTCAAGTTCAAGATCTGCTATTAATGTGCTGTCACTGAACACAAATCATTACATTTCCCTGAGCTTCAGTTTTGTTTTTCAAATTGGAATAATTGGATAATTAGATCTCTAAAGCATACATCATCAGTAGAAAATGAGCAACTTCTCATTTGGCCTAACACTTTGAGTGGGAAAATAAACTCATTTATGTATAGTGATATTCTACTACTCCCTTATAGAGTAAACAGTTACGTAAATGCAAGTCATTTTGATTTTTCACAGAATAGGATCCCTTTAAAATAGATCTATATCAAGTCTCATCCACAATTATTTTCTCACAGCTCTGTATTATTTGACTGACACACTTTGAAAACATAGTTTCCAGAGATCTCACATATTTATTTTATATTTATCTCTTTAACAAGCTAGAATTTATACTGATATATGAGATAAGGCTATTAGCAAATTTAATTTAATTTTTCTACAGTTTTCAACCAGTTGTTCCCGTGCTAAATAGTCCATCCTTCTCCCATTGATTTATTGTATCAACTTAATAAATTTTTATTTTATTTTTGTTTCATAATATGTATACATTGTGGAATGGCTAAACAAAGCTAATTAATATATGCATTGCCTCACATATTTATCATTTTGTGGTGAGAACATTTCAAATCTACTCTTCCAGCAATTTTCAAGTATATAATAAATTGTTATTAACAATAATCATCATGTTGTACAATAGATAACTAGAACTTATTTCTCTTGTCAATAAAATTTTGCGTTCTTTGACCACCGCCTTTCTAATTCCTGTCCACCCTCCTTCAGCCTTTTGCGACCATCATTCTACTCTCTGCTCTTATGCTTTTTCTGATTCCACATATAAGTGAGATCATGCAGTATTTGTTTTTCTGTGCCTGGCTTATTTCACTTAATGTATTGTCCTCCAGGTTCATCCATGTTGCAAATTACAAGATTCCTTTCTTTTTTAAGGCTGAATAGTATTCCACTGTGTATATACACTGCATTTTCTTTATCCATTCATCCATTGATGAACATTTAGGTTGATTCTGTATCTTGGCTATTGGGAATAATGCTGCAACGAACATGAGCAGTTATCTCTTTCACATACTGATTTTATTTCCTTTAGATATATACTCAGCAGCGGGATTGCTGGATCACATGGTAGTTCAATTTTTAATTTTTCAAAAAATCTTTATAATGTTTTCCATAAAGATTGTACTAATTTACTTTTCTACCAGTAGTGTACAGGGTTCTTTTTTCTTCACATTCTCTCCAAAACTTGCAGAATAGCCATTCTGACAGGTATGAGGTGATATCACATTATGATTTTAATTTTCACTTCTCTGGTGATTAGTGATGTTGAGCATTTTTTTAATATACCTGTTGGCCATTTATGTGTCTTCTTTTGAGAAATGCCTATTCAGGTCCTTTTCCCATTTTTCAATTGATTATTTATTTTCTTACTATTGAGTTGTTTGAGCTTCTTATATATTTTGGATTGAGTGACACTCCTTTGCTGATATTCCATATATTTTAAATAATGCTATTTTATCATAAAGTATGAGCACAACCACAAGGCATTTCTCAAAAGACAAACAAATATTCTGTGTTTCAACTGAGCCAGGCTAATTAGTAGGAAATGTAATTATTGCTCATCAGGACTGGCTATAGGAAAATTGTGTGACCCATTGCAAAATGAACATGAGGGTCCATCAAAAAGCATTCATGTGATGATCATGTCATCAAAAAGATGAGCGATAACAAGTGTTGGAGAGGATGTGCAGAAAAAAGAACACCTGCACATGGTTAGGGAGAATGTCAATTAGGACAGCCATTATGGAAAATAGTATGGAGATTCCTCAAAAAATTAAAAACAGAACTAACATATGATCCGGCAATCTCACCACTGGGTATATATCCAAAGGAAATGAAATCAGTATGTTAAAGATGCACTCTCATGTTCATTGCAGTATTATTACATTAAAAAAATTATTAAGTATTTCAAGATGAAAACAATGAAGCATTGTTCATGTGTGGGACCCTACTGAGCATGGAGCTCTGTCATACACACACGAATGCAGCCCTGGTGCTAATAAGGCAAGGCAGATAGAGAAGAACATGAAATAAGCTAAGCTTGATCCAAATTCCTTATTTCATGTCCTTAAAAATTAATTACAATAATTATAAGACTAATATGATACCTATGCAATTTTAAAATAGCATATTAAGGTTGTGAAAATTGTCATTTGTAATATTTCTTTCCGACTTTAATGAAGTTGTATGTTTGGAATATAATTCTCCACTGAAGCTTTGGTTTATGATGTGTGACTACTGGCCAAAAAGGCAAAAGCAATCATGTGTTACTAATTAAGCCTGATTTCATAAACTCCATAGTGGCCTCTTCTATCTTGGTGCTTCATTCATAACCATTTATTCTAAAAAGGGCCTTAAAGGAGCAGTTCTCAAAACATCTCCCTTACATGGCTACTTTTTCATCTTGGTGGTAGAAGAAAAACTTAGCACAAATTTTGTAGAATGTTTGTCATTAACCACCAATAATGTAAAGGCATATTCCCTTAGACCCACCTCTATGCATTTATCCTACACATACAGTTTTATAAAAGCACAGTCATGTACAAACAAAGATGCTACTAAAACATTTCACATGAAGCAGAGGATTGGGAAAAATTGATATTCATTAATACAGGGCTCATAATTAAATTATGACATATCTATAAACTAAGATTCTGTATAGTGATTACAAATAAACCTTTATATATAGTAGCATGACAACATGTCCAAGATATATGTCAAAAGGCAAGTTGCAGACCAGTATCTACAGGTATACATTTGTATAAATATGAAAATATATATATGTGCAATCACTATTTACATATATATGCTTATTCTCTTGATTTAAATGAATATTATGTTGTTATTCATAATAACAATCAATAGTTAACTTTGGTCGAATACTTCTTCAGTAAAGTCGGTGCTCTTCTAAGCTAGATTCTCACAGCAACCCTATGACATAGATATTATAATTTTCTTCATTACAAACAAAAAAATTGAGGAGTTGGGAGGTTCAGTAACATACTTAAGATCACACAGCCGGTGGGTGAGACCCAGGAATTAGACTGTAGGCCTTGCATTCATAACCGTTATACTGTACTACCATTAATATATGTACATTGGGGAGGATACATTTGTGTTTGGATAAATACAGAAAGTGTCTGGATCCACATATGAGACCTGATAACATTGATCACCTCTGGAGATGGATGAGGAATGAAGTTTAACTTTGTATTTCACACTCTAAAAACTTTTAGTTTTTTTTTAACATTGGAAATGTATTTCCTAAAAATATGTTTTAATATACAAAATGTGCAACAATTCTGGTCTTCTACCCTGAAACCTTGACTACAGAATTTTTAAAATTGTCTATGAATACGGAGCTCCTGCCCTCTGGCTTTATCCATTGAAAGATTAACTTGAATTACGAACTTATGAAGATTCTTTGACTCACTCAATACCTGCATTTTTTTCTGGCATACAAGATTGACTTTTTATTGCTTTGTACAGTATGCAATTACATAAAATACACATCAAACTCATCCAAATACCCAGTCATTTAGCTGTCTGTTTGGTGTACTCATACATTCTGTCATATACTGTGAGCAGAATACAGCCGAATTTGATCAGGCTGCTGTTTACAATTTACAACAGGGACCTCTAAATGACTCCTTTTTGGTATGTTTCTGGAAAGGTCAGGCACCAACGTGTTTTACCAAATAAAACTCAGGTTTGAAGAATATGCCTTCTAAACGGATTTTTACTACCTGGACTTTAATAAGTTTTACAGGGCTTCTTTGTTAAATTGCCCTGACAATTTCCATTTCCAGTTGCTTCAATCATATTAACAGAAGGTAAAGTTCACAAATAGTAAAATATGTCATTGAACTGCATTTGGGTTTTCAGAAATAGATCACACACCTGACAAACACACAAGACATAATGTTCAGCATTCTAATTCATGTTTGGCTTGGCATATCTCATTTGGGGCAGAACAAGATGCCCTACCACAAATGGAAGTATCTCATTACTCAGGAAATAAGACATGTCTGCACCAAAGACTTGACAAATCCCATTAACTGTATAAGAAGAAGGATGATTTTTTTTTTCCCTTAAGGAAAGGCAGAAAGGTCAGGGATCTGTGGTAGAAAATATGTGTGTAGATACATTAATGCTTGTGTCATTTTAAAAATATATGTGTAAAATTATACCAGAATGCATGACTCTCTTACAGAAGTACTTCTCCTTCAAAAATATGGTGTCATGCTCTATTCACAGCTGGGGTCAGCAAGAATGAGACCAGCGAGTGTTTTCTAGGAATTAAATAAGACCATTCAGTTTTTTGAAGGCTCATTAACAGATCCACAATCTACTATGTATCTTTCTGTTGGTATCTATTATTTCAGTTCCTGCATAGCAGTTATGAGGCTAACAGTGTGGGAGAGATCAGAAGGAAAGAGTCAATGCAAAAATGCTTTAAGGCCTTTGACAGGCTAATTACAAGAAGCTAGAAAGGATCAAGGAAGGCTCAAAGAAGGGGCGATAAGTGAATATGGGTGGAGGCACTGTCCCTCAAAATGGTCCTGCAAGAAGTGGCATCTACACAGACATCTGAAAAATGACTTTGTGTTACTTCATCAAGGTGGGTAACAGAGGGTGGTGAGAGTCAGTCTTATCCATAGGCCTGGACTTGAGAAAGAACATGACAAATTATGGTGACTACTGCATAAAATTTATTTCTTGTAGGTATTTAGCCTTACATTAGTTTGCTACTGTTTCTAGCTGATGTTTGTACATTAATCTGTCATATTCATTCTAGAGTGTACCTGTATTCACGACAGGGTCCACATTTATCTTGTATCATCTTTCATCAGTTAATACCCCATATCTCCCTGGATATTTGTCCTCAAATAAAAAATAAGTCATCTAAAATATTTAGAATAAAGATTTAAAGGGAACTTATTTTAGAATAGGCTTTAATTCAAAGTAAAATTGATTTTTAAAATTAATGTTTCTACTTATGAGAAAAGGCTGAAATGTTTTAGCAGCATACATGCAAATAGGATTAGGTCAAATGAACAGAAAAGCTCTACGTGCACCTCAAAGCAAATGTATATTAATAATTCTTTGACTTGGACATGGGTTCAATAATAATCTGTTTCCCTTTTTGTGCACGAATCCCCTTGCATCTGATTAGAAAGGAAGCTCTGCACATCCTGACACTGACATATACACACCTTATTTGAGTGTCTGAATTATCACAGTTTAATACAAATTTTAAAAGGGAAGAATTCCTTCTACAAACCTCTTTCAATCAGTCACCCATCAACTCAACAAATATTTACTCAGCATCTACCATGTATCAGGCCTTTTGCCAGGCACAGAGGCAACAAGAGGCTCCCTGTTCTCCAGTATCTATAAATGTAGAGATGACAGCAGTACAGATTCTCCACTGATAGGCACTAGTATTATTTGTGTATGGTTATGCTGGTTGTTTACATAGTGAAATACTTCCACCCATACCTGTTGGAAAACAGCTGCTGACTGAACCCTCCCCCTACCAAGTGTCTTCTGGACTGCCTCATTCACCTGACTCCTCCCTTAGGATGCCCAGAATCACTGTACAATCCAGTTAAAACCTAGGATAGATAAGAGGGCACCCAGGACCCTTTCATCAGTTCTTTCATTGAGGTCTGTGCTTCCTGGTCATTGACAGTGCCATACTGCCAGTCCAATACTGCAGTTGTCACCTCTACATATGGATCAACAGTCTGGACCAGTACTACATTAAGTGTCATCTTCACTTAAAGTGTTCGTTAACCTGTCTCAGAAGAAACAGGGACAGAAATGCAGAGTAAGCATTTAGAAACTTTTATATTCATTTGATAGATGAGTTTTATGTCTATATCTTTGTTTTCCTTTATTTTATTTTTCTGGTAATTTATTTTTATTATATTTTATAAAAGCATCAGTCCACAACAGTTTGGAAATAAAAATAACTAGTTCTACAACATTCAGATAGTGAGAAGTAAGCACTCCACTCATCCAACATTCTGCAGTGAATGCTGCCCATAAAGAATATGAATGAAATTTATAAGGAATACATAAACCACACTTTCTATTAACATAAGAGAAGACTTCTGCCTCCCCCTACTATTCTCCCTAATGCAAACAAGGAGCACAGAAGAGAGACGTATTTACACACAAAAATATGCCATTAAGCACATTCAGTTTCTGCATTCACTCAGGGACTATTTGGATCTCTTGCCCTCTCAGCTATTCTAGTTAAAGGGTAAATTAAGCTATACTTTCCCTAAGCAGTTTTGGTGAATGTATCTAGCTCCTCATTTTTACCTTGACTATATTCTTCTCTCATCTCAGCTCGTTCATGCAGTTTAATACATGCATGCAGCATGTGTTAAACTATGTATAAAACTTAGATGAGTAATTCATGTAAATTAAGAAGTATATTCTGTCATCTTTGGTCATCTAAATAATAGACTATCAGCCAAAATCAACCCCAAGGGATTAGCTTGGAACATTTTCTGTGTAATTGTATAATCTTGACTTTAAGCAGCATATAACTAATCCTTATATCACAATGAAACTAAGAATGTAAGAAGAAATGTGTTATGCCTTATCTTTAATATTCTACTAGCTTTATTACACTAAGTTTTAAGTCATTTTTCTAGCTAATTCTCAATTATTTAATTGGAAAGATTTGTTTGATTTTAACTCAGAATATTCCGTCTTATTACGATACTTCCACAAAAGTTAATGCTGCTTTAAAAAAATACCTCAATCTGGATGATGAATACATACCAATTCTTGGCTGGTAGAGGCAAATGGTAAAATATATATAGGTGAAATAATATGATGTCTGGGATATAGACAGACATATTATTTTATCTATAAATATTATAAAATAATATAATGTATTCTTGAAGAGTGAGAAAGTGGTAAAATAGTTGGATGAAATAAGATTCATAGTAGAATAAATGTTGAAGCTGGATGATGGGCATGTTGAGATTTCTCGTACCATGTAAATTACACTATTTTCTCTGCTTTTGTGTATGTTTCATAAATTCTATAGTAAAGGCAAAATATACACAAAATATGCATATACCTATCTTTTTCCACAAAGCTTATTTTTTTCTTAAGACTAGCAGCAAAGAATTAATATTGTAAAGGAATATACAAAATTTATGATCAAGATAGTGAAAACAATTAATTAATTGGTTAGATTTTGTTGTAATATGTTCTGATTGGGAACTTTAAACAGAGAATAATATGAAACTTACAACAGAGCAAGACATGAATTTTCTCCATGTAAAGTAAAAATGTAAAATGTTTAAATTTTCTTTCTAGTAAAGGTATTTGGGAAAAAAAATCAAATTCAGAGATTTAAAAACAGGCAATCCTTTTGCCAATTGTACAGCTGCTATGGTCTGAATGTTGCATCCCCCCAAAATGCTTATTTTGAAATAGTAACTCCAAAAATGATGATATTGGGTGGTGGGGCCTTTTGGGAATCATTAGATCATAAAGGCAGAACCCTCATATATGGGAATAATATCCTTATAAAATAGGCACAGAACTTGTTTGCCCCTTCCACAGTGTGAGGACACAGCTGGAAGGCTCCATTTGAGACAGGAACCAGGCCCTCAACAGACACTGAATCTGTCAGCACCTTGATCTTGGACTTCCCAGCCTCCAAAACTCTGAGAAATAAATTTCTGTTGTTTATAAGCTACCTAGTCTATGGCATTTTACTATAACAGCCCAATGGGACTAAGGCAACAAAAAATAGAATGGAACTTTAAATAAAATATTTAATAGCTTATTATTGAAATCTCAATAATCATAAATATCTAAAATGTGTAATAACTTGACATGATAACCAAATATTTAAAATGTACCCAATACAGCAATTCTGAAACCCACACAGAATGTTTGCCATTTTCCAGCATACTCCATACACTGACTTTAATAGAATATTTAGGTTTAGTGAAACTGTGAAGCAAACAGTACTTTTTTCTCTGTCAGATTATTTTATTTATTAATTTATCTGGCATAGTTTGCCTGTTGTTTGTATTGCATATTATAGAATGCTTTACATGAGAAAAATTTCACTCTAAATTAATACAATGGAAAAATTTTCAATTCAAAGAAAAAAATAGCACATTGATGGATAGAATTTTTTCTATGTTTTATCTCATGTATTTTCTGAAACATTGGCATGGGCAACATTTGTCTGCAAGTGAGCACTAGAAGATAAAAGAATGAATAAACAAATAGTAAAGGAACAATACAGAAAAACTCAGAAACAGCTGTGAATGTTTAATCTGGTTGCTGTTTTTTTTCCCATGTCCACTTATGTCTGGTTGTGATTTTATATTGCATATATAAAATACAGTCATATGTTCTGCTCATGAAATTGACCCTACTTATTATAAGAAATTAGACATGACAGCTTCTCATGGATGCTTTATACAAAGAGAGTCTGAGAAGTCTGAGGAAGATTCTAATGACATGAGCAAAATGTGTCCAACTCCAGCTCTGATTCCAAATTCTATTTGTTATTGAAATCCTCTGGGATCCAGTAAATTTTATGTTGATGTTCAAAATAAGTCAAACACACTTGAAATGTTTGTCAGTAAAATCTTTTGGTATACAAGTGACCATGTCAGAATGTCTAGCATCCTGTAAGCCAAGTAGTGATCCATAAATATTTGCATAAACCTTGATGGGAATCAGGTTCCAAATAATAGGGTCTTTAAACATCAATCATATGACAATGCGAAGGGATTGTTATTACACCACTGAGTGTGTGGTGAATAAAATCTAGGAGTGAGAAAAGACAGCCATCCCCTATTTAATTTATCATTAAGCAACCTAAAGACTTAAGGAATAGACAATCTGCAACCTCACAGTACTGGAGTATGATTCAGCAAAACTCCTACTTACTAAGAAAGGTCAAACTGTAAACTGTGAGTTTCACCAAAGCTAGGATGGTATAACTCATAAGATATATATACACTTCCAAGGAGTTAGAAAAAAAAAAAAAAACTACCTTGTTTCATGTCTTAACAAAGCCAGAAAGAGGGGAAAATGCAAGAAAACCACATACTAAGGTCAAACTGCTATATCTGACCAGGTTCTAAATAGTTGTGACGATCTTCTTGGAAGTGCAATGAACATGTTAGCAACATTAGTACAAAAGGACACAAATCATCAGTACTAGCATTCTTGACATGGTATACTAAATCCACCCACTAAAGTCAACTTAGGGAGAATATTAAAAAAGGGTCCCAAAGCTGTACTGTTCCCCGCCTTGTAGAATCTGAACTGCCAAAGTCAAGCATAACTGAAATTCATTTTTATCCTCACAAGTTCATCAACTTATGAAATAATATTACATTATCTTCCATTTCTACTTTTTCTATATTCTTTTGGATAACCCTTGCTATCTGCATTCACTCTCAACCTCATTTCTTTTTCTACCAGGATCTACCATGAAGTACAGAAAGTATGTAGGTGGTTCCCTAATCTACACAATAATCTGGGATCATCGATATTAAGAGCAACATAGAAAGCGTATAAATTTACTTCATTTAAAATTCTGGAAAACTCAAAGGAATTTCCATAGTATTATTCAATATGATTCTATATATTGAAATGTACAACATTTCATGAGGAATTGCCTTTGTTAACAGCGTATACAACCTTCTGCTGGTGCATTGACCTTTTTACTAGCCAGTCAATGCCTATAATACCTAAACAATCGTAAAATGTTTCATTTTTTCTTCAGTTTAAGAATTTTTAGTCTGCACAGTGGCTTCCTTTAATCCATAACTTGTTTTCAGATTGTATTTCAAAGGAGGAAAAGCAAAGGAGGATAAACAATTTACAAAAATATAAGGAGAATATAAATATTATGCTTGAAATATACAAAGAAGGAATGGAACCATAATATTCAATGCAAGTTACAAAACAAGCTATGAGAAAGTTGTAGTGTATGAATAAAGAAAAGAAAGTCATTATAAGATTTATTTTTGCTTTATTTTGGAGGAGGATGTCAACATATCCAATATGCCAAAAGATATCTCAAAGCACCTAAGGTTTAATTGCTATCATGCTCTAACCCCATTAAAAAGATATGCTGGTAGACAAATGCCAACCAAATTTCCACTCTTCTAGTAGTCTATCCCTGGAGGAAAACTAATGATCACTAACTGCTAAGATCTACTGAGTGATAGATATTAAAAACTAAAGGAACAGAGCTGTTTCCTGAAAGAAAAATTGAACATCCATTGCAAATTATCCAGAAGCATAATCATATATGGTTTCCAACTCTAATTGAAGGAATTTTTAGTGATCAAAAATTTAATATCTGAGCTCATTTGCAGGTACTGTAGCATGATATCTATTTTAGTCAGTTGGATTCTTCTTTCCCACGACATTTAGTTGCCTAGCCTCTGAAGGAGAATTAACTTGCTTTGAGACATTCAATAAAAATCCGAGAGCCCACCATGTGCAGAACTCTATAGGAAGGATGATGAGGCACCAGGCCTGGATTCTGCCTCCAAAAGGAATAGCATCCAAGGACTAAACTTAAAAAATAGAAGTGTCACAAAGGCTTAAGGTTGGACTATGATAGAAGTTTAAAAGAAAGGAGGTACAATAAACTACAAATGTTAGTATGACATGTCATTAAAGATATTAAAAATGGTGTTTCCAATAAGTAATCATATAGTTTCTTGTCACTTATAAGATGAAATATTATACACTCACAATTATATTGCTAGTTACAATATGTAAAAAATAATTATGGAGAGCAAGAAAATTAAGATTGATTTTTTAAAATGCAATGGCAAAACCACAATGATCTGGTTTTATTATTCCAAAATAGCGTTTCTCAACCTTGACATTATTGATATTTTAGACCGAATAATTCTTTATTGTAGCAAAAATGAGACACTATTTAATGCATTGCAGTATGATTAGCAGCATCCTGGCTTCTACCCACCGAACAGATGCCAGTAGCAACTTGTGCCCTAGTTGTGACCACCATAAATGTTTATAGATGTTGCAGTTGAGAACCAGGGCTCTAAAGCAACTTGTGCCCTAATTGTGACCACTACAAATGTTTATAGATATTGTAGTTGAGAACCAGGGCTCTAAAGCAGTGGTTCAGGTGTTAGCTTCAGTATTAACATAGTGGCCAGTTGAATGTACACCTCTAGGTAGCTCTTTACCATGGGTAATAATTACCTACTTACTTATCTGCACTTTCCTATAAACCATAAGTTTCCTCAGGTCTGGAATTGTATCTTACTTGTTATTGGTTTTCTATACACTAAGCAGTCTATGCATATGCTTTATGCTGAATGAATCAATAAAGGAAGCTAGAAAGAAAGGAAACAAAAGAGGGAGGTAGCTGAACTGACCAATGAAGTGTGGAGGGGCTCTGGCATGCATCATATAGTGTCAGTGGATGCCAATATTAATTTTCCTCTCAGTCAAGAGAACCACAAATGTCTCCAAACATTGCCAAATGTCCTCTATGGTGGGCAAAATGCCTCTAGTTGAGAACCAGTGTTCTAAAAGATTGCACAGATAAGGTTTCAACCTTGTTATAAAAGGAAATATGAATTTTGCAGTACTTTCTTTCTTTGTCCTACTCAATTAAAAAGAAAGAGCTCTAATACATTAATGGTTTTGGAGTTAGACATGAGATAGGATATTGACATCCAGTTGGCTGTATGATTTTAATAAATTAGGCTCTTTGAGCTTTAATTATTTCATTTGTAAAACTGGGACATTAACGACTACCACATGGAGTTATTTCATTCAACAAGTATTATTACTTGCTACTTGCTGGATAGGCACTGTGGTTGGTTCAGAAGATATACAGTGGGAGTGGTAACAGTTATGATCTTTGCATTTATATTTTATACTCTAGTCTGGAAAAGCAACAGTAATCCAATAGTCTCCCGTACAAAATTTAAATTACAAATTGTCACATAAACCCTATGATAATGAAGAAGGTTCTATGAGAACAGATAAAAAGGGGAACGTGACCTAGAATTGGGTGTCAGTAAGATTTTCCCAAGGAACTGCCACTTGACCTTGGGCCTGAGGGAGACAACATGTGAAAGCACAAGGCTGTCCTGATATCTGGATACTCTGTAGAAAATCAATGAATGCAAGCAATAGGTTATAATCATCACTGTCCCTAACAAAATTAACAGATAGGAATAAGATGTTAAGCAAAGTGACATTGTATTTAATGTCTTTACCATAACAAAAAGGTATGCATAATTCATTTTATAGAATTCTGAACTAAGATAATAGTTGTAAGAAAATTGTGATACTAATAATGTTGACGCAAAAAAAATCAGTTCTTTTGGAGTATAGAATGTTGGTGCCTTTAACATCTTTACTTTCTGGATATACAATTTCCCATTGTATTTTGCATTATGGTTACATTCTTCAACTAGGGAACAACAAGGATTAGCACATAGTCCAGTTAATAAAACCCAACTATTCCACTGTGCTAACAGTCCCTATGAGAACTCCAGCCATCAGTTAAACAAATCATTTGGCTGGGATTGGAGCATTTACCATATGCACAAGTTACTAATTTCCTGGACGTTATCAGCCATTAGCTGGTTTCCTGTGTCCCAGCAAATGCTGAGGTGAGAGCCTTGATTGCCAAGACTGAACGTTTCAGACATGGGTCCATGGACCATTTCCTCCATCTAAGATATAATAACACTCTATATTTGTAATTCTTCTGTCAAATGCATGTGGAAAATGGCCAGAAAGTTCAAGTGAAGGAAAATGTGTAAAAAAGAAAAACTAACTTGTGTCAGTGTACCGTGCAATTATGCTGGCAAAACTCTATTAAAATTTGGAGGACTCAGTTGCCCGCAGCAAGAGGAGTATGAAACAGAACTAATCACCAGGAAACTCCCACACAGCATTAAGGGATTTATTTAGAGATCAGACTGTGTCCAAATGAATGACAATTGTCATTTTCTTCATTTCTAATCTACAAATGCTGCTTTCTGGCTAATCAGAGTTCCCAAGGTGGGGAAGGAATACATATGGTCCCTCTTAACTCTACTCAAGACCTCACAGCCTATGCTCACTCATAAGCAAATGTCACCACTGTCTCCTCTTCTGTTTTATCTTGGTGACTTCAAGGCATAAATTAAAAAGTACATCATCAAACAAAAAAGACTGAGAGTCTGAATTAAATACTTAAGTGACCAGAGCATTTTGTCCCTCACAGTATTCTAATTAATGGTTTATTTAATGTGCAAGATAGTGTGACAACTTTGTTTACAATTAGAAATTATTTGCACAGTGAAACATTAGAACAGTAAAATAGGAGGGTAGTCTGTTTTTTAATACTCGAGGATTATTGGCAATATTTTATTAAGGCAAACACAAGTCCTTTAATTTTTAGAATGCATAGTGTTCATCATTTGACCTTGGCATATCACTTCATCATACTGAGTATTTCTTTATGCTCTCTTCCAGCCCAAAAGTCTGTCTCTATATGGAGACCATTTGAAAAGTTTCAAACCTTTATAAGTAATGTTATTCATTATCTTAGACATCCTTTAGAACCTAACAGCTTACTAAATAGAGTAGGAGGGCCCCCCAATTTCATAATTTCGAAGATGACATATACACTTTTATTACTTAGATTCAGCATAAAGAATTATATGAATTTCATAGTTTCTGTGATGGTTATTAGCAAACATCACAATTACATTTCCTAAATAATATGTGCTCAAGAAACATAGCATTGTGTAAATAATTTTCATATATTTATATGTACTTATATATTTATACATCTTTATTATGTAAAATAAGTAATAAATATATATTGTATGTTATGCTATTTTATTAGGATGAACTCAATTGTCACAATCAGTACCTAATTAAAGAGGCTGATTTGCCTCAGCATTTGATCAACAGGGTTCCATCACTGTTCATGCTCTGACAATCCATTAACCAGTACATGCTATGTGACAGGTTTGGTTTCTGAATAATCAGCTAGGTAACTTTTTATAGATCACATTTATTATCTTTTTTATTATGATATTGTCATTTTTACATTACATAGTGACCAATGTTCATTCTAGAGAGGTGGAAAACACAGATATGATTATTGAAGAAAAAAATGACCCCACTTCCCTACCTACAGAATTTTAGTATGACTTTTACTATGACCATTTTTCCCTAAGATTGAATATGCTTTCAAAAAATGCTATTTAAGTGGCAGCAGTTGATGGCTTTGCCATAATTTTCAAGCTACTACACTGCAGAGACTTTGTCGAGCAGGATTATTTTTGGCTACTTTATGTTGCTCAAATTTTTACCATTTACAACTCATGCTACAACTGAGTGTGATCTGTGTCTTAGTCAGTTTTGTGTTGCTTAAAAGAAATACGTGAGGCTGCATAACTTATATTTTTAAAAAAGAGGCTTATTTAGCTAATGACCCTGCTGGCTGGAAGACTGGGCATCTGGTGAGATCCTCAGGTTGCCTCCACTCAAGACAGAAAGCAAAGGGAAGCCAGACTGTGCAAAGATAACACGGCAAGAGAGAAGGTCAAAGTGGCAGGCTTTTTTTAATAGCCAACTTTTGTGGGAACTAATAGAGCAAGATCTCATTTATTACTGTTAGGAGAGCACCAAGCCATTCATGAGGGATCTACCTTTATGACCCAAACACCTCCAACTAGGCCCCAGCTCCAACACGGGGATCGAATTTCAGCATGAGGTTTGAAGGGACAAACGTGCAAATATTGGCATTCTGCACCTTTGATTTTAAGGTGGGTTTCTAGAAGGAAATTAACAGCTCAAACACTAAAAATAATTTTCAGAAAAGTCAAACCAATTCACATTTCCACAACAATTCGTAACTTTATCAAAATATCATTACTCTATTTGTTTTAACTAGTGTACATTTGATAGTAAAAATAGTATCTTGGTTTTTTATTTACATTTATTTTACTACTAGTAATATTTATGATGATTTATAATGTGGATTTTCATATGTGACTTGTATGCTTACATCTTTTTTTGTTTACTATATTTGTCTTTTAGTATATTTCCTGATTTGGGTGAATACTTTATGGATTAAGATCAGTTTTTGCACTTCAAATGGAGAGTCTTTCTGTGCTTCACGCAGAAGTCTGAGTATACAATTCTGTGATCATATCTTCCATAATCAGCAATCATTATTCTATCCTTTTCTGAGTTTTAACCCTATATTGAATATATACGAAGAGCTAGGTTTTGTTCCTTTTTAGTTAACCAAGCCTCCCTGCTACATGAATGTTTGTACATTTTTATTTTTAAATTTAGTTACGTTTCTAATAAGCCTACACACCTGTGGACGTGTGTCTTTTCATGTTGATTGGAATGTGGTCAGTCCTTTCAATCTCCATGAAAGGATATGTCATCTCTGGAAAGATGTCTTTAGTTTATGTATCTGCTTATTGCTTCTGTTTCAGCTATTCTTATTTCTTCTTCTGGATGATGTACTCACTGTTATGTTAGACCGCCACTCACTTTTTTTTCTATTTTCTTTTTTTAGATTTATCTTTTTTTTTTAAAGTTTATGTGGGTGCATAGTAGGATTATATATTTACAGAGAACATGAGATACTGTGATACAGGCATGCAGTGTGAAATAAGCACATCATGGAGAATGGGGTATCCATCCCCTCAAGCATTTACGCTTCAAGTTACAAACAATCTAATTATATTCTTTATTTTAAAATGTATAATAAAGTTATTATTGGCTACAGATACCCTATTATGTTATCAAATAGTAGCTTTACCAAAAAAAAAAAAAATCTCCACTCTCTGCCCACCATGCTTGCCATGTTTTCTCTCATTCTTTTGATAATTTGACCTTTATTTTCCTGCATACTGGGAAAGCTTCTTTAATCAGTTCTTTAAGACATTAATTTGATTTTCTGTGGTGTCAATTCTGCCCCGACTATCACCAATATGGAATTTAGTTCTGTTACTGCACAATTTTTATTCTTTCTAATACTTCACTTCACTTAGTTCTCTTTGCTCCTTAGCTTAATGTTTCTTCATTTTGCCCTACTGAATTTGCACTGAAGCTGGCTTCCTCCTTGTAGGTTTTTGTTCCTTTTAAAAAAAAATCTAAGTTTATAAAAAATACAGTTAAGCATTAGGTATTATAGGAGAAATGTTTTTAAAATACACATTCTCAGATTGTGCTCTTAGAGACTCTGATCTGATGGCTCTTAGACGGAGGTGGGGAGACAGAAGAAGAGAAAAATAAAAAAGATGATGAAGGCACCTCCTCAAATGAATCATACTCAGCAGGAATGAATGCAATATCAGATGCCTATATTTGACAATATGATATGGTTGATATGTATTTGTTTGTGTGTTTGTGTGTAATCTTATCTTCTAGAAGTTAAGTAAGGGAGAGAGAATAAGAAAAACAGGACTTTTGTATAAAATAATTAAGTATAGACTAAAGAGATATTAAGAATCTCAATTTTGCTCTAAGATTGTCTCAGTAATTATAAAATCCTTGAGTCTTTCTGGAAATCCGTTGCCTATTAACCTTGGTCTTTCAAGGGTAGTTGTTGATCATTCTTTACTGTATTTTTGCATATTTCATGGGGAAATTGGGAGTGGCTTCCTCGGGAATATATAAAGCCAGAAGCTGGGTACACAGTTTTAATGATGTTACATTAGCAAATCAATATTTTCTGGGAATTTAAAACACAGACTTCTGTGTGCTGCATTCTGGTATCCAATAAACTTAACTTTGTTTGATATTGTGTCTTTATAAGGTAGTGACATTTCTTACATTAATGTCTAACTATGGATATTTCCGAAACCAGATATCTAACAATACACTGGTAAGTGTTCGTCCACAAGTAATATGTCATTCTTCTCATGGAGTGTGATTTATATTTTTTAACGGTGATGATTTCAGTAATGTCTATCATCTTACAAGAAATTTACCTTTGAATCAGAAAAGAGTAAAATTCATTTTGTGCTGGTCTCATCAAGCAACTTTGTTCAGTTACCTTAAATATGAACACCAGGGAAGACAGTTTATCTTTGATATGTGAATATAATTTCCAAATGGATCCTTAGGCTAAAAGTAATTCATGAGTATGAAAAAATGAGCTCTTAATATTGCGTCATTTAAAACTTTATTTCCTTTATAGAAAGGTATGATATTGCTAATGTCCTTTCACAGAAAAGTGAAAAAAAAATCCATTTCAATAGGGAAAAAAAGTCTGGTTTTGTTTTGAATTTTACCATTTTCTAAAGTTGAATATTCTCTTAAGTTTGGAATACTTCTTAGATATGAAGAAGGAGTTAATGTGCTTACAGATGTTGGAATGTCAACTCCCACTGATTTAGCCAGCAGACTCTAAGTTTCACGGTGTGGTTAAGTCATTCAAATAGCAGTTAAAAAGTGTGTCCTGGACACGGTGGGAAAAGAGGATTAAACTGAGTATGCTGCCTTCTTTTTCACAACACTCACATTTCTGTTTTGTTTTTGTGTGTCCACTGTATGCATTTGTGAACAGCTCTCACAAGTGTCCAAGTGATACACATCATAGTGTAATAAATATAGCATGCACACAAAACCAGAGATCACAGAGGCCTATCATTCAAGTTTGTTTATTACTTATCTTTAGGTTTCACTTTCAATAAAAGTCAGATGTGCTGAGGAACTATCAAACATGTTTTAGTTATTGTGTTATTCCATGGAAAAATTATAGCTACCTGTGATAATTAAACATCTTTAAAAAAACATGTATTTTGGGAATGTATATGTGTGCATACACATGTAAATATATGCAAGTGTATACCCAATTTCTTTAAGACTTCTAAAATATAAGAGTTATTGGTCTTCATTTCCAAATTCTTGTCATCTATTTTCTGAAGAAACAAAGATGTCCATCTTGTCCCATTCCACCAGTCAATAGTTAGAAGGATTAAATTGAACCATTGTTTGTGAGCTCAGGAATTAGGTTCTGAATAATTCATTAGGATAGTGAATTAAAGGACTATTTCTGTGCAAAATTCAGTTTGAGGTCACAAAAATTTATCAGAATTGAAAACCATTAAAATATAACCAGTACTGATTATTCATTTGTTCATTCCCATATTCATTAATTCCACAAAGATTCATGAAGCCCCACTATGTATATCAGGGACTCTAATAGATTCTGCAGTTCACTGATTTAATAATTTTATCCAGTCTGTTATTCCGTTTCAGAAATTCAAAAGCCAAGCTCCGCTGAAGAGACTAGAAAACAGCATTAACAGACTTATGATCTCCTTGGAAAGAATAAGGCTTTGGAACCAGAAAGGCTTGGGTTCAAGACCACTTGACTATCTTAGTGAATGTGGGACATCTCCTATTTTTTCACCTGTACAATTGGAATAATAATACCTACCTCCAAGGACCCTAGTAAGAATTAAATGAGATAATAATTATAAAAGCACTTAACCTATTCACCAGCATTAAGGCTGATGTTCAAGAAATAATCTCCTTTATTCCCTGCATCCGTTTGTCTGTCTCCTTGCCTTTTTGCAGAATAGATATAGTTAAAGGACTTGAAGAGCATCTCAGAGCACACCAGAAGTAAATTACACAGAAACAGAAGGTGGACCGTGAACCTCGGTAGTCTGTAGTTTTCTCAGTGTTAAAATGTTCAACCATTTAGCATAATTCATATATTATATAATTCCACCATTCCAATTCATCCAATCATTTTTAGAGTACAGTATAAAAATAAAATGCAGAAAGCAATTATAGTTGGTTAAAAGTTGGGGCCAGGAAAGCAGGAAAGCCAATTATAGTTGGTTACATAGTTGGGTCCAGGAAAGCTTCCATTGCTTCTACTTTCTTATGGAAAGATAGTGGTGTAACACTCCTGGTCCTTCTCTTACTTGTCCACTTACATAATACTTCCAAATGGGAGAAATAATAACTCACCGGTCTTGTGAGTTTGAGAGCAAGAGCTCAGCAAGCGTGGCTCATTGCTCTCTCCCTTGTCCTTGGGATCTAACTGCCAATAGAGAGCACATTCACTATTTCCTCCTAGTATCATAAGAAGTAAAGATCTCATCCATGGGTGGGGAGACACATGGTTGTCCGGCACTCCCTGTGACTGAATGGCTAAACCAAATTTTGACATTCGCTATTGAAAGATTCATTTTCCTCACAAACCTAAGTCACATTTTCCTAATGTAACACCAGCAGTCATACAACCAATAGTTTTCTTATTTTGACATACTTCTTTGTCTTTTTCAGTGGGATCAGAATCTACGTGGGACAAAGCAGTACTTTTAGTTAGGCACACCCCATGGACAACAATGGTGTTTAGAGAAAATACCTTTTCCTTTCAACTTTAAGAACAAATTATTAAAGCCATGAATGAAGACTATTCATTATTTGGTTTTCTCAACAGTACATCCAGAAATGAGTAATTGACTCAGATCAGCTTGTGGACACATTCTCTTCAAAGAGGCAGGATGAAAGTTTGAAAGTGTTGATGTTTCTTTTCTTTCTTTCTTTTCTTTTTTTTTTTTTTTTTTAGACTGACTCTTACACTGTCGCCCAGGCTGGAGTGCAATGGTGCGATCTTGGTTCACTGCAACCTCCACCTCCCGGGTTGAAGTGATTCTCCTGCCTCAGCCTCCCGAGTAGCTGGGATTACAGGTCCCCACCACCACGCCCAGCTAATTTTTTTGTATTTTTAGTAGAGACAGGATTTCACTATGTTGGCCAGGCTGGTCTTGAAATCCTGACCTTGTGATCCTCCTGCCTCGGCCTCCCAAAGTGCTGGGATTACAGGCGTGAGCCACTGCACCTGGCCGATATTTCTTATAGGTTGAAAAGAACTTGAATTCCACACATATCCTTCAGTAACTAAGTGCCTAGTCAACTAGTAGGGATCCCAGTTTAAGACACTGAGGCAATTCTTTTGTTGATTTTTGTTTTTGTCCAATGCTAGGAAAGCAGAGAATTTTACTAGTATACATATGCACTGTTTCACTTAAGATGACATAGTAGAGTCCTTGCAAAAGCAGAGGGTAGTACCCACAGGCAGATTATGGAAATCATTCGATATAAGCTAATACAAATATTTAACTTTAGATGAGTCTGCTTCAAAAACTTCAAATAATTAATGAATAGGATTAAGATCAACCCTGACAATTTCAATATTGAGTTTTGAATCCCTGCATTCAGCATTTGGATCAGGAAAAAAACTGAGCCAAATTGACATAGCCAACAAAGCAGATATTCACAAATATTTTATAGACATGTAAAAGACCAGCCAGTAAGTATTTCTTTTACAGAAAATTTTAAAATTTTCAATCATGAGAAAAATAATACTTATATATTTTTAGAGAGATCTGTCTGTTGAAGATGTATCCCACAGGAGCAAATGATACAAATATTCATTTTAGGAAATGAGATAGAGCAAGGTTTACATTACATTGCATCAGTCATTCAAGAGTAATGAACTATGTTAAAAGCAACATCAGAATGATTTTCTTTGGAATCACAGTTATTTAAAGTGCATTCCACAACTGTAGAGGAAGGTGTCTTGTCATATTCTTACACCCACTGGTACAACAATAGAACAACACGATTTGAAGAAGGTAAGTGTTGAAATAAAAATTTACTGATCAATTAGAATTTGACTCACATGAAAAAAAAATTCCAAACAGTGCAATATTAGGATGACTTGAAACCAGACAACTCCCACAAAAAAGGGGGGAAATGATGGTAGTTTATGCAACTCTTCTATTGTTATGAAGATGCAGGATATAGACAATAATAAAACCCAAAGATGCTATCTCACTAAAGAGTCTGGTCTATTTTAAATTACTATAGAAATTTTTCATAACTATTGCTTAAATATAAGTATAGTTTTCTCCTCTCATTTCTTTTAGATACATGTTCAAATGTCACGTGATTAGAAAGGCTTTTCCTGACCATTGTACCTAAAATACTACCATCTCCATATCCTATTTAACCACCATCTCCATCTCCTATTTTGTAACTGTAACTGGTTTTAATTTTCTTCAAACCAATTGTTACAATCTAATAAATTATATCTCTTTGTATAACAGTTACTTTTTGTAATACCCTATGTGAACTTCATGAAACTTTGTTTGGCTCAGTGCTATGTCTGTAGCATGTAGAACAATCCTTGTGGATAGCAGGTGTTCAACATAAATGTGTTGCGAAAGTAGGAGAATGAGAGATTCCTGCTTCAGTTTGAGCCTACAGCCCTTGTCCCCATGGGGGAAAAATGGGATACAAACAAATGATAGCATATAGGGATTTCTGATCCTTTGATCTTATTGCAAAACAAACAAACAAAAAGACATGGACATTATTCTAGGAACATTAGCATCCCCAGATAGCCCTTGTCCATCACTATATAAAGTATTGATTGTTTCCCACCCAGTCTCAGGAAACAACTCTCGAATCGCCTGCTCAAGTTACCCTGGAACAATGCCTCTTTCCTTCCTACATAGGGAGCCCTTGAGAAGCCTCTATGTTTACCAGGAGGCTCCATCCCACTGTAGTGACCAATAAATAGCAAATAGCCTGTTTCTTCTGCTTTACCTAGGAATGATAAAAACAAAAACTACTAATACGATCTTATACTACAGGAGTGTGGCTGACAATGCCTGTCATATACCTGTGCATTCAGAAGAGTAGCTTTGGTAGACAAGCCACATTATGAGGCCAATAGTTGCACTTTGGTAAAATGGTCTAGAATATTCTATTGAATACACCCTTCCTTTTTTTATTATACTTTAAGTTCTAGGGTACATGTGCACAACGTGCAGGTTTGTTACATATGTATACATGTGCCATGTTCGTGTGTTGCACCCATTAACTCGTCATTTACATTAGCTATATATCCTAATGCTTTCCCTCCCCCCTCCCCCCTCCCCCAATCCCATGACAGGCCCCAGTGTGTGATGTTCCCCTTCCTGTGTCCAAGTGTTCTCATTGTTCAATTCCCACCTATGAGTGAGAACATGCGGTGTTTGGTTTTTTGTCCTTGCGATAGTTTGCTGAGAATGATGGTTTCCAGCTTCATCCATGTCCCTACAAAGGACATGAACTCATCCTTTTTTATGGCTGCATAGTATTCCATGGTGTATATGTGCCATATTTTCTTAATCCAGTCTATCATCGATGGACATTTGGGTTGGTTCCAAGTCTTTGCTATTATGAATAGTGCCGCAATAAAGATATGTGTGCATGTGTCTTCATAGCAGCATGATTTATAATCCTTTGGGTATATACCCAGTAATGGGATCACTGGGTCAAATGGTATTTCTATTTCTAGATCCTTGAGGAATCACCACACTGTCTGCCACAATGGTTGAACTAGTTTACAGTCTCACCAACAGTGTAAAAGAGTTCCTATTTCTCCACATCCTCTCCAGCACCTGTTGTTTCCTGACTTTTTAATAATTGCCATTCTAACTGGTGTGAGATGGTATCTCACTGTGGTTTTGATTTGCATTTCTCTGATGGCCAGTGATAATGAGCATTTTTTCATGTGTCTGTTGGCTGCATAAAAGTCTTCTTTTGAGAAGTGTCTGTTCATATCCTTCACCCACTTTTTTTATGAGGTTGTTTGGTTTTTTCTTGTAAATTATACACCCTTCCTTAATTAACTAAAAGTCTTCTACTGGAATATAACTGATATGGCTTCACTGTGGTGATATATTTTGTAAATTCATTGTGTGTGTGTGTGTGTGTATGTGTGTTTGAATTTAAAATATTTTCTTTTGTATATTCCTTGATTTTGACTTTTCATCTTTTTATATGTCAAGTAAAAAATCCACTGGTTTTTTTTATTTTTTTTTCGAAGACAACTACTGTCAAGGTCATTGATTTATAAGTGAAGTCCTTTCCTCTGGTCTCAATCTGGTTTTCTGCCATGGTAGATATAATATTTTTACATTATGCCTTTCAAGCTACTTGACATCCTCTGGGACACTTAGTCTCTTTTGTGATTGCTTAACTGAGATTTACTCTACAAATCCCACTGGAAATGAATCACCTTTGGGAACTGTAATGGCAGTCTGGTAGTACACCTGATGAAGTCTTATCTGAAGGCCCTGAGAGGGAGTGACTTCTTTTCTGCGGACATTTCCTCTAGAATAAGATATACTGTGTTTACTCATATTTGGAATCGACAGAAAGCAAATAAGAAAGATGTCTGTTAAGCCTGAGATTACTCAAGGACTGGCTGGTAATAATTCATGACTGTTTAATATGTAGACCCATTCTAGTGTTTCTAAATATATCCAGGAAAAGCCTCCAAAGCTGTGCAGTTCTCCAGCGAGGCCTCAATGAGGCCACAGAGAATAAGGGGCAAGTAAGATCCCTCTGGATGACAGAATCAGGGGTTATGTGATTGGATAACCAAGGAACTTATTGCACTGACAACTCAAGAATTCTATTTCCACCTAGCAGGATTTGATATGTATTTGAGATCAATAATTTAGGCTTGCTTCCCATTTTCTCCTTTCCTAAATAGTCATTTTCCTTTAAGTGCATGTATCCTGTTGTTTCTATGTCATTCTACATTGCGGGAATTCAGACAGATAACTTCTCTTTTAAAGGTATGACTTGCTGAGCTATGAGGAGGAGCCATGGGCCTGTTGGAGATAACCGAGTCACCAGATGCAATCACAGCTTTGAGGTGGGTTCTTTTTGGGAAAGAATTAATGCATGCCACCTAAAATGTATGTATGCATGTCACCTTTATTGATGTCATGGATGCTGGATAGCCAAGGGGATGGACTATTATTAATTTTCTCTGCTTGCAGAGGCAAAGAAGTCGAAACACTCATCATTTCATACTCTCTTACAAGAAAGCGGGAAATCATATGACTCAGTTTTGGCTTTTGAGTTGTAAGCACAAATTGCTGATTTGAGATTCTGGAAAAACCTTTAAAAGGACAAAATCAGCCATACTGCTCCTTCATCTATTTGCTTTTTTCTCTTTTTCCTGGATTAACTGTGGATACAAGAGCTGGAACTTTAGAAGCCATCTTATAAATGTGTGACATAAAAGCCAGGGATAAAAGATGGCAGAGCTGCCTTGATCCTTGATGGCACCCCAAAGAATTGGCCTCTGCTGTCTATCTATGGCCTTCTTCCTACTGAGTAAAATAAATATCTGCAAGTTAACTTATTGTTAGCAGGGATTTCTTCACTTTTTTTCATGCTTATAGAGACACATATTCCTTGGCCAATAAGTTTTTTCTCTATATCCTGAAGTTGCCAAGAACAGTAACAGCCAAAATTCATAGTCTGGAGCTGTAGCAATTCAGGAGATAGAATAAGTGTTAAACATTCAGAAAAAAAAAGAATTTTTTATTCAATCTTCATTCTCCAATATTCAGTACCCTGCCTAGACAGAGTAGGCAATAAAAAATGTTTGCTGACTGATGCTACTTATTATATATTTTAAAGAAAATAATTTGGAATAACACATTTAAAACATGTATTATGATTTATAGAAGGTTTAGTAGCAAATTTGAATTAAATGTATAACAATATTTATTGAATAACTAACATTTACTAAATTCTTACTATGATCTAGGCTCTATGCTAAATACTTAATGTATTTTTTAAAATTCTCACAGCAGTTCTCTAACCTAAGAGTTATTATTAGAGAAGTTCAGAGATATTTAAGTAACTTAGCCAAGGTCACACAGCCAGGTGGTACCAGAGCCAGGATTCAAGGCCAAGTTTACTTCTCTCCAAATCTATGCTCCTAACCACTATGTATTACTAAAATATTCTGAATCTGATTTCCTAAAAGAAACATGACTTTTGATACCAAAAAAAAATAAATAAACTCCTTTGTGGCAGAACAGTAAGTATACAGAAAAATGTTCATCTCCGTTAATGGTAATTCATTATTAATCAATTACCACTTCCTGGGTAACTTGCTATTGGTTGACAAATCAGTTGGATTTTCCATATGCACACACTGGAATAAGCTAGCTAAATAAGACAATTCACTTGGAGAGTTTTATGTTAGCTGAAGGTTACTATTGGGAAACTAGAGTGTTGGTAATATTTTTATTTTAAAATGCTGGAGTCACTAAATGTGACACCACAACCTGCATAGTAGGATATTGATAAGAACAAGGATGCAAGAGGTGATTCAGTAGATACTTAAATGGCCAAAAATATAGTGCAAGTTTCACACACCCAGCAGACTGCAGGTTTATATGATAATAAATAATAGTTATCACCAGGACAAAGGAGGAAAATGCCATGAAATCCAATAGCTCAGTGAGAAATCTGCTAATACAGTGGTGGTCAAGCTTGTCCTATTTTATTCTCAAAGGGAGCCTATTTATTTTCTTATAGATAGTTAAATTACAGAGTCATTCATTGCTGAAAGTTTTCCAGTAGGCAGATATGAGTCTAAAGCTAAGAGAATAAGAATTAACTTCACAGGCAGCAGAATTAATAAGGTAAAATCTTTGAGCAGACTACAGAAATAAAAGTGACTTTAAACATTCCAATTGGAATCTCATTTTTTGTACAGTGGGCGTGAGCCAATGGCCAAAATGCTGGCTAGGAAAAATAATCGTTTTAGGAGGTCTTTAAAATATTTCCCCAAATCAAATAGCCTTCTGACTAGGTGAGATATCAGTGATTAGAGAGAGAGAATGAAAGAGTCAGAGGGTGCGGGGGAGTGGGTAAGAGAGAGAGAGAAAGAGGGATTCTCAGTGCAGCAGAATGCTGGGAAACTGAGGGAAAATATTCATAATGGTTCCCCAGTAGTTATAAAATCAGTGTCAACTTTCTTTTCCTGTTACACAAGATGGCAGTGGTTTTTATCTAACAACTAACTATACATATTCTGAGGACATTTGAAATGGTGGAGATTATGCATGCTGTTTTCATTACTTCTAAAGTGCTACAATCTGCTAACTTCCAGATTTGGGAGTTTACCAATGGAATAGATCAAGAAATTCCAATAACAACTTTTTCGTTAAGCATTTTTCTATTCATTTTCTTGGAAGTAGGTGTTACTTTCAGTCCAGATTCAAGTTACTTATTTTACATATACCTAACAGCTACATTTCATCATTTGTTTTGTGGGTATAGGAAGTCACTACTTAATGCCATTGACTCTTTGCCAAGTAACCTTTAAACCAAGACATGTATATAATTTCCTTATTAATTAAAAATGCTAACTTCATCAATCTTAGTCCATGAAAAAAATCCAAAGCTTCTAGGCATAATCTTGATGAAGAATACATTACACAGCTGAAAGAATTCAAATTTATTCTGCCTTGAACAACTAGTCATGTGTCATAAAGGACAATGAGTTCACCAAAGTAATCTATATGGGAAGTGACTTGCAACAAAAGGTTAACAGATATGGTCTGTATCAGTTCACTAGAAGACAACTGAAGATGAAGAAACCAAATATCTTACCTCTAGTTATTTGAGGTCAAAATTGGAAAATGTTATCAAATAATGTTAGCAATCTCAACAAAATCTAAATAACTGAAAATCTGACTACCTTATCATTCTATCACTCAACTCTTATGGGAATACTTAAATGTATACACGAGCAGAGCATGAATACATTAGATCAGGATTTCAAGGTCTGTTGGCCATTCCACCTAAAATTTATAGAATCTAGAGATAAATAAGTTCACTATTATCAATCAGAAAGAATATTTAAAGACTTAGGATGCAGGTGAATAAATCCTAAATGGCCATCATTTTAAAGCAGACATCTAATAAGCATCCATGTTATAAACAATTGTTTTGACTTTTTAGCTAGAAATATTTATAGATTTATAAGACATTGCAAAGATAGTACAGAGAGAGCCTATGTACCCTTCATGAGGTTTCTACAAATTTTACATTTTATATGATTATATCAAAACCAGGGAACTGACATTGGCGCAATATGTATATATAGTTCTACGTTACTTTATCAGGTATAGATTCTTGTAACCACCACTGCAATCAGGACACAAAAGGATTGTAAATAATTTAACTTATTTTCTTAGATAATAAAATACATTACAGTTTCAGGTAGAAGGTTCTAGAATACATATTCTATTTAATGATACTTAATTATTGAAAATTATTAATACCTAAAAGTATCTTAGAAAACTCTACATATAAAGGCCAAAGTGAAATTCTAGCAGTACAGACACGGTACACTTCAGTTAAACTCATTTCCCTGCACAGATCAGACAACCCCATCATTCAACAATCAGCTCTCCCCAGCTAAGAGAACACACACTTTTTTTAGCACACAGTTTATCAAAGACAAGTTGCTGATAATTCTACTACTCTAAAACTGTTTACCAGTAGAAGTCCAAGACACATACACACAGACACACCCCATCTTTCTCAAGCAGAACAGAGCACTTCACGAGTGTCCTTAAGTCTCTAATGAGGTTACCATAACAAAAGATACAATAATAAATATAGGCAAAGAAACAATGAAATAAGCCAGACAGATTCTCCTAAGCCAAACCTAATGTGGAGTTTCTTACTTTCCCTAACAAGAAAATATAAACCAAATTGTTGCAAACTCCACGTTTGAGTGAGCTCAGAGCAAAGGAGAAATATTTAATCTCTCCTTCTTCCTTCCTCCTGATCTCTCTCTCTCTCTTTCACACACACACACACACACACACACACACAAAAAAAAAAAAAAAAAAAAAACACCCCTAAACATCAATCTTACCTTAGCCATCTGTGCCTGCACGCCATTTGCCTTGAGAGATGCTACCGCTTTCTGTGCGGCTGCAGGACTGTCAAAATCTACAAAACCATAACCTGTGAAAACACAAAATCCCCTTGTTAATATTCACAAAAAGCTGAATCTCTATCTTCACTGATGAAGTACAAGTTTACAGATAGACTTGCATTCATTTCTTCTGACATATTACCCTGGTTGAACATTAGGCTCTTAGATTAGTGGTCCTTAATGCTTTGGGAGAGATAACATCATAATGTCTCTAGACATAAAATAGTAACTCTTATTTTCTAGCCATTGTTTTGGAGATTGGGTGTAGAATCAGTAACCCAATTTAACCTAATTTGGTGAGTAAGATAATAGACTGTTTAACCGTGTTCTTTCTTCATGGATTATGGCAAAAGTGAGGTACACAAAGTGCTGGAAAATATAGAAAATTCTCTCCCTAAAGTTAATTTTCAAAACCTCAAATATTGATGTTAACAAAAACCATGATAAGAACTCGCAAAAGGTTATCAGCAACTGCAGTAGTGCTTGGCACACAGTAGGCATTCAATAAATACATGTTGACTTCATGAATAAGTAAATATTGTGGATGAGAGGGTTTAAAACCTAGTTCCATTTGATTACTAAGCCCATGCTCTTCCATTATCTTGTCTATCTCAATGATAGCATCTTAAATTATTTTGACTCGTACAGATCTGTGAAAAAGAATGATTAAATACATAAATATTCATGTTTCTTTTAAAAATAAGAAATACTATGTTGCTTATTTGTTTCTAGTGTACAGTCTGAAAAGGGTATATGAGTTTCCTATGCTATTCTGATTGTGTGCTTGTGTGGATGTCTATATATGGTGAAAGCAAAGAAATAGTAAAACGGCATCAATGAAAAGTCCATTTTGTATGTCCTTAAGCTAGCTAATAGTCCAAGGCTTAGCCTAACAGTAATGTTAACTGCCAAGAATATTTTGAAATATAAATGCTCAAGAGTGAGTATAAGGACAGCTTTGTTTGGCATGCTTAACAAGCTCACCATATGTATCCTATACTTCTTCTCATCTGTCAGGCAGGGAATCATCTGTATTCTTATACTTATCTCATTTAGAAGTTTTGAGGTGAGCCACTGAAGCAAACCTACTAACCTACTAAGGAGGTGTACTGTGACACCTCCTCTCACCCCAAAATAACCAAAGAAGAGTGCAAGGGAATCCAATTACGAAGTTGTTTCTTTTAATTAACTTTTTAATTTTTTCCCCTCGAATCTCGTCTTCTTTTTCTCCCTCCCAGCATGTTATCGTAAAATGAACTTGTTACACAGCAGTGTACTGTAAAATGCTCTTGAAAAGCTGGGCAGAGAAGCTGTGAAGTTTGTATTTCTAATCCAAAAGGAAGCCTGTTCTGTAAGTACTGCTAATTCTTCTCTCCCTACAAAATCAAACTAAATGGGTAATGTAAGTATTACTACCCAGTAAGATGAGTAAGATAGAAAAAAAAAGTGGAAGTAATAGTCAAGAAATAGGGTCAAGGGGAGAAGAAAGCAAAACTATAATCTGGATGTCATCTCTCACATGTCGGTTGCTGTGCTAGGTAGTTGACACATTGGCACTTGGTGAAGTCATAATAACATCAGGTACTACTGGCTTCGTGCCATTATACACATGAAGAAACTGAGGTTAGGGTAAGGTGATCCAACTTGACAAGAATCACAAGCCACTCATTGAGCAGATCCAGGATTTGAAGTAAAGTCTGCATGTGTCCTTTCAAATACACCATACCATGAATTGCTTTATATCCCTACGTTGTAAACTATGCTAGTAGCCTCTGAAGCCCATCAGAGAAAGGACTCAATTCTTGAAAATTCCTTAAATGGCATGGAATAAAACAATTCCATATAAGATAATTTAATTGAGCTCATTTAATCGTACATTTGTCAATGGAGCAGTTGATGAGTTAAGATGAGATTGACATGGGAACCACCTTGTACCTTACACGTTGGCCAATCTTCCTCATCCGTTCATCGGCTTATTTATTCATTCAATAATAAAGTTCTATTTCAGGCACTGCACTAAGCAAAGGGTATATAGTGGTGGGAGAAAACCTCAGTTCCCATGCATGCAACTAATAGTTGAGTTGGGAGATGGATAAGAACAAATAACCATACAAATGAATATATAATTACAAAATTGCAGATCTTCCTTGAAAGTAAATGACAGCATATAATATAGATTTTAATTTTTGATTGTTCACTATTGAAAGTTTTAAAGAAGCAGTGGTGTGAAATGATCTGCATTTTTAAATTGAGATTGCAATGTTGCGGGGGAGCTGGGAAGCTAGAATGGGATCAGGAGATGACTTAGGGGCTATTGCAACATTCCAGAGGAAAGGCAGCTGGCAATGAAATAGGGTGAAATGGATGCTTTGAGTTATATTTTGGAGGCAGAATTAACAGGGCTTTGTAAATGGATTGACTGAACTGGAAAGAAGGAAGACATAAAGACATAGACAAGGATTACCACTGGTTTTGTTTGTTTGGTTGGTTTTGTTTTTGCCATAAGCCACTGGGTGAGTGGATATGTAATTTATTGAAATGGGAAGACTCAAGGAAGAACCAGCAGGGGAGAAGGAAAATCTAATTATTGGTCTGAGACATGTTGAGTCAGAAATGCCCGAGACATCTAAATAGAAATGTCAAATCGCAGCTGGATATATTAGTTTGGTGCTCAGAAATGGAGATGAAATTGGAAATATAGGAGGACAACAGCACAAAGATATAGATGTTATTAATAGGAAATAGTCAAAAATGCCCAGAGTAAGTATAAAAGAAATAGGTCCAGGATTAGAACTCAAACAACTTCAGCATTTAGGCATTACATAAGAAGAAAAGACTGCAAAGAAAGCTGGAGAGTCAGAGAGGAAGAAGGAAATGAAAAGGGAATCAGATGTCTCAAATCCAAGGTAAGAAAGTATTCTGAGGAGGGAGAGATCAATTATGTGAAATGCTACTGAGAGTTTGAGCAAGAAGATAGCTTCAAGATGCCCAGTGTCTTTAGAAACATGATGTCACTATCATGATTTGCTTTAGGCAAGTGATGGGGATTGAAGTCTGCTGGAGTAGTTGAAGAGTATGAGCAAGATGAGGAGGAGGATTTACAGGCCTCTTTGCAGTTATCTTGGCTGGGAAGAAGAATTAAGAAACAGATTTAGCTAGCAGGGGATCTAAGGTCAACTGAGTTGTTTCTGTTTGTTTGCTTTAAGATAGGAGATGCTATGGTTGTCTGTGTGTGTGTGTGTGTCTATTTCCCACCTGATTCCAGTGTGAAGCTAGGGTAGGAAACTGCTGAGTATTCATGTAAATTATTCAACAAATCATTATTGACCACTTTCTACAGGACAGATACTGTTCTTGGCATTTTTGAATGTTGAATATTGATAGGAAAGATCAAGCAGAAAATAGATTAAAACTACAGGAGGACAAGTGGATAATTTATAGAATAACATTCCTGAGAGAGTAGAAGGGTGGGCGTATCTAGAAACTTCATGAAAGTGTTGCCCTTCGCCAGACAAGGATCCTCCCCTTCACCCATTGTACCTGGAAGAAAAAAGAGCACTCTCCATTACCAGGTGTTGTTTCATTGTATTACCCCAGGTACTGGGACTGTACCTAACATCTAGCCTATGCTTAATAAATATTTGTGAAAATAAATGGAAAGCACGTTTAAAAAATGTTAACTTACTTCATGGAATTATGATGGGGATTAACTGATAAAAGTGTCTATTAATACTGTTGGGCTATAAAGAACACATAATGCTAAGTGGTCATGGTTCTGTTTCAGCCATGCTGCCACCCAGCAGGCAGCCTCTTATTTTATGGCTCCCACCCTTTAGTCTAGCGTGCCTTCTCTCTGGCTTCTTCTCCTCCTTTCCACCCCCACATGGTACACAGGATATTACAAAATCAAGATGTTGACCTCCAGGACTAAACTTCAATCTGAACGGAGGACATTTCTGTGAGGGTAGGAGACACCCTGAGAGTTCTCTGAATCAGGGATGTTCTGGCTAAACTTTGAAAAAAGCGTACTTATAAAGAGTCATTCTGCCAGCGAGGAGAGAGAGGTTGGCCCTTTTGTACAAAATATCTGTATTGATGGTTCCAAGCCAAGGGGGATAAAGGCTTCATAAATAAAATTAAAAATAGGGGATAAGCTACCAAATCAGAAATATCTCACCAAATTATGTGTTTTTCATATATACACACTTTCACTAGTTACAATAGAAGTTTATGTAAAAATGTCTCAAGTAACCCTGAAAAATACTCCCATTCTAGAAATAAACATTGCATTACTGAGTTTTACATGACAGCAGATACTACATCACAATCAGAAGAAAGCAAAATGAAATAGGAGACTGCCCCTAAAGAATAATGATGGATTTAGCAAGGAATAAAGCCACTTTAATTTGCTTTCAATTTGTTTTCCTTAATGACAAATAATCAAGTCTGGGAACAGCAACCTCTGTACCTACATCTGGTGAGGAGAAGGGTAAGGGAGATTAGTTCAGCTTCAGCTAATAATGCTTTCCGGTAACTGCTAAAATCCTCAACACAACACTGGCAAATGCTAACCATCAGAAACTCTGGCCCAAGTGGCTGTAAGCCCACCCGTCTCACTCTCTCAATTACATAATTAAGCTTGGCAGCAGGTTCAAATGAATTAAAACTGAATGTCACTGTTTTCTCCACACACTCCTGTCCTTGTTTTTCTTCCTTGTCAGGGGGAGAAGGCCAGCAGTTCTGCAATTAGCGGGAAGTAGAGCAATGAGAAAGAACCAGCTCTGTGATAATTAGGTCATTTGCCAAATACACTCATTCCATTGGCAGATATAATCAATGCTTTCCTGAAATGTTTTAAACCCTGTGTGTTAATTTAAAGTTTTGCTATTTTTATTGCACTACAAGCCTGGTGACTGTAGAGAAAAAACTGTATGTATGTGTGTGTGTATCTATCTATCTATCTATCTATCTATCTATCTATCTATCTATCTATAATGGAATTCTACAAAGAATAGTAGTGTCCAGATGGTTCTTATTTGTTTCCTTTAGTGCATTTGCTGGCAACATCTTCCCTGAGACCTTTGCCATTCAGTTGAACCACTGCGTGACAATCCATTTGAAATTTCATTAAATGTTTCTTTACCATCTTCAAAAGCTTATTTTATACTTCTGTGTTGCTGTGGGCTCCTTAAGTTCTCTATTTAAACTGCTTATTTATTTACCAACATTGGGATTGTTCTTTATGTGTGTGTGTTGGGGTGTATTGGGGGAAAGTAATGATAAAACTAGAACTCCTGCTTTAGATTTGCAGGGCCATCAACAGTGAGCCAAGGAGACTTGCTCTCAGAGTGTAACTGCACACTAAATTTCACATTTGTATTGTTCCACCTCTTCAGAATGACTGTCATAAAATCTCGCTTGAAACACAGATGGCTTGGTGTAGCACCCAAATTCTTCCAAAGACAATCCAACCGTGAGTCAAATGTGATTTCTAAACAGAAAAAGCAAACATTTGGGCTAAGAATTATATATACATTCAGCTGAAATTCTACTTAAGTTTAACAGTTGAAGATGTTAACAATGAATCACCTTTCCATAAATCCTTCCCCACCTTCCATTTGGGCTTAGCAATACTCTGTGGCTGTTGTCTGGGCTCAGAATAGGATGACTGAGTTGCAGGGAGAGAGGGGTGGTTTGCAGGCTGCCTGGAAGTCTGATGGCACTTAGACTGCCTCCATACCTCTGTATTTCTGCTGTATTTCTACTGTATCCCTAAACTATTCAGTTATTGCTGACTATCTTTCCTTATTGGATTTCCTAGTTCTTTGCATTATGTGATCACAGAAGATAATGAAATAACAGCATTGATATATTTATTGCAACTTTTCTTTTAAAACAACAAGAAAACCTACTCATTTCTTCAGTATCTTCTTTTGTATCCATTTACTGTGAGTGATCATTATAGTAAAGCCGGGATACCACAGGGGAACCAATATGATAGCCATATGGTCTACCTTAGATTTGTGAAAAAATAAAGGCAAAAGATAGTTCCTGCTGAAAAGCAAAAGCCAGAGACAAAAGAGCTTACTGTGAGAAAAATTCTAAGCCATTATAGTCTGAATCACCTATGCTTTCAAATGTCTTAAAAATATAAAATGCAGGGAGTTGATACAGAAAAGAAGCCACATATGGACTGCCTGAACAGGGAGGGTTGCAGCCTCAGACACTTAGCAAACAGAGTAAAATAACATGGGTAACAATATCCACTATACAGAAAACAGGTTGCTCCACTGGAGTCCCCTCATATTCCAGTTTAATTGCCTAAGCATTCTGAAATTTGTGTGCCAGAAATACTAAAATAAGACATCAGCTTTTGGAACAAGAATTTGCCTATTATTAGTGACATTTTTGAACCACAATGAGATCTTCCTTTTATTATTATTATTATTATTATTATTATATTATTAAATTTACTAAGCATCTACTACATACAAGGAAGATAGTGCCAGATGCTGTAAGGAAAAAAAAACTCTAACATGGCTTTTCTTGACAAAGAGTTTATTGTCTAGTAGAGTTGATAAATAAATTTAAATGCAGTGGAGTTTATGTTTAAATGGCATATAGACACAGTTATCTTCATATTATTGAACTAATTTTATACCGTATAGTATGTATGGCTTAGGGTGTACAGCTCTGGTCAACAGAGCTGAACAACTGAGCCAGGTTCCATTCAGTAAGTGCCATGATGGTAAAATTATCCATATTCTAAATTTATGTATATATGTATGAATTAGTCTATCTTTCTGTCTCTCAGTTTGTTTGAAATTAAGTACAAGATATAGAGAGTAATCACTACCATATAAATTGTGGGAAAAAAGTGCTAGTATTTTAAAATGGCAACTGTTTCTTCCAGGTGGGGGAAAACTCAATATATTTTGCACACAAATGACAAAAATAAGGACTGGGGAAAAGGAATAGGTCCCCAATGGTATTTCCTAGCAGAATAAAACAATTACAAAGACAGACAAATTTAGAGAGCAAAGTATTTAGTAGTACGGCACTTGAAAATGGAACACTTTCTCATTCCATTTATGTTACACAAAAAATCTTATTAAACTAAACACAAATTCAAATCCCAAAACTCACTTTCCTCTTCATCATGTTCAATTGATTTTTAAATGAGAGAAATTGCTTCTTTATACTGAATAAAGTCAAAATGAGTATCAGAATCATTATTTATGGGCTTAGTGCAGTCACTATGCTTTATCGAGATTAAAGAAACTTACTGATTTGCCAAAGACCAACCATTATTTTATTATAATATTGCACAGATTAAGGAGCAGCGTACTTGGCAGTAAATGGGCAGATTAACCTCTGGGAACCATCTAGCAAAGCTTTGCTTTGCTAACATGCAGTGTTCAAATATACAAATAAAATATATGTCTTGTTTGAGCTGTTGGTCCTGTGTGTCTCTACCATCAAAACAGCAGGAGGTACAAGTGTGTAATGGTGACTGCATGAGCAAGCCCAACATATTAATAAAACAATTCCAACAAGTTTATAATTATGACAAAAGTGGGCTATGACTGAACACTTTAATTATAGCTCTAGAAACCCCAGCCCCAATTTAGGATAGGCAAACCTAACTAAAATTTCATTCCTGGCTGTCCCATTCTTCCCTCCCCCTTGCTCTAGACTTACAGATGGGTAGAACAATAGACTATTCCTCCATACAAGGAATAGAGGTAATGACCTCAGTGTATCAACTGGAGGACAAGCCCCCTACCTCTTCCCAGGTACTTTAATCCATATTCACACTCAATAGTTTCAGCAAATGGCCTGGGAAGCATGCTTGTACTCATCCCTACTTACTCTTCCCCACAACCGAAGCATCCTTCTTTTTACCACCTATTCATCTTTAGAGGATAGACCATTATAATAAAATTGGGCAACAACCCGGAAAGATACATGAAATAGTTCAGAGCAGAAAAGAAGAAAAGTGAATTCTACATATGGGGTAACCCCTTTAGGAAGCATGTATTGGCCGGGCGCGGTGGCTCACGCCTGTAATCCCAGCACTTTGGGAGGCCGAGGCGGGTGGATCATGAGGTCAGGAGATCGAGACCATCCTGGCTAACAAGGTGAAACCCCGTCTCTACTAAAAATACAAAAAATTAGCCGGGCGCGGTGGCGGGCGCCTGTAGTCCCAGCTACTCGGGAGGCTGAGGCAGGAGAATGGCGTGAACCCGGGAAGCGGAGCTTGCAGTGAGCCGAGATTGCGCCACTGCAGTCCGCAGTCCGACCTGGGCGACAGAGCGAGACTCCGTCTCAAAAAAAAAAAAAAAAAAAAAAGAAGCATGTATTACCTGTGATTCTTTGTTTTTGTCATACTGTACATTCTGTATATTCCCTCCGCCAACTTGTCACTTGATCTAAATTTCCTTATAGAGCCGTGTGTGCTTTTGCACACTAGCATTTTCCTGGGACAGGGTTCCATCCATGATTTCCCCCTTCAAAATCTTTGATAAAAGGTTCTATCTAACTACAATTGTGCACTTCCTAATTTATACTCATATTTGATTGAATATGCTCTTCAGTCACACATTTATAGGCCTTATTTCAAATATTTTAAATAAATATCCTCAAATACTGTCCCTGTCACTATGAGACACGGTGGATTCTACATCTTCTTATACTCCAGATTACTTTTCTCCATCCCACTTGACATATCAAATACAAGTTTAACTAAGTATTAGAGTTTTAAAAATAAAAAAAGCACTTATATGTATATATGCACAATCGAGAGTAACAAATGTACACGGTAAAAACAAAAACAAGCCAAACAAAACACAATTCAGTAAAACGTAATTTCCCTTACACCTAGACCTTGGTGCTTTAGTCTACCTTCAAAACAAACTGCTCTGTCATTCCTTCTGATGGTCCTACCTGGAAAGGCAACTAAAACTAACTCTCGAGCTCTCACTATTCTATGTATTAGGGACACCCAGAGGTTTATAGAGTTATAAAAGTATAGTTCCTGTTATCACAAATTATAAAATCAAAAACATTTGTAGTAAAGATTTTGTAAATGGCTCTCCAATTGTACACACATTCCTTTTCCTAAAATAAATAGTTGATAAAGGATAGAACAAAATGGCAGAATAGAAACCTACATAGTTTGTACCCCCAGCAGGAACACCAAATTTTAGCAACTATCTGCACACAGAAAAGCATCATCTCAAGGACCAAAACTCAGGTGAGCAATCCCAGTACCTAATTTTAACTTCATATCTTGAAAGAGACATTGAGGAGAACAGGAAAGACAGTCCTGAAGCATCAAAACCACCCCTCCAACACCACAGGTAGTGAGCCATGCAGCAAAGAGTCTGTGCATTTGAGGGAGGGAGAATACAGCAACTGGGGGACTTTACATTAAACTCAGTGCTGCCCTGCCACAGTGGAGAGCAAAGCTATACTGGGCTCAGCCAATGCCCACACACAGAGGGAGCATTTGGACCAGACCTAGCCAGAGAAGAATCATCCATCTCATCAGTTGATACCCAAGTTTCCTGGCAAGCCTTGCCATCACAGGCCAAAGTGCTCTGGGGACCTAGGTAAACTCTGAAAGGCAGTCAAGGGCACAGGGACTGCAACTCATATGCAACTCCTAGTGCTGGACTGGGCTCAGAGCCAGAGGACTAGGGTGGCATGGCATGAGACCTAGGGAGACACCAGCCGGGGCAGCTAAAGGAATGCTTGTGCCATCCCTCCCCCAGCCATAAGTAAGGCAGCTCACAGCAATGAAAGTGTCTCCTTCCTTCTGCCTAAGGGGCAGACAGCAAAGAGTAAAGAGGAGCCTTGTGTCTTGAATACCAGCTCAGCCGTGGTAGAATAGGGCATTGGGCAGAATACTAAGCCCCCTAATCTGGGCCCTAGCTCTCAGATGACATTTGTAGAAACACCCTGGGCCAAAAGGCAACCTGCTGCATTGAAGGGAAGGACCTAGTCCTGGAAGGATTCATAACCTGCTGACTAAAGAGCCATTGGGCCCTGAATAACCAGCAGCAAAACCCAGGTTGTTTGCTATGGGCCTTGGGCTCTGAGATGTAGAGGAAGGAAAAGTAAAGGAGACATTGTCTTGTGTCTTAGGTACCAGTTCAGCCACTGTGGCATAGAGCAAAAAGCAGGCTCTTAGGGTCACTAAGTCTAGGCCTAGGCTAGTAGACAGCATTTCTGGACCTGCCCTGGGCCAGAGGAGATCCAATTTCTCAGAAGGGTGAGTCTCAGGCTTGGCAGCATTTACCACAAGCTGACTGAAGAGTCACTGGGCTTTAAGGGAACATGGGCAGTGGCCTGGCAGAACCCCTCAATGGGCCAGTGGTGGCAGTGCCCACAGGGAGAGGCTCCTCTGCCTGTGGAAAGGGGAAGAGTGGAAAGAACTTTATATTGTGGACTGAGTGCCAGCTTAGCTGGAGTATAACAGAGCATCAGTCAAATTTTTAAGGTTTTTGACTACAATCCCTGGCTCCCAGACAGTATCTCTGGACCCACCTGGGGCCTGGGGAAACTTGCCATCCTGAAGGTAGGGACACAAACTTGGCTGGATTTTCCACCTGTAAATTGTAGAGGCCAAGGGTTTTTTGTAAACATAGGTGACAGCCAGGTAGTGGTTAGAGTGGGCCTTGGGCAAGACTCAGTGCTATGCAGGTTTCAGGTCTGATCCAGCAGTCACATTGATGGCAGCCACAGGAACCACACTGGGTCAATCCCAGTGCATCACCACACCTCCAGTTTCAGGTGACTCAGCGCAAAGACAGAGATTCCATTTGTTTGGGAGAAAGTAAAGGAAAAGGAGAAGAGTCTCTGCCTGGTAATCCAGAGAATTCTTCCAGATCTTACCCAAGACCACCAAGGTGGTACCTCTATGAGTCTGCAAAAACCACAGAAATATTGGGCTGAGGGCCTAAGTCCTTTCAAATACCTGGAAAGCCTTCTCAAGAAGGATGGGCACAAACAAGCCCAAACCATGAACACAACAATAAATACCTAACTCTTCAATGTCCAGACACCTATGAACACCTACAAGCATCAAAATCATCCAAGAAGACATGACCTGACCAAATGAATTAAATAATGCATGAAGGACTAATCCTGGAGAAACAGAGACATGTGACCTTTCACACAGAGTATTCAAAATAGCTGTTTGAGGAAATTTTAAAAAATTAAAGATAATACAGACAAAAAAGTTCAGAATTCTATCAGAAAAAATTAACAAAGAAACTGAAATAATTTAAAAGAATCAAGCAGAAATTCTAGAGTTTAAAAATGCAAATGACATACTGAAGAATGCATCAGAGTCACTCAATAGTAAAACTGATCAAGCAGAAGAATTAGTGAGCTTGAAGAAAGCCTATTTGAAAACACACAATCAGAGGGGACAAAAAAGAGTAGAAAGCAATGAAGCATGCTGACAAGATCTAGAAAGTAGTATCAAAAGGGCAAATATAAGAGTTATTTGCCTTAAAACATGAGGTAGAGAAAGAGTTATGTGTAGAAAGTTTATGCAAAGGGACAATATCAGAGAACTTCCCAAACCTAGAGAAGGGTACCAACATTCAAGCACAAGAAAGTTATAGAACACCAAGCAGGTTTAACCCAAAGAAGACTACCTCAAGGCATCTAATAATCAAACCTCCAAAAGTCAAGGATAAAGAAAGGATCCTAAAAGTAGTAAGAGGAAAAAAAGACAACATACAATGGAGCTGTAATACATCTGGTAACAGACTTTTCAGTAGAAACCTTACAGGCCAGGAGAGAGTGGCATGACATATTTAAAGTACTGAAAGAAAAAAAAAAAAACTTTTACCCTTGAATAGTATATCCGACAAAGATATCCTTCAAGTGTGAAAAAGAAATAAAGACCTTTCTAGATGAAAAAATAGCTGATGGATTTTATCAACACCAGACCTGCCTTATAAGAAATGCTAAAGGGTGTTCTTCAATCTGAAAGAAGAAGATGTTAGTGAGCAAGAAGAAATCATCTGAAGCTACAAAACTCACTGGTAATAGTAAATATGCAGAAAAACACAGAATTGTATAACACTATAATTGTGGTGTGTAAACTACTCTTAAGTGGAAAGACTAAATGATGAACCAATCAAAAACAATAACTACAATTGCATTTCAAGATACAGACAGTACAATAAGACATAAAGAGAAATAACAAAAAGTTAAAAAGCAGGGGATGAAGTTAAAGTGTAGGGTTTTTATTAATTTTCTTGTGTGTGTGTGTGTGTGTGTGTGTGTGTGTGTGTTTTCTTATGCAATCAGTGTTAAGTTTTCATCTGTTTAAAATAACAGGTTATAAGATAGTATTTGGAAGCCTCACTGTAACCTCAAATCAAAAAAACACACAATGGATACACAAAAAATAAAAAGCAAGAAATTAAATCATACCGTCAGAGAAAATCACATTCACTAAAAGGAAGACTGAAAGGAAGGTAAGAAGGAAGAGAAGACTACAAAACAACCAGAAAACAAATAGCAAAACGGAAAGAATAAGTCCCTGCCTATCAATAATAACATTGATTGTAAATGGACTCTCTAATCAAAAGACATAGAATGGCTAAATGGATGAAAAAATAAGATTCCATAATCTGTTGCCTACAAGAAACCCACGTCACGTATAAAGACCCACAGACTGAAAATAAAGGGATGGAAAAAAAAAGACATTCCATGACAATGAAAACCAAAAAACAGCAGGTGTATCTACACTTATATAAGAAAAAATGGATTTCAAGACAAAAACTGCAAGGAGAGACAAAGAACGTCCTTACATAATGATAAAGGGGTCAATCCAGCATAAGAACATAACAATTCTAAATATATGTGCACCCAACACTGGAGCACCCTGATATATAAAGCAAATATTATTAGAGCTAAAGAGAAAGGTAGACCTCAATACAATAATAGCTAAGACATCAATAATCCACTTTCAGCATTGGACAGATCTCCCAGATAGAAACTCAACAAAGAAACATCAGAGTTAATCTGCAGTATAGAAAATATGGACCTAATAGATATTTACAAAACATTTCATCCAGAGACAACAGAATACACAATTTTCTCCTCATCATGTGGATCATTCTCTAGGATAGATTATGTGTTAGGTCACAAAACAAACCTTAAAACATTTAAAAAATGGAAAAAATATCAAGTATCTTCTCTGACCACAGTGAAATAAAACTAGAAATCAACAAGAGGAATTTTGGAAACTATATGAACACAAGGAGATTAAACAATATGCTCCTGAATAACCAGTGGTTCAATAAAGATGTTAAGAAGAAAATTTAAACATTTCTTGAAACAAATGATAATGGAAACATAACATATCAAAACCTATGGAATACAGAAAAAGCAGTACTCAGAGGGAAGTTTATAGTTATAAGTGCCTACATCAAAAAATAAGAAAAAATTCAAATAAAGAACCTAAGGATGCATCTTAAAGAACTAAAAATGCAAGTATGATTTAAACGCAAAGTTAGAAGAAAAGAAATCAGGATCAGAGTAGAAATAAATGATTTGAAACAAAGAAAATAATACAAAAGATAGATGAAACATTTGCTTTTTGAAAAGATAAACAAAATTGGCAAACTTTTAGCCAGACTAATGAAGAAAAAAAAGGAAGACAACCTAAATAAAGAAATAAATAAGAGATGAAAAAGGAAGCTGAGCATGGTGGCTCATGCCTGCAATCCCAGAACTTTGGGAGGCCAAGGCAAATCACCAGAGGTTGGGAGATTGAGACCAGCCTGGCCAACATGGTGAAACCCCATCTCTACTAAAAATATAAAAATTTGCCAAACAGGGTGGCAAGCACCTGTAATCCCAGCTAGTCGGGAGGCTGAGGTGGGAGAATCACTTGAACCTGGGAGGCGGAGGTTGCAGTGAGCTGAGGTTGTGCCACTGCACTCCAGCCTGGGTGACAGAACAAGACTCCATCTCAAAAGAAAAAATAAAAAAGAATAAGGAGCTCTTAAAACTTATGTCACAGAAATTTAAAGGATCATTAATGGCTACTGTGAGCAACTATATGCCAATAAACTGGAAAATCAAAGGGAACTGAATAAATTCCTAGATATGCACAAACCACCAAGATCGAATTATGAAGAAATCCAAAGACTAAACAGACCAATAACTAACAATGAGATTGAATCCATAATAAAAAGTCTCCCAATAAGGAAAACCCAGGACCCAACAGATTCACTGCTGAATTCTATCAAACACTTAAGAAGAATTAATACCAATCCTCAAACAATTCTGAAAAATAGGGGAGGAGGAAATAATTTCAAATTCATTCTATGAGACCAGTATTATCCTGATACCAAAACGAGAAAAAAGTTACATCAGTAAAAGAAAACTACAGGCCAATATCTCTGATTAATATTGACACAAAAATCTTCAACAAAATACTAGCAAACTGAATTCAACAATACATTAAGATGATCACTCATCATGACCATGTGGGATTTACGTCTTGGAGGCAAGAATGATTCAATATTCACAAATCAATCAATGTGATACAACATATCAACAAAATGAAGGACAACAACCATATGATCATTTTGATTGATGCTGACAAAGCATTTGAAAAAATTGAACATCTCTTCATAATAAAAACCCTCAAAAAACTAGGTATAGACAGAGCATACCTCAACATAATAAAAGCCATATGTGACAGACCCATGACTAGTATTATACTGAATGAGGAAAAACTGAAACCCTTTCCTATAAGAACATGACAAGGATATTCACATTCACCACTGTTATTTAACATAGTACTGGAAATTCTAGCTAGAGAAGTCAGAAAAGGAAGAAATAAAGGGCATCCAAATGACAAAGAAAGAAGTCAAATTATCCTCGTTTGCAGATGATACGATCTCATATTTGAAAAAACTTAAAAGACTCTACCAAAAATACTATCAGAATTGATAAACATTCAGTAAAGTTGAAGGATACAAGATCAACATACGAAAATTAGTAGCATTTCTATATGCCAACAGGGAACAATCTGAAAAAGAAATTTAAAAAGTAATTCCACCTACTATAGTCAAAAATAAAATTAAATACTTAGGAATTAATCAAAGAAGAAAAATATCTCTATAATTAAAACTGTAAAACACTGATAAAAGAAATTGAAGAGGACACAAAAAAAATTAAAAATATTCCATGTTTGTGGATTGGATATTGGATAGCAATATTGTTTAAAATGTGCATACTATCCAAAACAATCTACTGATTCAATGCAGTCCCTATCAATATACCAATGACATTCTTCTCAGAAATAGCAAAAATAATTCTAAAGTTTCTACAGAATCACAAAGACCCTGAATAGCCAAAGCTATTCTAAGCAAAAAGAACTAAACTGAAGAAATCACATTACCTGACTTCAAATTATACTACAGAGCTATAGTAACCAAAACAGCATGGTACTGGCATAAAAACAGACACATAGGCCAATGGAACATAATAGAAAATCTACAAGCAAATCTACGTACCTACAGTGAACTCATTTTTCACAAAGGTGCCAAAGCCACACATTGAAGAATGGACAATCTCTTCAATAAATGGTACTGGGAAAACTAGATATCCATATACAGAAGAATGAGACTTGACCCCTGTCTCTCACCATATACAAAAAACATATCAAAATGGATTAAAGACTTAAATCTAAGACCTCAAACTATGAAACTACTAAAAGAAAACATTGGAGAAACACAGGCAACCAAAGCAAAAACGGACAGATGGGATCTCATCAAGTTAAAAAGCTTCTGCACAGTGAGGGAAAACAATGAACAAAGTGAAGAATCAACCCACAGAATGAGAGAAAATATTTGCAAACTACCCATCTGACAGATTGATAATCAGTAAATACAAAGAGCTCAAACAACTGTATAGGAAAAAATATAATAATCCAACCAAAAATGGGCAAAATATTTTAATAGAAATTTTTCAAGGGTGACATACAAATGGCAAACAGGCATATGGAAAGGTGCTCAATATCACTGATCATCAGAGAAATGCAAATCAAAACTATGATGAGATATCATCTCAGCCCAGTTAAAATGGTTTTATCCAAAAGACAGGCAATAACAAATGTTGGAGAGGTTGTAGTGAAAAGGGAACCAACCCTTGTATACTGTTGGAGGGAATATAAATTAGTACAACCACTATGGAGAAGAGTTTGGATTTCTGAAAAAACTAAAAATAGAGCTACCATATGATACAGAAATACCATTGCTGAGTATATGCCCAAAAGAAGGAAAATCAATATATTGAAGAGATATCTGCATTTCCATGTTTGTTACAGCACTGTTTGCAACAGCCAAGATTTGGAAGCAACCTCAGTGTCCATCAACAGATGAATGGATAAAGAAAATGTGGTACTTATACACAATGGAGTACTATTCAGCCATAAAAGAGAATGAGATCCTGTCATTTGCAACAACATGGATGAAACTGGAGGTCATTACATTAAGTGAAATAAGCCAGTAACAGAAAAACAGACATTGCAGGTTCTCACTTATTTGTTGGATATAAAAATCAAAACAATTGAACACATGGAGATAGACAGTAGAAGGATGGTTACCAGAGGCTGGGAACTGTAGCAGGGGATGAGGGGGAGGTGAGGATGGTTGAAGGGTACAAAAAATAGTTTGAAAGAATAAATAATATCTAGTATTTGATAGCACAACAGGGTGACTACAGTCAAAATAATTTAATTGTACATTTTTAAATAACTAAAAGAATTGGATGTCTTATAAAACAAAGGATAAATGCTTGAAGGCATGGATACGTCATTTTCCATAAAGTGATTATTATGCATTACATGCCTGTAACAAAATATCTCCTATACCTCATAAATATATATACATACTATGTACTCACAAAAATTAAAATTTCAAAAATAAGAAAATGACTATTGATTTTTTCTAATTTTATAAGTTATGTAATTTTATTATAGTAATTCAGCCAATACAAAGAGAAATTAGCTATGATGCCACCATCCAAGATAATAAATTTTTAATAAAATTGTTTTCCTTATTTTAGCCAAAATGATATCAGATTATACATACAATTTTAACATCTGATTTTTCCCTAAGCAACTGCTTTTCTTGGTCGGTAAATATGGATCTCTATAATCCCATCAATCTAATATTTTCAGCATTCCAATTGCCTAACCCTTTCTGAAAGATTTCTGAGCTATACAGTTTGCCTTAGCTAAATGTTTCTTAACTTGCAAAACTGATTTTATTCCAAGATTTGGAAAGATTTTTAAAATTAATGAAATGGAAATAGGCAATGCTTTCAAAGCCTCCTAGACTTTAGAGAATGATTTTTCCTAAGTTTTTTGTTTCATTCAAAGATCTTTTTTTTAAAAAAAGACTTTCATGCATTGCAAGCCAAAGATATCAGAAGCCAGTTAGATCAAATTCAAACACCCATCTCTTGAAATACAAGGGATTGGAAGCCCATTTTTCTTTTCATTGTAATTAAGTTGGATCCATCTCAAAGGATTTTTGGAAATATATCAGAATCTTATGAGACAAAATTTGAGATCTGTGATTCAAAAAGGATATCAAAAGTTTGAATAGTCATGTAATTGTACCATGATTACATATTTATTTATAAGTTGAAAGTGGAATTTTTTTTTCAACAAAGATATGTTGTCTCCAAGAACATTTTGATGTAATTTGTAAATTAGTATGCTTGCTGATGGTATCAGCTCTTTCGTGTCCCTTTAAATTGCTGGAGGTTCATGACTTACAGAGGAAATCTCTCCTCTAGGCAGTATCCTAATTGTATAAGGAAAACAGCATTTCAGGATCCTAGGACATGGTGGTTCAGATACAGTTTAGAGAACTGTTTAGTTTAGGATGTTTTTATATAATTGTCCCAACTACGGTCAAGACCTGAAAAACTAGGAAAATGGCTCTGCAAGCAGAAATCAAAAGCACCTCGCCTGAGAGGTTTTCTACTTTGCTGCTCAGATGTGAGCTGTGGAAAAGCAATGTTGGCATCACTTGGGAGCTTGTTAGAAGTGCACAATTTCAGGCCTACCCTAGGTCTACTGAATCAGGCTGTACATTTTGACAAGATCCCCAAGAAAGCCATATGCACATTAAAGATTGAGACTCCCTGGACTGCAACAAGCCACTCAGCAAGTCAGGACTGCACCTGCTACTCTCATAAAACTATAGAGAGAATGGGAATCTTAAAAGTCATCTTCTTGAACCTCTATTGGATCTTCCAATCTTCCTACAATCTCTTTGCCAAACACTCCTCCAAACTCCACCTGGACAATTCTAATATTAGGGAGTACACAGTCTTCCAAGGCAGTCCATGAGAGATAAGTGTATTTCAGAGAAAACTGTTGTAGTTGAAAGGCACAGATGTTGCCATCATGCAGTCTAGATTCAAATACTAGCTCCACTATTTGATAGCAATGAGTCCTCAGGCACAGAACACTCAACCAAAAATAAGGATAATAATAACACTACCTAAATTCTATGTCGGTTCTGGGCATTGAATAAATTTAAGTGCATTTAAAGCACCTGGCCTAATGCCAAAGGCATTTTCTCTCTCCAACTCCCTCATCTTTTTAGACTGTGCTGAAATTTAGCACCTTAATTTAATTCGTTTGTTTTAAATACATTCTAAGAGAAACCAGACAAATGTATTCCTTTCTTCACATAACAAATCTTTATATTTTTAAAGACAGCAATTCTTCTCCTGCCTATATGTACAAAATGAATATTTAAAAATACAGGACTGGGGCTATTTTCTCATAATAGCCTATTTCAGAACAAGTATCTGCTCTCCTTCCCTGTCTCTTTTATGTTTGTTCATCAGAGATATATTTAATTCTGTTTAGTTACTAAGTTCAAATTGGCCCTACATTAATTCATCTCTTTAAAAAAGTAATGTTCATTTGAGGAAGCAGGTAACCAATGTGAAGAATGATTATACAATAAATGTATTATGCAAATTCCAGTGAACATTTTATGCACACTGGATAAAGAATCAAATTAAAGTCTCATAACCCTTGGAAAATTAAAGTTAGCAAGCACAGAGGTTGATTTGCCCTTGAACACAAAAACTGCTAAGGGCAGACATTCCCCCATCATTTTCACAAAACTGAACCATTTCTGAAGGTTTCAGATTAAAATAAGAAATCCCCTAGGAGTCATAAAGATCAGCTATTTTTACAGGAATAATTTGGAATTGCAATTTTAAAGTGTTATGAGTTGGAAGGAATTGGTGAACTTCTGTGTCATATTTTGAAAAGCTAATATTCTAGGTAATCGGCCAGTTGAGAACACCAAAAATTGCACAGAGAGAGGCTATGAGGAAAGGGGAAAAAGAATTTCTCAAGGATAAGCACGAGGGCTGATTTACACAGTTCTCCTCATAACAACCCAACAGGGGCAGTTATGCAATAGACCACTATTGCTCCTTCGATTTTCCTTCACTCATAATGGGGCATAAATGTCACCTTCCTATAACACTTTTGTGTCCCCTCCTTGCAGCTTGACAACGCTGATTCTACCACTGGACTCTCTACAGAGGAATAATGGACTATTAAGAAGGATAATGCAGAGGGTCTGTATAGCGTTTACCTACTGGAGAACACAGAAACCATCACAAGCATTTCATTAAATCAGTAAGTAAGCATGAGTGTGAAGAAGGTAGGTTGAAAACCCTTTTCTACCACCAATTTTTACATATGGAGACAGGATGTGGGCTCCAGTGCCAAGAACAGTCTATTCATTTATCAACTCCTGGAAATCAATTTCTTTTCCTGCTCATCCTTTTTGGGAACCAGTCAGGATGTAAATATAAAAATATTGCTATTGATTTACCAAATGCTCAGTGAGGTTCTTTTATGTATTCTAAGCTAGGTGCTGTGGGGGGAGAAAAGTACAAATGAGACGTGATTTCTCTCATAAGGTAATATGCAAACCCAATGAAGAAATAGTCACTTTAACATCATGACATTCACTGAGGGCTCTATGTGGTATGCTTATCACAAATACAAAAACCTATAACACATGAACAGTACATGCCATGATGATAGAAAGAAAGGTTATTTCTTATTAGAGAGATAATGGAGAAGATGAATTTAAGCTTTTTATTGTTTTTCTTATTCTATAACTTTTTAATCAACTTATTTAAGATATAACTTGCATATGATAAATGCCATTTCAGTGTACAGTTTGTTGAGTTTTGACAGATAATCCACCTGCATAACCACCATAACGATCAAGATACAGAACTCTTTCATCATCCCCCAAATTCCATTTGTACCTCTTTGCAGCCACCTCCACACACACCCCCAGCAACCAGGCATCTGTCATTACAGATGAATTTGGCATTTTCTAGAATCTTCCATTAATTGAATCGCACAATGTATACTCTTTTTCCCTAATTTTTTTTTTTTTTTTTTTTGCATTTTGCTTTGCAGAATGACAACATTTAGACATGAGGGAGAAATAGCATTCAAGTATGAACAAATATTTGGGGACAGGTAAGTAAAGGGTGAATTCAAGCAATTAACGGGGACATGTAATCTTGACCAAAGTGGAGACACTGGGGAAGGTATCATGTAGAACAGTGCAGGACAGGCAACATCACCTATGTGTTACGTAGAGCTTCACAATTTTTACATCAATTTGCATGCTACTCTTCTACTGCTTTACTATATTTTGGCCACATTGAGGCTTTTGCACCTGCTGTTGCTTTTGACTGGAGCACTCACTCCCCAGGATTGTACAGGAGCTGAATTCTTCTCCTCCATTAGTGTCTATCACAGCATGCTGTTAATGTCCTTCATTGCAGTGGGCATAATTTGTGGATTATTTTATTTGTTTATATGATTATTATATTTTACCCTAAGAGGCTGTAAGTGCCAAGATCATAGAGAACAGAATGGTTTTGTTTGTAACTATATCATCTTACCACACATTCTGGCTCATACTAGCCATTGAATGAACGAGTCAATAAGTAAGTGAATGAATGAGCAAATTCCTAACAAATTAAAAGCCTTTCATTTGGTCACATATATAACTTCAGGCATTATAATTCTCATAACTCTCTGATACACAATTCCTTGCCTCTCTTATTATAAAATACTTTTATATTATAATTTAAGGAGCATCATAGAATCTTTTAAATTTGCAACTCCAACCCTACAATCATGACATTGGCCTGACTGTATTTTTGTGCTCTTTGGCACAAAAGGGCAAAACATTTATCTTCAAGAGAGACCTGGAAGATGTTGGACATAAAAGTTTAAAACTAAAAAGAAAACAATTTTTTTCATAAAGAACTACCTTTTCTAAATTGTCAAATATGCATTGAAAACAAGGATATCTAGTGTTTTGGTGTTAATACTTTGGCTGTTTTTGAGGAACTAGAGATTTATGCTATAGGATTTTAAGGTGAGGTTAGCACAGTGTGGTTTTCAGATCAATAAAGGACTTTGTGTCAAGGACCTCCTGGTTGCTTGCCTAGTTTATTGTGACTTAACAAAAGAGCCCAGGAACAGTATTGCTCAGCAGAAGGAAAACAAAAATAGGTGAGCTCATAGCTCATCTTGAAGAGACAAAAAATACCAAGATCAAGGGTGCTCACAAAGAAGTCCTGTTTAGAGAATGCCAGAATTCCATAGTGAAATCACTGTTTTCAAGTCCTGCCCTTAAAAACATGACCTTGGAAATGTTTTCAAACACACAAAAATTCACAAACAGTGTCACAAGCCAGAAGTTTTTTCTTTATGGTGCATTTATAACACATTAATAACTCATTCCCTCTAAGTTTTTGAGAGCTCTCCTTTACACTGTACAATAAGCTCCTTCAACCACTTATCAAATACCATATACAAGATAAACGTTTGGAACATAATTTAACTTTCCTTTCCTAAACTGGTGATGAGGGGAGAATAAATTTCCCTCTTCATTTTATATCAGTTTATTTTGCTGATGAACAGGAAGCTTGAAATTCCCTCTGGTCTTGAATTACACAAGGAAGAAAAAGATCAACCTAAGAATGCTTAATTTCTGCCCTTAGGAGAAAGGAAAGGATGAAAAAATCTAAAGGAAACTCCTGCTGCCTAAAGCATCCTTGTCTAGGAAGCAAAGCAGCAACAGCTTCGATGAAATATTTTGAGATTGATTTTTAAAGATATTCTTTTTTTTTTCTTGGAATTGATAGAATTGACTTGTATCTAAGCCCAAACTATGGCATTGTCTTTAAAGAAACTGACCTGCCTAAGCTGACACATTACAGCAGGATGAATTCTATTCTGAAACATAAGGTACAGCTGGAGGGAAATATTCCAACTCTTCTCCCACGAAGTTTCTGCAAGGTAGTGTAAACCTTCTGGTTTGAGGTAGACAAAACCAAACTCCAGTGTCCAAAATATACATATCAATATTTACATAATAATAAAAATAAAGGTTACATACTATATGCTATATACTAATTTCTTTTCCTAGTTTATCTCATTTAAGTCCTATAACTTTATTAATATTATGACTTCCAATTTGTACATAAGGTAACCTAGTCTCAGAGAACTAAATTTTTTTTTTTTTTTTTTAATGAACTTTTTGCTCTTGTCGCCCAGGCTGGAGCGCAATAGCACGATCTCGGCTCACTGCAACCTCCACCTTCCAGGTTCAAGTGATTCTCCTGCTTCAGCCTCCCAAATAGCTGGGATTACAGGTGCCCACCAGCATGCCCAGCTAATTTTTTGTATTTTTTGTATTTTTAGTGGAGACATGTTTCACTATGTTGGTCAGGCTGGTCTCAAACTCCTGACCTCAGGTGATCCACCCACCTTGGCCTCCCAAAGTGCTGGGATTACAGGCATGAGCCCCTGCTCCTGGCCTAAAAAAAATTTATTGTAATATAGATTAGCTACATATGCAATGTGAAATTATGCAGGTGGGTTTCATGTGACATACATATGTTTTAAAAGACTCAATCACAAATGTAGAAACATTTTCTTTCCTTCTTTTCTTTCTACCTTTCCTTCTTTCTTTTCTTCTCTTCTTTTTTCTTTTTCTTTTTTTTTTTTTGACAGCATCTCACACTGTTGAGAGCAGTGGTGTGACCATAGCTCACTACGGCCTCAATCTTCCAGGCTCAAATGATGCTCTCACCTCAACCTCCTGAGGAGCTGAAACCACAGGTACATGCCACAATACCTGGCTAATTTTTTGTAGAGACAGAGTATCTCTATGTTGCCCAGACTGCTCTTTAACTCCTGGCCCCAAGTGGTCCTCCTGTCTTGGCATCCCAAAGTACTGGGATTATAGCCATGAGTCACCACGCCCAGTCAACATTTTCTATTAAATATACATCCAATTATAATATTTACACATAATGGAAACAGGAAGTTTTTTTAAAAAGTTATTTTTTGGTGTCTTGTATTTAGAAGAGTAACTGGTATAATGTAAGCCCTCAATAAATATTAATTGAATAAATAGGTGAAAAATACATCAAAGTGTTTTGTTCCCGTGTAATTAGTACTATGGGCTCCTTTTTTGATGATAAAGATCAAAGATGTAAGAATTGCCTGAAACTGGTTGAGGTTTCAGCTAGCTGTTGAATCTCTACAGTGTCTTTACCCACTGCAGAAATGTCTGGAATGTGGCAGGTACTAAAGAAATATTGGTTGAATAAATGAACAGACCCATGCTGGTCACAGTCATTTTAGGTAATTGACAATAGAATTAAAGCTTGAAATATCCAAGCAATTTAGGAGAGTGTTTTGTCCGTTAATATGTGTCTTTCTTCTTCTACATCTTTCAAAGTAATGGAAATAGTTCTGGCTCAGATTTATGAAATAATAACATTCTTTTCTGTAGACCTATAGGTTACTTTTCAGGAAGGTTTTTGGGAATGGGATAGAAGAAAGATTATGACTGGGAAAAGGCAGTCTTTTACAATGACCTGCTATTCTAGAGGTTTATCTATCAATTCATAGGCCAGAATCACAGGAGACCATGTCCTGCACTGTCTTTTCCAGATCAAAGCGTTAAATCTACAACCATATAAACCCCATAACTTTGCCTCTTTCTGCCTTTTTTTTCCTTCTATGCTTTTCTTCCAGACATGTCTCCAACCTCCAGTACTTTAAGTGGCATCTTTAAGCTAAAAACACAAAACTATCTAGAAATGTTGATATTTCAAGAATGGCTTCCCCTGTAGGAATTATATTTTTAACACACAATAATTTTGCCTAGAGATTGATTTAGTCTTCTACTCAAAGATAACCTATGCTTATGATGAGTGAGTATGGGTTAGAGCAGGATATAGCTAGGCTGGGATACATGCACAAGGAGCAATCTATGGAGAAGGAGGAAAGGTGATACCGGCAGATCCTCCCTGAAGGCAATTAACAACTCAAGATAGATCCTCAAAAGGTCTAACAGTATATTTGGAACTTGATAACCAAGTAACCATATATCAAGTATATCGAAGGGAAAATAAGTTATTCCTTGGTTCAGGTAGACCCCTAGAATAGTCCTTGGAGGTAGCAAGTCCTCACTTGACACAGGTGACTCCATAATCAACATCGTAGTTTCTTCCTTGTAGACCAGTGGCCCATGTAGTAGAGCCAGTGTACAGATGTGATCTCTTTGGTCAGCACTATTTTTAAAATTTTTAAATGCATTTTAATTCTCTGAAACGTACTTTCAAAGTTGAGAAATTTCAGATAAGAATCAGATTTTCAGCTTCTCTTTAACAATCAGAAGATCGGGCAGCAGTAAGCCTGGGTGAAAATAGTTAACTATCACTGAGTAGGGGCTGCCGTTTTCTTCAGTTTGCTCATGCTTATATCAGTTTATTGCAGGGCCCATCCAGCCACGCTAAATTCTATTGCTTGCCTGGGATATGTCTGGCTGTTGTAAACAAACAAAAATCATTCAAAATCTTGGATTTCTAATATTCTAAGGCTTCCAGCTCTGAAAATTAGAATTACAGGATGCTAAAGTTGAATAACTAAATCATGTTTAAAAAGAACACTAACTTTACAAAGGCTTCTCTTTATTATCAGTTAATACTACACTGTGTTTCTCATATGTATGCATCCAACAAAGGTCTTATATCCAGCATCTAAAAAAACAAACTTAAGTTTATGAAAAAAACCACAAATGACTCCATTAAAAAGTTGGCAAAGGACATGAACAGACATTTCTCAAAAGAAGAAATACATGTGGCCAAAAATCACATGCAAAAAGCTCAATATCACTGATTGTTAGAGAAATGGAAACCAAAACCACACCATCTAATACCAGTCAGAATATCTACTATTAAAAAGTCAAGGGCCAGGCATGGTGGCTCATGCCTGTAATCCTAGCACTTTGGGAGGCCGAGGCGGGCGGATCACAAGGTCAGGAGTTTGAGACCAGCCTGACCAACACGGTGAAACCCCATCTCTACTAAAAATACAAAAATTAGCTGGGTGTGGTGGCGTGTGCCTGTAATCCCAGCTACTCAGGAGGCTGAGGCAGGGGAATTGCTCGAACCAATGAGGCAGAGGTTGCAGTGAGCTGAGATTGTGCCACTGCACTCCAGCCTGGGCAACAGAGTGAGACTCCGTCTCAGCAACAACAACAACAACAACAACAACAACAACAACAAAAACAACAGATGCTGGCAAGGTTGTGGAAAAAAGGGAAAACTTTATACACTGTTGGTGGGAGTGTAAATTAGTTCAGCCATTATGGAAGACAGTGTGACAATTCCTCAAAGACCTAAATACTTTGGTCTAAAGAAGTATCCTTTGGTCTAAAGGGATTAGACCCAGCAATCCCTTTACTGGGTATATACCAAAGGAATAAAAATCATTCTATTATAAAGACACATGCACATGTATGTTCACTGCTGCACTATTCACGATAGCAAAGACATGGAATCAACCTAAATGCCCATCAATGATAGACTGGATAAGAAAATGTGGTACATAGGCACCATGGAATACTATGTAGCCATAAAAAGCAATGAGATCCTGTCTTTTGCAGGAACATGGATGACGCTGGAGGCCATTATCCTCAGCAAACTAGCACAGGAATGCAAAATGAAATACTGCATGTTATCACTTATAAGTTGGAGCTAAATGATGAGAACGCATGGACACATAGGTGGTAACAACACACACTGGGACCTTTCAGAGGGTGGAGGGTGGGAGAAAGAAGAGAACCAGGAAAAATAACTAATGGGTACTAGGCTTAATATCTGGGTGTCAAAATAATTTGTACAACACACCCCCATGACACAAGTTTACCTATGTAACAAACCTGCACTTGTATTCCTGCACTTAAAAGTTAAAAGAAAGACATTTAAAAAACAGAGTTTATACAACAAAATGACCATCTTTAATTTCAGTCACCCCCGGATTCTTCTTCTCTTTCAAAATCACAACATTCTTTAATTCCATTGTATGTTATTGAACAAACTACTTGGGGCCACTTGCTGTATATGCGGTGTTGCGGGAGAAGCATTTTGCAACCCTTACGTGAAAATAACAGTGAATTTAAATTTTAATAATGACTGTTCCCTTATGTCAGAGACTTTTGTTTCTATTTGTCTTTGGTGATGTATGTTTGTGCTGGGAAGCATGCTGTTTACATCTGATTGCATTCCATCCTACTTTTGTTGCTAAGTTATCAAATATTTCCATACTTTTAAAATATTTGTATGTAACTCCTGAAAAACATAAAGGACCATAAGAAATCCCATGATCCGAGTTAGTAATGGGATGGAATATAGCCACTAAAGTGGGGAAGAAATTTTTTGGCAGAGAAAATAATTAATTATAAAATTCCAGATGGGCTCTTATTTTTGGCATACAATATTTGTTTGGAAATACAGTGTCATCAACTTTCAAAATGCAGGAAACTCCATCTGGTATTTGTATGTTTCTGTAAGAGGATGCTTGGATTCTCCTATTATCATTTTTTGCCCATATTGTATGAAATTATCACTCTTGGTTAAATTTAAATAATGATCATGTAGATACACAATCATCTATGACAAGTGATTTAAATATTTTTGAAGGCTGAGATAAGTGAGGATGTAATGCACTAACACTTGGCTGACATAAGACCATGTAAAATAAGATGCTTTTGTATGTCAGAATGCCCTGCACCCAGGAGACACTCTATCTTGAGTACTTTGGAAATGAGAAGCATAAGTAAACACAAGTAAAATTGTTAATGCCCTTTGAAAGAAAGCTCTTTATTTAGGTTCACCACTAGGAAACATATTAATAAATAGGTATTCTGTGTATTTTAGGCAATGATTCATTGGTTCATTGATTTCATTCATTCATTCATTCATTCAATAAATGCAAATTGGTGGCTAACTCCACTGTGTGGACCACTTACTTGCAGAACATTAATAGATGGTTTATATAGTTTTGTAGACAAGTTTGAAAATCCTGGAACAAGCAAGAATAAACAAGCCTTTTTAAAAACTGAGACTCTTCAGAACTTTTAAAGTACTAACATGAATAGTCAGGTTTTTTTTTTTTTTTTTTTTTTTTTTTTTTTTTTTTTTTTTTTGAGACAGAGTCTTCCTCTGTCACCCAGGCTGGGGTGCAGTGGCACAAACTCAGCTCACTGCAACCTCCACCTCCCAGGTTCAAGTGACTCTCCTGCCTCAGCCTCCTGAGTAGCTGGGATTAGAATAGTTAGTTTTTAATGAAAGACAAAGAAGGTGATGAATGCTTTTATGGTGCAATAACAGAATTCATAGCTGGCACTTGAGTTAATGGTATAGGGGACTGGTAGGAGCTTTACCAAGAAGACAATATTTGAACTGGGTCTTCTGGAGATTTTTTTTCTTTTTCTCAATATAAAATTAATGCACAATTATTTAGAAAATACAGTAAAAAGATGAAAATATTTAACTATAAGGATATAGTCTAGAGATAATCACTGGCAACAATTTTTGGATTTCCTCACTATCTTTGTTCATTGGATAGCTATCTCTTCCTTTTTTAACCACTTTCTGTAAAGAGCTTAATATGTCAAGTCTCACACACTGACTTATCTATGCAATATTGTGTGATTGTGATTTTTATACAGTATTAAATAATCTTTAAGGCTGTTTATTTCAGTGACTAAAATGATGTAATAATTCCACTGCAGTGGAACATTTCTGTTCTATTCCCTCGCAAATTTTTGTTAATGCAAATCAGTGGTTCTCAATGTGTGATTCTGGTACTAGCTACATCAGCATCACCTGGGAACTTAGAAACGCAAGTTACTGGGACCTGTCCTGGACCTACTGAGTCAGAAACTGCAGGGTAGAGCCCAGCATATAAATAGTTGTGATGCTTATACCTTTACATAAACCTTTTATGTAATTGTGATGACGAATTACCTTTAATTCCATATACAGATCATTTCAGGTTCTAAGAGTTTACATTATTGTATTTTCAGTACCCAACACAATGCTGGGCTCACACTAGAAGCTTATTTGTCGAATGAATGAACACTACTCTAAATCTGCTTCATCATTCTTTGAAATTTAGTGTTACAAGTTATTCTATGGGGCCAAGTAAATATTAATTGCTTTATAGATAACTTGTATTTTTTGTTTCTGAATGCATCTCAATCTATTTTCTTATAATTTAAAAATATCAGGATATATGTCTAATTGTCCTTTAAATAATGTTGCCTGGATCATGGTCAGCCCCTGTAATCTGCATTGCTAGTTCCCCCACCCCTTTCCTCTTCAACCCCCTAGTTTAGGACAGTTTTCTTCAATTGCATCTTTAATTACTACTTCTGTTCCAGTTAATCTAGTTTCTTTCCAGAAACTCAAAATTTTTCGTTTGTATCTCCTTCACTTGTCCTGTATATCTTTTATTACTTTCTTCTGTTCTTCTATGTGCCGTTATGGGATGTGTATGTATATGGAGGAATTGACATGAAAATGGTTTTAATTTTGAATTTCTGCTGGACTCCCTCGGCACCTCCTTTATCTCACTGTGAGCTCCCATTTCATCCCAGCTTGTTGCCTTGGCCTCATATCCTGTCTTCTTTTCATCTCATCCTGTTGTCCCTTTATCTCAGCTTGTCTATTTTGTGGCTTTCTTTTCCTGTTTACTAAAAGCAATGACTTCTTAAATCAGATTAAGTATGATAAACAGTCTTTTAAATTTTCTCTGGTTCCTGTTATAAATAATCTTCAGAGGTCTGCTCTTCCTCTTGTCTTCAGGACATTGTTCCTTTTCATTTTTGCTACTGGATGGCTTTCATAGGGTACTATGTTTTTTGTTTGTTTGTTTACCATTTATCCAAAATTAGGAGAAAATTACCCAGACTTGGTTTTTATAAATAGACAGGGTTAGTAGGTTTCCTTTAGGCCACCTGTATGCTCTAAATATCTGGATTAAAATCCCAATCAGATTTGTAGCTGAACTGCAGCTAGATCAGCTCCAGTGTCAGTCCCTTTGTGTGAGTATCCTGAACAGTGGTTTGCTCTTGTAGCCTCTGCTCTGCATCTGATCTCTGAACCAATCAAACACATTAAAATCCTTCGTTCCAAGCAAATGCTCCTACTAAGTCTCCTTTTCTATCTTGCTACCTAAGCGTCTTACTTGTGGAAATTAGACCTCCAGCCAGAGCTTGGTCTCAGCAGTTTCAACATCTTGGAATTGCACTCCTTTGGGTATGGAAAGAATGACATTGATAGAGATGCTCATGATGCCTTGGCTACCTTGAAAAACAACATACACACAGGCAATCTGGTTGTTGAATTTTAGTTACTGGATCTGTGGTCATTTTAGTTTGTTGGGAATGTTCTGTTTTGTTATTCTTCTCTCTCAGAGGGTATATTTACACAGCTTAAAAGATTTATTAACTCAGAACATATCTGCAAAATGTGGAGTACAGGAAAAAGATGTTTTAAGCAGAAATACTTTCTCAGACTTCCCTGTAAGCATACCCTGGAACAAATTATTTATATTAAAGCTATTTATTAAGGAAATACTTCCAGGAAAACCTACTTTGAGTGACAGAAAGAAGCAGACAGAGAAAGAGAAGCAGTCAAGCAAGGGTACACTTTCAAACAAAGTTTCATGGAGGGTGGTTTTGGCCTAATTTTGCAGGGAGCTGTGGAGTGTACGTCATACCTCAGAGTTTATCCCAACCCAAGCAAGGTAGCTGAGCTTTCATATTCAGGCAATAGACAGTCATTATGAGCCACTGCTGGGAAAGAAAGAGATGCTTGGACTTCTAGAGGCTCTTGGCTCTGTTTGTCTGCAGGCAAAGCAGCTCCAGTAACCTAAGAACTGCCCTAGGAAGAACAGTCACAGGTGCTAGCAATTGGAAACAGAAATACACTCAAGTCTGGGGAGGGGCTCACAGAAGACCTAAAAGTTGTTCAAGGGGATCTGTGCAGAGCACTGAGAGTATCTTCTCTAAATACCTTGTTCATTCATTTTCTTTTTCTTTTTTTTTTGAGACGGAGTCCTGCTCTGTCGTCCAGGCTGGAGTGCAGTGGCATGATCTCGGCTCACTGCAACCTCCGCCTCCCGGGTTCATGCCATTCTCCTGCCTCAGCCTCCCATGTAGCTGGGACTACAGGTGCCCGCCACCACGCCTGACTAACATTTTATATTTTTAGTAGAGACAGGGTTTCACCGTGTTAGCCAGGATGGTCTTGATCTCCTGACCTCGTGATCCGCCTGCCTCGGCCTCCCAAAGTGCTGGGATTACAGGCGTGAGCCACCGCGCCCGGCTTACCTTGTTCATTTTCTTATCTGCATATACTTAGCTCCTCCAGAGACATGGGAAGCTAATTACACCAACAGAAAGGTAGTTAACTCCTGCCTTGACCTATCAAATAAAGTTACATTAATTAGAAAATAATTCTGAGAAATAATTTTGTCTTTTCAAAGCAAAAGATGATTTACCTGGATATAAGCTTTTTTTTTAAACTTTATTGTGGCTGATAGACCACTTATGATACGGCAGAATAATACAATGCATATTTTGAAATCTTTAATGTAGCTAATCACTTTCAATGTGTCTTCAAATTAAAACATGTTTTCCCAAATGATATATTTCAAATGTAATCTGGTTTGAGCTTTCTTATATTTTATCAAGCATTCGATTTAGCCGTAGCAGGTAATATATAAGAATGAATTACTATTACTACATTAGTTCTGAAAAAGCTTTTGAAATATGTCTTTTCTCAGAGCAGTTTTCTTTGGAGCATTGGTTGATTCATGATTATGAAACCTAAGTGATAGAGTAACAATAGCATGGTATCCTGGTCTATGTCTGAGTGAGAACAAAGTTGAGGGCAACCCACAGATGGGAGGAGCAGGAGACAGAACCAAATTCCACTTTAGACTAGGAGTAACACTGTTAAAATGCACAACAGAATCTCAATAAATTCCTGAGATTTTTGCTACTGGATAAACATTCTGATTTCTTGAGATTCTATTTTGCATTTTGATGGCTTGATTTCTTGCACCTTGTTTTCTCACAAAAGTAGAAATGTTTCAATAAACTCAGCAACACAGCATGAAAAGTCTCAAAGTATTCTAATTCCTTCTAGATCCTCAAGCAGACGGATTACTTGGCCTTCATACTGTATCATTTAAGTTTGGATTTCCAGATTTCAACTTTGTTTCTGTTTGTAGACAAGAGGGGAAATATAAGCAAACAGAGATGCTTCATTGAAGAGAACGGTTGGGATGAAGGATCATTTAGAGGGTCTGTATAATCTCTTCTGCGAAATGTCACATAGTGAAGGACTTTAGTGTTCTATTCATATCTCTAACACATTGGTCTGTAATCACCAAATGCTATGCACTATTCAGACTCAGAACTTAAGGTCAATGACTGAAGTAAATTCTGCTCTGATTCATTCATCTAGCACAAAGTAGGCTCTCAATTTATATTTGTTGAACAAATGTATAATTTTAAATAGATATTGATTTTTATCTTAACAGCCCCAAGGTCTAACACCCTGCTAAGGTGATTATATACTCATGAATTATGAATGAAGGAAAGAACAAAAAATAAAAGAATAAGTTAATAAACTTTCCTTGAACTTGGGCAATATCTTTCTAACAGGGATATAAGTCTTCTACCTTGCTTCATATCAATGCAACCATCTTTCTACTGAAGCACTAATCTAATCATGGCCCTATTCGGTTCAAAAAATTATATTTTTGCTTACAGAGGAATTGAAACTCTTTATAGTATGGAGGTCAAGTTCCTGGAATATATGACTCTAAATTATTCTTTCCTGTCACCTCTTCATCTCATATAAGCCACCCGTACCAGATGACTCATAGTTTCTTATATCTGTAAATTGCTTTTATATCCTTTTATCTTGCTGTTACTTTTATTTTAGCTCAAAATGCCCTGATCATCCTTTTTCCTTGTCTAAATTTTACACATCCTGAAAAGCCTAGCTTAAAATCTTCCTCCTCTATGAAGTCTTTTCTTCCTGCACAATTAGAAATAATTGCTCCTATCTCTGGTCCAGCATATCACTGGTCATGTTTAATTTTGTGGATACTTATTTACTTCCATTTATAGTAAATAAGTCTCTCATTTTCATTCATAAGTACTTCTGAGGGAAAGATTAAGTTTTATGTTTGTTATGTCTGCCTCCTTTTAATAGCATGAGCCAGCATTGACTGTTACTGCTTAGTGAATCTAACTGAATTGCTGAGTTAGAAAATGTATAACTTATAGTATGATTTTGTAGGCAAAACCTGGTAATAGGCTGAAAGCCAAAGGCTAAGAGAATAGTTAAGCAATAGATAGCACATCAATTCATTGGACTCTTGTGCTTCTATTAAAATTACTATTGTAAAAATTAGTCACATGAAAATATTTAGGATGTAATGTTAAGTTAAATAAAAACTAATATAAACTACTTACTATAAATATGCCTATATAAGGTACATTAGCATACTAGGAAGGAGAACGTGGTAATTAGAAAAAATAAATACAGTTGATATCTTAATATGGAATAATGAAGTTTCATTTAAAAGTCCCCTTATTTTTCTTATAATGCTATCTATGCCATGAAAAATGAAAACAAAAGGCTCATAGGAAGCTAGATTTGGAAGAAGGTTACAGTAATTATAAAATGTTCAAACATTAACTCACAAATTCAGAGATTGTATCCACACTTAAAAGATGACAAGCTAAAACATTAAAATTCACACAGTGTACCTTTCAGGAGATAAGGAGGCAAATGCCTAGGAAAATGCTTTTTTTTTTTTTTTAATTAGCCAGTTAATTTTGGTATTGTAATAAAAATTGTTTTATGTTTTTCTCAATCTGAGCCTGGGAGATCTATTACAAAACAAATCGAGACATTCATAATGAATGCAAATAATATTATATATGCACATGTGATGGTACACTGGTGCATCACTAGGTGCCCTGTTTGGGACTGGACACTCACTCTTCCAGCTCTTGATCGTTTTGGTGAATGTCAGCTGCCAGATGAGTCACCATCTGGGCAGCACCCTCAGCCCAAAAGAGCCACCTGGCCCAAGATTATTCCCCTTCCCATCCAGAGCTGCATCTTGCATTCAAGGACTCATCAATGTGAGGGGTGTAAAAAGACCTGATCCCCTCTGTCTAAACTGGGACAACCTTAAGAGCCATTCCAACCCATCAGATCAAGGGATTGTGAGATATTGTGACAGCTCAGGCTCTCCTTCTGCTGGTTCCTGATTCTTTCACTCTCTGCTACTACTGTTGATCCAAATTACACTCCATAATAAACTTCAACTGCAAATCTCTGCCTCGTAGCCTGTTTCCCAGGAAACTTGACCTTAAAACAGTATTTATAACTAAATCTGCCTAAAACCTAAAAAGTTGAAAATAATCATATATAGGAAAAATGTTTCTAACATACACATTAGTAACTTGGGAATAAAAGCAATATGCTTTCATGTTTTCTAAGAACTTATGGGCAAGACACAGAAAGAGCCAAGCAATTCACAGATATGAACGTACTTAATGCTCAAAACTGCCTATGAGGCTGATACTATTCACTATCAGGCCTATTCGCAGGTTGCAAACTGAGATTAGAGTAGTAAGTTAACCTACCCAGGGTTATATAGCTAGTGGCAGAACAAGGTTTTGAACTAACTCAGGGTCATATAGCTTCATTGAACTTCTACCATTTACTATCTCTAGATAGTATTTAGAGATACCATTTACTACCCAGATACTACCTAGAGATACATTTTACTAACTCCAGAGTGTAATGCCCTAAGAAGTTGAACAAGCAAAGAGAACACATATATTTTGTGTTCACCATTTCCATTTGGTGTTATAATGTCTTAGGGATTAACAAAACCCTTCAGTTCTGAGGTGTTGAGCATTGTGATTATATTTTTTTTAATTTTCTTTTCTTCAGTCAATATCCAATAAAAGTTGTGAAGAAGGAAAAGCTCAATGAGAAACCATCGGAATAACACTACTGCTATTCACTTTTTGCTTAGAGAAGACGGTTGATGCATTTTATTACCAATTAAATTTATGCTCAGTGTGTTTTAAAGAGAAATATAACGCTTCCTCTGAACACTTCTTGGATTGTAAAAATCAAATGAAAAGAAGACCAGGCCATTTTCAGAGTCAGGCTGCGGGGAAGATTCTAGAGTACAAAGACTGTTTTCATTAAAGATATGCATTCTTAAAATACATACCCTGACTATGGATGTCTAGTTCAAAAAGGGAGAGTGTGGCAGTTTAGATCTTACAGCAAATCTCCCGAGACTCTGGAATAATAACTACAACTTCCCAAAGAGGCAGGAATGTGAAACATCAAGATAACATAGTCCTGAGTCCTGAAATATGTTTTCTTCATGATGTTCTGAGGAGATTTGCCAACGAACTTCAGCAAGAGTAAACATTCCTTTCACCTCCAAAAGCCATGGTTTGTTGTATCAAGATTTTTATTTTTAAACTTGATTTTCAGAACTCCATCAATTAATCCCTGAAATATACTCCTGATTCAAATTTGCATTTAATCTTGAAGTAAATTTGTCATGCAGTGTTTCTTTTTTTTTAAGCATTTGTGAGTTAGAACAATTTTTATTTGTGAAGACTGCAAATATATCTTACTAAGACAAACTAACATTAGGTTCAGCAGGTACTGCGTGTGCAGCAGGGAATGGGAAGGCAAACCTTTCTATCTTTCTTTTCCAGGAGCAAAGGGCCTGTGTTCACAGGATAAAGTGACATGTACATCTTATAAGGTGTCTGTGATGATAATTCCTTTTACTTTATGTTGGTACACTGAATGTTTCCAGAAACAAAAAGATAGATTTGGATACCTCGTCACACTTGAATTGTCAGATTACTTTTTAAATTTTTCACAAAGTAAAATATGTTTTTTCCTAGCATCTTCCATATTATTCCTCTCACATTTCAATAAGAACAAGACATATGTCCTGTAATGAAAACTTGCCACTTACAAATTGCTGAATTTATGACGAATATGCAAGTAAGACCTTACATACAATCGAGACTGATTATTTTCTTTATCCCTATTTTATTTTTCTAATTTTTAAAGCATTTACCCAAAACTTCCAAGAACTTCAGATTTGTTCATCTGACAAGATCTTCCCTGGTTTTTATGGATGAAAGCATAAGCGAATACATCTAATTTGGGGCTTACTATCTTATTTTGTTATGTATTATAACTCTCTTGACAAATTTATCTGTAATCTGCAATGCTCTCTCCCATGTTTCCTGATCATCTTCAAGGACATCATCTGTCAATCTAAAATTAAATCCTCTTTTTAATAGGATGAGAGTAGAGATGATGGACAAATCTCAAAAGATCTATATGTCAATCAAAATGTGATCAGAAAAATGTTCACTTCATTTCTATGTTCTGCCTTTCTTACCTCCATGACAAGGTTTACACTATTTTACTTCTTCCTACCTGCCCATCAAGGCTTAAATTTCATCTCCACGATAGCATCTCACGTGAAAGACATTGTTTCTTTCTTTAAATGTCCATAGAACTCCCAGACCTCTCTACTGCCAAGTAATCACTCTCTTGATGTATAAATGTCATAGAGAGAATGTAGCAGAGACTTTAGTGGACACCACTTCTCCATGATCTGCCCTACATTCCCAGTCTTCATTGCAGTTATACTTAGGCCATGTGACCAGTTCTGTCCAAAGGACTGTGAGCAGAAGTGATGTGTGCTGCTTCCGGGTCAAGGCAGATAAAGTGTCAGTGATGCTCCATTTCTTTATTCTCTTGGCTTCTGTAACCTTGAAATACACTTGCCAAAATATGCAGGGTTCACAGATAAAACACAGTGCTCCCATTTAAACTTAAATTTCAGATAAACACCAAAAAAATTTTGTGTAAGCATGTCCCAAATATTGCATGAAACAGATTTATACCAAAAATTATTATACAAAATTATTACACTATTACACTATAATACTGTATACTATATATTACACTGTATTATAAACTATATAATAGTCTTATGTTACATTATAAATATTATACACTATACGCTGAATTATTTTACTATTATACTATTTGAATACTGAAAACTTTTTATACTATTATTACACTAAATCATTTTTCTAAAACATTGAACTTTAGATGAGCAATGAATACTTTTTATATAAATATGTTCCAAATATTGCATGGGACATACTTATACTAAAAACATTGTGTCTACTTGAAATTCAAATTTAATTGAGCATCCTATATTTTATAAATCTGGCAGCCCTATGAAATGTAACATTACAAAGTGGTAAGAACTTCACGGTGTGACTTACCAGATGGAAGGGAGTATCTGCTGATACAACTTTGTGTTGGTGAGAAATAAATGTTCCTTGAATTCACAGAAAAAAACTGAAATGTTACTGCTGCAAAGCCTACGCTGTCCTAACTAAAACAGAACCAATGGAGCTTAATGTTGGAAAGGAAGAATGAGATCAGATATTTGAGAGCTTCAACTGGCAAGTTAGATGTTTCCATTTTACTTTGGAGCAAGGGAGAAGCAGTGAATGTTTGGAAATGAGAACTGACACCACCAGAGCTGATTAATTTTATGTTTGGTTGTTTTTGTTTCATTTTTTTTAATGCCTATATATATATAAGAGCAAGGACAAGCACAGAATAAGCAATAGGACAAGAGAGTAGTATATAATATGACCATCTGCCAGGGAACTTTGTTGTTGGGTCACGTAAAGCTAGAAAAAAATATTTTACTGCCTTAAGTCCAAGAACCATATATTAGATTTTTTTTTTCTCTGTGCACTAGCATAGCTGCCAGCCTTGTTAAGCATTCCATATATTCCTGCTAGCTTAAAATATTTTTTCTGGTTAATGTTTTTAAAAATCAATCCACGGTGGCTCATGCCTGTAATCCCAGCACTTTGGGAGGCTGAAGCGAGCGAATCACCTGAGGTCAGGTGTTCGAGACCAGCCTGACCAATAAAGTGAAACCCCATCTCTACTAAAAAGACAAAAATTAGCTGGACATGGTGGTGGGCGCCTATAGTCTCAACTATTCGGGAGGCTGAGACAGGAGAGTTGCTTGAACCCAGGAGGCAGAGGTTGGAGTGAGCTGAGATCATGCCACTGCACTCCAGCCTGGGCCACAGAGTGAGATTCCGTCTCAGAAAAAAAAAAAAAAAAAATCAATCCAATTGTATTTGTTTTCTTTGATTTTCCTCTGAGCCCAAAATGACCAGGACTAGAGGACCAAAAGCAGTCTTGTCCTAGCTCACCTTCTTCTGTAAACACAGCACAGATATATTATTCATCCCTAAATTTTGCATCTGCCACCAGTACAATTCCAGATGTCACTGAGAGACACAAAGAAGGCACAAATATTGGCAATAGAAAGAACTGGGGGAAAAGAAGGAGAAAAATATAAAAGGAAAGCAAGAAAATTCAAGTAAGCCATAAGGAAGATATAAGTATAGATGTGAGGGTGGAATGGAGAGGGATGGAAAAAAAAAAAAAAAAAAAAAAACAGAAGTAGGAGGGAAAAGGAGAATTTGGGCTTGTGTACATATCTTTGTTTTCTTGATTATTTGTTTGGTGATTTTTTATTCAAAAGAAAAGACTTGCTCAAATTTAAAATAATTTGCATTCTGTTTTACCATTTTTACATTTGAGAATTAGGTTTACTGTGAAAATAACAATTATTGGCCAAAATTCTCTTTCTTAAGCTTGGCATATTGTTTTTTCTATATTCTTGGTGGTAGAAATATTGGGTTAAGAGTTTGCTTGGTAAACTGAGAAGACTTCTTTTCTGGGAAGTGGTTGCAGAATGAAGAGTTGGATGTTGAGGACTGGAGAGAGGTTACATGCACTGGTGACTTGAAGCTTTAATACTAGATGACGTTTTTGGAAGCCAGCATGTGATATTCAACAATAAGTTTATAGAAGCCTGCTTGGTTTTCAGGTTCGATACAGTTTTCCTTTTTCTTATAAAGTACTGTTGTTATTGTTCTTATTTGTCATTTTGGTTTTTTCCTTTAAAAAGTATTTTATGTTTAATCATATATCATATATATTTATTTTAATAAACTTTATAAGCATTCCTACTTACATCCTTCATTAACGTCGTTTTGTTTTTTGTTTGTTTGTTTGTTTTTAAGAGACAGAGTCTCACTCTGTCACCCAGGCTAGAGTACAACGGCACGATCATAGATCATCGTAACTTTGAAATCCTGGGCTCAAGAGATCTTCCCACCTGAGCCTCCTGAGTAGCTAGACCAACAGGCATGCCACCAGGCCCAGCTAATTTTTTTTATTGCTATTTTGTAGAGTCAAGCGTCTCACTGTTTTGTCCATGCTGGTCTCAAACTCCTGCCCTCAAACAATCTTCCTGCTTTGGCCTCCCAAGCTCTGGGACTACAGGCCACGGTGCCTGGTCACCTTCATTAACTTTTTATGGATGGATTTCTTTCCTAAGAAAAATTTCAATCTGTCTTAGTGCTGTGGCTCACACCTGTAATCCTCATTGCAGTTTGGGAGGCTGAGGCGGGCAGATCACTTGAGGTCAGAAGTGCGAGACCAGCCTTGGCCAACATAGAAAACCCCGTCTCTACTAATAATATAATAATTAGCCAGGGGTGGTGGTGCATGCCTGTAATCCAAGTTACTCAGGAGGCTGAGACATGAGAAGACGGAGGTTGTGTGAACTGAGATTGTGCCACTGCACTCCAGCCTGGAAAACAGAATGAGACTCTGTCAAAAAAAAAAAAAAAAAAAAAAAATCAATCCACAAACAAGCTTATCAATCAACTGAATTTAGTATGACCTGACTCTGCTCCTAGCAGATCTGTACAGACTATTCTCTGAAGACTTGGACTAAGAAATGAAAAGTCGTTCCTTAAAAAATATATATTTTTAAAAATTTTCATTTGGAGTCTGTTTAGCTATTTGTGCATGTAATTATGGCCAGTGAATCCCCTGAATCAGAAAATATCCCTCAGCAATATGAAAAAATTAAATATAAATAATACTATTAAGGATTGGATACTTCCATTTTCTTTCCTCTTGTCTTTCCTAATGGAGCTTATAATAATGGTGGGGCGGGGGGAGGATTTTTTTATTTTCCAATTGCTTAATGGAACTGATTGATAGAAGAGTAATGATAGATCAGCTGCTCAGGATCTTTCTGAAAGTGAGAAGCAAGTTACTACCTACAATGTATTGGTGAATAGTGATAATGAGTGATAATGAATGATAATTATAATTGTCACCCACAGTAATTTGATGACTTTCTGAATGTCATTTAGGATGAAGAAGGGCAAATTCTCTGCAAAATTTAAAGGGGGTATATAATTCCAGTGCTTTGGGAAGCTGAGGCAGGAGGATTACTTGTGGTCAAGAGTTCAAAACCAGCCTGGACAATGTTGCCAGACCCTGTCTCTACAAAAATTAGCCAGGTATGGTGATGTGCCTGTAGTCCCAGCTACTTGAAAGGCTGAGATGGGAGGATCCTTTGTGCCCAGGAGTTCTGGGTTATAGTGAGCTATGATTGTGCTATTGCACTCCAGCCTGGGTGACCAGTGGGACCCTGTCTCTAAAAAATACAGTAATAATATAAAAGATAAAACTTAATAAAATATTGAGGTCTAAATGTCTAAATAAAGCATAATTTGTTGTTACCGGAAGACATTTTGTAAGATTTCTAGATAGATTCCATGTCTACAGGTGTTATAGACTTGCTGTCATCAACTATGTCTGATTCAGGTAGGAAGAGGTGCCAAAGTCTCTTAAAACACCTTGAATTCCAAGGTGAAATGAGTCTACTCAAAAACCAAACATCTCTTGAGTGTTCCTAAGTAGCAATTTCTGTATCCCAGCCCAATGCAATCATAGACTAGCAAAACTTACACTTGCAAGGCATCCCCACTGTGCTACTAGCCCTCATGTATGTTTATACATTGTCAAAAATTTAGCTCAGGTCTGTGAAAAACAATTTTTTCTTCCAGAACTGTAATAAAGTCTCAAGTTTATTTTAAGGTAAGCACACCAGTGTTTTTGTTTGTTTGTTTTAGGTGCATATAAGCAGTCGTACAGCACAAACTTTTTTGCTGTATATGGCCTCTTAACCATTTTTCATGTGTACGTATCCCATCAGTTAGAGTCATACAGTTGTGGAGGCTACATAGCAAGTGTTGTGAGGCAGTTGAGGAAAATGTTTATACCACAACCTACAGGCGCTTGAATCCTGCTCTGCCACCTACTAGCTGTGTACGTTTTTGCAATATACTTTACCTCTCTATGCCTCATTCTGTTCCATAAAATGAATGATAATTTATGATAAGCAAATGCACCTTGTAGGGTTGTCATGAAGATTAAATGAGCTAAAGTAGCTAAATTAAATAAAAAATAAATGTGTATGTGCATATTTCATGTGAAACACACACACACACACACACACACACACACACACACACACACACAAACCCGTCTCATCAAACAGTGCCAGCAACATATAAAGCACTAAATAAAGCCTTTTTAAAAAGTTACTGATTTTTTTGTCAGCGTTTTATTCTGGAAAAATTTGCTGCTAACAACAAAGTTTTCCTTGGAAAAACTAACATTACAAATGTTAAAAAATGTTTAAAAATAATTCATAAAAAGATTTCATAATAAGAATTTCCTTGTATAGTTAAAATCAAAAGACTAGAGATGGCCATAGCTGTGGGGATTTGGACAGCCTTTGAGCTTTCTCTAGGAATCTGAAGAACTCATATTACAATGTTGGATGAACAAACTTGTGAGATATTTTCTTCTCTGAATCTGAGAAAAACTACAGAATGTCTCAATTGGCAGTAGCTACAATGGCAAAAAACAAAACAAAACAAAAAAAAGACAAGAAGGCAAGAAGCATCTTTTATTTTCTCTTAAGACAAACTGAGAGGAGCCTAAATTGTAATGTTAAATACAACACACTATTTCTTTTTTGAATAATTTGTGTCATGATGGTTGTCTTCAACATAGCGCTGAAATGCCTGTTTCTTTGATAGTCTAAGGGTGTGAATTCCCATGGTAAAAACTAAATTAACAACATGTAAGATTATTTAGAGGGCTATGAGATTTTTAGGATTTTATTGAAAGTATCTGCTTCATCATAATTTAATAATCTGCTTACTGTTACACATTTTTTCCCAAATTGAAATACCTTTGCTGTTTTTTTATTCTAGTTATAAAAGCAATATAGTATACACAAAAACATCATAGAGTTTTAAGAAAATGAAATTATTTCTAATCGTATAATCTGGAGATTATCATCAAATCCAGAATAGTATTATACTTAATGTTTTATAGCTTATTTCTTTCCAATTAAGGATGCATTATGGACATTATACTACATCAGTACATATAAATATGTGACATCATTTACTGAATATGTAGTATCTTACTGTAGGAATAAACCATAATATACATAATTTATTTCTTATTGAAAGGCTTTTAGTTTCTTTTCATTGTGTTGCTGTCATAAATAATGTTATAATAAATGTCCTTACAGATAATATCTTTATGTATTTGTCCAAATATTCCCTTAGGATAAGTTACTAGAAGTGAGATTGCTGTGTCAAAGGCTAGGAACTTACATAAAATCTGATTTGGCCTCAATATTGCCTATCCAAAGGGCTAAACCAGCTAACACCTTTATTAGCATATATAGTTAGGAGTTGGCAAAATATAGCCATGGGCCAAATCCCATCTGTTATCTGTTTTGTAAACAAAATTTTATTGGAATACAGCCACACCATTCTTAAATATACAGAAAATGTTTGCTGAACACTAATACAGACCATTCTTTTGTCATAAAAGGCTATCATCAACTATACACACACACACACACATTTACATTTCACTCCCTTCTTTTTTCTTATCTAAGGATATTCTCGAGTGGGACTCCTAGCAATTAGAGGGTACTGGAAATCTTATATAAAGTCATGAAGACTTAGCCTCACCTTTTTGTTCTACAGGCAGATCACTGAAATCCAGAGAATACCACTGAGACAGGTAACATTTAACAATTACTTTCACAATAAAGTCAAGTGTTTGGATTCTCAGCTTAGTGATCTTTTCTTTTATTTCTGAAAATTTCCAAAGTTAGTTTTTAATATAAAAAATAGGTGACCTTTTGGGTTGACATCTCCTAAAAAAAAACAAATTTGTAAGACTTCTCAAGAAGGCAACTTGATTTTATCATCAGTGAAAAACAAATTTAATTGAACATGAATTAATAAGTAATTTCTAAGATATTATTTTCCCCCAGACTTCCCCTAATGTCCTTCCTTTCTATTACTTTATTCATTACATGTGTGATATTAAACTCTAGCAAAAGTGAAACTGAATTAGTAGATAATCTTTAACCTTTTGTCTTTTACAATCTAGTTGGAATACTAAAGTCACAATGTAAGATAGAATTGGATCAGCGTTTTCTTCTTCCTTTGTATACTGTGTTAGGGAAGCAATGACAACTTGACAATTCTCTTATTATTATAAATAATTACATTACTTTAAAAAGTATTCACTATTTCCATAATGATTATAAAAATAAACTATTAAATATCAATAGGATGATGAACAGTTATTTGATACCAATCTCCTTCTAATACTTTTATTACCCAAATAATTATATCCTAATTATCCCAATAATTATATTTTCTATTTTAAAGAATATTACAACTATTCTAGAAGATAGACAAGAGCCTGAAAAAAACGATGTACCTTATAGTTCCTTCAGGATCAGGTTACAGAACACACCTTAAGCAATGCACGGTGACATTTTCTGTGACAAAGCAGAGAATCAACTAAGTGATTTACTTTTTTATTTTTTATTTTTTGAGACAGAGTCTCTCTCTGTCACCCAGGCTGGAGTGCAGTGGTACAATCTCAGTTCACTGCAACCACCACCTCCTGGGTTCAAGCAATTCTCCTGCCTCAGCCACCTGAGTAGCTGCGATTACAGACTTGCGCCACCAAACCTGGCTACTTTTTGTATTTTTAGTAGTGATGGGGGTCTCACTATGTTGCCCAGGCTGGTCTGGAACTCCTGAGCTCAAGCAATCCACCAGCTTCAGCCTCCCAAAGTGCTGGGATTACAGGCGTTAGCCACCTTGCCCAGCCATCTAAGTGTTTTTGATCCTTTTATTTATTTTGTAAATATGAATTGTCAAATTATATTTGATTTTTTTCAGAACATTTTTTTCTAAAAGACAATCCAAACTGTTCAAAGACTATGGAGAATTGTGGTTTTATTGGCCTTTTTTTTTTCTTGCTTCATATTATTTGTTCTAGTTTTATCTCAAATTGCATTCAGAAAATATAAATCTTTGCCTGGTTTGTGTAACAGAACTTAGGTTTATCTTTGGATATTAATACTCACCTCTAATCCTAAACTTGATGGAAATGTCTCTTGGAGGTCAAAGAGAAACATGGCTTTCACTCTGCTTCCTTCCCCATATGTGGTGGTCTCTGTCCTCTGCCCATTTTCTAGAAAGTCTCTCTCATTCAAAGAGGGGACGCTATGCAGTGGATTCTTTCCCACAGTGACTATAACCCATGTTTTATCATTTCTCTTAAACTTAAATCATTTAAAAATATTTGCATTGCTTCTGAAAACTCTTATGAACTATTAAATTTTACCTTTGCCAAGGATGGTGAACAGTATTTTACAGGTTACTTAAGAGATTCTCTGATCTTTTTACAAAAAGCAAGAGGCTAGTCTTTGACATAAATGCCCCTAGGTGATGTTAAAATAAAAGAAAGGAAGAATTATTTAAACTTTACAACTGTCAGTCAACCTAGAAATAGTTCAAGACTTATTAGAGGGAACTGAGTATTTAATAGGGAGAAAACTGTCACATCCCTTTCCATTTAAAAATTGGGGATGGGCTGGGCGTGGTGGCTCACACCTGCAATCCCAGCACTTTGGAAGGCCAAGGCAGGCAGATCACCTGAGGTCAGGAGTTCAAGACCAGCCTGGCCAACATGGTGAAACCCCGTCCCTACAAAAATACAAAAAAGTAGCCAGGTGTGACGGCAAGTGCTTGTAATCCCAGCTACTCAGGAGGCTGAGGCGGGAGAATCGCTTGATCCCGGGAGGCGCAGGTTGCAGTGAGCCGAGATTGCACCATTGTACTCCAGCCTAGGCGACTGGGTGAGACTCTTTCTCAAACAAACAAAAAAAAATTGGAGATGATAATTCTTGATTTTGGGTGAAGAATAATACCACCTGCTTGTTAGGATAAGGGACAAAAAATGGGCAAAGTATTAAAAATGAAAAGACATCACTTTCTACATTTATTTTAAGCAAAAAGGGGGATAGTTATTATTTTCTGATGAATTATTAATCTCACCCAGTAATTGTTCACTGTTCTCTCAACAAATATTTGAGAACCCACCACTTTCCAGAATGTTCTACATCCTGGACATACAGGGTCTGTTGCAGAAAGAAGTCTTTACCTTCATAGAACTTACATGACAGTGGGAACCCAGACAACTGATAATGGGGATATGCTAAACATATATTTGTGATAATTTTCAAGGGGAAAAAGATAGTGAGAAATGGAACAAGATTTGATCCTTTAGCTGGGGTGGGATGAGGAGGACTCACTGTGAGGAAAACCCCTTTGAGGAACCACCTAGAAGAGGGAAGGAGCAAGCATGTACACCAAGGAGGGGCATTGAAGCAGAGGAGACAGTAGGGCTGAGGGCTGCGGCAGTGAATAGAGCAGGTGAGGTGGGGGCAAAGTGATGAGGTCAAGGGGCAGAGGAGGTGGGGGACAGAAGATGTAAGACCTTGCCAGCCATGGCATAAGCCTTGCATTACTCTATGTGAGACAGGAAGCCACTGGAGTTGTTTTGAGGACAGGAATGACATTTTGACATGACCCCTTAGGTTGTCAGTTGAGAAGAAAAAGAAGAGGGGCAAGGGATGAAGCCAGACACCAATTTAGGAGGCATCTGCAAGGTCCCAGGTGACAGACACCTGCGCTTACACGAGGTTGTGGCAGTGAAGGTGCTGAAATGAGGTGAGATTCAGCTTGTATTTTGAAATTAAGACCAGTGGGCTTTGTTGTTTGCTATACTGTGGTGGGAAGGGCATCAATGAAAAAAAGAATGAAAGAAATTTGAGGCTAACTTGAGACATTAGGCCTAAGCAACTGGAAGAGCAGAGTTGACTTTTACTAAGTTAGGAAAGCTTCCAAGAAGAGCCGGTTTGGGAAGAAAAACTGTGAGATGGGTTTTGGCTTGTTAGGCCTATTGGTCACCTAAGTGGAATTGCTAACTGGACAGTTGGGCATGTGTGGCTGCATTTCTGGGGAGAAGTCTGAGCTCCGAATACATTTTTGGGAGTTTTTCACATGTAGATGGCATTTAAAGTCATATTTTATATTCATTTAGTGCTTAATAGTATAAAATTTAGGCCTACCCACTTAAACAGTTACAGGTGACACCAAGGGTAAATTCGGTTAGGCCACTTCACATCCGTGTGAGGCACACAATGGGCTATGTAGTTTTCTGTGTCTCAGTTCATTACCCTAAAATCAGGGGCAAATACAAGATTAGCTGCGGGTATTTGCATGAGAGTAATAAGGCAATTTAGGGGAGTAGGGAAACACTTCCCGAAAAAACTCAAAAATTGTGAAGAAATCCATCCCTATGTTAAATTGCGATGAGCCCAAAGCTGCATCACCACTGCTCTTTCTGAAAGAAATATTATGGGTATAGCTAGCAGTTTTCTGCTCCCAGACATCAACCGAAACCCATAGGCCTGTGTCAGTAGCACCACTCAGAGTATTGGCATAAAGGGGAAAGTCCACACAGCCTGGGTGCAATCTTAGCTCACACATCTACTAAGCTAAGTGATACAAGTTACCTAACCTCTCAGGACCCAGTTACTTCATCTGTACGAGGAGGATTATAATTTAATCTGTGTTCGAGAGTTACTATATCAATATAGTAACATCATGTATGTAAAGCCTTGATTCCAGAGCTCAGCACAGATCAGAAAAACAATATATGTTAGCTAGCAGAGAACTAGAAGAATTCTAGATACTATCCAGGATGTTACAAACACATCAGAAATATTAGGTGGAACCACTGCTTCTTAATTAACAAATGTTGTATAGAATACAGAGCCTTATAGAGTAGAGTCAAATGAAAAGAGGTAAATTAACTGCCTAATGGAAATTTCAACAAAGGTTGCAATAAAGAAATATAAACAAATTTTAAAAATAAAAAATTCTGTTGTCATAATATATCAGGGAAGTATACAGTTTATTACATCCTTAGAATTTGTTTGCCATTTGGGAAGCACTTATTACTGTTTTGATTTGAAGAACAGATGAGATATAAAAATATCCCCTTTATGTGTACTAGGAAGTATGGCCTATGGACAAGGAAATACTTAAGTGCATGGTAGTTAAAATGAAACATAAAACTTAGACATTAAATAGTTAATTTAAAATGCTTTAGGGGTTGTTTTAAAATATCTTTCATTTTTACCGTGAATGAAACCCAGTAAAAAAGCAACAGAATATTACCAAGAGGCACCTAGGTGAGACATAAGAAAGAGTGTTTGAATGATAAGTATTGCTAAACCTTTGAGCAAACCTACCAAGAAAAAGATGATTTCCTTCTCTCAAATTCTTCAAGAAATAAACTGATACCTTCTGTGAATAATCCAAAGTAAACTTTAGTAAGAGAGCTATAATTATTAGTGAATATAACTGAATATTTGAGTATTCAAAAATTTTGATAATGTTGAACTTTGTGCATGTGGGGTACTCCTGATGTCTTGTCAGTCTTTAATAACTCCTGGGGAAAAATAGAATAACATTTCACCTTTTGGAGCACAGTGAAAACTAGCAATTAAAAGTCAAAAGGAGCTCCAAAGAACTAAGAGAGAAGTCTCAGAGTTCATGTATTAAAAACTCGGGTACTTGATACCTGGATGACCAGATTCTGTTGATTCTTCTTTTATTCACAGTTAAAGTTAGCTTAGTTATCTGATCTTGAGTCCAAAGAAGATTAGATGTAATAAGCTGGAGGGAGGTAAAAGGGCTTCAAGGGCTGGTAAATGGAACAGACTGACCTCCAAATAACCAAATGCACAAGACGCTGAGGCTACTTGTGTAGGACCAACTTTTCAAGGACCATAAAGTACTCAGAGTTTGCTCTATATTAAAGCAGAATAAAACCTGATGATTCTAAATTGCTACAAAGGAGTTTATTTTTGCTTGGTCCATTCACCTTTAAAAACAAGGAAGGCTGCAATCCAATTTGAAACTGAATTTCATCATAAATAGTTACCTTTATTTTTTTGCATCGACAATGTATTTTGTTTCCAAAAGGGTAGATGCTTAGCTTTGGAAGCCTATATCTCCATAATAACTCATTTCCTGTAAGACCCAAACAGCTGTAATAGTGTATGCAGAATGGAACTGAGTCAGAAGCCCAGACTTCAGTTATAATTTCTGTGATTATATTCATTCTTTGTATATGTTATTCCTCCATTATATAAGTTGAAATTAGTGACAAGAAGGGAAAATAAGCAAAAAAATGGGGTTATTTCATCTTTAGCTGTTAATGGTTAAGACAGTACTGTGATAACCTTAGCTCTTTTACATATATTTTATCATGTAATCTTAATAACTATGTAATTGAGCATTCTTATTTTACAGAAATAAAAAAATCACGGAATGTCACAGAAGTCATAGAACTTGACAAAGGACACACAGCTCAGTATGAATCCAGGTTGGCTTGACACGATACTGCCTGCAGGACAACATGTGCCTTCATTAACCACAAGGACTAAGTCTACCAAAGTGACCCACTGGATGCTTATTATCCTCTCTTTGTAATATGATGGCATTTATAAAAGTAATACTGAGAAAATCCAAAGCTTATAATTTGGAAACATAAATCTACCCATAACACTGTTTTTAAGCACCAGACAAATTCAAACTCACTTGCTTCTAAGCAACTCTTGCTTAAACAAATTAAGAACATCTTTTAGACATTTCTGCCAGGAAAAACTTTGGCATCTGCTAAGGGACTTCCTCAGTTATAATAAGGATAACGATGTTCCTTATTTGTATCCTTTTTGTTTGGGTTGCCAGGAAACTTCGCACTCAATAATCGTATATATCTCTTTCCTCTTCCTGTTAGTGCTCTTGGTTTACTATTTCTAGTTCGAGTTTTTCATATTCATTGTAAAGTATATTTTTTGTAAGTTACTTCAGAACTTCTGTGGGAAAATCCAGGGCGCATAAATTGTACAGAGGCCAAAACAGTTTATAAATGTGTTTATGTGCTTGATAGCACCATAAATGTTCCAGTATTTGATTATCTTCTACCTATCCACATTTATCTTTATTCATGTTTCTTGAGTCAAATCCAATGTAAGTCTATAGTGCTTTCTGTGACATGTGACAAGCTGCCCAAGAATGTGAATGACATGTTACCCTAGGGCCATTCATAAGCAGTGGGTTAATATGACAGGCCCAGGTTACTTTCCAAGATATAAAATTATTTGCTCCCTGTTTCCAAAATTTTGCAAAACTTAAATATATATGCAAAAAGCAAATACAAGGCTTTAAATATTGCCAGTATATTGTATTAGTAGTTCATCATGACTCACAATGTGAAGATGAAATGGAAAAGATTCAAAGTCATGGTATCGGGGCAAATTTTTTTTCTTTCTTTCTTTTTTTTTTTTTTTTTGAGGTGGAGTCTCGCTCTTTCCCACAGGCTGGAGTGCAGTAGCGCGGTCACAGCTCACTGCAAGCTCCGCCTCCCGGGTTCACGCCATTCTCCTGCCTCAACCTCCCCAGCAGCTGGGACTAAAGGCTCAGGCCGCCACGCCCGGCTAATTTTTGTATTTTTAGTAGAGACGGGGTTTCACCATGTTAGCCAGGATGGTCTCGGTCTCCTGACCTTGTGATCCACCCCCCTCGGCCTGCCAAAGTGCTGGGATTACAGGCGTGAGCCACCGCGCCCGACCAAAAATGTGTTTTTATAAAGCCTCCTGCATTGGTTCCTGTGACAATGGCTCAATCGTTCTTTGAAACAACTTTCACCTAAGAAATTTAGTTTAAGGTATTTTGGTAATTTCTTAAGAGTTCATGGCATTCAGTAGCATGTACTGACTTCAAATTGCTGTTGCCACGAGGGAGCAGATGTGAAAGCCAAAATGTTCTTCCATTAAAATACTTATTATTTACCAAGTAAAATAAAACAGTATTTCACCAAGTGCCTTTAGGGCCAAAGTTAGAGTCCTGACAAACCATTTCAAATTCCACTGGAACTAATGAAAATGTGCCAATAGTCCATTCAGCTGACAAACTACTTTCCCTCATGTGTCAGTTTTACCTTTTTTACCTTCTCTTTCATTCCCCTTTAGTAAAAATCTAAAAACACTTATTTTTATTAATATAATAAACATTCCAAATCTATTTGAAAAAATCAGTTTGGAAATATGGGGAAGCCATCATTTTCCATCATTTCAAGAAAGAAAGCACACATGATAGGCATGAAATAAGAATTATTTTCCTTTTTCCTGTCTTATAACATTCTCTCCAGAACCTACTGGTAGTAAAGTCTTAGTACAATGTCTTTAAAGCCATTCTAAAACGCACCTCTGAAACACACTGACCAACACATTTAGGTCCAGCCTAATTCTCATATTTTACAATATCACTTGCAGTCGGAGCAGAAACTGCTTTTGTCATCCTAAGTAGCAAGAGACACAGGCACAGAATGTGACAATTCATTTTCTTGCTCTTTCTATTTACAATTTAGGGCAGCATCACAGCAAAACAATTAATTGGCCTGCCTGGAAAACAAATAAATCACAAACTCAATATGTTGCTTGGAATTTGCAGCTCATTTCTGCAGTACTGCTGTGCAATACGGCTAACATATGAGGTTGGTAAGCTCTTCTTCTGACACGTCTCCAAGTTTGCCTAACCCCTTGCAAGGTTATGGTAGAGAAATAGAAGAGAGATTGTGGTGTAGTTATAATAGCATATGTTCCAAGTCAGTAAACATCAGAACAGAACAAAGAACAATAACAAAACTGATGCAGCACATGACGCAGTGATAAGGAAGGTCAAGATAAGCAATCTTAATATTCATTCAGTAATCTTGGAAGTAAATTTTTTTTGGCCAGTCTGAAAAAAAATTAATACATGCTGATTTAGCATGTTATTAATACTAGTGTTACTTGGTTATTGAAAAATAGTCACATGCACATACAAAAATTTTTCCCTTGCATATCAAGCTTCCATTTAATGAAATTACCATAAATGACTGTTTGGCTCCTACTGTATATGTGTGGAGCATGCCTGTCTACCAAGAGATTCTTGGCATTGCCTTTCCCAGACATTTTTTACTTAGGAAAGCTATGCAAATAAAAAACAAAATAGTTTGAGAGTACCCACCATGCTAACTTTTCAGGTCTTTTTATTCATCCTTGTTAAGAGATTCAGACGTCATTTGTAGTGGGTAACATATATGTCTAGCTAATTCTGTGAAGATTCAAAACTTCAGACGAAATTTAAAGAGGAGTAAGATTAGTACACTATGGAAACTATTACAATGACTATTTGCTACTTATTCTGAAATGTATGTAATTAATAGACTCTGAATAGACCATAAATAAATCACTTAACTAGTAAATGGGAAATAACTCTAATAAAACACTTGTTTAAATTATAAATGAGTCCATGAAGGGAGCCATGCAGTCCAAACTCACCATCCTGAATACCTCTTGATCAGTTGCAATTTAACTGCTATTTACCAGCAAAAAAAAAAAAAAAAAAAAAAAAAAAAAAAGAGCAATGATCTCAATCATTGAACTCATACTTAAATGCCTGATTTGATAGACATCTGTTTTATAGGTCTTACAAATTCTTTACAACTAGTGCTTCTAGAGAATGTTGAAGGAACTGGGATGTAGACTAGGTTTTGTCAAACTCCAGATCCAAGAAAACTCCATTATCCTGAATCTCCAGAAATCTTGAGAGGGTAGAAAAAGTTAATCAGGAGAATTTTATACCCAAAAGGCAGAATGAATTTACTGGTGATGGCAATTAGCTCCTTTTTAGCCATAGTCAAAGAATTTGAACAGTTTCATTACAGTTTAACATATAATGAAAAACTTTTAATGGGAAATGATTTTACAATCCAGCCAATGAGATTACAGAATGATGCATTTACAATCTCACACAAATTATCAAGATGAAAACAAACACAAAGTGACATTTTCAAAATCTTTATTGTAATGTAGTCATTACCATCTCTAGCACACAAATATTTTTGCTATATAAGATGATACGTTTTATTGCTTCCATTCAAACTTGCTCTAAAAACCCCTAAGGAAAATTGGTAAAAACTCATGAACCCCTTTTTCTGACAACGGAATTCCATCATAAAGAACCCTTAGGTAAATGACCTTGTAAGTTTTCTGCTAAATTCCTCCATTATTTGCACTCAGTTTTATTCACAGGAATAAAATACACCTTTGGTATTTAGTTTAGCAGTGTCCATAAAACCAGTTGCTACCATATATCCTATTGTTGACTGTGTTTTTTTTTTCTTTTCTCAATTTGTGTTGGGCTTTATTTTCTTCAAATTACTCCATTTAATCAATAATCTTTCCCATCAAGAAAACTTTCATCCAATTAATGTTACAGTTATAATTCACGAAGTTTGCATGATGACATATGACACGAGTGGATAATATGTCAGCTATGCTGCTGAAAGCTATAGAACTGAACTTGAAGGCTGATGAATGATCAGGGCTTATTTAAAGTATAATTAATTTGTCACCATCTAGAAGATTTGATATAAATTATTCTAAATCCCCACTGCTAAATATCTTCATGATCCAAAAGGTTAAACTAATTCCAACAAAATCTATAAATCTAAAATAGGCCATCTTAAATATCTTAATGCTAACTCAAGGTGTAAAGAACCTTTAGGAAAAAATTATCATATTTAACAGATGTAAATTATCTCCCACCTGTGATATGCCTGTAAGAAAGACAACATTTTTATTGTTTTCTTCCCTATTACAGAGTATGAATTTAAATAATAATTACAAAATGAGATAACTCTTAAAATAATGAGGTAAACCTATGACCTTGTTTCACCCAACCAAGATAAATGTGAGGGAAAGCCACTTCAGTTACCAATTTTGGAGGCATGACGTATCTGGCTATTACTCTCTTTCCTTCCGCAGAAACTCAGATTTCTTGTTTAAGGATAACTGATTGAGTTTCAAAGTAGAATCCAGTTGGTAGTAAAGGCTTAGCTCAGGATGTTGCTGCAACGTGACCTTTGTCCCCACACTGCTGAGAAGAAAGAAGACTATATCCTTCAGAAACATTGCTGCATCTACAGGTGGCAGGTGCTATTATTATGTGAAGTTGGAGCCTAAGATAAATAGGAAACTTTACTCATGAAGTTACAAGGACAGACATCAGCCTGGTCACCTTTCTTAATTTGAGTCACAGTGTTTAATTACTCTTGTGTTTACATTTCCATGAACAAAATGGACATGAACATGCAGCGGATTTAGGAGTCACTTAAGGAGTGGCCCATAATGTTGATCAAGAAACACTTGGTGAATACTTACTTGGCTTTTAATCACAGGGCATTTAATGTTCAGCAGAACAAATAGGTTAGAAATAGATTTTCTTAAACTTTATAGTAAGAAATGAGTGAAGTATAAACTCCAAAGGGGGCTTTATTTATTTATTTATTTAGAGACGGAGCCTCGCTCTGTTGCCCAGGCTGGAGTGCAGTGGTGCAGTCTTGGCTCACTGCAACCTCCACCTCCCGAGTTCAAGTGATTCCCCTGCCTTGGCCTCCAGAGTACCTGGGACTACAGGCATGTGCCATCATGCCCCACTAAGTTTTTATATTTTTAGTAGAGATGGGGTTTCACCATGTTGGCCAGGCTGGTCTTGAACTCCTAACCTCGTGATCCACCTGCTGAAACCTCCCAAAGCACTGGGATTTACAGGTGTGAGCCACCATGCCGGGCCCTATTTTTATTTTGAGATAGGGCCTCACTGTGTCACCCAGGCTGGAGTGCAATAGCATGATCACAGCTCACTGCAGCCTCAAACTCCTGGGCTCAAACCATCCTCCCACATCAGCCTCCCAAGTAGCTGAGACTAAGGGCATATGCCACTACACTTCACTAATTTTTTTTTTATTTTTCACAGAGATGAGTTCTTGTTTATGTTGCCCACACTGGTCTCAAACTCCTGGGGACAAATGATCCTCCTGCCTCAGCCTCCCAAAGTGCTGGGATTACAGGCATGAGCCACTGTACCTAGCCCAGAAGGGGCATTTAATAGGTAATAGTAGTTAAAAATAACTGCATTAAAATGAACCTGGAAAGAAGAAATTTCTATCGACCATTTAGGCTAAATGTGTTTGGTTTATGATAACTTCATAATTGACTGGCATAAAACATAGCACTTTAAAAATTCAAAATAGGATAAAGGCATGTGAGAGAAAAGTAATCAGAAACTTTTAAGGCAGTACCTAAAAAAAAAGATCTATGTAGAAATTCAAAAATCGAAGTAATACTACTTATATAGGTATCCAGTGGCTTAATTCATTCAAAAGACATTTTAGGAGCCATGCTTTTCTGATTTTTTTTCACTTCACAGAAGTGAAAAGGCCACACACATAAATGTGTTACATTACTTCCCATTACAGTGTTTTTGAGTTGCTTTGCACTAATGATTTTTTAACTTCTTAAAGAATCAGGTCTCACAATTATTCTTGTTGCTATTTTTAGAGACTGGATCTGGCTACGTTGTCCGCACTAGAGGGCAGTGGCACAATCATAGCTCATTGTAACCTGGAACTCCTAAGCTCAAGCAATTCCCTGCCTCATCCTCCTGAGTAGCGACGATACAGGCACACACCACCATGCCTGGCTAATTTTTTAAATTTTATTTTTTTGTAGAGACAGAGTCTTACTATGTTTTGCAGGCTGGTCTTGCACACTTATTTGTAAGAGCTTGGAAACTTTTTCCAATCAAAATTTTATAAAGAACCATAATATGTACAGTGGGCACAGTGTTGGCAAGGAGGAAACTGATCCCTGTTCACTCAGTTTCCCCCAAAGCAGAATGGTACCTAAGAAATGTATGTTGAAAACTGGTAGTCCAAGGGACTCTTGTCTTAGGACGTACCAACTTAAAAAGCACCATGAATAATATGCATAACAGGTCTATGGAAATATATATATATATATATACATATATATATATATACATATATATGCGAAATTAAAATAAGACTGAAAGATCATATATACATAGATCAGGAATGATCTTTCTGTCTAATTTTCATTGTGCAGATAAGTGAAAGATAGAAGACCTAAACAGTACATCAAAGTGACTATCTAGTTATTAATATTAAGAAAAAAAGAGAGGAAACAAGTGACATGTATTGAATGGCTGCAATGTTATCAGGCACTATGCTAACTCAAGCCTCCTAAGACTTAGAACGGCTCCGTTTCTGTTATTCCAAGGAACACTGTAAATGGACTGGAGACCAAAATAGTCAGTCAGGCTCCTAGATGAATGTACAAGTAATGGAAAAAGAGGGAAAATACTAGGGAATTGCTACGTGACAAAAGACAGTTTACACTGATCCCCAAATGGGTTAACCAAATGTGGCTTAACTCTCATGGTCCAAGTTCTATTTTTGTTCCTGAAGTTTATGTCCAAATTTGATAAATACTGAGAGGGATAGAGGCTTAGCATCATAGTCATTACCAGGAAAACATCCTGCAGATGCACAGAACTGCATTTTCCTTGCTGCCTCAGCAAGAACACTTGAGATGCTCAAACACCAAGGGAAGGGCGGTTATTAACAACAAAAACATCAGACGCCGCAAACAAGGACACATGGAACATCAGTGTCTCGTATTCTATAAATATTCTAGCTACAAAATTCCGCTCTGAAAGAGATGACAAGGTTTTCTTTTCAAATCATATCATTTGTGTTTCCTCATAAATGAAGTGAAAAAATTGAGCAAATGAAGAATAAAAGACGTATCTCATAACAAGCATAAATGTGGGTGGCATCACCATGGAGTCATTAGTTGAAATAAACAGAAATGAAAACAATCCATGTAAGTCTCATGGTTGAAGCCTGACTTACACAGCATTTGACTACAACGGTCCTTCTCAAATTTTATTGTACATAAGAATCATCTAGAGATCTTGTTAAAATGCAGATTCTGATTCAGTACACTTGGTTTGATACAAAGTCTGCCTGTCTGGCAAGCCCCCAGGTGATGCTGATGCTCCTGTTTTGTAGACGTTTGAGTAGCAAGGGAATTGACCACCATTCTCCTGGTAACAAAATACGAAGTTTCCATTCCTCACTGGATGAAACTGTCCTCGGGGATGGCACTGTTGAATTTTCACTGTTAACTTTTCACTTTGTTAAACTCTCACATTTAACAAATCTGAGCTCTGCAAAGACATAAGTATCCCTGGGAGGAATAACCCATTAAGCTCTTGAGAGGAAAGGGTATTCTGATCCCACCATTTTTGGGACATTTTAACTACATGTTTATGGATACAAAACCTTTTAGATCAGATTATGTAAGCATTGAAACACTTTTTTTTTTTTTTTGAGATGGAATCTTGCACTGTCACCCAGGCTGGAGTGTAGTGGCGCGATCTCAGCTCACTGCAAGCTCTGCCTCCTGGGTTCAGGCAATTCTCCTGCCTCAGCCTTCCGAGTAGCTGGGATTACAGGCAGCCGCCACCACGCCCATCTAATTTTTTTTTTTTTTTTTGTATTTTTAGTAGAGATGGCGTTTCACCATGTTGGCCAGGCTGGTCTAGAACTCCTGACCTTGTGATTCAATCGCCTCAGCCTCCCAAAGTGCTGGGATTACAGGAGTGAGCCACCGTGCCAGGCAGAAACACTTTCATAAAGTATATTCCAAAATCAACTGCATTTAGCCAAGTCCATCTCTTTATCAATTTTACATACGTGCTATCAAAACATTTTCATTTCACTTTATGGAAATTATTTTCTGGGTCAGTTATTTTTCATGCACATTTTACAAATTGTATTTTTTTAGTCCACATCAAGTTTTATCATTGTGATTTTCTTTGGTAGCTATTACTTCCACATATCCAAATTTCTGGGGTGGAAATTTCACAATTCTAAATTTGGTTTATATTATTTGATTTTTCTGGAATGTTTACAATGTGCTGTTTCAGCTGTTGTCAGAATCGGTGTTGATTAATTCCTGCACAAATATGAATTTTATAAAAGAGGGTTTGCATTTATTTCTCAGACAAACAGCCTAAAACGGAAAAGGCTCTGGATCCGGCTATACATAGGTCAGCTTAGATGAGTATTGGGGTAAAAAAGGCTTTTGAGGTGTAAGAACAAGTTCCCAGAGTGTGTACGGCAGGGGATGCCTAGCAGAGGGAATGCAAATCTCAAGAGGACAATGAAATATATTGGAATGAAGAAAATATTTACTTACTATCCAATAAAGCATACCATCCACCCTACCTAGAGTATTGGGAAGTGAAATCAATTCTCTGTCTATCCTGTAGTATATCAGTTTTTTTCAGATATTTATTTTCTTCTTCCAATAATTATCCATATGCAGTTATGAAGGGCTACTGGAATTTTACAAACAATGCCATAGATGCCATTAACTTAAAAAATCCCGTAATTTCACCATTGTAATATTTGTGAATTTTGCTTCCAGTTCACAGAATAGAAAATGAAACTTTATCCATTCTTAGATAAAGCACAATTAGGGAATTGATCCTTAGACCTCACCAAAACACTCACATCTATAGTGCTCATGTTGTTTTACTATTTCCCAGTGGAATGGCCTATATGAAAAATTTGAAATGTATTTTATATTTAAAAAAATCAAAATATCTATGGGATATATATACTCTATGTATATCTGAGTTTCTGCTCTCTTTAAAACAGAAAGCTCTTTTTTAGATTTAGATTAAATAAAGTATAAAAAAGACTAAATTCTTCTCACAGAATCATGCGTTTTCAAAAAAGTAAAATTTTATGAATTTATAAAACGTGTATGCAAATTGTGCTCATCTGTTTTTTTTCCTTCTTTCTGTCTCCAAATTTTGCCTCTCTCCATCCCTTTTTGCCCCCATGGCCATAAACTACGTTCATGATAATTCTAGAAGTTATAGACACAATTTGGAAGATTAGATCCTGTTTATGAGAAAACCTCTCAAATATGGTAGGTTTTTGGGTCTTCTATCACAAAGTGCTTATCCCCTTGTCTGAACAGTTACAATAGATCAATAAATACACTCCCATAAGCTCACATTTTTTATACTCATTTTCAATTCTAAAATATGAGCAGCAAATCAATGACAGATTTTATTTTTTCTCGAAGACAACATAAGAGCAAATGACTATTCTGCCACTAAAACAATTTCTAGAAAGCAATTTTCGCTTGGCACAGTGGCTTATGCCTGTAATCCCAGCACTTTGGGAGGCCAAGGTGGGTGGATCACCTTAGGTCAGGAGTTCGAGACCAGCCTGGCCAACACGGTGAAACCCCATCTCTACTAAAAAAGAAAAAAAGAAAAAAAATTAGCTGGGTGTGGTGACACACACCCATAGTCCCAGCTACTCAGGAGGCTGAGGCAGGAGAATCGCTTGAACCTGGGAGGCAGAAGTTACAGTGAGCCGAGATCACGCCATTGCACTCCAGCCTGGGCAACAGGAGTAAAACTCCATCTCAAAATAAAATAATATAAGAAAGCAATTTTTAAATTTTTCAGATGTTTTTCAATATGGTACTCCATCAAAAGTCAGGTTTTAAATCTCTAAACAAAAATACCTAAAGTTAAAAACAAATTCTGGAGTAAGCATAAAATGCTGTAGAAATTACAAGTATAAAATGATCATGAAAATGTAATTGATAATATTCCTAAGGTCAGGAGCATTCTAAGTGACCAACATCTGACATATCAAAGACACTTGAATAATGTGTGCTGATGTGGTTAGTATACATTTTTAGAAGATCTAGTACTACATATAGCACTTAAAGGTATTTGTTAAGCTTGCTTGCATTTGTGGGCCAGGCATAGTGGCTCAAGCCTGTAATCCCAGCACTTTGGTAGGCCAAGGCAGGCAGATCACTTGAGGTCAGGAGTTTGAGACCAGCCTGGTCAACATGGTGAAACCCCATCTCTACGAAAAATATAAAAATTAGCCGGGTGTGGTGGCTGGCGCCTGTAATCCCAGCTATTTGAGAGGCTGAGGAAGGAGAATTGCTTGGACCTGTGAGGCGGAGGTTACAGTGAGCCTAGATCATGCCATTGCACTCCAGCTTGGGTGACAGAGAGAGACCATATCTCAAAAAAAAAAAAAAAAAAAAAATCTTGCTTGCATTTGTGGATGTTTCAACAAGTTTAGCATTTCTTGATCACTTAACCTGATTTGTTTATGCTTCTTTACAATCAATCACCAGTGCAGTGCTTGAGTATTTGAGGGTAAAAAAAATACACTAAGAATTTTTAGATTATATCTGCTATTTCTTTTTATTTTTTATTTTTATTTATTTATTTTTTTATTATACTTTAAGTTCTAGGGTACATGTGCACAATGTGCAGGTTTGTTGCATGTGAACAATGAGAACACTTGGACACAGGAAGGGGAACATCACACACCAGGGCTTGTTGTGGGGTAGGGGGAGGGGGGAGGGATAGCATTATGAGATATACCTAATGTAAATGACAAGTTAATGGGTGCAGCACACCAATGTATCTGCTATTTCTGTGTGAAAAGTCTAATTATAAATCAGGAAGCATTCCTACATTAAATTAAAGTGGTGTTATCAATTGATATTTCTTTGAGTGACATTTTGCCAAATATAAACCAACAGTTAAGAAAAGTGATATAACCTAGGACTTCAGGATGATGGATTTATGCAGAACATGAAAAGTGTACAGCAGACTTTTACATAGAAATTAAGATATGCCTCATACATACTGAGCCCCTGGTTATGGAGTTGCTCAGCAAAAATTCAGGCCCAGATTCACACAAATATCTGAGTTCCGGCCAACTGCTTCCTGATTCTGAAGCTTAATTTAATCATCTTAGTGCAATGCACTAGATCTGAAAAGAATGGCCTAAATTCTACTTTAGGACTTTACTTGTTTACATGGCATTAGGTAGTGAATGTAGCTAATGGAAGTTCAAATTGTAATTCTGTATTTTAGTACTGAAGCTTTAGTACTATTTAGCATAGTTCTCATTTAAGTGGCTACTTTCCATCTTTTTTTTTTTTTTTTTTTTTTTTTTTTTACTCTACCTAACAATCACGTCTGAAACCCTATTGTCACTCGTTGGGTCCTCCTAGATATCATGGCCTGGTAGACACCAAGAGAACGCTTTTAAATATTTCAGAATCAGCACAGTAGATCTCTGTTCTACAATTTTAAATAGCCCCTGCACTTTTTTACAACACATATAATAAACTGACAAGTTGGTAACTAGAGTCCATTAATAAAATAGGAATGGTCACGTTGAAAAGTTTGGAAGCCAGGCAAAGCAGAGAATGGCTGAAAATAAATGCTTAGCATGAAAAGAGATAAAGGGAGGGGTGAGGGAAGAGTAAGCAACAGGCAATGAAAGAGACATGAGAGAGAAAGAGAAAGAGAGGGAGGAATTGGAGGTGAGGAGTTGGGAAACGTTATCTATCTTTAAATATTAGATGGGTCATATTAGACTTATTCCATTTGCTCTAAAGAGATGAAATAAAGACTAAGTGTAGAAATTATAAGTAGGCAGAGTTTAGCTGTCCAGCAAATTTTACACCAGTGGCATCTCTATTATTGGGAGTATTAAAAAGAGGCTCTAAAATCCCTCTCAGAATTGCTTAGAAGACCAGATGTGGGCCAGATCACTGCTTCTCAAACTTTTTTTTTTTTTTTTTTTTTTTTTTTTTTTTTTTTTTTTTTTTTTTGAGATGGAGTCTCGCTCTGTCGTCCAGGCTGGAGTGCAGTGGCGCGATCTCGGCTCACTGAAAGCTCTGCCTCCCGGGTTCACGCCATTCTCCTGCCTCAGCCTCCTGAGTAGCTGGGACTACAGGCACCCACCACCACGCCCGGCTAATTTTTTGTATTTTTTAGTAGAGACGGGGTTTCACCGTGTTAGCCAGGATGTTCTCGATCTCCTGACCTCGTGATCCACCTGCCTCGGCCTCCCAAAGTGCTGGGATTACAGGCGTGAGCCACCGCGCCCGACCCCTGCTTCTCAAACTTTACCTTGCTCGTGAAACAAGAAGGGATCTTATTAAAATTCAGATCTACATCAGCACTTATGGGCTGGAGCCTAAGATTGAGCATTTTCAACAAGCTCCCAGATGATGCCCAGGCTGTCCCTCTATAGACCACATTTTGAGCGGTTAGAGACTCCCTTAAGGTGCCTTCTCACTGGAAATATTAAAGTATTTCCTCAGGTAGGTAGTAGAACAAAAGAAGTGAAGGAAATCACAAGAGTCAGCGACACTACATGCTTAAATTTCATTGATAAAATGGCTAAACCATCCTGTCTTTTTAGAGGCAGAAAATCGCTGGAAAACAACACTTCAGAGATAATAGCATAAGCACTGAGATAATGATACTAAAATGCCCTCAAAGAAAATTGGCAGCAGTTCCAGATTCATACCCAGTGTAGACAACTGTGAGGAGCTTGAAACTGAATGTAACCCCTAATACTGAAATTGAACCCTGCTAGCTAATAGCATGTTCACACAAGCCTGTGTTTAGGGAACAAAGATTGAAGATTGAAGAACTCAATGAGACAAGGATCTGAATATATTGTACTATTGAGCCATAGTGGGAGTGGAATTACAAACCAATACACTGAGCTTTTCTGTGTTCCTATTGACCTTTGGACTCAAGGAAACCCAAAAAGGAAAGAGAACTGGCATCTGAGTTGCATACCATGCTACTTTTAATAAGCTGCAAGATTTGCTGCCCTTGAAAACACTGCTCCCTATTCTGTGCAAACAGCTTGATGGAGGGCCAGCTGAAGGGATGTCACTCGGTCAACAGGAAGTGAGTGTGGACAAAAGGTCCAAGTTTAGGAATGCCTCTCTGGATTTTATTTTGATACAGAGCCTAGTCAAACTTGGTTCTTGTGGCCAGAGCCAGAATAAAAAAATGTGCTCACAGGCTAACCATGGCCTTTTTATTTTTATTTTTTCATTTTTAAAGGCATAGTCCCTAATAACACAATCATATGCAGAACCCAACTAGAAGAAAGCTGGAATACAAGAGAGGGGCATGAATTTCTTAAATGTTCTTTCCCAGTTACATTTAAAATGTTTGTTAATGTTTTTCCTCACTAAAGGAAAAAAAGGTAAATGTATTTCAGATGCTTTACTTTGCTCTCTGTGGCCTGAAGAGGTCTTTTTTCTCTTTCTTTAGAGACAACGTCTTACTCCGCAGCCCAGACTAGAGTGCGGTCCCATGATCATAGCTCACCGCACCCTAGAACTCCTGGGCTCAAGCAATCCTGCCTTAGCCCCCTGAACAACTGGGACCACAGATGCATGCCACCACCATGCCAGCTAATTAAAAAAAATTTTTTTTAGAGACAATGTCTCACTATGTTCTCCTGGCTAGTCCAAAACTGCTAGGCTCAAGCAACCCACCCACCTCAGCCTCCCAAAGTGCTGGGATTACAGCATTAACCACCACACCCAGCCTCTCAAGAGGTCATTTTTTCAGAATGTAGGCTGGTCGTGATGGCTCATGCCTGTAATCCCAGCACTTTGTGAGGCCAAGGAGGGCAGATCACCTGAGCTCAGGAGTTCAAGACCAGCCTGGCCAACATTGCGAAACCCTGCCTCTACTAAAAAAAATAAATAAATAAAATGCAAAAGTTGGCTGGGCGCAGTGGTTCGCACCTGTAATCCCAGCTATTCAGGAGGCTGAGGCAGGAGAATAGCTTGAAACCGGGAGGCGGAGATTGTGGTAAACCGAGATCGCACCACTGCGCTCCAGCCTGGGAGACAGAGCAAAACTCCGTCTCCAAAAAAAAAAAAAAAAAAAAAAAAAAAAATGTAAAGGGAGTCACTCATATCTTCCAGGTTAAAGTGTTTTATGAAATCAGTGTACAGTGTGTACATAAAAAAGCATCATCAGTTCTCAGGCATCATAAGGAAAAGCTGCATTTCCCTCATCACAGCATGATTTCATGTTATGGGGTATTGAGTTTCACTGAAACCTCTGTAAGTTTTGTAGTTAGACAGATACCAGTTCAAATCCCCTTTCTGCGACTTACTGGTTGAGGTATATGAACCTGTTTCTTCATCTTGAAATTTGACATGGTAATAGTTGGAAAAAGAACTGGGTAACAAAAAAGGATACAAAGTAAGTGAATTGGAAAATTTTATCAGGAAGCTCATAGGGTTGTACTGGGCATTTAAAAGAGATTATGGGCTGGGCGCAGGGGCTCATACCCATAATCTCAGCACTTTTGGGAGGCTGAGCTAGAAGGATTGCTTGTGGCCAGGAGTTCAAGACCAGCCTGGGCAACATACGGGGACCTCATCTCTACAAAAAAAAATTTAAAATTAGCCTGGATTTGTGGCAAATTTCTGTAATCCCAGCTACTCAGGAGGCTGAGGTGGGAGGATTGCTTGAGCTGGACAGGTAGAGGCTGCAGTGAGCTATGATTATGTCACTGCACTCCAGCCCGGGCAACAAAGTGAGACCCTGTCTCAACTATTAAAAGGCAAAAAAGAAAAAAAGAGATCATCTATGTAAAACTTTCAAAGTCTAGTAAGCCATCAATAGCAGACTGACAACAGAAAGTAGCTGTTTAAAGACTGCTTGCCTCAATAATATTAAGGCTTCAAGAATCATAACTGGTTCTGTTCCTATCAATGAGAAGTATTTTTTGTTGCAGTATCACTTCCCTAGGTAACATTGGAGATGTCCAATGAAGATATCCAGGAAATAACCCTGGATATTTGACCCTGTGGATGCTGCTTTCCAGACTAAACATTCAGCTATGAAGGTGAAAAAGTATAAAAATGAACAGTCAGACTGGGAGGTAGGATTTTTGAAACATTAAAAACAAAAAAAAAGAACAGTTTGGAAAACACACCCAAGTGACTATAAAAATTTAAGATTCTAAGCAACTACAACATAATATTAAAATTAGAAAATCATTTTGTTCAAACAAGTATTTAATGAGCACCTGCTACGTCGTGCCCACTACTGGGTGCTCAGTGAGTTAGAAAGGTGAAGGAGACAAAAAAATCTTGAGAGGCAGTGGAGGGTAGTGGTTAGGAGAATCGACGCTGAAGCCAGGTAGTCTGGATTTGAATTCAGGTTTTGCTACTAACTGTGTGATATTGAAGAAAATGTTACTGTGCTTCAGTTTCCCCATCTGGAATATTGAGATAATAGTTTTTGTTACTTCACAAGGCTCTTGTAAGATTAATGAGGTTACTATATGAATGACACTCATAGCAGTGCTAGTAGATAATAAGTGACTGTGTGCTCAGCACTACTGTTACACCGACAATGCTGCAAAAGAGAAGTACTAAGTAAGGGTCATGGGAATTCTGCATTCAGAGGACCTCTAAATGACAGCTCCACAAAACAGCACCTCATGTGTGCTGGCCAACTCCCTGTTGGTCTATAGAACCAGTCTCATGCTCTGTATCCTGCAAATCTACCTTTTCCAGACTCCTTTGTCAACTAGATTCCAGTAGGATTGGCCAATGGGTAGTATTGGCAGACGAATAAAAGACTGAAGAAAAGGAGAAGTCAAGGTTTTTCTTTCTCCTACAGTGTTTCCTCCTGGTACCAACTCCCACCTGGCAGCCCTGTCATGGTTCTAGCTTTCATTAGATGGCTCCACCTTCTGACTTAATAGTAACCCCATCTCCTGCCACAATCCTCTAGACCTAGGATTGGTAGCAGCTTCCTGTAACCCCACTTCCTTCCACTATCCCTCGAAACCTAGATATTAGCCTGGTGCAGTGGCTCATGCCTGTAATACCAGCACTGTGGGAGGCAAAGGCGGGCCGATCACCTGAGGTCAGGAGTTTAGGACCAGCCTGGCCAACGTGATAAAACCCCGTCTCTACTAAAATTACAAAAAATTAGCTGGGCATGGTGGTGGGGGCCTGTAATCCCAGCTACTTGGGAGGCTGAGGCAGGAGAATTGCTTGAACCCGGGAGGTGGAGGTTGCAGTGAGCCGAGATCACAGCACTGCACTCCAGCCTGAGTGACAGAGTAAGACTCTGTCTCAAACAAAACAAAACAAAAAACTAGGTGGGCCAGTGTTCCCTGTTATCCTAACCTCTGGATTGCTCCTCTAGACTGTTTAGCTTCTTAGATTTTCCTCTCTGTGCAAACAATCTTCTTCATAAACTGCCTAGATGTGTTTCCATTTTCCTAACTAAACGCTAATTTTATAGCATGCTAGGTCTTGTAAAATGAACTGGATTATGTTAAGATGAAGATAAAGAACATTCCAAACTGACTGCATGGCCAAACCAAATTAAATAACTCATGATCTTAAACTTTCAATGAAGAGGTCAACAGTAGCTATCTTTTAGTAAATACACAAGGTCAGCTGCATTAACCTTATGTATCAGGGTTGTTAAAAATTTCCAGAGTTAGGCTTTCTGGATTCAAATTATGGCTCTGCCACTTACTGACTGTATGACCTGAGCAAGTGATGCCTTCGCTGCTTCAGTTTCCTCTACTGAAAAATGAAGATAATGATAGCACTCCATGTTACAGTGAGAATAAATGAGGGAATGTACATAAAGAGGTAAGAACAGGCTGAACACAAAGCATGTGCTTCATATTTTATCAAGTCCACTTAAAAAGTAGCAAACAAAATTTTTAGCACAGATTTGTACATCCTGGACTCAATTTTCTGGTATGCCAGTTCAGAAAGAAAGTTTACTCCCAGTAACAGTGAGATTTTTCCAGGAATGTAAGCTTGTTGAGTCCTGGAGACCTGGCTATAGGATTACTGCTGTATTCCCAGTATCTACCATGTGTCTGACTCAGTACAGAAGCCCAATACGAGAAAGCAAATGAGCAGATATTCAGAAGTTATATTTTCCTGCTTTTCAAAATGGGAAAGACTCAGTTTTTGAGATGTCAACAAAATATTAAGTAACAAGTAATGATAAATGTACTAGGAAATATCAGAGAGCTCATAGGATCACAATACTGCCTATGAACTAGGGTTCATAAGTTCTGTGGGTTATGAAGATACTGCAGTGAACAACTTTGCCATCATGAAGCTTTTCTGGGGAGATGAAAAATAATAGAAACTACTTACTATAATTTTAAATATTAATATAATCAAGGATGGGGTGGGATAAAATAGGATGTCAGTATTATGGAAAAAAATAATAAGGCAGGGTAAGAGTGAGAGAGTGACAGGGTGCTATTTTAGATAATAAGTCAGAGGAGGGCCTCTTAAATGTGAGCGGAGATGACATGTGAGCGGAGACCTGAACACAGTTAGGAACAACCCTTGAGACTCTCCGTGGAAAGCACTCTACAGGCAGAGAGAACAGTTAATATTAGTTTTGACATGAACCTTGACCTTAGCAGGTATTTCATTGAGATTCCTTCCAAATTAGGTGTCTATGCTGTAAGATTCTTTAACCTCCTTGAATAGAATGAAACACCAAAGAATTATGACTGGAACCCCATGAAGAAATACTACATGTATTTTTAATATCACAAAGAAATCAGCACTTTCAATGTTTCGCTGAGACACAGGAATAAAGCATAATACATCCTTCATATTAATTTGTATATAGTGCATATGTGTTTTCTGATCTAAAAAAACCCTCCCTACGTGTTTATTAAACTATATGTATCGAAATGAAGATATACTCTCCTTCTTCTCAGTTTATGTTGGCTAAACTTGTTTTGTGTAAACCTTGCACAACTTTTGTTCACTTTCTATGCTGTTGGTGTATATTTAACTCACTGAAAACATCTTTTGCAAGATAAAACAGCTAACGAAAAACCAGTATTTCCCTTAAATCTAAAAAATCAGTACTGTCCAATAGAAATGTAGTGCAAGCCCCAAATATTTCAAATTTTCTAGTATCCGAATTTTTAGAAAGTAAAAGGAACAGGTAAAATTAAATATATTTAATTTAACCCTAGCTATAAAAAATATTATTATTTTGACATGCAATCAATTTTAAAATTATTAACAAGATACTGCACGCTTTTTAATAGTAGGTTTTTAAAACTTGGTTTGTATTTTACACTCACAGCACATCTCAGTTTGGACTAAGCACATTTAAGTGCTCAGTAGCTACACTTGGCTCCTTGACTACCATTGCTATGTCTAGATCATTAGAATGAATGGACCTTCTTAATATTGGGACTAGGTTGCCAGATTTAGCAAATAAAAATACAGGATGGCCAGTTACATTTGAATTGCAGATACACAATGAATAATACCTGCATGTGACACATTATAATAAAAATACTTATATGAAACAAGTACTAAAAATGTATTCATTATGTATCTGAAATTCAAATTTAACTGGAGCATCTGTATTTTATCTGGCAACTGTGATTAGAACAGAAGGGTCAGACTTTTGGCCACAGACTCAATAAATCACAGTAAAAGTTATTATGTGGTGTAAAAAAATCACCATACTTAAGAATGCTATCGTAAAGCTCCCATTTTAATAATAACAAGGCAGTTTGATACTATTTTGGGGGGAAAATGAGGTCCAAGCTTGAGATTTCCATAGTAAAATCTATCCCTTAATGTTATCCTAATTGGTCTAGTTGACAGGAAGTGTGAAAGCCAAGCAGGAGATTTTTCATTCAGATAGAAACCAAACAGCAAAAGAACTGCCAGTCAATTAGTTAACTAAGATTTGAGTTCTGTTGGTTGACCTCTGAGTTCCACACCCTCATCTGAGGAGAATGGCATAGGACTGAGTGGTTTTCAGACTGTTTTCAAAAGCAAAATGTTTGTGACCTTTCTATTTTTTGCTCCTTTTATATTTTGTTTCTCAATGAATGAATCAAGACAGTTGCTTGGAGGTCGTTCTAGGCTCCTTCCTCTTCTTCACCTTGCATCCCACATCTGTCCCTTCCATCACCCAACGGAGTCAATGTGCCTTTCTAACCCTTCTTGAATTCCCTCAATCTGCACTGACACAGCCCTCGCCTTATTTAGTCCTCATAATTCCTCATTTAGGTTCTACAGATGGCTTTCTTCTTCTCTTGGATAAGTTTCTATACCAAAATAAGTTTGCAGTAGTGTAAATGCTGAGGTAACACATCTATGGGGCTTGAAACATGGACAAATTGCTTTCTAGAAGGGTTGTACCAACTTACGTTACAGATATCAACAGAAGACATTGTAATTTCACTGTCACATTGCCAGTTCATGCTATTATTACTTTTTCTTTTGGAACACGAAAATACACTCAAAGCGCAGAATTTGCTCTCTGCGTATTCTACTTTCCTTCAAATGGTTCATTACGATCTTACTAATATAAAATGTCCACTTTCAATCACTTGCTTCCCATTTCTCTTCTCACTCCAGGCCCCCAACAGCTTTGCTCACAGAAGTAGCCCTATCATCTACAGTTGTCTTTTGTTTTTAGTGAACATCATAATTAATTCTTTATAAGGGAAGTGGATACTTTGCTAGTTGAGACACAAAATTAGAATGTCATCTCTGCTACATATTAACATACAGTGTATAAGTAGACCTCTGCCTTCAGCAAATTGCAAACTGTGAATGAGCTGGAATATTGTACCAAATTTAAAAAATGAATAAAGAAAGTGGTATGAAATGTGTTGACGAGATGAAAATGGCTACTTAAACTTTAGACATGTCCTGCCAAGGTGAAAAGAGAGTTGCTAATTGATCCTGAAAACATAAATGTTTTCATATTCTTTTCTGTTAAAGGATGCACCTTTAATAATGACCTTCTTTTACTATACAATAGATCAGGAGATAGCCATGCACATTTATTAACAATAAAATCTCTGTATATTTCCTAAGGCATTTTTATTATTTACATGTCCACACATGGCGCTGGCTACTTTACTGACTAAAACAAGAAATAGAAGCATTAGTTTTGTACCCAATGCCATGACATGATAACTCATAAAATAACAACTGTTCTATCTATAAGTTTCCAAAAGACATTAATTTCTAAGTGGGTATAGGCCCACAGAAGGAGGGTGGATATTGGTTTAGTATTTCTCCAAATTTAACCACAAACAGTTGCAGTTCTTGACAGTAATACAGGTGCTAGCTACACCCAATAACCTGTGCTTAGTACAGTATCAGGCACCTAATGGTCACTCAGTATATACCCATGTGCATGTGAATGAATGCCCTGCTCTCAGAAAGAGATAAGAGGTAAGGATTATCTAAAAAATGTAGGCATTGTGAGTTACTCTTACTTATGCACAACAGGCCTACTTTTTGCCTTTTTAGCTACCCTAAGATAAGACAGTTTTACAAAAGCTACAAGAATGATTATTTAGGGGGAAGAAAAAGGTTATAAAGAATTTCTGAGGAACAGGAAATAAAATAGAAAATTCAGTGACTTCACTTAGAACTTTACTCACAGTATGTACCCATTTCCTTGACATTTTTTTCCCACAACTACAATTTTTGTCTTTCAATAGGTTTTTGATCTGCCTTGACTTCTATATGATTTCTTCTCTTAACTTATTGAAAACATCTTCTGTAAGATAAAACAGCTAACAAAAACCCAGTATTCCCCCTAGGTCTAGAAAATCATACTGTCCAATAGAAATAGTGGACAGTAGCAGTAGACAACTGTCTCTGCAAGAATATGAGATCATGTAGGGCCGGGCGCGGTGGCTCACGCCTGTAATCCCAGCACTTCGGGAGGCCGAGGAAGGCGGATCACGAGGTCAGGAGATCGAAACCATCCTGGCTAACAAGGTGAAATCCCGTCTCTACTAAAAATACAAAACAATTAGCCTGGCGTGGTGGCAGGCACCTGTAGTCCTGAATACTAGGAAGGCTAAGGCAGGAGAATGGCGTAAACCTGGGAGGTGGAGCTTGCAGTGAGCCAAGATTGCGCCACTGTACTCCAGCCTGGGCAACAGAGCGAGACTCTGTTTCAAAAAAAAAACAAAAAAAAAATATATATATATACACACACACACACACACACACACACACACACACACATATATGAAATCACCTCACATACACAGATGAGAATTTCATGTTTTTCTTTTCTTTTTTTAGAGACATGGTCTCGCTGTGTCGCCCAGGCTGGAGTGCAGTGACGCAACCAAAACGCTCTGCAGCCTTGACTTCCTGGGCTCAGGTCACCCTCCCATCTCAGCCTCCTGGGTAGCTGGGCGACAGACACGTGCCACCATACCCAGATAATTTTTTGGTATTTTTAGTAGAGATCGGTTTCACTATGTTGCCCAGGCTGTTCTCGGACTTTTGGGCTCAAGTGATCCACCTGCCTCAACCTCCCAAATTGCTGGAATTACAGGATTGCACCACCATACCTGGCTAGAAGTTCATGTTTTAATGCATTTATTGTTTCAACATGTACTGAACACTAATGATAACCTAATTGCTAACTCAACATCTCCTTTCATTCTTAAATCTTCTAAGGTATTTGATACTGTTGAGCATTTCATTTTAAAAATATTACTCCTAATTTTTGTGATATTGCTCCCCTTTCTCTGATATTTTCAGCTTGCTCTTGAAAAGTTCCTCTCCTTGGCCAGGTGTGGTAGCTCATGCCTATAATCCCAACACTTTAGGAGGCTGACGTGGTAGGATAGCTTGGGGCCAGGAATTAGACACAAGCCTGGGCAACACAGTGAGACCTTCTTAGGCATGGTGGCATGCACCTGTGTTCCCTGCTATTCAGGAGGCTAAAGTGGGATGTCTTGGCTACAGTAAGCCATCATTGTACCACTGCACTCCAGCCTGGGCAACAGAGTGAGACTCTGTCTCAAAAAACAAAACAAAACCAAAAAACAAAAACAAACAAAAAAAAACTTCCTCTCCATAGTCTTCAGGCTTTATGCCACTCTATGTGTTTTCTTAGTGATTTCATCAACTTCTGTGGTTTAGATTATTCTGACACTCAGATCGTCATCTCCTGACCTCTAGGCCTGTTTATATCAACTTACCAAATTTTTCATCGGATGTCCTAGAAATACATCAAACTCAATATATCTTGAATCACATGTATTATTTTATTGGTAAAAACTGATCTTACTTGATTCTCCACACCTCGGCTAAAACGATCATCACAGATGCAGTTGCCAAAGTCAGAAACAACAGTATCTTCCTTGATCAATCCCCTTCCCAGCCTGCCTCATCTTATTGGTCCCCATGTCTTCCTGATTCTCATTCCTAAATCCTGTCCCCACTTTATCTTTTGTACCCTTAAAGTCCCTGGTCCATGTCCTCTTCAACTCTCACATAAACAATTCCAATATCAATTTTGACGGAATTCTCTTCCCTACCGGCATTCTGTTTTGGCATGTGCCTAGGTATAAAAACTACTATTTCCAACATCATTTGGGTATTAAGAACCCACGACCATGTTACAGTTTGGGGCCAATTATAAAAGCACAAAGCTTTTGAACAAGGACACACTCAGCTGGCACTTGTCTTTTGCCCTTTAGCCTTCCTGGTCTTCCTGCATGTACTGCAAATGTAATGCTAAAGTGGACTAGCTCTCTGCAACCACAAGGCAAAGGCAGGAAGTGAAAGGTACACACCAAGTGCTGAGTGTCTAGATGGAGTCACCCTACTGCTCTGGATTGCTTACCTTCAGTCTCCTTCTTATGCGGTGTGAAAAACAGTTTAAGTCAGTGTTTAGTCATTCTTTCTATTATTAGCACATGAATGCAAGAGAAAGGATACATCCTTCCAGCCTGTCTTCCTGCATCTAGCTTTCTTCCTTCTTTGTCATTCCAAATTCTTTGCCAGAATCGACTTTCCAAAATATTACTCTGGCCATATTATTTCTTCTGCCTATAAACCTCTCCTTGGTTTCCATTGCCTTTATAACAAGCTCTTTACCCTAGCCTTGATGCAAGACCCTTCACCATAAGACGAGCTTGCATTCAGATTATATCACTTACTGTTTCCTTATGCAAGCACTGCACTTTGAAGACATCAGAAAATGTCATGCACTTCAACAACTTTCTGCCATTTCCATGCTCTTTCCTTTTCCAGGTAAATCTTTTCCTGCTATCCCTGCTAGATAAACTTACATTCATTTTGGAGAGCAAAGCTCAAATACTACCTTCCTCCTGCAGCTTTCACCTAAGCCTTTTCCAAACTTAAGGTCGATTTGACCACTTCCTCATTCTTTCTAAGAGCATGTTATTTACAGCACTACTGCATAGTACTTAAGAGCATATATTTGGGAACTTCCTGGACTCTATCAGGCTCTGTGACTTTGGAAGCTGATTGATCTTGAACATAGTGGCTCATTACCCTCATCTGTGAAATGCTGGTAACGTTGACATCTACCTCGAAGGGCCTCTGTAGGATTAAATAAGACATCTGGAGTTATTAGAAGAAAATCTGACATGCATAAAGTACTCACTGACAGTTAGGTATTATTTTTAGCTATTATCCTCATATTATTATATATATGCCTATCATATATACATATATATGCCTATCATATATATATATGCCTATCGTATATATGCTTATATATATATGCCTATCATATATATATGCTTATCATATACACATATATATGCCTATCATATATATGTATGCCTATCATATATATATATATATATATATATATATATGTGCCTATCACACATATATATATGCACCTATCTCTCCTCCCCTTGAGCATTTGGGGATAAATCGCTTCCTTTTTCTTATCCTCAGTGTCAATCACAGTGTTTTTCCAAAAGTACATGTTTGACAAATGTTGGATCAAATCACATTAGATTGAGCAACTCGTATGTGTAAATCCCATTCAGTGCTAAATGTCAGGTTACTAAAGTTCATTTTAATATGTGTTGCAGATGTTAAATGAGAAAACTACTACCAATCCCCATCCAACCCAAATCATTCTTGTCAAGAAAGCTTTTGAGATAGAGGAGCGACTACCTCTAAGGAAGTCTGAGTAGCTTTAGGTTGCCAAACATGGTGAGAGAGCATTCTGCCACATAAATTCCCCAGAGACGAATATAGGGAAGTACTAAAAATTTTAGAAGAATGGAGAATTGTGTCATTGCTACATCCTTAACAATGTTTAATTCAGACAACAGTCCCTGATTTTTTAAAGTGTGTAATAATCCCTTCCTTACATACTCTATGTTTTACCAATCTATTATATGCTTCCTATTCTAGGCTACTTCACGTTTAAATATAAATCAGTGCCTTCAAACATGCCAGGCACTGTGTTAGGCACAAGGAATAGAAAGATTAATAAGATTCTCCAGCCTGGGTAGAGAAAGCAAGGGCAGAGAATGCTTTAGAGAGTTATGAATATGATTCTATTTCCCCAGGGCATGATTGTGTCAAAGGAAGTCAGGAGTGTTGAATTTTGAGACCACATCCAACATTTTATTCATCTCAGCTATGGAAAAGCTAGGCAAGAAGGAAAGTATAGAATGAAATTAGGAAAGGAAAAGAACACATTTTTATAAGCTTGACTGTGGCCCAACAATATTTTTTTTCAAATAGAAGGCAACAGAAATGGGCAAAATATGTGGTGTCTCGCAAAGACAAATTTTACAGGCACCCTGCATACTTCTCACAAACTCTGTGTCCTCCTCCCAAATGAAATTATTATATATATAGATCATTCTAAAAGAACTGAAGAATCCTGGCAGGGTAATTAATGAATGACAGATCAGTCACCCATGTGAAAAAATAAAATGTGGCAAGAAATTATGGCTTTGTCAAGAACTTTGAGGTTTTTAAACTGAAAGCAATTTGTACAGTGACTATTGTGACCATACAACTTCCTAATCTCAGTTCCCATAAAGTCTGGGTGGGGGCCAGTTGGAATGGTTCATCTCAGTTGCAGAGATATCGTTCACAGAGGAAATAAAAGGATTTTAAACACTGGAGTCATTTCCTTTGGTTCTCAGGTCTTTGGTTAGTGATATCTTCGGCTCAATTCCTGCAGCCTAGCTTAGAAAAATAACGAAATCTGTTCCCTGAAAGGTTTTCCAATCAAACAAGTACAGTTTTCAACTCAAAACATTTAAGTCCAATAAAAGATTTTCCTTTGCCAGAGGGTTCTAGGAAGACTAACACCTTTCTAAGGTTCAGACTGCTCTCTAACAAGTTACATAAAAATCCGCCACCAGTGTAAATGTCAAATGCGAAAGGATGTGTTCAGGAGAGAGACCTATATAATCAAATCTCTAGCTGCTCCTTTGGAACTGCTGCTGAGGGGTCTTGCTGAAAATAATAGGGCCCTTTTATGACACATAGCACAAATGGTAATAGCAAGTTACCTCTCAAGTGGAACCTAAGAACTCTGGAATGGTTACCTGAATGTGGTGAGAGCAGACAAGCAGCGCTTTCCAAATATATCCTTCAGCTAAGGACTTTTGGAACTGCTGCAAGATTATAAAGAAAGGATAGATTGTTGGAATTTTCCTCTGCTCATATATATGCATTCTAAATGCCAAGGTTGGAAGCCCAGTGCACACAGTATTGTTCACATGCCACAGAATTTGAAATATTAGACAGCCTTTGTCCCAGATTGATCTACAAGGAACAGGAAGTATTATGGCTGTACCACCGCCGCTTTTTGTTTGGTGTGGGTTATTTCGTTTTTATTTTCCCTGAAAAGTCCTTAGTAGTAATCCTCAAGTCTTTGGGTCAGTTTCTTGATGAAAAGAAAGTCATAAAGTAGGATGGATCAAATATCAAATGGAAAATATAAATAAATAGAATTATGTTTATATCCTGATATCAAATCTTAAAGTTTTAAGACTTTTTAAATTACTTATTCCAGATATATTTGTGAATACTTATAAATCTTAATTATTAAATTAAAGAAGGATTAATGCAACATTTATAATCTCTAGATAATAATTTAATTCTAACTAATGTCAGATGAATCAAAATTTGTTCATTGCACTTATCACATGCTGCAGCTAAATGATAAATTACTGTTTTTAAAACCTTTTTCAAATGCCTAAATCCAACATTTAGAAATCTTTGATATATTTATTTAGAATTAAATTAGTATAAAAATGACAGAGCAGTCCTCTGCTTGGTAAATAATCCTGACTAACTGATGAAAAATAAGGAAGACCACCTTTTCATTGTGCAGACTTTCCCATTTTTTCTTTCTCTTGACTCTTATTTTTAGTAAATCTGAATAAAGAGTCAGAAATGATAAGGAAAAGGAGGCTTTTACTAAATGTGTCAGAAACACCTAGTGTTTCTGAAACCAGAAAAGGGAAAAAATATTAGTACCATAACATAAGATTTTAATTGCATGCAAATTTAAACCAAATGTTACTGGGAACGCTTGCCTTTTACTTTCTAACTTCTTCTCTCCAGGGAATTCCAAACCCAGGAGCACAGTGTTAACAAAGTGGCTCTGAATATGAACAGAAATGAAATTTCTGTTTTCAGTTAGTCTTGTGATACATATGCTTTCATTTTTTTCCCAAGACACAATTGGATCCTTCAACTTTAAAGTCATAATGTGAAAATCCCATTTTTGTTATTATTCTTATAAATGGTGAAGTGGTTGAGTAATATTCTCCAAATAAAGGCAAAAGGGGTGTTATTCTTTATGTATGATGGTCCTATGAGTAGGGTCCATAATTTTAATTATTTGTGCTGATTCAAACTCTTTTGCCTGGCTCCCCTTTATTTCCAACAGCAGACATTGGCAGTGTTGGGCTAAATATAAAGTTGAGGTCTTTTGACATGAGTTAGAATCAGTAGACCCAACATCGTGACTCACAGAGGCACCAACAAATACCATGGAAAAGTAAAACTAGTTCTCCACATGTTATATACTGAATATTAAAGTGACACAAAACACCCACGCACAGAACTAGTTTTATGCTATCGCCTGTTCATATACCTTATTAGGATCACTGTTAAATTTGAGAATCACACTTATTTTTAGAAATTTGGTTTAAAATAACCTTTTTTATTTATTTTATTTTATTTGAGATGAAGTCTCTCTCCGTCGCCCAGGCTGGAGTGCAGTGGTGCGATCTCAGCTCACTGTAACCTCTGCTCCTGGGTTCAAGTGATTCTCCCGCCTCAGCCTCCCAAGTAGCTGGGATTACAGGTGCATGCCGCCATGTCCCACTAATTTTTTGTATTTTTAGTAGAGGCAGAGTTTCACCATGTTAGCCAATAGGTCTTGATCTCCTCACCTAGTGATCCACCCACCTTGGCCTCCCAAAGTGTTGGGATTACAGGCGTGAGCCACCACGCCCGGCCAAAATTAACTTTTTATTTTAATCAGTTCTCATGGCATCTGTTGAAAGATTTTCTCCTTTATCACTAACCAAAAGGAAACTCAAATCTTTTCATAATAAAATATTTGTAAAACATGCAGAATAGATTTTAGCACAGAGTGGGCACACAATAACTTGTAATTTTAAACAAGAGAAATGCATAGCATCTGCTCATATCTTTATAGGAAAAAATAAACAATGCTAACATAACTAAAGCAATGCTGCAAATAGTCAACAATATTACAAATTGAGCATCCCTAATCCAAAAATCTGAAATCCAAAAGCTCTAAAATTTGAAATGTTTTGAGTTGCTTATATGATGCTCAAAATTCATGCTCCAAGAAAATGCTTATTGGAGCATTTTGGGTTTTGAGTTTTTGGATTTGAGATGCTCAATTAGAATGCAAATATTCCATGATTTGAAAAAAAAATCTGAAATCTGAAATACTTCTGGTCTCAAGCATTTCAGAAAAGGGATACTCAACCTGTATCATATGGTACATTATTTGACATAGGCAATAGAAAAGGGACTTTACCAAGAGCTAACCTAGGCAGGGAACCCTCTATAAAGTAAGTAGAATTTAAGTTTGCCTAATAATCTAAGTCAGGTTTAGAATGGAAGAAGAATAATGAGCTGGAGTATGAGCTGAGTAAAGACTGAATGGTGGTATAAGTATAGCGCGTTGGGAGAGTAAAGTGACTGGTCTTCTTGGTGTCAAAGATACATATTAGAACAAGGTGAAAATCACTATGGGTTGATCTATGATATCAGTGCTCTTTAAATCTATACTGAGAAATTCAGACTTGATAAAGAATGAAATAACAAGTCACATACAGGTTTGAAGCAGCCAAATGTTGTGATTAAAGCATTGTTTAAAGAAGCAGTGTATCTGCAAAAGTATGGAGTCCACAGGTACTTAATAAGAAATTGTGCTTATTCCATCTCTGTGATAAATGGCTGCAATTTTATCCCAGTTTCTAATCACAGCCAAAATCACATGCATGATCATTTTTTTGTGCTATAACCATGAATTGAGAATCTGAGATGTGGTTAAGCCATTCATCATTTTATTCTTTTAGACATGCATTGGACAACTACTTCACGTGCAAAGCATGTGCTAAGCATGAGTGAACAAGAAATGAATACGATACAGTCCTTTGTTGTTGTTCTGAATAGGTGTACAATTCTCACTCTTGATAAGCCCATAGTTTAAGTGAAACATGAATAAAGAAAAATCACTGATTATACACAGCTTGCTAAATTCTGGGTATACTTTTGGGAGAACAGACTTGTATTAAGGGATATAGAGGAAGGATACCAAAGGCAGCTTGGGCTAGCGTGGAAGGCACAGGGAAAGCTTTGAGGAATTTATCAGCTGAGTCTCGCAAGTCAAGGAAGAGCACACAGGCAGCATAAAAGAGGGATGACATGTGAGACATTAAATACCCAGGCTTTAAAACAAAGCAGACCTGAATTTATATCCCAAATCTGCTATTTCATGTTATGGCAACTTAGGCAAGTTCCTTGTCTCTTTCACCTAGAAAATGAAGACAATAATTATATCAATTTGAAAAAACTGCTATCATATATGTAAAACTCTTAGAATAATTTATGTACATAGAAAATGCTCACTATATATTAGTCATTATTAGTAAATGTGGGGTGCTTGTTACGTTACAGGCAAAGAGAACAGGCACCAAAGTATTTTTCCATGTGGCATGTAAATAATTAGGTATGGTTGGTTGGATATGTGGTAAGAGATAAGAATTGACCAGAGCCATCACTATGGCCACATAGGTTGCTCATTGTATAATTCTAGAGATGCTATTCACATGGAGTAGAATGTGAATACTCCCTACACTCAAGAGTTATATTTTGCAATCTACCCACCTGACAAAAGGCTAATATCTAGAATCTACAAAGAACTTAAACAAACTTACAAAAAAAAAAACCAACCCCATCAAAAGTGGGCAAAGGATATGAACAGACACTTCTTAAAAGAAGACATTTATGCAGCCAACAAACACATGAAGAAAAGCTCATCATCACTGGTCATTAGAGAAATGCAAATCAAAACCACCATGAGATACCATCTCGCGCCAGTTAGAATGGCGATCATTAAAAAGTCAGGAAACAACAGATGCTGGAGAGGATGTGGAGAAATAGGAACGGTTTTACACTGTTGGTGGGAGTGTAAATTAGTTCAACAATTGTGGAAGACAGTGTGGTGATTTCTCAAGGATCTAGAACCAGAAATACCATTTGACCCAGTAATCCCGTAACTGGGTATATACCGAAAGGATTAAAAATCATTCTACTATAAAAAAAAAGCGCACGTATGTTTACTGCAGCACTATTCACAGTAGCAAAGACTTGAAACCAGCCCAAATGCCCATCAATGATAGACTGGATAAAGAAAATTTGGCATATATACACCATGGAATACTAAGCAGCCACAAAAGGAATGAGTTCATGTCCTTTGCAGGGACATGGATGAAGCTGGAAACCATTATTCTCAGCAAACTAACACAAGAACAGAAAACCAAACACTGCATGTCCTCACTCATAAGTGGGAGCTGAACAATGAGAACGCATGGACACAGGGAGGGGAATATCACACACTGGGGCCTGTTGGCAAGTGGAGGGATAGGGGAGGTATAGCATTAGGAGAAATACCTAATGTAGATGATGGGTTCGTGGGTGCAGCAAACCACCATGGCACATGTATACCTATGTAACAAACCTGTGCATTCTGCACATGTACCCCAGAACTTAAAGTATAATAATTAAAAAAGAAGGAGATATGGGGAAAAAATAGATTATATTATACAAATGTACACTATTTCTGGTGTTAGAGAGGAGAGAACAAGCCAGATGACGAGAGGCCTTATATTATGATTAGTAGTTAGAAGTTTCTCTTTCTTGACATCTCATTCCAAATAACAGAGATTCAAAATTTCACATATATAATTGAATTTTAATGACAATATGAATCTTCATATTTTCTCATTATTGAAAAAATGAGTTTTTCTTGCATCTCAGTATTGCTAAATTGTGCTAATACTACTTTAGTCATTATTGTTGTTTTCTATTATAGATAGGAGAATTTTTTAAACATATAATGAACATTGAAAAATCAATACCTCACCACACAAGAACCCTTGTAATCACTTCTATACAATTCCTTTAGACCTTTGCCTTCTAAATGCATTATGTTTAGAGAATTGTGGTCAGATCATGGATACAATTATATAATTTTATTTTTTTGCTACCTTTTCAAGGGTTAATTCAGAAATATTTATTAGCTCATATTATGTGCTAGGTCTTGTTTTTGCACATATGGAAAAATATGCTCTCCCCATCAAAGAAGTCACAGTGCAGAGGAGAGAGACATGTCAACTGATAATTACACATATCAAGTAAAAACATTGTCAGAAGCCATCATACTTCACATTTTGACCTAGTTATTAGCAGAGCATACATAGATTTGTCTTTTTTTTTCGCAATTAATATCATACTATAGCTAGGTTTCCATGCTGCCTCAGAGTCTTAACAATTTTTCCTTTACATAATTATAAAATACTCTATAGTTTTAACCAGAGTTTAGCCATTTCTATTTGTGCATATTAGGTTATTTCCAAGTTTTCAGGAATACAAAGCAAAGGTTGCATTCATGTGTATAATTTTTCTATTCCTAAAACATTATTTCTGTAGAAAAAAATTACATAATCTAGTGTATGTACCTAAAGAGTATGGAAAGTTTATTGACTCTTGAAATGAGGTCATAAAAGAACCTCATTTTTTTTTAAATACAGCTGATAGTAAAGAGATATCCTAATGTTAAACTTCAAGGAATCAGAAAAAGAAAGAGAAATTAAGGCCAAAGTTAGCAGAATAAAAAAAAACAAAGATCAGAGCAGAAATAAGTGAAGCAGAACTAGAAAAACAATAGAAAAGGTCAACAAAACCAAGAGTTTTTTTTTTTTAAACAAACAAAATTGACAAACCTTTAGCTAGACCAACAAAGAACAAAAAGAAAGAAGACTCAAATAATATCAGAAATGAAAGAGGAGATATTATAGCTGATACCAAAAATACAAAGGATCATAGGAGACTTCTATGAACAATTATATACCAACAAATTGGATAACTTAGAAAAAATGGATACATTCTTAGACACATAAAACTAAAACATAAAAACCAAGACTAAACCATGAAGTAATGGAAAATCTGAACAGACCAATAACAAGGAGATTGAAACAGTAATAACATTTTTCCCATGAAAGAAAAGTCCGGGACCTGATGATTTCACTGTTAACAAACATTTAAAGAAGAACCGATACTAATACTTTTCAAACAAGACTTCCAAAAAATTGCAGCAGAGGGAATACTTTTAAATACATTTTATAGGGCCAGCATTTTCCTGTCATCAAAGCCTGACAAGAACACTGCAAGAGAAGAATATTACAGGCGAATATCCCTGATGAACATAGATGTAAATAACCTCAACAAAATACTAGCAAGTCAAATTTAACATCACATTAAAAGAAGCATTCACCATGATCAAGTGCAATTTATTCCAGTGATGTAAAGGTGGTTCAACATACATAAATCTATAAATATGATAAATCACCTTAACAGAATGAAGGACAAAAACCATATGATAATCTCAATAGTTGCAGAAAAATTATTTTACAAAATCCAATCCCCTTTCATGATAAAAAATCTCAACAAATTAGGTATAGAAGGAATGTATCTCAATACCTGAAAGGACATATATGATGGACCATAGCTAATATCTCATTCAATGAGGGAAAGTTGAAATTTTTCTTTTCTGAGATTAGGAACAAGACAAGGATTCCCACTCTTACCACTTCTATTGAACATATTACTGGACGTCCCCTAGCGAGAACAATTAAGCAAGAAAAAGAAATAAAGGGCATTCAAAATGGAAAGGAAGAAGTTAAATTATCCTTGTTTGTAAGTAACATGATTTTATCTATAATGTAGCCTAAAAAATTCCACCAAAAAACTATTGGAACTAATAAACAAATTCAGTAAAATTGCTGGATAAAAAATCAACATACAATATAGTAATATATGTTAAGTACACTTAACAATGAATAGCCAAAAATGCAATTTTTAAAATCCCATTTACCATCACTACAAAAATATCAAATACTTAAAATTAAATTTAACCAAGGAGATGAAAGGCCTGTACATTAAAAAAAGATCCAAAATTGATAAAAGAAATTGAAGAATACACAAATAAATGGAAACATGTCTCACGTTCATTGATTAGAAGAATACTATTAAGATGCCCATACTACCCAAAGCAATCTACAGATTAAATGTGATTGATATAAAAATTCCAATAACATTTTTCACAGAAATAAAAAAAAGTCCTAAAATTCATATGGAACCACAGTATTCCTCAAACAGCCAAAGCTATCTTGAGTAAAAACAAACAAACAAACAACAAAAAAAAAAAACAAAATTGAAGGCATCACACTACATGACTTCAAAATACACTACAAAGCTACAATAATAAACAGAGTATGGTACTGGCATAAAAACTATTACATAGATCAGTGGAACAGAATAGAGATCCCAGAAACAAATCCATGTGATTACAGTCAATTGAGTTTTGACAAAGGTACTGAGAATACACAAGAGCAAAAGGACAGTCTATTCAATAAATATTGTTGGGACAGCTAGATGTCCACAAGCAGAAGAATGAAATTAGACCTTTATTTCATACTACATACAAAAATCAACTCAAAAGGGATTAAAAATGTAAATATAAGACCTGAAACTATAAAACTACTAGAAGAAAACACAGCCGAAAAGCTCTGTGACATTGGTCTGGTCACTTATTTATTGGACATGACACTAAAAGCACAGGAAACAAAAGTGAAAATGGATGAATGGGACTACATCAAACTGAAAAACACAGCCAAGGAAACAATCAACATGGTGAAGACATAACATATGTCTGATACGGGAGGAAGTATTTGCAAACCATAGATCTAATAAGGGGTTAACATATATCAATTCAATATCCTAATTTTAAAAATAGGCAAAGGACCTGAATAGATATTTCTCAAAAGAAGACATACAAAGAGCCGACAGGTATATGAAAACATGCTCACCATGACTAGTCATCAGAGAAACACAAATTAAATCCACAATGAGCTATCAACTCACACCTGTTAGAATGGCTATTAGGAAAAAGATGAAAGATAAATGTTGATGAGGATGTGGAGAAAAGGGAATCCTTGCACATTCTTGGTGGGAATGTAAATTAGTATAGCCATTAGAGAAAACAGTATAGAGGTTTCTCAAAAAATTAAAAATAGAACTACCATATCATCCAGCAATCCCACTACTGGGTACACATCTGAAGGGAATAGAATCAGTATGCCAAAGAGATATCTGCACTTGCTTGTTCATAGTAGTAATTATTCACAATAGCCAAGAAATGGAATCTACCTTCAGAACCTTTTTTAATTTTTAATTTTCCAATTAAAATTTTATAAATAAATAAATCAGACAGAAAAAAAGGCAAGAGGCCTGCTCACTGCCTCTTAAATTATTTTTATGGTTGCCTTCTCATAGACCAATCATCACAAATTTCCACTTTATTTGGGTTCATGTTTTGTGGCCCCCTAAAACTCATAAGGTCCTGTGCACTTTAAATGAGCTGCTGCTCCCTGGACCAAGACAGAGCCAAGTCTTCATGACGTACAAATTACCCAAGAGGTCATTTTTTTCCCCTACTAACTGGCACGGCTCAGACATATGTGTGACCTGGGCAAAACATCAGTCCCAGATCCTGGCTAGTGAGAGGGAAGAATTTCCTCTCTAAACTTAGAGACCAAGTTTGTATTTCTGGAGTGGATCTAAAGGTCATAGCCTCTCTGTGTTTCCACATGTGTGCAGTTAGCTAATGTGGGCTGGGAATTCTGAACACAATCATCTACAAACTGTTTAGAGAACAAAGCCCAAACAAGGCCGCACAGAGCTTCAGGTAATGCTTTAACTCGAGTTAAATCCAGATGAGAAAGCCTTTACATTTTTTCCCCATAGCTTCTCCCCAAAATTCAAAAATTCTGGCAATGTCAAAACTAACTGTGGTTTCCATGGAGGAACAGGGATGCCATGCCACATAGGATGTTATTTTTTCCACTGCAGAGGTACTTTATAGGCACCTATTGCAAACGATCTTCAGCTTCAAAGAAGCAGGAAAAAATACATCTGTGGTCTACCTGAGAATTACTTGATTTTGGTTACAAATATGAAATGACTGCCTTGCTGTTATGCTGCTTCCTATAAAAATCCTATCAGCAAAATTAACACAGACAATGGTGTTGGAGAAGTAAAACAATCCTCCTTACAGTTCCCAAAGCAGGATCCAGTTATATTAGGATTGGTGCCTGGAAGTAGAATGTCAGGCCAGAGAAAGACCACTCAGGAACTAGGCAAGAAAGAAATGTAGTTAGAATCTAAACACTGTAAAAATTCAGACTCAAACTTGGACAGGGGAATCTAGAGTGAGTACGAGGAAATAAAGCATGTGCTTGAATATAGCTGTTGAAAAAAACTGAGCACAGATGCTTAACATTTCCGTAAAGGACAGAAGGGAATGAATGACAAGGTAAATCTCGGTAAGAATTAGAGGCTGGAGGGCAACTTGAGACAATAGGAAACTACGTGGATGGGGGAAGAACTTTCTGAGAAAAACCAGATTTCAAAAGAAATAATTGGCCTTAGCAGGCGTTTGGATGTTTTGCTGCAAGAATTGGTGCCTGGATGAATTCAAAACATAAAAGTCTTTGGATTAAACTTTATCATACCTTTAGAATTCAAATAGAAAATGTTTGTTTATCTCTGGATTCATCCATCAAGAAGATAATGACCCCCAAACATTCTCCACAACTACACGCAAGCTATTTGAAGAAAAGAAAAGAGACTGGGTAAGTAATTGGGATAGAGTGGCCTCCTCAGAGGTCTTAACCTTATCCCCACTGAGCAAATATGGGAGGCAAGCCAAACAGAACTTAAATAAGATGAAAGAGAGCATTTGCTCTGAAACGACCACATAGGCCCTTTAAAGAAGCACATGGCTCATTCTGAGTCCTGAGAGTAAGAGAAAGTATCAGCTGCACCTTGTCTTTCTACCACAATAATTCTGAGGCTATTTTCCCACTTAAAATTTATTTAACTGCAGCTCACTTTAAAGTTAACCTAGATAGAAAGCTAGACATTTGCCAACATAAGTGCAAAATTGAAGTTAGCAGAAAACCATTCTCAAAATATAAAAAAGGAAAATGATTTTAAATGGAACAAAATGATCAAAATATTTTCAAAAGGAACATGTGCTTTCATAGTGCCAGCTCCATGTTTTTATATCTATATTCAGTGACAAACAGAACTAGAACCCCTAATCGATACTGTTTATAGTGGGATGGAAGTGGGAGAATAAGAACTACTACATGTTTCTATCAAATTGTCTGCCTTTATGCGAACTCAAAACATTGTGCTTGTGTCTAATTGTCATTAAAAACATCCAGGATCATTTACTTCTAGTCTTACTTATTGGGATTATTTTATGGGAGAAAGAGTGAAACAGTGGAGAGACCTATGCTTTGGGAGTTAGACAGACTTAGGTTTGGATGACCATTTGATGTTTGACACATTTCACAGCATCTCCTGGTTTGTTTCCTCATGAGTAAAATGCGAATAATAATAATTTTGTTAGTTACTTGATGTCCATTCAACAATGGTATAGGCTATTGAAAGTTGAAGATGCACATGTCTTCAATGGCCAAGCAGGTATACAAATGAGTGAAGCGGGCTGGTTTTAAGAAAATAAAGGATAGTTTAGGTCCCGCTAAAAGGCATTCTAATTTAAATACTTTTAACAGTATTGTAGCCAAACAAAATTCCTTCCCTAGACAAATTTGCCCTTCTGATGAATTACAGGAATGTTCTAAGAGACTTCTAGACTCAGTATGCTCATGGGGCTGAGCTGCAGAGTATGTTAGTATAAATATATCTCTGACACCATAACTACCGCGAACCATTTTTCTGAGGACTACACAGCTCTTCGTTTACTCATTTTCTGCTCACTGTTAAGTAGGGCGTCTCTCCTGGGCAAGCAAGCCAAAGACACCATTCATGATCCCTCCCCTTAGGATTGACTTTCCCCTCTTTTTTGAGTATTTTTATGTTTATGTTTTGAGTTTGGGTATTGGTTCTTTAGTCTGTTTTATTTGGTCCACTGATTGGTTGGTTGATAGGCTGATGGGAGATAGGTTGAAGAGTTTACCTTCCATATTTAAGTAAACTCAGACAGGAAACAAAAGATAGAGATGTTGGTAAATGCTAATGCAGATAGGGCTGACCCTTGATGCAACAAATGGCTGCGGTTAACAGAAGCACCGTAAGTCTTCCTCCTAAAACGGATAAATTAACCTCGGGCTTGCAACAGCGTCGGATGTTTTCACAAATTTACGTGTGATACTGGCTTTCTATTGTCTACAGAAGATCACTTGTAAACTGGAACCATCTTATCTGGAAAGATATATTTTATATGAATTTTTTAAAATGTCTGCAACAGTAAACAGAGACAAAGGGTTGGCTCTAAACTAGTAACTTTTGAAAGACGCACAGAGTGGAAATATAGACTGACCTGGACACCATAAAGGAATGTACTTAGTTGTACTAATAGTCCATATTAATAAGACATAATATGTGGCAAATACAAAGTGGACGTGTTAAACTTTCATGGAGATTTTAAACATATACACATGATATCAATGCTTGAACAAGCTTTTATTAGATAATTGTATATGCAGTGTTAACTTGTTCTTACTTATCTTAAATTACTTCTCACAACAGCAGACAACCACAAAGAACCTGACAACTCCCTAAGGCAGAACAACTTCCCCAGGACTTTTCGGTTTATGTAACATAGCAGATGCTTAATTACAAAGAACTATGGGGATTTCATTTCAAGATTCCTTTTTACATTTTATTAAACTAAAATATAAACTTTTAGGTAAATCTTTATATAACAATTTTTAAACTCTCTTTGAATAAAAATACCTCATAAATGTTTTGTCCCTGTGATACACACACACACACACACACACACAGATGTACTGACATACACATGTAATTATATACAGTCATGCATCACTTAACAATGGGAATACATTCTGAGAAATGTGTCCTTAGGTGATTTCATTATTGTGCAAACACCACAGTTTACTTACACAAATGTAGATGGTATAGCCTACTATACACCTAGGCTGTATGGTATAGCATATTACTCCTAGGCTACAAACCTGTACCGCATATTGCAATACTGAATACTGTAGGCAATGGTAACACAATCATAAGTATTTGTATATCTAAACATAGAAAAGGTACAGTAAAAACATGGTATAATCCTATGGGACAACTGTCATATATGAGTTTTGTCGATGACCAAAACATCATTATGTAATACATGACTATATATGTAGAATAAATATGTAAATATATGTATATATAATAAAATTATATATATATATTTATATTTCACTTGGAGTTATTCTTATTTGGTTCAAAACAATAGCCAGAAATTGAGATAGACTGAGAAAATTTCTATTTTCTATACGGGAATCTTTGACTTGTTAAGTTGTCCTCTTGTCATATTCTCAATTTTATCATCTGCTTCCCTATAAAAAGAAATAGTATTACCAATAATTTCCTTATATCTTAGATGTGAAATTAGGAATTTTCTCACTTTGAACCCCTCGTCATTCAAAAGAATGTATGGGAAGATTGAGAAAATTTTATGCCACAGTGTCTTAATACTATTTTTTTTAATGAGCCTACAAATTCTACCTTATGTAATTCTTCTTTTTTACAAAAAAAAAAAAAGAAAATCCTTCTCATTGATTAAAAGCTACAGTTTTTGGTTTATCTATTGCAGCATGTGTCCCAAAGACATAAATTCCAATGTGCTTTATATTTCCCGTGGAATTTCACCACATGATTTCATTCAGTATATCTCAAATATGGTTATTTTTCACACTACCCTTAAGCCCAAGGCCCAGTGTGTTTTTTGACAGTTGCTTCCCTAAAATCGTTTGTTTCAGCTGCTGCTGTTTGAATTGTGGACGAGATCTGAGAATATGAACAGCTGTGATATCTGCAGCTTAAGCTTCCTATTGTTTATCGAAAGAAATTGTGTTTTTAAAAGTGGCATAGAAAAAGTGTTCCAAATATGCTTTATGATACAGGTTTCTGCTAATTCAGGGCTGGTGTCCGCTGAATGACCAATAGGTCTATCTGTATGCCTAGCAGTGAAAATAAACTGCCCTTTTCTTAAGAGAAGTAGAAATTAAATGAAAACTTTGTAATTTTCTCTTATTCCACAACTCAAGGAGAAAATTATACCTGTTTCTAAAATGATCATATTAAAGTACTTATATTGCCAATATTTTATAGATAAGCAGGCATCTGAGCTCACTTATAGTCCTTTGAAGAAGCATATCAAGTGGTACATTCACCTTTCAAACTCTATTTAGGTTTTTGTAGCTTGTTTTGTTTTGTTTTGTTTTTCAGCTATGTACATGAGTTTTTCTCTTTCATACCCCAGAGTTCTCTTTTCTTTACTAAAGGGAAGGAAAAAGAATAGCTATTTAGAATCAATATGATTAACTAATAATAAGAACAATGGCTAGCACCAAAGCAAATGATGATTGACCATGCCTTAAATGTTAGATGCTTTTACCATAGTTTAAAAAACTAAGGAGTCAAGAATCTTTAGGCATTTTTTTCCTTTAAACTTGTAAAACAATATTACAGAGTGAATAGCATAACAAAGGAGTGAACAAAGAAAATTTTTTTCCCAGAACCTATACAACTCAACTAGAATGAATTCCATCACCTGTCACTGCGATGGAATTTGCTTTATCTCAAACACACCAGGTTTATAGGCCCTAAAAAATCTTGAAGCTATCATATAGCCAACACCAAAAGGTATCTTTCATACCTTTAAGACATCCTTTAAGTACTTATACTTTTTGCTATTAACGAAGCTAATCTCAATAAACACAAGTCAATTCATAAAACACACATTTCTTACAGTTAAAATGTACTCAGAATGGCATTAAATTATGTAAGTTACATACAAGCTCTAAACAAGTTGGTTCCTAGAAGGTATCCAAGTCCAAGGCCATAGAAACATTTGCCTGATGTATGTGCCCGGCATATAACAAACATGGTTCCATGTAGTTCTGAAAATACCTTTGTATTGCAGGTGTAGATAACCTCACTTGACAGTTGAAAAACAGATGTTCAGAGATGTTATGTGCCTTGTCCAAGGAAACTAAGATCATAACTTAGAGAATTTCTTGGTATAGACTTCAATTAGAAAATTTTTGAAGAACTGTGTCTTTTTTATATTTAAAAGGTTATTTACATAGTATTACAAGTTTACATAAATTTTAGTGAACTGAATACACACATATATCATATTTGTGCATTATACATTATTATATTTTGTATATCATTTTAAATATACATTAGTATATACAATTTGCCATGTATTAATAAAATCATTAATGAACAAAAATAGCTTTAAACCATTAAAAAGAATAACTCCACATTAACAAAATAAGTACTCTGAATTAAGAATGAATACTTTTGGCCGGCCTCAGTGGTTCACGCCTGTAATCCCAGCACTTTGGGAGGCCGAGGCAGGTGGATCACCTGAGGTCAGGAGTTCGAGACCAGCCAGGTTAACATGGTGAAACCCTGTCTCTACTAAAAATACAAAAATGAGCTGGGCATGGTGGTGCATGACTGTAATCCCAGCTACTTGGGAGGCTGAGGCAGGAGAATCGTTTGAACCCGGGAGGCGGAGGTTGCGGTGAACTGAGATCGCACCACTGCACTCCAGCCTGGGCAACAGAGCAAGACTCTGTCTCCCAAAAAAAAAAAAAAAAAAAAAAAAAAAAAAAAAAAAATGAATACTTTTAGAGAATAACTCTGAGAAACATATGCATCTGTATGTCTTTGGTACTCTTCCTGTCTGTACAGGCCTATGGAACACATACCTGGCCAAGCTTGTGCTTTCCATTGATATAACATCAAAGGGTCTCAGAGACAGAGGTAAAGCACTGGGATCTAAGTGACTACTCAGAACTGTCCTGCATCCTCAATACTTCGGCAATAATCCTAACTACCTGGGTCCCAGGGAGTTTATAATCTAGAGGAAGGACACAAACTAATCATAAAAGCATGAGAGATGAGAGATGGGGTATCCTTAGATCTTTGCACACAGATGGTGCCCAAAGGAAGTGGTTTTGTAAAGGTGTTTAGATAGGATGAGTAGAGTCTTGGAGGACTTTTTGAGAAGGTGACTTTTGGAAGCAATAATTTACATAGACTACTAGAGGTAGGAAGAGAGAGCATTTTATGTTTATCGACATGAGTCAAATTCTTAAAATAGGGAAGTGAAAGACAGGAGCAAGGAAGCAAACAGAATACCTGGACGACAGTTTCTGTTTAGTCAGATAACATGGATTAGTAAAAGTAACATTCGGTTTACGGGTGAAAGTAATGTAACTCTATCATTTTATTTTTAAGCTGTTTTATATTCCTCAACAATTATTTTAAAAATGTTTTCCCAGGCTAGGCGCAGTGGCTCATGCCTGTAATCCCAGCAATTTGGGAGGTTGAGGCGGGCGGATCATGATGTCAGGACATCAACACCATCCTGGCTAATACAGTGAAACCCCGTCTCTACTAAAAATACAAAAAATTAGCCAGGCATGGTAGAATGCGCCTGTAGTCCCAGCTACCTGAGAGGCTAAGGCAGGAGAATCACTTGAACCCGGGAGGCGGAGGTTGCAGTGAGCCGAGACTCTAGCCTGGGTGACAGAGTGAGACTCTGTCTCAAAAAACAAGAAAAAAAAAAAAGTTTTCCCAATAAAATCATTTCTGCACGTTCTGCATGTACAAAAGCATTAGGGAAGTAGGTTACAATACTAAAGGCTATTGAACACAAGTTGATGCTTAAAACAGCAATGCTGATGTTATATTTCATGTTAGTGGATAATTTTACTTTTGTCTAATATGTATATTAAGTGATTACAAGCAAATGCTGAGTAAATATATAGCTATAAAACCTGCTGAAAAACGTGTAGCTGTATGACTTCCAAAACATAAATACCTATTTTGTTTTACATTTATATCAAGGACTTCTCAAAGTTAACACTAAATAATCATAACATAATTAATATCCTGATATTGGAAATAATAAGTTTGGAAAGCTAATTTTTGGCAGAAGTATTGCCTTTAGTTGTAGTTGTCTGGTTGGGTTGTAGACAACAAATAAAGACCATTTACCATCAAAGTGGATATTCTTTCCGAACTTGGCTGTAAGACAAGAAAAATTGGTATTTTCTTAAAAGAGTCACAGGATAAAAATTCTACGTAAAATGTACCTACAGGACAATTCTGAGTAAACTTGATGCACTAATGAAGGTTCCAAAGTTCCTGCATATGCTAACCTTTTCTGAAATGAAAACAAAAGCCAATATCAAAATCAAATAAAGCAAACCTTCAAGTTTATATATTGATGACCTATGACTGGTGGTAAACTTAATACTAGAGTAGATTAGAGTAAAATTCACAAAAAAAGGCTAGGGAAATATTACACACTTCATATTCCAAAGAGAAATATAATTTAAAATATAACTTTTTTTTGTCTTTTCTTTTTTTCTTTTTTTTTTTTTTTTTTGATGTGGGCGGGGTATACCTAATCCCATTATATGAAAATTGAATAAATGTGTTTTTCAAGCCATTTTGCTTCTCATGAGCTTCTTGCTCAATAGACTGTGAGCCCACCTGGTGGAGGTGATTATTCTTCTCAAAATGTAATTCCTCACACTCATAAATTTCACAGAACATTTATTTTAGTTTCCACTGCTTTCAAGAAATAAAGGTACTAGAAAAGAGGCTTTCCATGGTGTTGGTTTCTTCCTTTACTTGCTTGATTTCCATGTGGACCAGCCCTGGAAATGTCTGTTATCCGCCAGAGTTAAATAGTTCCACTTAAACATTTCACCACAAATGCATGTCAGTGTCACTTGTTAAAACTAATCCATAGGTAAAGGATACCTCATGTCCTGTAATTACTCTACCTAAACATATAACAAAATATAATATCCTGCCCTCCTTCCAGATTCAGGGGGTTCAACACAGAAATCTGTATTTCTGACCGGGCGCAGTGGCTCACACCTGTAATCCCAGCATTTTGGGAGGCCGAGGCAAGTGGATCACTTGAGGTCAGGAGTTCAACCAGCCTGGCCCACATGGTGAAACCTTGTCTCTAATAAAAATACAAAAAAAAATTAATGGGGCATGGTGGCGCGCACCTGTAATCCCAGCTACTCGGGAGGCTGAGGCAGGAGAATAATTGCTGGAGGTGGAGGTTACAGTGAGCCAAGATCGCACCACTGCACTCCAGCCTGGGTGACAGAAGAAGACTATGTCTCAAAAAAAAAAAAAAAAAAAAAGAAAGAAATATGTATTTCCCTCACATGTATAAATATTCCATCAGTGCATAAACAAGAAAAGTAAAATAAAATTGATGAATTCCAAAGTCATCCAAGTGTATGGCCTAATATTTATTCACCTAGAAATACTTTCAAAATGTATAACATGATTGTGAGTTTAGAACTGCTAAATGGATTCAGTCCAGTAACAAAGTCACACCACTCTCTGAGACAATCTAGATGGGCTCTAAATCCTCTCTATAAAATAAGTGTCATATGCAGAATTATTTCTCTTATAGAAGAAATAACAATTTATGATTTTATTTAATAATGAATGAATGAATGAATATCCTTCATGGATGATTTCAGAACTTTTGGATACTTGTCTCCAATTTTGATTTTAAGGGCTCAATGTTATGTCAAAGGTAACATAAGCTCCATAAATATAATTTAACCAGCCTGTGACAACAAAGGCAAAAGAGAGTATTTCAAACCCTCAGAAGTGAGCTGGTATGTTTGGCACACTCTATCTACTCTTATATCCTATGGTTAATAGGCATGGAAACTTTCTACGGAATATCCATTACTCATTCCCTCTACTCTAAACATATAGCCTGTCGGAAATATGATGGTGGTAAGGCTGGTGGGTGCAGGGAGAAAAGGGAAACCAACCTTCAAAAGCAGGAAGGCATAGACAAGTGAATTCTTTTAAGATTTACACCTTGTTTCCAATAGCTTTCATTTAATTTTCCCTGACTTTTTAATTTAGCAAATACACTGATCCAGAAGGAAAACACATGGGGGAAAACAAAAGCCAAACAAGCAAAAAATGCAGTGCAAATCTCTGTGTCTTGTACAATAGCTCTTATTTAGTCCTTGTGTTTGAATATCTGAATGAGAACTGTGGTCTGTTTTTCATTACTCCCCATCTGGAGCTGTTACTCGCTTTGTTCAGCAATTTCTGGTCATTTTGGCTTGATGGTGACTGCTTTGTTGTATGTTGTCATATTATACGGAATGAAAGCTGATGCAGCCACCACCCAAGAAAGAATAATCTTGAAAACGAGAGGTTATGTTGAAAGTTCCTGATAACCCCTTCCGGAATAAAAAAGTGAGTAAGCTTACCTAGGCCTGACTACTGTCCCTAACTTACAGGGTGTGGGTGGGATTCAGGAGAGCATAAAAGCTTTTCTTTTAAATGCTAAAATAGGATTCAATTCTGTTGGTTTAATGCATTAGGTTAATTTTTATACCTTTTCTTTTTATCTCTAAGGAGACAAGTTCATGGACTTTCTCATACCTTGGTAAAGACTAACTTACACACAATATGCTGTACGTGTAACAGCTAATGAAGAATTGAATTACTATCATGTCTTTAAAAATAAAAATAAACAAATCCTTCAGTTCATAATGTTTAGATTTAATTGTATAGCCTTTGCCTGGAGATAAAGTTGCAAAGGATTCAAAACCAAGTGTCACAGAGAAGACCAAATCCAATTTGTGTCCTCTAATGACGACAGTCTTGATGCTCTTAATGATTTTGTTTGAAAAAGGCACCTCACACATCCTGTAATTTCTTTCCTAAATAAAGCAATGGTCAAGAAGTACTCAATCTCTGCCTATTATTTTAAAAAGCAAAACATGTTATTCTCTCCTAATTCTTCACTATTTTCATCTGGAATTATTTTACAAAAACGAAGAACCATACAGTCATGAGTTACTCAGGTTCCATAGAAAGAACAATCAAAATATAAACATAATTAAAACCAGCTTAATTTTTCCAAGAGCTGTATTTTTTTCTTGCCCAAAAAAACAGAACAGATTTGGAGAAATGTTAAGATAATAATAATAATAATATATCACCCATAAGCCCACCATGTTAAAACAAACATTTTTGTCTTGCTTGATATTGCCAGTATTTTATACAAAAGTAACAGGAGATATCGTCAAACATTTTCCATGTATTAACTTTGTTAATCATCACAACACACTGTGAGTGAGGCTCTGTTATTACTTTGCTGATGTTCTTACCTTGCAGAAGGCACAGTGCAGTTGACTAATTTACCACAGGTCACACAGCTACTAAGCGAAGAGGCAGCGTTCAACCCAGGCAGCCTGGATCTACCACAGTCATAACCACACTGATCCTGACTCTCAAATATTTACATAGCTCCATGTTCAGTGTACACATTATTTTATATCCCTTTATATTGATTTAACTTCATATAATAAACATTTTTCTAGGCTTGGCATAATCTAGTCTTTATGACTACCATTTTAACAGCTACATAACAGTTGTATATGCTCCATAAGCTAGAATTTGGATGCTTCCTATATTTTTTCCTAGTAAGGAAAACGAGAGTGCTCAAAGTTGTACGTAGATACATAATTTAAAACATATGTTTAGATAACATATTTGAATAAATATTCTCAACAGACTAACTAGTTTCAACTGTATGCTCTTTATTGCTGTTTCCATACTGACTTTAAAAAAGCTGTACCGATTTAGCATGGTACCAATGAAGAATGGATGAACCAGTTTCAGAGTGAACAGCATGAATGGCCTACATGTTATAATGTTTGCTACTTCAGGGGTTATAAACTATCACTGCATATTGCTTTAATTTGCATGTTTCCCATCACTACCTAACTTACCCTGAGGACACTACTTCCTTTGTAGCCCTCTCAAGTTTGAGTTTTGTTTCTTTTTTTTTCTCCCATATCCTTCCTCCCACTGGACCTGTAAGTGGTAGTCCACTTTCCTCCTTTCTCAGTATGGTTTCTCCCCTACCTAAAATCTCCCATTTAGAATCTCACATCATCAAATTTTATAACCAACTAGTCTTCATTTTCATCATGGTCTACAGATCCCTAGTATCATTTCCCATCCCATTATTTCTCCGCAGATACTTTCTGGATTAGTCACTTTTTCTAATACAACTCCTGTTTCATTTCTTGGCAATTCCAATAAACATTTAGACGATTGTTTCAATACTCGTTCTTATCAGTTCCTTGAACCTTTCCATGACCTCATATCTTTCTCCTATTATTCCCTTGGTCATCATGAACAATTATACACAATTTTCTATAATTGCTGTCTTTCTAATCATATCTTCTCATATCTATGTCAAGGTCTATTTTTTGAAAGGAAAATACTCTAATATACATCGGCATATCATTAAAATAGTATTTTTCTAAAAACATGAAAGGGATAGTAGTATATTTTTGATCATGATTTGCTGACTTACAGGGCACCTCCCCCATGATGTGCTTGATGAAGGTTGTGATTCACTCACCACTGCTAAGCAGAGACTCTACATGCTGAGGATAAGCAAGGCAATGGGAGGCTTTTATAAGCATATAATGGACACACGATCACTTTGCCTTCTTCGTATTACCCTCAGGGCAAACGGTCTAAATGGTGTCCAATTTCTTTTTTTTTTTTCGAGACTGAGCCTTGCTCTGTCACCCAGGCTGGAGTGCAGTGGCACGATCTCAGCTCACTGCAAGCTCCGCCTCCTGGGTTCACGCCATTCTCCTGCCTCAGCCTCCCAAGTAGCTGGGACTACAGGCACCCGCCACCACGCCCGGCTAATTTTTTATAGTTTTAGTAGAGACAGGGTTTCACGGTTTTAGCCAGGATGGTCTCGATCTCCTGACCTTGTGATCCGCCCATCTTGGCCTCCCAAAGTGCTGGGATTACAGGCATGAGCCACTGCGCCCGGCCTAACCGCTGTCCAATTTCTTACAGATGCCTTTCTTTAAGTGATTTTCCTAGGCTGTTCCACAGCCCCGTCTTTCCTCCTTCCCTCTCTTCCTTCCTTTTTTACCTCCTTCTCTTACTCCTTTTCTTCTTCCATATTTATTGGTGAGACCAGTATTCATATCACTAGAGATAAAAGTATTTTGAAGCAGCAAACTCAACATTTTCATATTTATTTAAAATCTATGTATTTGTAAGATTATATTAATATGTAATGTTCACAAAAAGTTGATATAAAAAACAAAGAGAGATGTAAATTCTAATATTTTCTTTTAGCCTCTCCAATAAACAGTCTTGTATCACCCTTCACACATCCCACTTTGGAGGTAAGTTTTCTATAGCACACAGGCCCTGTTTCCACTGATTTTAGGAATCTCTCTACAGAAACAGAAAATTAAATAAGCTGTTGCAAAATAGCGTGGATAGGGATTTTAGGAGCTGATGTAAGGATAAGGATACCCATAGTATAATTTGTCCTGATAAGCACCCACGCTCCCACTATATAATTTGCTTATGGAGACCCTGACCGCCCATTTTTAGTTACATCCCTTTTTCTTCAAACCTTCACAGTTATAGAAGGGTACAGTTTTTGCATGTTGGCAATTTACATTTTCGTGGTCTTCAGAGTTGTACTGTGACAACAGATATCAGCATGCTTGAGCAAAACTCTGCATAAGGAAGTATCCCTTCATATTGACCGCTCCGGTTATGAGTCTATCTATTGAGGTTTCCAGGTGTTGCTTACCTGTGCAGTATTTGTGCTTCTGATTGGTGCTTGATTAATATTATTAACTGTCTGACCCAAGACTTTGTATATGGGTTGGGCAGGTCTAGATGCACTATAATTCGCATTCTAATGCTTCTAACATGCCACATGCTTCCCACAGGCCAAGAGTGACAGAACATCCCTTGGCCATGGCCCAGCTTTCTTCTCAAATGTTCTCCAAGTTCTCAACTGCCCACCCTAATTCACTCCACTCCATTTCCCCTTCTACACATTATTCTTTGGTAATCTTATCTATTCCTTTGACTTCAGTCAGCATCTGTAGCCCTGGGCTTTCTTACAATTTCCTCTTTGACATCTTCCACATGGTTGCCATGCCAGAGACTCTAACTCAGCATGTCCAACACCTTCTCCCCAAAACCTACTACTACTACTTCTGGACTTCTTACCTCACCAAGAGGCACAGGCATCTTTCCCAATCAGAAGACTCAACATGTATGTAGGGTTTGTTTCATACATTCCTCTCTTTCACTGTTAGAGTCAATAGCCAACTCTACCTTTAAAAACTTTCATGGTGAACCCCTTCCTATTACCCTAATAGTAATAGTTAAGCTGATTTTTTTCTAATTTCTCTATTGTACTATGGCTTTAAAGCCTACATTTTTTTTTGTTTCCACTCCCTCCCTTTATATTTCAATTTCACACACCTTTGCTGAAATAACATTACGAAACACCTGCAGAATCATATTTTGTCTGCTCAAAATTTTAAATTTTAATTTTAAATTAAATTTAATTTTAAATTAAATTTTAAATTTAAAATATCCAGGATATCATTTAAAAACCTACACAATTTTAACCCCTTTCTTGTTTCTGTCCTCACTGGTACTTTTTTTTTTTTTTTTTTTTTTTGAGAGGGAGTCTTGCCCTGTAGCCCAGGCTGGAGTGCAATGACGCAATCTCGGCTCACTGCAACCTCTGCCTCCTGGGTTCAAACGATTCTCCTGCCACAGCCTCCCAAGTAGCTGGGATTACAGGTGCCTACAACCGTGCCCAGCTAATCTTTGTATTTTTAGTAGAGACAGGGTTTCACCATGTTGGCCAGGCTGGTCTCAAAGTCCTGACCTCATGATCCACCCTCCTCAGCCTCCCAAAGTGCTGGGATTATAGGCGTGAGCCACCGCGCCCAGCAGTACTTTTTTTTTTTTTTTTTTTACAGCTACGTGGGTCTACTCAATTACATTCTGAAATTCTCTCTCCTGAACATCCACCTGTCCCAAGCTCACCCATTCTACCTTGACTTTATAAACTTCATTTCCCAAAAAGAAATCTCTATGTTCTCCTCTAACAGTGGTTTGTCGATAATTCTGTTTTAGATACCGCTGTTACACCCTCACATATATTAAGGTGATATAGTAATCCTAATAAGGATATTAGAATTAGTTTCTTGGTTTTCTTGGTGTCTTTTTAACTAGGACTTGAATCTATGAGGTGGAAGAAATCATGTCATATTATTCTTTGTCTTGTAATATGTAGTTCATTTCTGAGTTTATAGAAGACGTGGAATGTTTTTATTTTTTTAATTGCTGAATTGAATCTGACTACCATTATGCAAGTAGGTGAGGAGATACATATACAGGAGTTTCTGAGTGTTCTTTCCTAAAACTTGTGCACATTATGTTTGTATATGAAATAGAGGCAGTGTTTAGAATGAACGTGGCTGTGCTATACTTCTTGATTTCAGTGTTACAACAAAGATTAGATTAAAGGAACAACAAACAGCATGTTACAAGAAGCATTCCAATTTTCCAGTAAGAACTGAGTCATGCAAGAGAGACCATACAGGTTCCACAATTAATCTAATGCAAATTTTAAAAGAATATAGGACTCCCAGACATGAAGAAACATGAGCCACAGATATAGTCCAATGACTTCAGAAGTATTTCCAGGAAAACCAAAAGCCTGTCTTAATAAGATACCAACTCTGAAATCCCTGAGATGCTTATAGCTGAAGCTTAATACAATAGGCCCATCAGTAAATTTATTCATAGTCAACCAATGTTGCTAAAGCTTTAAAGAACAGAGAAATTAAAATGTGTTTTGCATGGGGAAGTTTTCCCCAGAGTTCCTCATTTTTATATAGGAAATCAATTTGCATCACTGATGATATCATTCACATCAGACACCCCAAAGTTGTTAGGAGGTAATTTAGTTTTATGCTGAAGCAATTTGATACTTGTTCTGATTTGTGATTTTCATTTTGTTTGTTAATGAAAAAAATGAATGAGCAATGTTACTAGAAATACAACTTATCAAAACATTGGCATCATTAAAGAGGTTTTCCATACTATGCATTGTGATCATTGTGCAGCTGGTACCTGGACCTCCACAATGGAAGAACCATTAATCAGATAGCATAGGCAAGATTTCAGGGTACGGATGCCCTTACACATACCTTTGCACTGATTTGTGTTTTTGTCAAGAATTGCCTTTGTAGATACAATTTTTCCATACCTGAAAGAGAGAGAGAGAAAAAAACCCATGTTATTGTAACCCATTGAAGACACTTAAAACACTCTAATGAACATCGGGGCACACACAACTGAGCATGCATAAACCAAGAAAACAAGCTCTGGATTCCCATTTCACACCTGGATGATGTCCTTTCACCAGTTCTTCTTTATAACTTAGGAATGTTCTTCCCTATGTAAGCAATGGGTTGAGCTTCAAAAATAAACTTGTCAGGCTGTCACAGGCAGCCAAAAGAGGATCACATGTGATTGTGATCACAGTAAATCGCACTCTGTGGATTCATGGAAGAAAGCATGGACCTTGGTGCTAGACTGAACAGGGTTTGCATCCAGCTCTGACTCTCACCTTGTGTTGTAACACTGCAGAGTTTAACCCAACTTCACTAAGACACAGTTTCTTCATCTGCAAAAATGAGAAGCTAAATATGTCAAATCTCCTAGTTCAATCAACATTTATGTCTTTGGGAATCCACTATATTAGGCTCCAGGAGCAATGTAATATAGTAGTTAAAAGAATATACGGAGACACCAAACTATCATGGTTCAAATCCTAATTTAGCCTGGGTATATTTGGTTGGCTAAGTAAGTAATATGTGCTTTTTGCATCATTTGATCATCTATAATAATATAAATACATTTATTTAAATAATGATTTGAATTATTTGTAATGATATAAATATTTTTGTAAGTATATAAGATGAGGATAATATTGTCTTCTTTATAGGCTTTTTGTGAAGGTAAAATGGGGTTTACCTAACGTGCTGAGGACAGTGGCCGACACAGAGTAAGTATTATTAATGTTAGCTCTTCTTCCAATGATGCTCTCCCTGCTATCAGCTATATAAAAATGTCTCCAGCCCTCGGCATTCTCTGAGAATGATGAGAAGTGGAAGGGGGTAAAGATTCTGTCCCCAAAGCTTCAAACATTACTACTTAGACTGTCAAAAAATTCCACTGAGAAAATTGACATGTAAAGTTATTTGCTAAAAGATAATTACATTTACAGTTTACATCGTTAGTTTTAAATGTTAGGGATTTCATTATGTTCTCACTCTACCTAGTTGTACAGATACTCACCTGTTCGAAGCTTTTTTGTTTGTTTCATATTATCAAAATGACTATTACCTCATGCCTATTACCACACGAGATTATTCCCTTTAAAAACTCCCAATCCTCCCTTTCCCATCTCCCCCAAAACACTCTTTTTGGAGCTCTATTTCACCCCAAGAGTCTCTCTGTTGGGAAAATAACCAGTAAAATAAAATCATATTTGAACAGTCTCTTTACTAGACAATGATTCATCGTACCTACAATCATACCCATTAACTAGCTGTAATGTTAGCTAGGTTTGAGCTATTAAGGTAAATAAATATTTGCAAAATTATATGTATCTTAGAGTAGAAAATAAGGGATAAGAGAAGAAAATGTCACTGCATCTTTTTTTTCCACACCAAGCACCATTAATACAATATGTGAGAAGTAAAAATCAGAAAAAGAAAGAAAAATTAGATCAGGTATAACTATCTTACACCAGGCACATAAACCCTTAAGACAAAAATCCTTCTTAATTGGTTTATAAAGGTGTTCCTGAAATTTTTATATAAGAACCTTCTAAACTGAAATTTAGCTCTGTCTTAAATATGAAATTAAACATTACTGTGTTTCATAGTGGATTTCATCTCACAACTGGACTGTTAACAATAGTCAATGGCATGCATATTGTCCTACTGTATCAATATTACAAGAATGTCCTCTACTGCATTAAATGTAGTATATGTAATCACTTTTACAGCAAAAAATGTTAAATGTTTTCTTATGGAAAGCATTTGTGAGTATTTTGACAAGTAACTTTTTTATAAACAAAGAAAAAGAATTTTATTTCTCAGAAATTATTACAATATTACTATCAATGGAAAATCACACACAGAGTCCAAAAAAGCAAACCATACTATTTCTTGATTTCCTTATTTCTAAACACTCTCTAGGCCAGACTTTCCGACAGCACAGAATCACAAAACAATGGAACACAACTCAGAGTACTTGACGCAACATCTACTATGACTGGAGTAACAGGAATTTCATTCCATGGCTCCGTTACAACATTCTGCATTAACAATTAATTTGCAAAGCTAGGATATGCTTTAAACAACAAGAGAAGGTACTTAATGGGCCACTGGTTACAGTTCATGTCTGAACTCTCAGGATGACAAACAGGTACTTTCTGCATGACTGGCTCTGTATTCTCTGTGATCTGCAAAGTCAACAACTGATGTAGATAAATAAGGTTTAGATTTTTTTTAAAGACGTAACCACCATAAACACGAGACCCACGAATGTAATATACCTATGAAATTATGCTTTTATCAAAGTATACTAGTAGATTAGAATGAAAACTACTCTGCAGATTAAAAGTACATGATTTTATACACTCCGAAGGAAAATAAAAATTTCTGAAGTAAAAAAGTATGCCTTCAGGTATATAACCTCATTTACTTACTCTTTCCCTTCTTAGGGTTTAGATCAAGACCTTATGTCTTCATAAAGTTCTTTCTTCAACTATGCCACCCACCATTGGAAGCAGAAATCTAATATTAGAGAAAATTATGTGACCAAATTGCTGAATAATGCCTGGAAATAGACACCTGAGCACAAGTCCCATGTGCCTCCTGACTCCAGAAGCTTTCAGACAAATCCAATTCACTTATCTATCCTTTCATTTCTTACAGCTAGAGGAGATAAAATACTATCCACAGTCTACTTCCTTGGGGGTTTGAACTTTTCAAGGGAAATAAATAAATGAAGTAAATATATTTTACACTATAGTTCTTTCTATGTGGGCCTTCTCTAGCCAAAGTAGGAACTCCCTAATACAGCATTGCAAAGATGCTTTTTGGCAACCCCATACCTACATATTCACCAACTATCCTGAGTGCTCATGTATTCTACAAATATAGCCAGGTCTCTAATGACATTTTCTTTATATTCAAATACAGCCAGGTCTCTAATGATATTTCTTATATTCTATTTTCTTTATATTCTAAAGAGTATGCTTTAAAAGAGTAGCTAGTCTACAGTAACTATTTGCTTATTACATTTTTGAGTTTTCATAATTTTATAAATGTATATATTGTCTATCAACTTTTTAAAACACTTTCACCCTAGCTTGTCAATACAATTTTCATATTTAATTTTTTAAGAGAAATAGCCAGTTCTTTTCTGGCATTTATTCTTAAACAGCATCTGAGTCAAACTATATTTGTTGATACACTTGATTATTCCACATACAAGCCTAATTTAAACTAATGGCATCTTTTATTTTCAAAGCTGAAGAGAAAATAGAGTTATTATGGGTCTACTCTTCATGAATTATGAAGACATCAAATTGGTGGGATCCTTCAATAAAGAATTTATTTTTAAACCCTTTTGCTGAATCACCCACTGTGTATATTAATTCAAAAAATACAGGCAGAGACTGAAAATAGAGTCTCCGCAGTCAATTAACTCTCAGCTAACTCATTTTTCACATGCCTTCTATATTGATACCAGACTAGAAAAAGGTATCACATTTATTTAATGGATGAAACATTAGCCTTTTAGCAAATGTGGTTGTTTGCCTACTTCTAGATGGCTCATTCATTCTTTGGCATTTGAGGATGGTAATGGAGCATATCTGTAGCTTTAGGGACCCAGTTGGAATGTTGTAGGGCTATCTCTCTGATGGAATACATCAGCCACGTTTCACCTACAAGTTTACAACCCATTTATATTCTGAAGTTTTAACAAGTTCAATCTACAAATGGGTCATCAAAGTCATGCATAATTGTTATGGACTGAATTTTGTCCCCTCAAAATTAATATGTTAAAATTGTAATCCTCACTACCTCAGAATGTGACTGTATTTGGAGACAGAGCCTTTAAAGAGGTAATTAAGGTAAAATAAGGTTATACGATAGGCCCGAATCCAATATGATTGTTGTCCTTATAAGCAGAGACAGGCACAAAAAGACCATATGAAGTCGTAGAGAGAAGGCAGCCATTTACAAGAAAAAGAGAAAGGCTTTAGAAGCAGCAATGGTGCCAATACCTTGATCTTGTATTTCCCACTTCAAAACTGTGAGAAAATATATTTTCATGAAGCCACCCAGTCTGTGGTACTTTGTTATGGCAGTTCTAACAAACTAACACAATAATCTTCTCTCCAAGGCCTCCTGAGCTTTGCAAAAAGAACAGAGGTGAGAGGATTCATCAGACAAGACACCTTTCTAAAATGCTTTGCTCAATGATTTTGCACTTGTCCCTTCCAAGCTCTTACCTAAGACCTTCAAGCTCTTTCTCATCTAACATTTGTGTATGATAACAGAAGCCTAGAAGTCTCACAGTGTTACAAAGAGCAGACAACAAATAATCCAGAACCTGGTCCTTGGTCTTGTAATCTGGGCAGTGTTTCTTTCCCCGGAGAGATAATCAAACTGTGATCATGCATCCACACCAAGTAAACTTTACATGTCTATTGTGCAAACTAAAACGTCTTTTATTAACATACTATTTCGGGCTAATACCTTACAAAGAACACAAAATAAGATTATCTAGCTGGGAGATTTGGAGAAAAGTTCCTAGAAGAGGAAGTGTTTGAAGAAGGGGCAATATTTTGTCAATGAGGAATGATTTTTATATGTCTTAGAGATTAGAAAAACAATTGTTAAAAAAATGAGTCTTTTTTCACGTCAGTGTATTACTACTTAGCAAATTTCTATTTTCATGCTACAAAGAGCTTCACCAGGAACCTAGGGCTACAAACAGCATTTCGAGTTTGATATACTCAAAGTAAGTGGTTCTCCATGTTTAACGGGCAGCAGAACCTCTTAGGAGGCTTATCAACACAGGTTGCTAGACTCCACCCCCAGAAATCTGACTCAGTAGATAAAGAGGTGGGCCTGGAGAGTTTGCATTTCTAACAGGATCCCAGGTAAGGTTGATACTGCTGATGGTGCTTTGAGAACCACTGCTCCAAAAGACTAACACACAAACAGCAAAGAATGTGGTTTGTTATTTGCAATACTCCAGAGACTAAGGGAACTTTCTTTCTTTTTCTTTTTTCTTTTTTTTTTTTTTTTGTTAAGACGAAGTTGCTCTGTCGCCCAGGCTGGAGTGCAGTGACGCGATCTCGGCTCACTGCAAGCTCCGCCTCCAGGGTTCACGCCATTCTCCTGCCTCAGCCTCCCGAGTAGCTGGGACTACAGGCGCCCGCCCCCAAGCCCGGCTAATTTTTTTGTATTTTTTTTAGTAGAGACAGGGTTTCACCGTGTTAGCCAGGATGGTCTCGATCTCGACTAAGGGAACTTTCTGTCGATATGGAGAACTACTTTTAAAACTTCAAATAAATTTTCCTTCATATAATACTTTAAATTGAAAATGGTAGGCTGGGGGCGGCGGCTCACGTCTGTAATCCCAGTACTTTGGGAGACCGAGGTGGGTAGATCACGAGGTTAGGAGTTCGAGACCAGCCTGACCAACGTGGTGAAACGTCGTCTATACTAAAAATACAAAAAATAGCCGGGCGTGGTGGTGCACACCTGTAATCCCAGCTATTCAGGAGGCTGAGGCAGGAGAATCACTTGAACCTGGGAGGCAGAGATTGCAGTGAGCCGAGATCGTGCCACTGCACTCCAGCCTGGGTGACAGAGCGACACTCCGTCTCAAAAAAAAAAAAAAAAAAAAAAAAGAAAGAAAGAAAGAAAATGGTAGACTGTGTACTTTTTCAGAGTTTTGCCTGATGATATTCCTCATTTAGCCAATATAGTAACAACTTACAACTCAAGTATAGCTGTTTTGAAATTTGCTTTCAGATACCTTCTAGAAACAAAGTCCAAAGAAAACATTGGCAATGCCTATGTAAATCTCTTCTGCCACTTGAAATAACTAGTTGCTAAGTAGTAGTTTGACTGAATTACAGTGAAAATCTTGTGAGGAAAAATGGCAAGCAGATAATGATTAGTAACTGGTTTGTGCCTTTCCTTGTTCTTTAATTAGAAATAGATGTAAATCTGGCACAAAAATAGCAGACCAAAAATGCATACTTTCAAGTTCTAAAATCAAAAGAAAATCACTTATTTGCTGGTTCTCAGAATTAGTAACTCTTGGGTTATGCTTTAGGTTATATAGTTGGGTTATGTAATTTGGGGATATATATAACCTGTCACCTTAGCGAAAGTTTATGAGAAAGGGATTTCCATACCAATAGAGTCAGAAACCTCACATGCATCTGAGTACCTTCTACAACTGATTCCAATGCATTTCAGCATATTTAACATTCTTTAATATTTGGCCAACTAATATAGAAAGAGGATGAGGTTTAGAATCAATTAATATAGACTTGAATCTGAACTCTCCCACCCACATGACCTAGGGCAAATTACTCAACCCCTCAGCACCTGTTCCTTGATCTGTATGATTACTATGTTCTGTTTTCTATAGCAACTGTAAAAATGAAATAAAATAGTATGTATTAAAACTCCTAGCACAATGTGTGACATGTTAAAATTGATTCCTTTCTCTTATTAAACCCTCCCTTATTACCTATACATTTACTGTATAGCATAAAATAATAACTCAGACACTAGTATCTAATGACCATTTGATAGAGCCAGTATGTCCCCGTTCAATGCTTCTAGAGGCCCCAAGGAAGCACATGATTTAGCATTTATGCTTTCTAATTTGTACTCCAAGTCAATTCACAGTTTCTTCTTCACTCACTCAGTCTCCTTCTGCCAATACCTAGTTACTTGCTCAGACTGTTCTCCAGGCCACTTGAATGCTGTCTCCACTACCTTCCCATATGCTTGTCCCTCCTAATCTTTCCACCAGGATCCACCGCTCTACTTCAGTACCTCTATTCAACCCTGTTTTCTATTGTCTCCTTTCCTGGCCATCACCCAAGAAAGCCATTATACCTGGTTGACCACATCTTGACCATTTCTTGGTTCTCACTGCCATCAACTTCTCATTTGTTCATGCATAGTTGATCTTGAACAGTACCCCATCTCCAGAACCATTTGCCTTCTAGAACCTAACCATGTAGTATCAATTCTCAAGTTCTTATGTAAGTGGCTTTCAGATTTTGGAGGTTTTAAAGGTCTCTCAGGAATTCATGGGTATCCCTTTCAAAGCCTCTCATCTCCACCCCACTGTGTTTCATTTAGCTGGCACCTACTTTTATAACACTTCCTAGACACTAGCCCTTTTTCTAAGTTCTCTACATTTTTCAACTCATGTTAGTCATTGCAACAAACCCATGAGGGAGGCACTATGTCTAACTACATTTTACAAATGAGGACACTGAGCTAGCCACAGGGTAAGTAACTTTCCCAGGGTCACATGACTAGGAAGTAGCAAAAGCAGGATCCAATCTCAGACAGACCAGCTACAGAGTCCAGGCTCTGCCAACACTTGTTGCCTCTCAGCTCTAGTGCCACCTGCCATTCTCCTGTCTCAAAAGAAGACCTGCTTCTCCTTTTCTCCCCAATTGGTATTCATCCCTGTGATGTCTGTGACCTGTTCCCCTATCTATCACCTATATTTCTCTGAAATGTACATGCTTTTTCCCAAATGCCAGGGCTCTTTCCCCTCTGCCTGCCCTTAAACATGTGCAAATCCTTTCCATCCATACACTGGTTATCATAGGGTGTCTCTCTTTTCATTTACTGCCAGACTTTTCTTGAATGATTGCTCTACTCAAGCTACTTCTTTCTTTGTATTATCCAGTTTCTGCTTAATTCCTAAACACTGACTTCTGTTGGAACAATACTTTGAAAAGTGAACAGTAACTTTCTAATTGGTAAAAATATTCAGTTACTAGCATTGACTTCTTGGCACCATTTGACCTCCTAAATAGCTTCCTCTTGAAATATCCTTTCCCTGGGATCCATGCATTACCTTCATCTGGTTCTTTTTTTCTTGCCTGTACTTTTTCCCTTATCTCCATCACTTACCCCTTCTCTTCCATCATGTTCCAGAAAGTGTGTGTAGACAAGCTGAATCCTCAGTCCAGTTGAGTTTTGGTGCTACAATATCCACTACAGTAATAATTCTCAAAATGTAATGTGCATTGGAACATCTGGGTGGCTTCTTATAAATCTGGGGCCTCAACCCCCGAGTTTCTGATTCAGTTTGTCTGAGACTGGGCATGAGCTGATCCCAGGACCACACTTTAAGAACAACTGTATTACAAATCTTCTTTATTATCATGCTTTGAATTCCCATTTCTTTGTGTTTCACTCTCAAAATTTCCTCTCCAGATCTGCCTTCGCCCTCAATCCTCAGTCCTGAATCTCCAGTTAGAGTTATTAGATATTTCTCCTTGTATGCTGAATGATCATCTCAAATGACACAACAAAGTTCAACTCACCATCTTCGCCTTTTTCTTTTCTCTGAAAGTATTTTTAGGGCAGAAACTAGTCAGGTATTGAAATGGATACTGGATAGAGACCATGAGGACCTGGAGAACTTACGCTTCAACTGATGTGACATCTGCTTGTCAGCTCAACCAGTATTACCATAAACAAATATAATCTCAGCATTTCCAGGCCTTCTGATTTTTTTGAAAGACCTTGATTTTTAGGCAATATTTCCCAATTTTTTAAGGTTGGCTTAGAGATTTTACAAAGCAATGCAAAGGAAAAATAAAAAAATTTCCAAGCTGACTGAGCCTGAAGAATCTGTTTGTGATCTTGGAACTATTGTCTAATTTCCCCTTTTCTTGCTAAATAATACAGGTCCTTCAAAACTAAATTCCATGTTTTGACTTATTTGATCACCAATTATTTCTCTCAAATCTGAATAGCTGCTGTGCTCACAGCCTGTATGAAAGCACCCAGTACTTTATTTATATATTTATTATTTTATATGTTGTCTGTTGATTCCCCCATGAGATTTTCTCTTCAATGAGACCTTCATTTTAAAGAGGCCCAGATCAGTATAGAGCTTGATGCATAATAAGCCTCCATGAACATCTTTAAATTTCTCAGTAATTTTTATGGACCTGATAACATTTTCCATATCAGAAACACCCACTAATGATTGGATTACATGTATATATACATTGTATATTATATATATAATATATATACACATACACATATACATTACATATGCTATTAACTGAACACCTGCTATGTGACAGAGAGCAGTATACATATTTATTGCAAATTCTCATGCCTACATAATTAGTTGATATTATTTTCATTTATTTAACATGAAATAATTAAATTTAGGTATATTAAGTTACTTGACTAAGTTCATGCAGCACTTAAGTTATATTGCTTATATTTAAATTCAATTACATTTGGCTTCAAAATCTTACTCTTTCTTTGATTTCATGCTGCCCCTATGTATAGTGAATAAGCTCAGATAAAATTAAGTCCTCTGGCCAGTCAAGATGCCACAAAAAAACATGTGTAAGGTTTGCAAATTTTGGACATGACTAGTCCTTTAAAACGCAGAAAAATTACCAACATTCCTTGGAAATAACATAGCTGCATATTTACCACTGCTTGTTAGAACTTCCTTCTAAAGAAACTTGTTCCTTGAAGCAGCTTATGGCTTCACAATATGTAGCACATTCTAGTACAACTGTGTATCCAACATCAACCGAATACGTAATGGAAAACATAGCTTCACAGCAGATTTTACATCTGCTATTTGAGAAGACATCAAATCTGATTCTGAAAATCCTGACATCATCTACAGTCTCAGTTTTAAGAGAAAACTCCATTAAATCTGCAACATATGTAACCATTTTCAGAGCCACATTTCAGTAGAGTGGAAGTCAGCTGTTTATAGCACATTCTTGGTGCTACAGTATGAATGTTTGTATTTTCCCAAAATTCATCTGTTGAAACCCAATCACTAATATGATGGTGTTAGGAGATGGGGCCTTTGGGAGGTGATTAGGTCATGAGGGTGGAGCTCTCAAGAATGTGATTAGTCCCCTTACGAAAGAGGGCCCAGCAAGCTACCTTGTCACTTCCATCATGTGAGGACAAAGCTGGAAGGCACCATTTAGGAACCAGAAAATGGGGCCCTCATTAGACAATGAACCAGCTGCTGCCTTCATCTTGAACTTCTCAGCCTCCAGCACTGTGAAATATAAATTTTTATATTATATAAGCCACCAGGTTTGTAGCATTTTGCTATAGTAGCCCAAATAGACTGACAATTGGTTCTCACTGTATCTGCAAGCACAGTTCCAAACCACATATTAGGTTTTCAAAGAAGTTATATGTTGCTAATGAGGTGGTAGCTCCCAAGCCTGGCATGGGTCACTTAGTTTCATTCTAACCTCCTCCAAATTGTCTTTGCGCTGGGTGTGGTGGCTCACACCTGTAATCCCAGCACTTTGGGAGGCCAAGGTCAGTGGATGGCATGAGCTCAGGAGTTTCAGACCAGCCTGGGCAACATGGTGAAATCCCATCTCTACAGAAAAAAATACAAAACTTAACCAGGCATCGTGGTGCATTCCTGTGGTCCCAGCTACTTAGGAGGGTGAGGTGGGAGGATCACTTGAGCCCAGGAGGCAGAGGTTGCAGTGAACTGAGATTGCACGACTGCACTCCAGCCTAGGTGACAGAGTGAGACCCTGTCTCAAAAAAGAAAAAGAAAAAGAAAAAATAAACATTATCTATATCACTAACCTCATTCTCCTCATCCCTACTCAACTGACATATCTCTCATTTTTTTTTTCTCATCCCCAAGTAGCTAATTTTAATTGTGGTTATGATCCAATAGGATTTTGGGCATATCTTTATTATTAGAGATGGCAATTGGATCATTAATTGTATCAGTGATAAAATGCTGTATTTTATTAGTACTGTATTGTATTGTACTATATTGTATCTTTTCTTATCCTAACAATGAGGATGAGTTCTTCAAGAGCAGAGCATAATTTTGTTTGTTTGTTTGTTTGTTTGTTTGTTATATCCCTGACCCTACACACAGGGATCAATACATGCCCATTAAATGAGTGAATAGATTAGTGGATACCATATATTACACCTTGAACATGAAACAAGATGATTAGGATGGCTATGGGAGTCAAGTATGTCCAGGTACAGTGATATGCCTCCTATTTTGCAAAGTGACAAAGTGCATACTCTGCTGATAAAGATACATTGCTTTTTATACATTATATTGAGCACATTTCCTTCATTTCATCCACTAAGAGAGTGAGCTATAATATCACTCAAGGGTCAAACGAAAACAGAGTTTAAAAATACTGACTGTAAAATACTTTATGAAATTTGTATTATTTTTAAAACTTCAAGGACACTCAAAGGAAAAAAAATGAGTTAAAATGCTAAAAGAGAAATTCCGTGTACTGTAGCAGCTGCTGTAAGCTTTTTAATAGATACGCAGTTTTGAGTATTACTATGAATAAGTACCTAATACAAATAACTCAATGATGTATTTCTCAGGGAGGTTTGTCTGTAAAAGAATGACAGTTTTGAGATGTCTGTAGAATCTTTCTGAGCTTCGTAACACTCAAATTGCATTTCTGTGATTAAGTAATACAAGAATGCATGCTTCATTTAAAGATTCAGAACCCACAAAAGGCAAAATACACAAAGCCATATAATGCAGAAATAACTAGTTCCATGAAGGTGATTTTTATTTTTTTTTAAAAATTACATACATAGAAAAAGCAGAAAAGATAAAATCAAGGCCAGCTTTAATTCAAAATAACTCTGTTTTTCTTATTTCTAAAAATGTATAAGACGAAGTACCCAAGTGAAAGAGACCACAGCTATTTTGTCAATACGTTAATCTCCTTGTATTAAATTTTGAGATGCATGCTAGGTAAAGCTGTTATTTGTCACTCCAAAAGATCAATCCTTGTGGAACTATACTAGGGAGCCCATTGTCCAGTCTTTAGCTAAATAATTCATAATCGCATAAATCGATGGTGTAGTTCAACTACCTATGTGAAAATTATTGGCTTTATAGATTCTGTATAATCCAGAGAACTTTAAAAATTCTATGTAAAATGTATATAACTACCTTACTGGTGGTGAGGTAGGTGAGAAGACCTAAAAGAGTATGTAAAGTCTTCTAGCTCAATAATAGGCTTATAGTAGATACTCAAAAACAATAGTTCATGGGGTCATGCACAATCTTTTAATTGCCTATTGGTCAGAAATTTCAGGCTTATGTTATAATTAGATTCCATAAAGCATAATCAAGAAACAGAGTAGACTGTGAAGTTTGTGTAGTGCTGTCTCAAGTGAAGTATCAGTGACTTCTGGTTCACTTGTTTGCCTTAATCCTTCTCATTACTGCAGGTGTGCACACTCCCCTGAGTGCATGCCTTTCATTCCACAGGGAGTCAGTGGGGGATGTTTTACATGACAAAGAACACACCTAGGATGCCTTTTTGTTTGTGCCATTTAGGAGGGTCATGGGCTGAAGGAAAAATGCAAGAAAAATTCAGCCACTCTCTGCATGCCAGGAAGGATGTAATGTTGTCTTATAGATCTTTTTACCAGATCAACTCTTTTTTTTAATAAGCTTAAATATATTTATCTAACTTCCAACACATGGCCCCACATAATGCTCTCAATATGACCTGATTTCTGTACTCTCACAATCCAAAGCACTGCTTTCATACTTTCTTGAAATATCTATGACTATGAATCTTTGTACTTAGGCACCTATCACATCCCATAATCCTTTAGGAGATACCCCGTGCTTTATACGTTTATGATGCAAAGGATATTTATGTCTAGTAGATATACGGTAAATGTTTCATGATTTGGTAATGTTCCTGGAGGAAAGATAAGACCAACCACTCTTAATTGTGGTGTAAATAAGAAAAGGAGAAATTGGCTGGGCGCAGTGATTCACGCCTGTAATCCCAGCACTTTGGGAGGCTGAGCTGGACGGATTGCCTGAGCTCAAGGGTTCGTGACCAGCCTGAGCAACACAGTAAAACCCCATCCCTACGAAAACTACAAAAAATTAGCTGGGCTTGGTGGTGTGCACCTGTAGTCCCAGCTACTCCAGAGGCTGAAGCAGGAGAATTGCTTGAATCTGGGAGGTGGAGGTTGCAGTGAGACAAGATCACGCCATTGCACTCCAGCCTGGGTGACAGAGCAAGACTCTGTCTCCAAAAAAAAAAAAAAGAAAAGAAAAGAAACTTATTAAAGCCAATCACTTACTGACAAATGCATTGTACTTGACTAATTATTCCTCTTAATTTTGGTATTTAATTATGCCTTAAGCATCCGTTACAGACACTATTTATACCATAATAAACCTTAATAAACCTTTCATTACCATATGTATCACTTTGCTCAGCTGGGTTGCAATATTATCTCAGTGAATTATGCAAGAAGCTTCTTGTGTTTTAATAATTCTTTAGCCCTTCACAATGCTTTATATATCTTATTTATACTATATCAGTTTTTCCCCACTAAGCTCAGATTCTCTTTCTATTCTTTATATTTCCATCACTCCCCAGTGTGAACCCTTAAATACAACCAAATTCAATCATGGGAAGTATCTAAAATGTTCCCTGCTATGTTGCAATTCCAACAGCCAAGAATTTTCTTCCTTTCCTCCTGCCTCTCTACTCACAACTTGCTTTGTCTAATTTTAGTTTAATGGTCTCCTCTATAAATATTTCACTCACCATCTTTCTTTTAGCTGAATTAAAAGCTTCTTCTAGACCAGTACGCCTCTTCGTAGCACTGTCCCTACTATATGGTAAGCGCATACTTATTTCTGAGAGTTACTTGAAAACATAAATTGTGCCTTCCTTGTCTGTGTCACCCAGTCATCACACAAAACACAGCACAAAATAGGTGTTCAACATAAGTTGTAAAATAGGCAAAAATGAGGATGTTAATCCTATGTAAACAATCAACTTAAAAGAAAAGTTAAACTTGAATCTTTTTTCTGCTACATCCACATCAGATAAAATTATTAGGGAAGCTGTGTTTCTTTTTTCTTGTAGTAATCCCTTGTACTAAACATAAACTGTTTACAAATATAAGAATATTCATCAGCAGCCTAAAACTGGAAACTACCCAAATGCTTATTAATAATAGAACAGATAAATATATTAGGTTTATTCAAACAATGGAATACCATACCACTATGAGAATAACAAACTGGAGCTACAAGCAACAATTGTGGGTGAATCCTCAAACAATGCGGAGCAAAAGACACCAGATAAACAAAAGTGTATGGTCTACAATTGCATTTATGTAAACTAATGTATTAGAAGTCAGGATCGTGGTTATCCTTGGCAGAGATGAAAAATTAGAAGAGGCGCTGGGCGCGGTAGTTCATGCCTGTAATCCTAGTGAGAGGTGACAGCGTGCTGGCAGCCCTCGCAGCCCTTGCTCGCTCTCGGCCTCTCCTCTGCCTGGACTCCCACTTTGGTGGCGCTTGAGGAGCTCTTCAGCCCACCACTGCACTGTGGGAGCCCCTTTCTGGTCTGGCCAAGGCCAGAGCTGGCTCCCTCAGCTTGCAGAGAGGTATGGAGGGAGAGGCGCGAGCGGGAACCGGGGCTGCGCGCGGCGCTTGCGGGACAGCTGGACTTCCAGGTGGGCGTGGGCTTGGTGGGCCCCACACTTGGAGGGGCTGGCCGGCCCTGCCGGCCCCGGGCAATGAGCGGCTTAGTACCTGGGCCAGCAGCTGCGGAGGGTGTACTGGGTCCCCCAGCAGTGCCGGCCCACTGGCGCTGCACTCGATTTCTCACCGTGCCTTAGCTGCCTCCCCGAGGGGCAGGGCTCGGGACCTGCAGCCCGCCATGCCTGAGCCTCCCCTCCTCCGTGGGCTCCTGTGCACCCGAGCCTCCCCAACGAGCGCCACCCCTGGTTCCACGGCGCCCAGTCCCATCAACCACCCAAGGGCTGAGGAGTGCAGGCGCACGGCGCGGGACTGGCAGGCAGCTCCACCTGCGGCCTCCGTGCGGGATCCACTGGGTGAAGCCAGCTGGGCTCCTGAGTCTAGTGGGAACTTGGAGAACCTTTATGTCTAGCTAAGGGTTTGTGAATGCACCAATCGATACTCTGTATCTAGCTACTCTGGTGGGGACTTGGAGAACCTTTATGTCTAGCTAAGGGATTGTAAATACACCAATCAGCACTCTGTCTCTAGCTCAAGGTTTGTAAACACACCAATCAGCACCCTGTGTCTAGCTCAGGGTTTGTGAATGCACCAATCGACACTCTGTATCTAGCTACTCTGGTGGGGACTTGGAGAAACTTTATGTCTAGCTAAGGGATTGTAAATACACCAATCGGCACTCTCTATCTAGCTCAAGGTTTGTAAACACACCAATCAGCACCCTGTGCCTAGCTCAAGGTTTGTGAATGCACCAATCTACACTCTGTATCTAGCTACTCTGATGGGGACGTGGAGAACCTTTGTGTCTAGCTCAGGGATTGTAAACACACCAATCAGCGCCCTGTCAAAACAGACCACTCGGCTCTACCAATCAGCAGGATGTGGGTGGGGCCAGATAAGAGAATAAAAGCAGACTGTCCCAGCCAGCCATGGCAACCGCTTGGGACCCCTTCCAGACTTTGAAAGCTTTGTTCTTTCGCTCTTTGCAATAAATCTTGCTGCTGCTCACTCTTTGGGTCCACACTGCCTTTATGAGCTGTAACACTCACCGCGAAGGTCTGCAGCTTCACTCCTGAAGCCAGCGAGACCACGAACCCACTGGGAGGAACGAACAACTCCAGACGCGCCGCCTTAAGAGCTGTAACACTCACCACAAAGGTCTGCAGCTTCACTCCTGAGCCAGTGAGACCACGAACCCACCAAAAGGAAGAAACTCCGAACACATCCGAACATCAGAAGGTACGCGCCGCCTTAAGAGTTGTAACACTCACAGCGAGGGTCCACGGCTTCATTCGAAGTCAGTGAGACCAAGAACCCACCAATTCCGGACACACTAGCACTGTGGGAGGCCAAGGTGGGCAGATCACTTGAAGTCAGGAGTTCAAGACCAGTCTGATCAACATGGTAAAATGCCATCTCTACTAAAAATACAAAAATTAGCTGGGCGTGATGGCGGGCGCCTGTAATCCTAGCTACTGAGGAAGCTGAGGCGGGAATCGCTTGAACCGGGGAAGTGGAGGTTGCAGTGAGCCAAGATCACGCCATTGCACTCCAGCAGCCTGGTCGACAGAGCGAGACCCCATTTCAAAAAAAAAAAAAAAAAATTAGAAGAGGCATAAAGGGTTTTTCCTATGCTGGGCATGTTCTGTTTCATGATTTGGCTGGTGGTTACTTGGATGTGTTCAGTTTGTGAAAATACAAACTATACACTGACGATTAGTACAATTTTCTATCTACTTGTTACTTTTCAATAAAAATGTGTGGAAAGTAGTAGCATTGATGGCAGAAGCTAACAATGTTTTCTAGTGAGGATGAGATACATAGACATGGAGAAGTATGAAATGCTTTCTATTCATCATTCTCCCAGGAAATTTAACTGTTATGTTTAAAGTTCCTAAAATCTTTTTAAATTTAGAACCATCTGACACAAGCTGAATAAAGAAAAAATATGCAAACAGAAGTACACATTAGAGATGAGAATAAATTATCAGATAACATATTGGATTTTATTGTGTCTAAGAAGACACAATATGAAAGCCATATCAAAGGACAGTAATTACCAAAAAAAAAAAAAAAAAAACTAAGTCCTCATGATATAAAATTCATTACAGCAATAAAAATAGTAGTTTTGAGATGCATAGTATATAAGCTGTATGCCCATATTTATTTCTTATAAATAAGCCTGATTCTATTACCAGGTAGGTTCCCTTCAAGGCTACACGATTTTTCCCAATTGGATTATAGGTTGTGGTTACAGATGTGCATTACATGATGGAATTCACCTAACAACAAAATGAAATATATTCTGCTCAAGAGGTGGCCTCTTGTTCGCTTGTCTTAACTTTAATCGTGGGGAAGCCAAAGTAAAAGTTGATATATTTATGTCGTGTGTACTTTTCACATGCCACAGGAACATAATTGCTTCTACTTTCCTTAACATTAAATGAATGAAAAGCTACATTGCATGCCCATAAAAATGAAATTCTCTTAACTGTCTTCAGCTTACTTCTTACCTGAGTACTGACATAAGTTGATTATTTTTGCCAATATAGAGGGAACATATCCCATAAACTCAGAGTTGGAAAATGCAGAAAAACAGAAACATGTAAATTAGTTATAACTCCTTCACACACAGATATGCTATGTTGTTTTCTTTTCTATATATTTTTTTGTTTGTGTGTTTCACACAGTGGTAATCTTATTACATAAATTATTTTGTATCTGGCGTTAACACTTTCCATACCTGTCCACGTGACTTTTAAGTTTGACCAGTGCCAAAAGCAATGTATTTAATATAAATATCTATTAGTACTGTTAGAAAATTTTATCAGGGCAAGTTACACACACAAACAAGCAGGCATTAAGTAAGCAGTAACTAATGCCATTCACTGGGTGGTTTATAATTTACACACTTATGAGGGAATCAGTAGTTATTAGTTATTAAATTTATTTGTGTGTTTGTTTATTGATTGATTGTGATAAGTTACTAAATACCAAAAAATGTCAGGAATATATAAGTGACAATTCATTTAATTCATTTTTACTGTCATTTTTATTTCAAGTATATCTTCATTCCAGGGTATATAAGCATTCCAATAAACTTCAAACTAATGCAAGTATCAGCAGCTGATTTTTACCAATGTACATGTCTACTGGTTATTTTATAATTAGTATTGCCATAAGTATCTTTTGAGCTAGCCTATATTGCCTCCTTCTGTAAATTACATGTTTCTAGAAAAAAAAATCAGAAAGCATGGAAATCTGTGGTGTTTGTATGTATGTGTGCTTATAGAAAGACTTCTTCCTACAAACACTACAGTGGAGTCAATAAGCAACTAGATTTAATCTTGTTAGAGAATAACTGATATAGCTATTTAAAGTTGTTGATACAATGAAAGAATTCATTCACTACATGTAAGAAGTGACATGTCTTCTGAAGACTTCTTTTGAGTCTTTGACTTCTGAAGACTTCTTTTGATCTTTGAAACTATAGAATTTCAATTGCATGTTAGATAATTGCTGGGTATTTTAAAGTATTTACTGTCAAATTGCAATTTTAAAACAGACATTCAAAAAACTTAAAACATGCATTTTCCGCATCATTACAGGCAAAAGGTAAAAGTTGGGGTTAGTCATGGATATCTTTAAATTTTAGTTTATTTATATACAAATACTACCTTGTTTATTTGTGTTATAATTTATTATATTTCAGTATATTTAATTATTGAAGTTTAAATTAAATATAATCAGTATATTATTCTTTTATATATTTTAATCATTGAATTACATATTATATAATTTTATATAATATAGGTTATATATTATATAATTTCATATAAATTATTTAAATATGTATGTATATATTTATATATACATGAGTATTAAATATGTGAAAGGCTTTTTATAAATATATAAAAGATGTAAAAAATTAAAAATTAACACATGACAGAATTTAAAGAATACATGGCTTAGTTGTGAACTTTCTTGCTTGCCTCTGTCCAACCTCATTTCTTCCACTTTTCCCCACAGACATTTTATCTGCTTCCCTGTGTTCTGTAATAAAATATCCCTCTGCAACAAAATATCCCTTGTCTTTCTTATTGTTTTCTTATACGTATGTATATATATATATATGGTTTAGTTTTTCCCATGTTAGTTGTCTATTTAAATGAGCCATAGCTTACATATTTTACTACAACTTTTTTTTTACTTAACATTTTTAATCATGAATTCAATCATGATGGTGTAAGAGACTGCAATTCTGTTATTTTCAATGGTTTATAGAGTCCCATTAAACAAATAATTCACAACTTATTTATCCTATCTCCCATCTGTTTTCACTTAGGTTTATCCAAACACCTTCCCTTTATTTTTGTCCTTATAAACATTGCTGTTATTAACATTCTCATATCTATCTACTGGTAAAAATGTGCAGAAGTTTTACTAGGGTATCTGCTCAGGAGTGGGATCATTGAAGCATGCAGAACACATTTCCCAAAGTAGTTGTCTTACCAACAGAATAATAGTTTCTCCACAGCCTTACCAATGTTTAATGATGCAGAATTCTTTAATATTTCCCATACTATGAGTTAAAATGTTATCACTATTTGTAAGATTTCTAGGCTTTACAGAATAATAAATAATGCATTAATGAAACTTGATGGACAAATCTAAATTAGGCATTTCAAGATAGGCCTCCCTGCTATTTACGAGAATGCTGAACTGTAACCTTATTGAGTCATAAACTAGTTCCAATATGTGGTCTGATTTTTAGAAAGAACAAATGTTTGTAATATTATGTCCCACCATTTCTCTATAATTCACCATGCTTTTGGAGGAACATCTTGAGTTTGTGTGTGTGTTTGGTTATAATATACACACAAAAATAGCAACTAGAAAATGACTTTATCTAGAGAGCATCCTCATTTTCAAACACTTTTTCTTTAGATGGTTCTGTCTCCATAAGATTTTTGTTAATTTCAGGTAGCTTATTTACATTAGGTCTGAAGAAGATTTTTCTAGCTTAGAAAACCAAATTCATGAGACTGTCAAGCAAACATCAGTAAAAAAAACAAAAAGAAAAAAGAAAAAGGAAGCCAATTTTATGTGAAATAAACTAGTTAGGAGAGTATGAAATAATCCAAGCAATAAATATTTAACAGTACAAATAAAACCATGTTTTCGGTGTTAATACAGAGACAAAATTAGAAGATACAATTAAGTGTCCATCTTAAGTTATTTCTCAAAGATTACATATTATAAGGCTTTCTGTACTGGAAAGCCCCAAAGCCCAGTCCTACAAAGTTACGGTATTCTACCACGTACTTAGGGTAAGCTACTTAACTTATTCCAGATTAGGTTAATGCCACATGATGTTTTTCTAAGTGTAATGGCTGCATTTAAAGCTGAGCCTTTCTGGAGGTACATATGGGTATTGTGTGCAGTTATCTAAACAAGCTTAAGTCCCATCAAACCGCAAGCCTTCTGGGGAATCTGCCACCACAGAAGCCAGAGGACATAGAGATCTTCTGGTCCACTGTTTCTTTTTGATGAATGGAATGTTTCAAGCACATCAACAATTTCAGCATGTAGAGTGCCGGTAGACTCCTAAGTTCACTTAAAAACCATAAAATGTATAAAAGCAACCAAATTTATGGAATTTTTCATGGTCCTGAAGCCATTTTCATTGTCACATATATACATTTATATAGATGAGACCACAGTAATGGGGAGAAACCAAGTTGCTGAAAGTGTCAATAGCATTCCTTGAAAGATTAAACTGTAGCCAACAGGCAAAGAGGTAAAGCATTATTTAGTCCTCTACCAAGAAAAAAGTTCTTAATAGATTCTCACTTATTCAAGTGAATAGTATCATATTTTTACATATTTTTGGAAAGCTAATATTTCCAAATTATGGAAATTTAGCTTTGTATTTCCATTGTATTCACTGATACTAATACATGGTGCCAGTGAAATTTAGCTCTGTGTGCCTAAGTCTTTATGCACATAAGACTGGCATTGATTTAGTCTTGATAGCACATATCCTATTTCTACTAGATTACTCTAAAATTGTTTGACCAAAGGCTATGGGGAAATTTTGGCCCAAGTGAAAATGTATAATTTAATTTGTGAAGAGTTTTCATATACTCTAAGCTTGGCTTTTCTTTTCCTTGAACATTTTACCAAATTCACATTTGGTATTCAAAGTGTGGTCTGTGGAACAACAGCTTTGGCATCACCTTGAGCTTCTTAAAAATGCAGGTTATAAAGCACCATCCCAAACATACTGAACCAGAATCTGCATTTTAATTAGATCACTAAGGATATTTTATTATCACTGTCTGAAACACAGCTTCATGACACACATATGTATGTAAGCACATAAACGCAAACTCATGAAATTCCATGCATTTTTGTTGAACTTAGGTACAAGGAGAAATTAATTTTGTGTTAAGAGTCAAGATAACTTTTCAGGTTAGTAAAACCCTGCAATTACTAAAACTGAAGTAGCTAAATGGTACATTTGAACTTTACATGAGACTCTTGTTTTCTTTCCCTTTTGCATGATTTTGTACAGCAACAGGTTCACATAATCTATAGCTAATACAGAAAGACATTTCATGGTATGCCAAAATTTAAGCAAAAGGCACTTTGGTCTCATTTAGGGAATTTGGCAAAATGTTCAAGGAAAAGAAAAGCCAAGCTTAGAGTATATGAAAACTCTTCACAAATTAAATTATACATTTTCACTTGGGCCAAAATTTCCCCATAGCCTTTGGTCAAACAATTTTAGAGTAATCTAGCAGAAACAGGATATATGCTATCAAGACTAAATCAATGCCAGTCTTATGTGCATAAAGACTTAGGGACACACAGCTAAATTTCACTGGCACCATCAATTAGTATCACTGAATACAATGGTAATAAAACAATTAAGCAGACATTCAAACTGCATAGAGAGTTAAAATTATAGTGCAATTATTACCTAAATCACAGATTAAGAAAAAAAACATAAGGCCAACTATGTCTGTACATAAACAGTGCTTAATTTGTTATTGTGTTGAGCTCTATGTGTGGGTGCCTTGTGTTTGACATGCCGTTCAGCCTCCTGCTTCCTTAAGTAGGTTTTACAGTTAAATTATGGCTAGAATTAACCAACATGCCAGTACACCATGATATTAATCTCCCAACTATTCAATCACTTAACAATAGCATCATTATTCTGGAGAACTCTGTTTCTTCAGTGTTTGTTCATGTTTTCAGATGTCTCATTAAGAGCAATTTTATTTCAAAAGAATTCAAAAGCTGCACGAATCCATGATCTAAAAAAAAATCTTAAATATTTAATCTTCTGAAGGAGCTAAAAAAATATATAAACAATCACTAGGTCCATGAATTCAAAATGATTTTTTAAAATTAAAGCATTTTGGAGAGTTCACTGTGAGGGCACTTGAAAGACGAGTGTGAAACACAGGAGGCTGAACCCTGCTTTTCATAGCGAAATCACCAACTTCCAGGTATGTGCTTTGTCAGTTGTCATAATTCAGCTGCCGTTGCAATAGTGTGTGTCTCCTGCTTGTTACATATCTATAGTCTTTAATTGGCATTGGTGTGCAGAAATGACTATAATCACTGTATCAGAAATGACCTTCTCTTCAGACTGCTGATTTTTATAGTTCATTAAAAGCATTTCTCACAAGGCATTCATATTGAATTTTGACTTCCAGAATGACCACAGAGAAACAGCTACAAGCAGTGAGTGAGGTCCTGCAGTGGAGTCATGCTGATCACTGAATCATATCCAAAAATCGTGAGCCCAGTATTTCCAGGACCTGCTGCTTACACAGCTGTTTGGATGGCCCAGGGCAAACCAGAACGACCAATCTTTCACTCCTAGTCCATTCCACCATAATATGCTCAGACCCAATTTAGGATGGAATTTAAGAAAATAAAATAACAAAGCACATCTGTAAGATCCCCTTCAAATGACTTTAGAATTTGCATGACTAAAAGAACACTTACAGAAACATAGCTTTAGAAAGTCAATACTATGAACTATTTGCTCTAGAAAAATAAACCATCTAAATAGCAGTGATTTCTGTCTTTGAAAACACATTTTTTAGGACATTACATAAAGTATTGCAACTGAAAGTATTTTTCAGTATATAGATACCAGAGCCTACAAATACAAAGTACGCGTTCTGAAAGACCCCTCAGCTCAGGGGCTCACTAGATTTACAGAAAAAAAAAAAAAAATAAGGGCACATTCCCATCTGTTTGGGTCCCAAACCCTAAAGCCTTCTTTAAAAGATAAATGAAGACCGTCCAATAGGCCAGAGATAATAGAAGGAGGAACATATTACTCTGGAGGAACATATTAACTATTTATTATTAATTATTTAAGTGCTACAGTGTTCTCACCTCTAAATATGCACTTGTAAGTTAGAAACACTCATTAAAATGTATTGCCTAACTACTAATGCTCAAGCATTACACCAAGAAGCTGGCACAGTTAAAAATGATAAATCCATTCACTAACATTTATGTCTTTTATTCACATGACTTCTTCTGTGGCTTTTTAGAACACAGGAAAAAAATTAAAAAGCATCCAGATTCACATTTTCCACTTTCTATCTTCAAAGGCCCTTGTGTTATCATCATCGTTCATTGTGGATACTGTACATTCCTTCAGAGAAATGAGATTGCACTAGATAAATTAATGTCTTTATTGTTATCATGTTTATTATTTACTCTTCATTTACGTATTTTAAACTACATATCTGGTACCTTCTCTGTTCCAATCATTGTCCTTGTAATACTGAGATGAATCAGATGTGAGTTCTGTCCCTAAAATGCTTATAGGTGAATTCAGGTTCACAGACATGAAAATAAATCAGTCCAATATTCTGTTATTGATACAGAGTGGCCATGATTGAAATACATGAGATAAGACATCACGAGGGAACAAAGGCAGTCATGGATACATCTATGCTGGAAGCTAGGAATAAGGTGGGGGTGAACAGAGGAGGACAAGTCTGAAAGGCCTCCCAGAGAAAGTAGCGCTTGATCTCAGTGTATTTTTTTCCTGAATGATGAATAACATTCAACCTGTGATGTTCATCAATCACCTGTATCCCCTGACAGTCATAGAGAGTTCAATCCTCTGCCAAATATTTCTTTGATACCTATAAGGTATACCAAATGCCACAGAAATTTTTTAAAAAAGATTTCAAGACAAAGTCCTGGCTTTAGATTATTTCTAGTTTACTTGTGAGTAACTATGGTTTAACAATGCATTTGAAAGCCCTAGTCAACTAATAATCTGGTTCCCTTCAAACTCAAATTTGATATTTTAAAGGAAAGGCTTGAGGTACTAGGGAAAAAAGAAGGAGAGTGAGCCTCAGTCTATCCTCTGCTGTATTAAGCAAATGGCTCTTTTGACAATCTTGAACCAAACTAAACACCCTGCAGTCGGCTATTCAGCTTCCTTAGAAGGTGGTTTACAAACCAACCACCTATCATTTCTCAAGACCATGAAGGGCCTTGCCTCCTACCTCCCAGTCTTACTGGCTGCAACCACAGACTTACGCATGGTTTTTCTAATCTTCTTATATTTCTTTATATTTTAGAAACCCCTAGAGCCCTGGGTAGTGGTCAGGCTGATTTTTCATTAAATTGTGGTCAATTTGTACACAAGTTAAGGGTTGCAGGTGCCCGAGAAAAAACAAGATCACTAAAGATCTTGAAGGTCTCAAAGACCTCAATTATGCATTGTGTAGAAAATTTTTCATTGGTCCACGTTTCACTAAACAATGTATTTGACAGGCTTAGGTGGCTGTCAATTCTGAATTGTATCTTCATATGTACAATGGAAGGCAGGGCAGCATCTAGTTATCCAGGAATAGAAAAGGCAACAGGATAACACTCTATTTTCTTATTGTGTTTACCTATTTCCACAAGATAGTTTAATGTAGTATGTAGTGTGGGGTTAGGTTAGGGGGTAAAGAAGGAAGAAACAGGGAGTGTCGACTGTAGTGTATTTTTAAGTAATGAGGATGTCCACTCCACTGATGTTACCTTGGACTAATGCTAAGGGTTCCAGCTGCCAGGACCCAGAGTAGTGCTATAGAGCCCTCTCTCTTTAAGGCATTTCTGCTTCCATACTGCTTTTTTTTTTTTTTTTTCAACTAACCAGAAATACATAATCCTAGTATTCTGATATCTTGACAAGTGGCCCTGTATTTTTTGTAACCGAAGGACCATGAGTAATCGTTGCTGACAGAACTGGGATTGGCTGGAAAGGGAGCAATGGCGAGATTCTATGCCTGGGAAGGAACATACCTTGTCTCTGAAGAATGATTCAAAAACCACACATGTAGCTCTGGATTTCAACATATTTACCTCAACCTTCTCAAAAGCTAGATTCATACATAGTTAAACCAAATGTTTGAATGGTATTTCCCATTAGGGTAGGGCTGTGAAATGCAAAATTGCAATTTTTTTATTTGCTAATCTAAAGCTACATTGATATAGGTACAAGTACTCATTGGTTGTTCATCTGAGCACCAACAATGCCCTCAAATTTACCTAAAAATAGGTTAAATGTTAACAAATATGTGATTGTGCTGAATAGAAGCTCTGGAGACACATATTGTCTAAATATCACCTTGTCATGGAAGCCTGACCATGAGGTCCCCCTCCTCTCCAGCTTAAATCAGATCTCTTTAAAATATACTGTGTACTTTTCTTCCACAGATTTTAGTAGTTCATGTGCCTTTCCCTTCATGAGATTTAAAAATTCCTAACAATAGCATTATATCTATAGTTTCCCTCTATGTTTTTAACACTTAACAAAACACTAGTCATATACATTTAATACCAACTTGTTGAATGACTGAAGATCATCTCTAAAAAACTGAAGCTATCTGAAAGATAGGTTTAATTTATAATTGCCACTTCATTTTCTTAAGTCATTGTGTCATTTGTCTCTTAAGTCAAAACCAATAATTAAAGAGCTCTAATTTACAAACTCCATCCCTCTGGGTTATAGAGTTATCATTCTCAACAACTCAGCTGTGGTAGCAATCTATGAATATACATTTGTCATACATCAAATATAGCTTTATTGTTATTGTTAAATTAAAAAAGAGAAACAGGGGTAAAGTAAGTATTATATCCATTCTAAGGTCTGAGTAACACTGGGAAACACAGAGAGAGTGGGTAGCATTATCCCAGAACTGATATTTAAGAAACAGTCAAGAAAACTGAGAAGGATCAGCTCCAAGTCCACAGCCAGGCAACTGCCAACAATTTAGCCTAGACTGCTCAGAATACTTAATAAATACATGGACAACAGAAGTAAATGAGAATATGATACATCATTGAATTAGGAGGCAACATATGATAATGTACATGCAAGAAAGCAGCCAGTGATTTATCATTAAATATTTGGAATTCACAGCAAGATTAAATCAATACATAGCACAGACTGAAGACAGCCTCTCCTAAAAGGGGGCATGCAGCCTGAAGTTGATGATAACGACATTGACAAAGGGTCTGTAGAGAAATTAGATTTAACTTAACAAATGAACCTGTAATTCAGGAATCGAACATTGGTAATTAGCACAGAACCTTCCATGAGTATAATTCTTCACATTTTATCATGTATTTAAACCACTCAATCTCATCATGTATTATCACCCCATTTTAAAGAGAAAGAAGTAGAGCCGGGCGCGGTGGCTCACGCCTGTAATCCAGCACTTTGGGAAGCTGAGACGGGCGGATCATGAGGTCAGGAGATCGAGACCATCCTGGCTAACACGGTGAAACCTCATCTGTACTAAAAATACAAAAAAAAAAAAAAAAAAAAAAAAAAAAATTAGCCGGGCATGGTGGCGGGTGCCTGTAGTCCCAGCTACTTGGGAGGCTGAGGCAGGAGAATGGCATGAACCTGGGAGGAGGAGCTTGCAGTGAGCCGAGATCGCACCACTGCAGTCCAGCCTAGGTGACAGAGTGAGACTCCGTTTCAAAAAAAAAGAGAGAGAGAAAGAAGTAGAGACTCAGAAAATTAAGTATCTTACCCAAAATTTACAAGCTCATAAGTGGCAGGTATAAACTCATAAGTTTAGACTTCCTCTTGCTATACTCCAAAATATTAAAAGTTCACAAATATCTCACAAACGAAAAACCACTTCCTACTCTTGGACACATTTCAAGAGCTCAGTCCTATACGGTGTTGTAATATTACCAAGATGCAGGCCATTTCAATTTGTGTGTATCAAAGCTTCTTTCTGCAATTGTTAACAGTTTGTAAACAGTTTTTGGAATTGTGTGAAACCAAAATTGGCACTTTGTTTTTGTTGTCTGAACAACAGAAGAGTCCTGGAGAGAGGAACTATGGCATAGAGAGTTGTGAAGACTTGCAAAGGTAAGGGTGAGCAAGGTTCTGAATTTCAGGAATGGAGAAGAGAAAACAGTGAGGAAAGAAGCATAGGCATAAGGCCAAGCATACATCTTTGAAAGGAAAGCCAACTTTAGAAGCTGGGGAAATCCCTCAAAACTGTAAGCATATTGCACACTGAAGGTGTTCCCAAAAGCAGCCCTTGGATGATTCTAAGATAAAATGAAGCGCACAAGAAAGGAAGAAGAGGAGAAAATGAAATGTTATGGTAAATCATTAACAAGGAAATGAGAAAATCAAGTTGGAAAATGACAAATAGTGAGTAAAATTTGTGAACTATTTTGCATTGACATTTTCTGTTAAGGAAAATCAACTTTGGACTGGAGCAGTTAGATGAAACCAATGGTGAGATCATAAAACAAAGCAAACCATTCAGTATACATTGTCCGCCAGATGAATTAAGGGCAGTTTAGGGAAGATATATTAGAAAACTAAGATGGGTCATACTCTCTCTGAGGTCAGCAAACCTAAATTAATAACTCCTGAGAATCAGACACTGTTCTCTGAGAGTCCTAGTGTTTGTATCTCTAACCCAGCCTCCCTCTCTAGCACTGTTCCCACATCTCCATTGTCTCCAAAGAGGGCTGCGAAGCACATTATTACAATTTCTACAAGTATTTAGTTTCACTTAAAAATACAAAAGAAATTAAGCATTACTAATACACTTACTAAGCATTAATAAAATTTGTTATGTAGGTTGACACCTTTGTCCTTACTCAGCTCAGCTCTTATGTAAGCTCTTCATGTTGTCACTTAGTGCAACAGTGCTCAGAGTGGACTCTATAGATCATCATCATCAGAACTTGGGGGCTTATTAAAAATGCAATTCATAGACCTCACCCCAGATACATCAGTGGCATTTTATTTTACTTTATATTATCTCTTGTGACCCACATTAAAAAATACATTTTACTTTGGGAGTCAGTTTACACAGAAACACCACCATGAACACATATCTGAAACAAATTAATATTTCATGAAACAATATCTATGCTTACTATGTGGAAAACACACAAACATTTTGTATTTTATTTTATTCAGTTCTAAATCTCATCCACTGCACTGAAATCACTACCCACTGATTGCAACTGGCACTTTGAAAAACTCTGTACTATTGTGTATATTCAGAAAAGACTTTGGGATGGTGAACATATTTCTACCAATGGTGTATCGATTTTATTTAGCCTGGAGAAAGGGCTCAAAGTCACTAACAATTACCTTGTTATATTTGCAAGGCTGTTATGCTGAAGAAGAATTAACTTTGTTCTGTGTGGCAAGATGTATTTTGATTCATTACAAGAAAATAATTCATAAACAACAAGAGTTGATCAAGACCCACATGAAAGGAGGTGGGGAGTGTGTCTTATTAGAAGTATTCAAGCCAAGCTAGTGGACCATTTGGCACTTGAGTAAACTCAAGCTTTAGCAAATTGTTTGAACTGGATGTTTCAATGCACACTCTAACTCTAGGATTCTATGGTTCCCTCAGTTCTAAGTTCTTGCTTCATGTTAGCAAATTGCGGCTCTAAATTCTCTACTGTACTTACCCAAAGGGCCTATATTACAGAAGTGCATCTAAGGCAAAATTGTTTTAAGTTCGAAATCATGCATTTTGCAGTTAGCACACTCTTGTGATTATGTCCTTCCCTTGGTTCCCCCACTCACCTCTAGGGTCCTCATGGGCTGGGCCTTTACTCTAATCACTTTTTGTTTCAGCACCTATGACAGAGGCTTAAACGAGCTGATGATTAGCAAGTTTTCTAAATGAGTGAAAGACTGAATGAATGAATATTTCTCATGATGATAAATACCCATACCTAGGAAGCAGAAGACAGTTTAAGAAGAGTATAATTTGTCCTTATGGAATGTTAAACAGGTGGATAATAAATAATGCCATTCTTTATATTTTAGATGATTGTTATATGCTTATGAAATTATTCAGCTGACAAAGGGACAAAAAGAGAACAGAAATCAAGTTCTTAAATGCTAGTCAAGCTCTACATGATGAGACTACTGATGAAGAGAACCCTTACCTCTAATAGTTTATCATGAAATCGTATGCTATTAAACTGTAAAACCACAGGGGAGGGAGTGAAATTTCAAACGAAGAAAACTTATCAATCACTTCTTAATGATAATTAAGAAAATATGATGTATGTTTATCAATGAATCTTGGAAAGTGCCTTGCACATAATAGGGTGGTAATAACACAGTTGTCCAGAGGAACAAATGACTTGCAAGTTCTGATACACTCATCCCAGCAGCTTCTTCAGCAGACAGTCAGATTAACCTTCCCAAGGTAAGAGAGTAAGAACAAGATCTCCTGATTGCTGTTTCATTTGATTTCTCTATCCAGTTTCTCTCACATCATGATGTAATAGGAAAATGCATTAATTGTAGAGAAAAATATTAGATAAATTGAATAAAAGAAGATATAACACTAAATGTTTGTAAGAAGTAGTGTAAGATAATATGCTTAGCTGACAGTGTGGTGGTAATATTCATCCTGCTTACATCTGACCACTCAACAAAGGCATAAGTAACTTGCAAATTCAATGTATATGTTGAGAAAAACAATTTAAATGCTCTTCCATTAGTCCTATCAAGATTTATAATAGGTCTTTTTTCTGTACAGTTGGCCCTCTGTATCCCATCCCTGTATTTAATCAACCATAGATTGAAAATATTTGGAATAAACCCAAAACAATAAAAAATAACAATACAACAATAACTTGAAGTTTTAAAAACCCAGCATAACAACTGTTGAATAGCATTTACATCTTATTAGGTATTACAAGTAATCTAGAGATTATTTAAAGCATACAGGAGGATGTGTTTAGGTTATATGCCAATACTGTGCAATTTTATATAAGGGACTGGAGTATCTTAAAATTTTGTTATCCAAGGGGGTGATCTTAGAACCAATTCCCTCTGGATACCCAGAGATGATTATAATTACTATCTAATTTAAAGAATAAACCATGAGTCATTACGAACCATCTGAGTATTAACATATAATATACAGATAAATACTGTGCATCTCTGGCTATATATCTATGTGTAGCACTCTCTTTCCATCAGAAATCTTCACTAGCCCATTTGCCAGTCACTGTGTTATTTCAATTTATACTGGAAAGTACTCAGTAATAAATAAGACATACTCTTCATCTGCAAGAAACTTACAGTCTGGTTGGAAGGGAGTCAATAATTTAAATATATAATCATAATGAACTGTGAATTAATTCTATAGGGACTAAGGACAAGGTGCTATGTGAAAGATTCAGAAGGCTATCTGATCAAATTTCTGAGTCAGGAAGAGCTTCTTAAAGGAATTGGCATGTAGATTAATATCTGAACAGGTAAGTGGAAGTTACTTAGATAGGAGAGTGGTGGGGAAGATAAAAAGCTCTAAGCAAAGGAAACAGCAGTTATAAAAGCCTGTAGGCAAAAGACAACCTGGCAATCATAGTTATTTGAGGTGAGGGCTTAATGTCAAAAAAAAAAAAAAAAAGTGCAAATTGAGAAATGGTAAGAGCTAAGGTTGGAGAAGGAAATGGGGAAGCAACCTGTATTTAATTGTCTTTATAACATGCAAGAACTGTAAGAATCTTTTTTGTTGTTACTGATCTCACTCTGTCACCCAGGGTGGAGTGCAGGGGCAAGATCTCAGCTCACTGCAACCTTCGCCTCCTGGGTTCAAATGATTCTCATGCCTCAGCTTCCTGAGTAGCAGGGACTACAAGCATGCACCACTACGCCCAGCTGATTTTTGTATATTTAGTAGAGACAAGGTTTCACTATGTTGACCAGGCTAGTCTCGAACTCCTGACATCAAGCCATCCACCTGCCTCGGCCTCCCAAAGTGCTGGGATTACAGGTGTGAGCCACTGCTTCAGGCCATGTGAGAATCTTTAAAGGGTTCTGGGCTTACCGGTAAAATTATATGGTTGACAACATGAGAAGTTGGTTCTAACTGCAGTGTGAAGAACAGATTGATGGGCCTTTATTAGAGACAAGGAGAATAGTCAAGAGGCTTTTGGAGTAAGAGACTGCAGAGACCTAGGTGGAGGTAGTCAAAGGAAGGATGAGGAGAAAGGGATGAACAAACTCGAGAGACATCTAGAAGATAGACATGTTAGGACGTGGCAACTGGTTGACTATGGAGGTGGAGAAGAAGGGAGGTGTAGAAGATGTCTGCCAGATTACTGATTTGAGTGAGTCAAACCTGACTGTGTCAACTCATGCCACAGGCTCACATACACTATTCTACCTGGGATGAAGTGTGACTCTGAGCATGGCTGTGCTGTCCCATGGGTGTGCTTTTTTCCTGTGGCTCACCATAACCATCATAATACAACCTGTCCTACAAGAACCATTTCAAAAGATCCTATCCATATCTTCTCATTCTGATTCAATCTTTATCACAGTACTTTATGTCCAGCCTCCTTGTGTAAAAGTTAGTTATATACTTTTAAAATTCCTATGCTATGCCTTTCTTCACCTGTGTATTGTCAGGACTTATGCCCTACCATGTATTTCTTATATCACCCTCACATGCAAACACTTGATTTTTACATTGAACACACTTACTTAAAGATGAGAGTTTAATTTTTTTAGTTCCCACAAGTACTCATGTAGGCAAATATTTTTGAATAATATCTTAGAAATACAATATCCATTTTTTCCTATTATAAAAAATACTATTACTGTGAAAATGGTCTTTACTTTCCTAGGCATCTTAATGAATCCTGATATTGTTCATAATCCCACATAGTATGAATAAAAAGTTGTACATAATATATCCAGTGGCACACAGTGGATTGGATAAATTGCAGAGGATTGTTCTCCGGAGTGAATTATCATCACTAAGATGCGTATCCATATTCTATTCTGAGCCAAGCTCATCGCTGCTGCTGTGAATCCATTGTGCAGATATTTGTGCTCGTGATGTGCCTTTATGCATTCTATACTTTATTTTTAGTATAATATGGTATTAACTTCTGTATTAGAGCAAATTACAGGGAGAGTGGAAAACACATGTTTTAAAATTTTCTCACTCTTCTGAATTAAACACTCAAGATAAATAAAGGATACTTTGGATATCACATAATTTTAAAGTAAACTCTACTTCAAATAAAATTTTTTAATTACTATTTATAAAATACTCCACAGAAACTAAGCCTATTTCCATGACACACTTAATTTGGATTAAATAAAATGGTGACTATCATATTAAATATTAGCGATACATAATAGAGTTGATCCTCATTATTCACTGATTCTGTATTTGCAAATTTGCCTACTTGCTAACATTTATTTGTAATCCCCAAATCAGTACTCACAGCAGTTTTGAGGTCACTTGACGACATGTACAGTGTGGTGAAAAATTTGACAGCCTGATATGCACATTCTTATCTGAGATAGAACAAGGTGATGGTCTGCCTTCTTGTTTCAGCTCTCTTATCGTAAACAAGTATCCTTTTTGGGATCTATTTACTGCCATGTTTTTCACATTTTTGTGATTTTTTTTTTTTTGTGCGTGTGTGTGATTTTGCTGTTTAAAATGGTCCCCACGTGTAGTGGTAAAGTGCTCTCTAGTGTGTTCCTAAGTGCCAGGAAGCTAGGATGCACCTTCCTGAGAAAGTATGTGTATTAGATAAGCTTTGTTCAGGTATCAGTTACAGTGCTTTGGCCTTGAGTTTGTAAATTATAAACTTAATTTTGATTTGATTGACAAATGTCAATGAATTAACAATATCTATTAAGTAGGTGTCTTTAAACAGAAACATGCAAAACAGTTACACATTAACTGGTTGATGAGAAAGTTGTGATCAGAGGCTTGTGGGAATCTTACCCTACACTTTCCACAGGAGCTCTGGTTCAATATTTGATAATCCAGTGTTTGCGGTGACTTCATAGAAAAACATTCTGTGAATAACAAGAATCGACTCTACCTCTGTATTTCAAACTTTAAATGTACTTGCTGTAAATGGTGTTAATTTTTATTTACTATACAATTTAATTTCCCTAAAATCATAATGTATACAATAAAGGATAAGACAATTCCTGCTTTCAGAATCCTCAGGCTAACAGAAGAGATGAAAATGTATTAAAGAACTAGAACACAGGGTGAAAACTGTGATGATCGAGATATAGGCAAAGTGAAACGGGAACATACATGTATGTTGTGGCGAACGATCCTGCAAAAATTGGAGACAAAATGTAGAGTGCATTATGAAATGCATGTGAGTTTCTTAGGTATGAGTGAGTGTTCAACAGATAGATAGGGAGGGAGATGGAGTAAATAGAGGCTCAAACACAAATTATTCAACTATGACTTCATGAACAAAAATGCCAAATACCAATGTGCTATTTTGACGTTGAAATGCATAGCTACATTTTAAAAAACACTCAGATCTAATATTATAAAATTATTTGGAAATGAAGTATTCATTAAACTACTAATAGAATTTTTCCTGAAACTATGTATGTGACTCTGCTTTGTCTGTGACCTAGATAGCCCTGAGGGTTGTTTTATATGTTGGGCTACAACATTAAGGTTTCTTGGATAAATGTTCAAATAAGTAAAAGAGTTATCACTGTATCGAATCAAAGAAAAGGCAACAGAAAATTTTTACCATGGCAGAATACCATTGAAACTATACTCTCATTCTACTTACTTCATTTATGTTAAGTGCTGGATATTCTAGTCATAAACTTAGTTCCAGAAAGTGATTACATATGTGGAATAAAAGACACGATTCATAGAAAGCGTCCTGTTGGTGCTTGTCCTGGGTGGTGACGCGGATTAGAGACAATAGAGCTCTTGTTCTTCCATGCCAATATTTTTAATAGATCCACCATTGTAGTATACTTCAACTTTCCCTGGGAGAAATTACCAGATCCTTTCAAAGATGTTGAGAATTACCCAGGAATCAACATGGAGGACACAGTGCTGCAAACAGTATTACGGTGTCTGTGAGTGAACAGAGGGAAACTAATCTTGCCAGAGTCCCTTCTCCTCACTCCCACCCCAACAAAAGAAGAGGGATGAGTGCTTTCTAAATATGCTGTGCCCAACTCCTGCTAACTCAGTTTAAATTCATCAGCAGCTGCAGCAAACTTACAGATGGTGCCAGATCCCAGGAGGGGAATACCTACAGGGAGCTGGGGCCTCCTGGAAAGCTATACTTTCTCCCTTCCAAAAGCTTAACATCAAACTATTCTCAAGGTCCAGAAGTTCTGGCAGAAAAAGGGAGTTGAAATGCCTAGGGAAGAAATTTTTTTTCCACTTTGGAAATACAGAGAAAATTTACTTAAGACTGTGATCACCTATTGCTACTATCATTACAGTCACTGGTTGTGGCTCTATCTTGTGGGCCAGTTTCTCTTCCCTCACCTCCTCCAGTTCATTTCCTCTGACAAGTTTGCTCACCAGGTCCCTCAGTCTTAGCACTTTTCACAAAGAACAGTGCAAAATAGATGCCAGCAGGGCCAAAGGGAGATGCCAGCAGGCTGTCACTTCATCACCCCTGGCTAGCGTGGAATGCCAGCAGCTCATATTGATTCTGCCCTCTTCCAGCCAGCCTCTAGTGCAAGCATGCTCTGGCCAGTGCCCCCACAGTGTCAGCCACAGCTGCCAAGAAATCTCTTAACTTTACGTGGTCTATAAGCATCCTAATTCCAGCCAGACACCACAGCTCAGGACGCATGCAGGACAACCTGCTGGAGACGACCCTTGCCAGGCCAAAGCCCACCATGAGGCTGGAAGAGAACAAACCCAGAGAAAGCCTCAAGGGTTTGGTTACTAACTGGGTTGGGGGATCTGGCAACAGAGACATGGCCTCAGGCACACTGCTCGGATTCGCTGCAATAACCAGCTGCTTGTCTGGCTGCTTGTCGCCAAATAGTAATCTTGGCATGTAGCCATTAGGCTGGCACCAGGTCTGAAATGCTGCAGTTCAACAATTTTCACCAGGCTGTGCCAAACCAGAGACACAGAACACTTCCTTGTCTAAAATCCAATCCAGTGGTATCTACTTCCTGTGGAAGCCCTAAGTCCCAGTTTTCTTTACCTAAGTGGAGTAAAAGCATTCCAGAGAAAATGGCTGAAAAGCAAATGCTACATACTAAAACATATCTTCCAAATGAGTTCAAAGTCAAACATTTGAGATTAGCTAAATTTCACATCCTGGAAGCAGCTGCCCTTGTCCCTGAGGCTTCTGTCTTAGCAAGCAAGGGAAGCAGCGGGGATTCAAAGAGCTTTCAGTGTAAACTCTGTGAATATGTAGATTTTCTCCAATGTATCAACATATTAATAGCAAGATTACAAGTATTAGGTTCTATACGTCCAGAATGCATTAAAATTTACACCAATTTTTAAAACATTTTCAGGCTATGTAAACTTGACCCTGAAAAATGTATATTCAAGCATACTTTCAAAATTTTGCATGCAATTTTAGTGACCTCTTAGAACCCTTGTTGAGGACCCAGCTTTACCTTAACTTATTCTGTTTATTATAAAATTCCTGGTTTGAGCTACTCAGGAAGGATAGTGACAATGTATGTTTCTTTCCATTTTATTGCAAGTTTTTACCTGTTTTCATAAACTATAACCTAGGTCCCCTACATAAAATCAAGCAAATAAATGTCAAATAATTTGATGGGACATTAATAATAACTGATTCCTGTGGCTCAACAGCTGAAACTCTTTCTTATCTCCAGCTTTCCTGGACTGGTTTCAATTCTTTTCGCAAAATATACCAAACAACACTTGAAGTTGGCTTACGGGCATTCTAGGTGTCAGAATAATGTAATTATTGACATTTGAAATCCTAAATCTCTCTTTTTTTCCCAATTATTTCAAGAAACCTTGCTTTTGGTATAGATTTTGCAGAAATTTGTTGATTCTAGATCACAGAGTAAAATATATGAGAATGCTCTTAAATAGAACCAGGTCAAAGCCTCCAAAAAAAGGAGGCAGGTAATAAGCCATGGGTTTTCTCATTTTTGCTTCCATTGATCCAGATGGCAAGACTGTATATCTATGCTCTGTTTAAAACTCGTCCACACACCCTGAGGATTGTTGAAAATAGGAGGTACAACAGAGAGTTAAATAAGCTGAGAATCAACTGGGAGGGACATTTCCTATTGAGAGGGAGCCATATATTGTACATATCACAGCCAGAGACTACGAGCTTCTTACACAGGAAAATCCCTGTTATCTGACGTCATGCCTAAATGTATAACTTGACATCCTTCAAGCATAATGGACACATCTAGATCCAGAAAACAACTGCTCTGAAAGTCCATGGCCTAATTTGTGTTTGTTCATGCAAAATATCCCTCATAACACTCACTATGCAACTTTGATTTTTCCTCCTCTTTTCAGGGGAAACAAAGGGGATTAGCAAATTGTGTTATTGAATTTAAGGTGGGTTACACCATGATTTGTTCACACGATTCACACAGGATATGCTGCAACAACATGAACGTGGTATGCTTGGAAACTTTCTTGAAAAACAGTTGCATATTTACTATCTAAGCTGGCTAGCAAAGAATATCCAGGTACCTGTCCATTAGCCCATCTCAAATGAAGCACTGTAGGCATAAATGAATAAGCACACTGCCAATCAGTTCTGATCCAAGATGAAAAAAAGTGACAGCATCCTTCCTTCCCCAGTGGTTTTGTGCAAAACCTGCCATGCCTGCCCTCTCAAAAAGTAAAGGATCCTGATCTACTTAAATATCTGAAAAAAACAAAAACCACAAAATCCTCATAAGTAGAAGGGAAAGCTGAGGATATTGTAGGTAATATTGAATTTTGCTTAATTATATATTAGGGAGACACTAAGATGCTGGTTGAGTGGTCTTTTTTCTGTGGACCATTTCCTGATGTCCCCAAATTTTACCTTTACTATCTTTATTTTAAAAAGCCTAGAAAGGGGGGAGTTAGCACTAATTCTTGCAAGTACCTAAGACAATGTCCCATAATAATCTTTGGCTTCTTCATCTTCACCATCACCTACACCCTTTCAACTATTTGGTTCAGCATTTTGAGGTTATAAAAAAGTTTCATCCTATAATTTTAATATACAAACATGTACTAACACAAATTGAGTTTTCTGTAAAGTGTTGGTTCTGTGGAATGCATTTCTTTCCCTCTGTCCTAGGAGTGAAATTGATAAGAGTATAAGATGTCAGAAACATTCGCAGGATCTGGAAATTAATTCCAACAGTTAACATTTGTTGACACAAAGTGTTAGTGGGCACTTGGTATGTGGTAAGCATTGAACTAAATGTGGGGGAGTCGATGAAGACAATACCGTGCCTACCTTTGAGGAAATTACAGCTCCCAAATATGAAAGTGTTGACAAGCATATAGACACCATGTGTGTGTGTGGGGGGTGTGTGTGTGTGTGTGTGTGTGTGTGTGTATCTGTGTGTTGAGGTAGACTGTTACGTGCTGGTGGGTACTGGGCATAGTACTTGCTTTGAAAAACTAACCACAGATTTCAAATCTGCCTCACTATTTTTGACACATTAAGTATATGCTTCCCTTATTCCTTCATAATCTGCTATTTTTTGTTTGTTTGTTTTCCATTTACCACCCTGGTTTAGGCTTAGGATACATACCTTTCATCAGGTTTAAAAGTTACCCCTATGAATAAGGCATTCAAAAACAAAAGATGAATAATATCCTTGCGGTAATTTCAATGTTTTAGCAATTAGCATCAATGCCAAGCAGGACTGTGCAAAGAGGCAACATAGGATTTTGAATTTAGGTGAAACCACTGTGACTAAAATCCAGGTAAAACTTAATGGTGTGCTTGAAAAGACAAATCTACTAATTCAATAAAACTGATTAATACTTTAGTGTGCACTGTTCATTAGCATAAAGGAGGGATCTTAAGAGAATTGGAAATCAAACAGTTTTGTGTTGAGTAATGAAAGGAGTTTGGAAGGCCATAAAAACATTGGGGCAACTGAAACTTAGGCAGGTAAAAGGACTTGCCAGACCATGGAGCCCTTTGGTGGCTGACCTGGGAAGGGACTTTTCAGCTCTACTCATTCCCAGCCACTATACCAGTGGTCAATCCTTGCTCACATTTTCCCTGACCCAATGGATGTCTTTCAAATTCATTCCCTCCATGCTGGCAGTTGTACACTCTGGATGTAGTGGGCATAACCACTCCTAAGCCAAGAATCCATTCTCCCCTTGGCCATGTTAGACAGACATTAGGCCCGCTGTAGTTTGTTTCCTTCTTGGCACTAGCTTGGGGGCTGTGGTTCCTCTGCTTCTCTCAGTTTTCCCAGAAAACTCTCAATTGAAATAACATGAAATATGCTGCTCCATTTCTGTCAACATGCAGATGTGAAATGGAATTCTACATCTACTGTGGTAAAAATAGGAAGCTCTGGAGCAAGTTGGAAAACTGACCCCCATGTAATGTTGCACTGAATTTAGTGTCACAAACTAACATATAAATACCAAAAAAACAAGTGCATGTAATACAACTGTGTGGGCCAAATTATTTTTTGTAACATAACTCCTATTTTTGAAGTATGTTGGGATACGATTTAACTTTCAACCATGACACTAAAATGATGGCTCTTTTAGCGTTAAAACGAACTTTTAAGAGAAGTGTGCCAGTGATGGTAAATTTAAAGTCAATCTGAGGGCCAGTAAATAATAGTAAGTGTTTTGTTTAATTAACATTGCTTAATAGAATTAAAAAGTGGTAACACTATGCTGACCTCCTCTTCTTATTTTGTTATTTTATTGGTTTTCTAAATCCCAAAGTCTGAGAATTATTATACTACTATAGTAAGAACATTTGGTTGTTTACATAGGCAGTAAGTGATAGAAAGATTTAAACTGCATCAATGGGCATTTATATCACATTGGTAAATAATAAATAGTAAGTTCCATTTGAAATGTGGTTTTATATTTGCAGATATTTTATCGTGACTTGTCTGAGTAGATTTTCTTGCTCTTTTTTTGAAAGTAAGAAAGGATATAACACAAACAAAACACATTTTTGCTGAAGAGTTTTTTTCCCCAAACTAGACATAACACTATTTCTTAAGTAGCTGCTACGCAAGGTACTACACAACCTGCAAATTATAGGTATGTTGTATTGTTAGAATTCTGTACTTAATTGGTTACAGATTAATTAGTGGTTCGGAAAGACAATCCTTTGTAGCCACTGACAAGCATTTTTGAGACAAGTTAGCATTATGGTTTGGTGTCATCCACAAATGATGTGGAAATAATTTTTCTTCTCTCCTTACATCCACCAAGACTGAAGTACCCAAGTCCAGAGTTCTAGTGAGTAAGGTCTAGTTCAACAACTTAAGTGTTTATTACAATAGTTACTCCCAGGTAGGGAGAAACAGAGTAAGCTGTAATGTCTGGGTTTGAGTTCTCATTCAGTCACTTGCAGTAAATGTCAGTAAGTATTAAAACTTCAGAAATTGTTTAACCTCTTAGTGCCTCAGTTCTGTTAGTTGCAAAAGAATATAAGGTTACCTCATTGGGAATTGGAGGGGTTGATAATTAAATGAAATAATACTTGTAACGGGAGGCCTAGTTTGCCTGCTACTTAAGAGTTTCCCAGGATGTAGGACTTACATGGTAAAACTGAGACTGTCCTGAGCAAACCAGAAAGAGTAGACCACTCTACCTGTAAGTGCTTCTAACAATACCAGGTACAAAGCACTCACTAAAATGTCAACTCTGACTATAATTGTCCTTTTCGCTGCAATTCAAACATGGAGTGAATACAAATGCATTATTCTTCCACAGATTTAGCGTAAAGTTGTATCCTAATAAATCCTAGCCTTTTGCTTTAGAGTTAGAGAAAGAAGAGTCGCACACAGAGGCAGAGAACAAAGAACTGTTTATTTAAAGACCGACAGCAAATCCCTTTCTGCTCAAACAAAATGACTGTGACATAAAAAGCATTCCCTGGAAATACGCCTCCTTTCCCTTCCTCAGAGGTGTCATTCATTATCAGTTCAGGATGACTCCTCTCTTAAATTCTGAAATGGGGAGAGCCTTTTACAGTCATACTCTGATAACCTCATTTCAAGTTCATACTTGAACTGCTTATGGCCTTTTTCTGGTTTGTTGTCATGAAAGTGTCCTTAGGACACCTAATATGCAATAAAACACGCAGGTGGTTGTAGCGATCAGAGAGTTCACTGTGCAATTGCACCACTGTTCTGTGTTGAGACATGCAGGTCACCCATAGATTATGTCTCTTGTTTGTCCCATGATGTTGAAACATGAATCAGTGAAACAAGTCCATTCTTTATCTTAAATTTGGTTGATTTCCCGAGATTCCTGTGCAAGAATCAGCAAGGCTCAGTTTTGCAGGTAAACGAATAATGTTAGGCTTGGTGACTCTGAAAACTCATGTGTGGAAGGCTGCAATGATCAAAAACGAAGGTCTGTGGCCCAAATAATAAAGGCCATTCTGTTTATATACACAAGGTCTAGAATTAAAGAATGACCAGACACAGGAGCTCGAAAGGACATTAGAAGTATATTTGAATAGAGAGTTTCAGTACAGCGTAAAAAATCATTTGAACAAAATGGCCATCAGTTTTACACACAATTTTCAAATTGGGAGCAAATTAACTTCAGTTTATATTGGGTAAGTTCTCATAATCCTAATACTTACTGGGTACTCACTCCATGCCAGGCTTCATTTAAGTGCTTTTTGTGTATTAACTCATTTAACTATCTTTACTATTCAAGAAATGGAGGTAGCATTACTATATCCACTTCGTAGAAAGAGAAACTTTGGAACAGAGAAGTTGCATAACTTGTCTAAAGAGACACAGCTAAAAATTGATAGGTTTGAGAGCTGAACTCAGGCATTCTGGTGCCAAAATGGCCCTCATAATGATGTGACAGAGAATAGAAATATCAAGCTCTCTATATTTTCTGAGAAACAAGTCAACCTAAACTAAGTTTAACATGCATCTGAATTTATCTATTTATAATTGAATATTTCAATAATTGATATTATTTAAGCATCTATCTTCCTGATTCTAAATTTACTGTAATTACTTAAATGAATATTTTTAATAAACAAAATTTTCTTTAAAAGACTGCTGGCTGGGTGCAGCGGCTCACAACTGTAATCCCAGCACTTTGGGGGGCTGAGGTGGGCAGATTACCTGAGGTCAGGAGTTCGAGACCAGCCTGGCCAACATGGTGAAACCCCGTCTTTACAAAAAATACAAAAATTAGCCAGGTGTGGTGGCAGATGCCTGCAATCCCAGCTACTCAGGAGACTGAGGCAAGAGAATGGCTTGAACGTGGGAGGCGGAGGTGCAGTGAGCCAAGATGGCACCACGAACTCCAGCCTGGGCAACAAGAGTGATACTCTGTCTCCAAAAAAAAAAAAAAAAAAAAAAAAGACTGCTTAATGGAAGCATTGAAGAAACACTCCTTAAATATATGCTATGTAAAAAACACACCTAGTTAATAAGAACTGATTCACCCTAAAGTCAAATTCAATCTATAGATTCAGGGATAAAATCCAAGTGATATCAGAATATCACTGATAGACACATGTTGACTATGATTACCATGTTTTAAACTGCTTTATTATATTGAAGAACTGAAATGCTTGGTATCCTTTTGGTTCAAAAACTTCCCTTTTACTATCAAAGCATACTATTATGACATGTTTATGCACTATAACTGTGTTTTTAAATTTGTTTTATGCTGTATTTTAATTTTAGTCTTTTAACTGCAACCTAAATTGTATGTATTTATTCTGATACCATGAATATTCATATTGTAAAATATACCAGTGTACTATGTATAGTGGTGATGATACACAATACTACAAGATAATATAAGGATCTATGGTTACTAAATACGTATAATCTCAGTTAATATACAAATAAGATAGGAATATAAAAATCAAAATATGTGCTTTTTGAATACAAGACTCTTAAAATTACAGGTGAATTTTATTTAACTATTCCTGCTATATAAAAATATGAATTACAATAAATGTTTTTGATTGCATAAGTGAGTAACAATAATGAACAATTATTGAGGGCTTAACATGTACCTGGAACTATTAAGCCCAGAAAGTCTCAATGACTTAATTAAGATTTCACAATGAGTAAGTGGTCAATTAGAACCCACAATGGACTCAAAATTCTGTGCTACTCTTGTGATGGTATTATGCCGTCTCTTTGTTTTCTTAAGTAGGATGATTTTAAATTGTGGACTTCTTAGAATATGATTATATTTTAAAAAATCTCTGCGGATGATAGAAATGTTTTATATCTTGATTGTTGTCGTGGCTACATAGGTACATGCATTTTCAAAACTCATCAAATCCTATGCTTATGATGAGTGCACTTAATTTTACTCCTCAATAATGTTGGCTTAAAAAACTAAAACAAAAAATCTATTTTCAAAAAATCTGTGGACATATTTACCGTGTAAAACAAAGTGCTTGTTTCTCAAGAGATACTACTGTGTTAGAGATATAACGAATATGACAACAGATAAGAAATAAAACAAAAATTTGTTTTTTAAAATTTTCTTTTTAAGGATAATTTTTAACTGTACCTTATTCTCAATCATATGATTAAACAATGTGTATATACCATACTACTGCCAATTTTCAGATAAAAAGCTTTCATTTTTATTATGCCAAATACACAGATATGCTCTGTGTGTTTTTTCACCAACAGTTTCTTATTGTGTGCCCCTAAAAGTCAAAGATTGCAAAGAGAAATCTGTGAAAAAACAAAATTCAGCAAACACCATTCAACGAGTCCAACTTACTTAAATTAGACATAGAATTAGCAGATTTGGTGGAACACTGTGATCTGTTTGACAGCTGAAACCTGACGGCTCAGGCAAAAATAAACAGTTTTTTTTTTTTGTCTCAGCAGCAATATTGAGTGAGTAAGCAAAGTATTGATCCTTATTTGTTTCTTTTGATTCAAGTTATCCTGAGGCTTCCCTTCAAAACTCTCCTTGGGATCTACACAATAAAAGAGCTTCATATTCAGAACCTTCCTTCTTTCACCTCAGTGGCACAACATTGGATGTAGCATCTAAGATAAAATGCTGTTTCCTGTATCTCCCAATATAAACTCAAACTCTACCTTAGAACAAGTTTTATGATGTAAGTCCAATAAAATCATTTTTATATTACTGATGAATTTGGGCTTCATTCTGTCATTAAATATTTATCAGTTACCACTTAAAAATCTGGAAGTGTACTAGGTACTAGGGGTAAAAAAATGAATTGAATAAATCTATTGTCCTCAAAAGTTTTCGGTTAAGGATACAGTACAGATTGGTAGGGAGTAGGGAGGGAAGGAAACAGACAGGAAAAGAAAGAAAGAGGAGTTACTGAAATGGAACAAGATAGAAATTGAGATAGTGACAGAGACAGAGATAGATGGAGATGATAGAGGAAACCAGAAGATCAAGGGAGGAATGTTAGGAAAGATGACTATTTTGGTATAGATGGAGCAAAAAAAAAAAAAAAAAAAAAAAAGGCATATATTTCCGCTTGAAAGAATTGTTGAGTGATGAAGAAAGGACCACTTCAAATGGCTTTTAGCTTGTACTTGTCTACAAAGACTTTCCTGCTCAAGTTTTCCAATGACCTCGATGTTGCCAAACCCAAATGTAACTTCTCTCTCCCTATATTTCTTGACTTCTCAGCAAGTATTCAACACATTTCATCATTCTGTTTTCTTTAAATACTTTCTTCTTTCAGCTGCTGTGGTATAGCACACTCCTGCACTCCTGGTTGTCCTTTACCATACTGATTGTTCCTTTATAAACTTCTTTCTTGGTTTCTCATTCTCTTAGAACCTCAGAATTCAAGTTGTGTGAACATTTTCTTTTATTGTTATACACACTCCCTATGTATGGATCATGGTTAAGAGATGGGGCTCTTAAACAAAACTTATTAATTTAAAGCCTGGATTTGCTAATTACCAGCTGTGTGACCTTGGGAAAGTCACTTAACTTCTTCATGTCATTGGTTTTTCACCTATAAAATGGGAATTGGCATGACATCTAAATGAGTTAACATATGTAATATGAAGTACTCACGTGCAAAATACTTAGAACAGTCTGTAGTACATATTAGATACCACACTATTGTCTCATCAATATGGATTTAAAAGCCATTTATAATGCTTATGGCTCCCATTTTATATCCTTTACTTTTTCACTTTGAAAACTAGAATCAGATATTAAACTCCCAATGCAAAGCTCATTTTAGATGTATAATACAGTCTCAAAAATAACAAGACTAAGAAGAGCTCTTGATTTCTGTCCACCCAAAGTTGCACTTTCCACAATCCTTTTCATTTTCTGAAATGGCTCCATATTCGCTCCAGCTAAGAGTTAAGGAGTCATCCCTCAAGATGCTCAAGCTAAGAGTTAAGGCGTTATCCCTAATTTCTCTTTCTCTTAACCCTTTTGTCATATGCCATTCATGAGTAAATGCTATCAAAACTATCTCCAAAATATATTCCAAATTCATCCCACTTAACCTCCTCTACCATTGTGATCTTATTCCAAGCCATCACCACCTCCTTCCTGTACTTCCACAAAAGCCTCCTTGCTCGTCTTCTTGCTTCTTCTCTTGTACTCCTCTAAAATCTATTCTTTGCAGAAGAATACATAACCTTTCTTACGTTCCTTGTATACAACAAGCTCATTTCTTTCTTCAAGCTTTGGCCAAATTCTTACATATGTCTGTAATGCATTATTTCTGAATATTATCTGCCTGACTCCTTCCTGCAAATGAAGTCTCACATTAAAGAGAACACATAGTCTAGAGTAACCTCCTAGTCATTACTTACAACCTGCTTTTCATGACATTTACATATTCTAATGTTTTTTAATTATTTATTCATATATCATTTTTATCCATTAGAATGCAAATTATATGGAAAAACTTACCAATCCTTAAGATATCTGCAGTGCTTGGTACACAGATGACAATCAATAAGTACGTTTGAATAAATGAGTAAAAAGACCATGGCAGTACTGAAGCAGACGAGCTATTGGGTATCATAAATATCAAACAGTTGAGGTCTTGGAAATTGATTCTAGACTGGGGAAAAGAGTTACCCCAAGATTTTTTATTTGGACCACTATTCACATAGAGAATAGTGGGATCCCTTAAAGAAGGGATAAGTCCAAGAATAACCCTCTTTGGACAATGAATTTGATAGCTCTTGGGTTACAAAACTGGAATTGTCTAGGGAATAATGAGATATGGATCCAGAACTAAACAAATAGTTGATGGTGGACAATATAGAATTATTAGTCATTAGAATAGCTGATGTTGTTTGTGTAATAAAGAGCAGACAGTTTATAGAGTGAAAAGAGGGGTCCAATCTCCAGAAAACTCCAAAATATTCAAGAGACAGGTAGAAGAAGAGAAAGTAGAAAGAATAATCTCCAAAAGGTAAGAGGAAATCCAGGCAAAAGGAATTTACCATCCATAGGAGAAGAAAGGAGGGGTCAACAGGGTCAAGTAACAGAGAGCTTAATTAAAATAAGGACTAAAAAGGGTCAGCTGTATTTATCAATTAAAAAATCACTGGACAAATAGAAAACCAGGATGCCATCTGAACTTGCCAGAGTCCCGCCCTTAAAACTCAAGTCCCTCAAATTTTCAGGCATTCAGCATGAGATCTGCCTAGAATTCCACCTCTCTGAGCTCCAGATGTTTACTCAGCACATCCAGAAAGAGTTGATCACATCTTTTTACATCTCCATCTTTTTTGTGCTACCATCAAGATCGTAAACTAAGTCAATTGGTCCTCTCAATGATTTTTTTATTTTTATTTTTCTCTTCTCTGTTCCAAAGATAGATATGGAAAAATATCATCGGCTATCAGGAATTTAAGTATATTTTTAAATTGATCATGAGATATGTAAACATTCAGCAGAAAATTCTTCAAAGTAATAAAAACAATAATAAATGAGTGATCAATGAATCAGTGGGACAATAATTTCTAGGATGCCCCCAAAACACTAGGAGATGTAAATTATTTTTTAAGACTCACTGGACTTTTGTTCACTAAACTATAGTCGGCAAAAAAATGTAAGTATATATAGAAATTTAATCATATGAGTCAAAATAGGAAGAGTTTCTTGCTTAATCATCAATTAAATGCAAACATTATTAAAAAGTAGAATGTTGAATAAATGTTTGACTTTTGGAAATTATATAAAGCAGGAAAGTAAGATTCTTCCAAGGACATCCTTGAAAACACTTCTAGAGGCATATTCCAGGGCTTTATTATCCATGTGCCTAATCTAAAATGTCAGTTTGTTATCAGAAAATCAAATTCATCCCCAAATTTTCACAATAATATTCATTTTTAATACTTCTGGATAATTGAAAGCACAGTGGTAGGTCCCATGAAATTGCTAGAGCCTATGAAAGTCAGAGTAAGAGAGCTAAAACAGGGGATTAAATTATGTTTTCCGATTTGTGTGAGCATCATTAAGTCTAAAAGTTCTCAATCTTTGCTACATACTAGAATTATCTGAGCAGGCTTTAAAAAATCCCAAAATCCAGGTTGACCCATACTGGTTAAATCAGAACACTTGAGGTCCAAACCTATTTTCTGAAGGTCCCTAAGGGATTCTCACGAGTAGTCATGGAACTGAGAACCTATGATTTATGCCACCCTTATTCTCATTATATGAATGTTTCAGTGATTACGAATATCGGCTTTGAAGTCAGATCCAGATTTTGAATCCTGGTGGCTATGGTGGCTGCATAAATTTGAACAAGTTTCTTAACCCTTTTGAGTATCAGTTTAAAGAAAGTATTATTCCCACTTCATAGGGAAGTTTTGAACATTAAATAATTTAAAAACTTAGTAGAGTATGAGGCATGTAATATACAATAACTGTGTTAATGTAAATATATAAATATAACAACCTATTATTAATGACAATTATTTAGTACTAATCAAATACTATGTCTAGTTTACAGCAGATGCTTGGCAAACATAATTTTGCCCAAATCTGAATGAATATACGTAACCCATTGTCAAATCTCTGCTGAATCAAGGAATTCCAACATCGTGTTTTGGGTCTTTAAAGCACTCTCTCATTTAAAATACACAAAGGCAGGGTTTAAAGATTCCAGTATTCACTTCCTGCTCACACCTGCCACCACATAGATTTATGACATCTCAAAAGCAGCTGCGTAATTTGAGTCTGACTTGCAGAAGACAGCTACTAATAAATTTCCTAGGGTCTTATTAGAGGAAACTTTTAAATCTTCAATGACACAGTAAGAAAGAACTCTAAAAATTTCCAGTCACATTTTTCTTATTTACTTGTTTACCCTGGAGTGCATGATGACTTGTTTTCCTTTAGTTGTATCTGAACAGTCTGACAGATTATTGTGACAAGGTTACTTTTAAACTGATAAAAGGTTTGATTGTGTCGGTGCATTTGTCAAAACTGTCTGACACCATGTATAATGGACTCTGCGCTCGGAGCCTGGATGGCACTTGAGTCTGGCTCTTACTATTCAGCGTTCAGCACGCACTATAATGAGACATCCAACAGGGTTGTGTAAAAGTCCGGGAGATTAGCTTGGGCAGACCCTTCGGCTCTCCAGCGCAAACACTTCTATTTCGTTCCTCTGGCTTTTCATTGTGGGTGTTTCCCCTCTCTTTTTAAATGTTAAAGTGACATTCAGAGTTTCATTTTAAAGGGGGAAATGCTAGGGTGTCATGACTTGAGCAAAGAAAACATTTACGGAGAAAAGTGTGGGGGCAGGGCAGTTGACTTTCCTGCTCTTCTGGTAAGGACTGGAAATATGTATGTACCTACCCAAGAGTTTCCCTCTATTTTCCTGCATTCTGTTTCAAGTGGCCTTAGCAGCGGCATGTTTACTTTATAATAGAAAAACAATGCACTCTGTTCCTTCACAATATTTTAATTAACTCCATAGCAGTCAATCACAGGAAAGTGGGGGCAATTGGCTGGGGCTTCCTGAGAACATTGTATTAAATCAAATTTATAAGCCACAAAATGGTTAGATAAAATATGTTGTAGATGTGGAAAATATAAATACAATAATGATTTTTTTCCATTGTAAATGCTACCCATTATGATGCACGTTTGATTTTATTTTTTAGGAACAATTTAAATGTGTTTCCAGGGCATATTCAGAATCATAAAATAGAAGTTACCAATTTCTTGGAAGGACAAAATATAACTTATATGTAAAAAATCATTACACTACAAATATTTTATCTGGCTCAAAAAAGTTACAATGCTCTCTCTCTCTTTCTTAAACCAAATCTATCTTCTCCGACTTCCGTCTGGTCTTCCTGAGATAAGCATAAAGGATATATATGATCCAAGTGTTCTGTCAGTAGTCTTCAACTGATCATCCATCCATGAGTAAATCTGTATAATCAGTTGGATTCCTAGTTTTTATTACATTGCCTTTAGTGCTTTTAATATTACAGCCATTTAATTGTTTAACAGTATATTGATGACCCGTTCAAGACTGGGTAAGAAAAAGGGGGGAGGGATAGCATTAGGAGATATACCTAATGCTAAATGACGAGTTAATGGGTGCAGCACACCAGCATGGCACATGTATGCATGTGTAACTAACCTGCACATTGTGCACATGTACCCTAAAACTTAAAGTATAATAATAATAAAAATAAATAAATAAATAAAAAGAGATTAACTAAAAATCAACTCATTTGGGTTCTATTCTGTGCTACTTTGCTGTTTCTTTTGAAGTTCATTTGGTTAATTGTTCCCATGTCCCTGCTTTTTAACGGAAAAAAGAATGCATATGACAAAATCTTTCACCACACATAATTTTTCTACCACCACTAATATTACTTCTCACACCCTCTTCTCTGAACAAAAAGCATTCTTCTTTCAGCTTTTCAACTATTCCTACTCTAATTGTTCCTTGATCTCAGAGGATCACTTCTCCGTACTCTGCAGCTGGAGTTACCTATTTGAAACAAAAATATAGCTATGCGAACTTCCTGTTTATGACAATTCAATGATTTCCTCCATTGTTCTTAAGATAAATCAAGCTTCTAACATCATCTCCAAAGGAATCATCTTGTCCTTTCGTGTTTTCTAGCTCATTTTGCCCCACACTTTACCTCTTTCTCTCTGCTATAGTCACGTGGCTTTTTCTTAGCCCTTTGTCCTTGGCATGCCCCCTCCAGCCCTTGGCTCTGCACACAATGTTTCCTTTACCTGGCTGCTCTTCCACTTTTTTCTAGATTAGTTAAATCTATTTATCCTTCTAATCTTAGCTCAATTGTCACTTCCTCAGAGATACCTTTGCTAATCGCCCTAACTAGGTCTAATCTTGTGCTAAAAAATCTGTTAGTATCATGCTCCTCTCTCTTTTGCACTTACAGTTGCAATTTTTTATCAGATCATATATTTAATTGATGCCCATTTTCCCTAGTAGAATATAATATTTCTCCTTTATCTAAATTTACTCACCACTGACTCCTCACCACAGGCATGCAGGATATAATCTGTAAATATTTCTTGATTGAGAACAAAATAAAGTTCCTTAAGGTGTCTCAAGAAAAAGACATTACAAGGTTTTTAACTATACTATTTTCTACGCTACGCACAGTATAATGTATTCATCCAAAACATAGGTACAACTAGATTTTTCCATAGAGTAAAATCATTCTTTATATTTATTGTTCTTCAGTCTTATCTTCTTTTCTTTGATTTTACTTGTGATCTGAACATAGAAGTTTTGATGATGAATGTGAATAGAATTCCTCAATAAGAATTTGCTCTCAGATTATATATTTAGAAATAATGCAATTTCTTTTTCTTTAATACAATTTTCTTACCGTTCATTAGCATTAACATGGATATAATATACTAATACCAGAAAATCCAATATGTCTATGCCTTTTTAAAAAAAGACAATATGCTGTTTTGTGTATCTGTTTTCTATTATTTTATTACAATGGATATTAGCAAATATTGCATTTCCTATAAGGAATATTAACTCTAAAAGTGCTTATAATTTCATAGAAATAAATATGGAAAATGAATCTTGATGGCAAGTTCATTTAAATCTACTAAAATTATCTGTTGTGTGAGTGAAATTATTTTAAAGTGTGAGATGAGGTACAGGAATGGAAAGTGATTTTAATCTTTAGAAGACTGTTAATGTAAAATGGTAACAAGCACTGTGAGAGGCCAACACTACGAGAGAGAGAGAGAGAGAGAGAGAGAGAGAGAGAAACAAGCAAGGTTTTACAAATGACCTGCATTGGTCTCTTACCAAAGGTTTTTTCAGCCATCAGGTCATACCCATGAAGCTGAATAAATTCTGACTGTGCCCCTGCCAACACTGCACGAGGGGATTGGAGAAAGATACAAAAGGTAATCTTGAGTAAGTCTGGCAGATAAATAATGAGGTCTTCAATCAAATATCAAAATTTTAGAATGAAGAAAACATAAAAGATTGTTGAGTTCAAATCCATTATTTTGTATATGGGGGAAACCAACGTTAAGAGGCAAAAAGTCATTACTCTAAGGCCAAAGACTCAGTTGATAGCATAGCCAAGATTGAAAGACAGATCTCTTAGTGCACAGTTATTTCCACTACATTATGTTGCCCAATCACATCAGTTCTTTAAGATTCTCTAGGAAAAATAATCTAAGCAATAAATCCCAGTTCTAGATCACTGCTGTAACAGGAGAACCCACAAACACTTTTACAATAACAATAAATGGGCCAGATCTTATTAGCTGACAAATATTAATATGAACAAGTAACTATTATCCTCTGTTCACTTAATATTCTTTATCAAATGCACATAAAAAACATTAACAAAACTTATTCCCTCAACAATGTTTCTGTGTTACCACATCTCTGAGTTAAAAATGGCAATATAGGCTTTTAAGTAATAATTTCCATTTACAAAATTCTGGCAATTCTATGCAGAAATGGATATTGACACAGCAATTCATAGTATGATGCTACATCAGTGGTGTGTTCATACAGCAGCTTTTCAATAAAATAAAATTTTAAAAAGCTCTGATTTGCAGGATGTGCTGATTCCTGTGTTATAAATACTCCCACAAGGGCCAATTTCATGCTACCAAGTCTGTAACAGATTGCTAACAAAATTCTTGAATATGTAACAATTGGCTCAAGTGTGTTAGTCAGAGCCAGCTCCAGCACACTGCTGATACTACAAGTAAACACAGAAATAATAAAAACCAACCCAGTCTTTTAAGAAAGAGGAAACTGAGGCTTAGAGGGAGGAAGTGATATGCCTCAAGATTACACAGTGGTTGAACAGGTTTTAACACTCAAAATTCCATCTCAACTACCCTCATCAATTAGTGAAACTTTATACAATAGAAATAGTTGGTGTTCTTCAAGACTGTTGAGAGAAGTGCTTCACAAAAGATCAACAACACTAAAGATCCTGTTTGAAATACATATTCTTGGGCTCTACCCCAGACCTAGTGAATCATAATTCCTTGGGCCCAGACATCTGTGTGTCAACAGGCTCTACAAGTGGTAAAGACCAGTAAGAAAGAACCTTTCCCTAATAGCTACCCTTAAAAATAAATGAGTTTCAAATATAAATTAAGAACAATAGCTATTTTTCTTTTTACTTCACCTGAACCTTCTATCATAAAGTCTACAATGTTTCACATTTTCAAAGACCTTGCTTTTCAAAATAGAGTTTAGATTTTTTAAACAACAAAAGAAAAAGTTGAGTTATTTATCTTCTGATTCTCAACCTCAATATTCTATGGGCCAAAATCTAACGTATATTTGTATGTCTGAGCTTTGGCACATTTAACATTTTTTGAACAAATTTAAAAATATATATATTTATCTTTCAAGGTTCCGCCTTGCCTTTTTCACAAATCAAGGCACTCAGTAGCAACAGGGGACTCCAACCCTAATGTACCTACTGTTTTGTCAAACAATTAGACAGTTATGTATTTGTATTTTGGTTTATCTGCCACTTTCTGTTGTGTTGATATGTATTCCCAATCTTAAAATCTAGGACAAAGGCAAATAAATATTTTCTGCTTTGTTTTCCTCTTTCAATATTTTAGAGGTCAGAACATTTACAAAATAAATATCCTCATGGCTTTTTAAAAAGCATTGCAAAAGAGAAAAATAACAATTGAGTAATAGTTTTTTAAAATTTAAAAATACACAGCTAAGTCACAATCAAATGACAAATATATGTTCTAATATTATTTTGAAAATAATCAGATACTAACCAAAAAATACAGGTCTACGATTCGTCTTCTTTTTTTTTTTTGAGACGGAGTCTCGCTCTGTTGCCCAAGCTGGAGTGCAGTGGCGTGATCTCGGCTCACTGCAAACTCCGCCTCCTGGTTCACGCCATTCTCCTGCCTCAGCCTCCTGAGTAGCTCGGACTACAGGCGCCCGCCACCATGCCCGTCTAATTTTTTTGTATTTTCAGTAGAGATGGGGTTTCACCGTGTTAGCCAGGATGGGGTTTCACCGTGTTAGCCAGACCGTGTTAGTCAGGTCTCGATCTCCTGACCTTGTGATCCGCCTGCCTCAGCCTCCCAAAGTGCTGGGATCTACAGGCGTGAGCCACTGTGCCCGGCCAGGTCTATGATTCTTAATTCATTATTAATTTTATGGGAAGGTGAACTTAAATATGTTTTTATTTGCACAGAAATAAGAGAATTAATGACATAAGTGTTGGTAGATAGTAGATTCATGAAAACATTTTTGAAGAGGATTTAATCATTTCCAAGCTTCCAAGCAAATATAAAACTACTTAGTGAGTGTGGTCCTTGGCCTTGGTGGGAGATAGCTTCACTGGACTAGGCAGCAGATGTTTTCAAAGAAACTAGAGGATTAGTCTTATGCTTCTCCAAATACATGGTCCTGGCTGAACGGACATTTACCAAGCACTGGCCAGAAAAGCTTTGTAACACAAGAGGTAATCCTGAAATCCACCGCTTCTGAGTTTTTGAGATTCCTTTCACTAATACTTCTCAAGAAAATCGTTTATTTCATGAGACTCATCAATGACTCCACTGGCCACATGGTTTGAGAGTGTAACTCTATTACTTGATCTTCATCTTGCAGGTCATATATCTATGAATCAGCCAGCATTTCCATGTATATGTGCTCAAGAACTTCCACTCAACAACAAAAAGTAAACCAATTCCACTCCCCAAAATAAACTAGCATTGAATCTCAAATTTAAGTCCTGTTTGTAAAGAAGAGTCTTCCTCACTGAGACACCAGTGGATGAGTACATTGACTGAAATAACACATCCTGCCCACCAAGGCAAGTATGGGAGTGAGAAACAGCACGGGCAGCAGAAGGACACTTACGGTTGGCACAGCTTGATTAGGTCCTGGTCAGTGGTGCCTGGTGGGAGGCCTCGAATGTACAGGTTGGTTTTACTCAACTGTTCCCCGCTGCTGTTGTTGCTGCTGTTGTTGCTGCTGCTGTTTGTGCTGGGGCTGGGAGGAGCCATGGGGTGGGGAGCTGGTGCATAGGACTGCTGGAAACAGAAAAAGCTGTTACTGGAAAAACAAAAGCCAGCACCTATTCACAGGCCAGCAGCACAACTTGAAATCAATGTAAGCTATGCGTCTTCTCCAATACACACACGTACATACACACACACATTTATATCACTACTCTCTGTTGCATTCAAGAATATCGTCCCCCGCCCTGGCCCTCCATTCAGATCAGCATAAGTCAGCCATAAAAGGGACAAAAAACAGTTATCAGGTGCTCCTGGCAGTAGCATATGGCATTTGAACTTGTCTCTGACTATAGTGACTCTCCTTAGATTGGTAAAGTAGCATATCTTCTTCCCTAATAAAATAAAACAGTCACTTTTGGCAATAAACTCTGACCCTAGCTTACCTTTAATACCCAAGCATCTTTGGTTTCCCTCTATTACCTTGTTCCCTCCTTTTCTCCAAAGAAACTCCCTCCTATTGTTTTCCTCAACATTACTGTTCAGCATAATTCCTGATACAAAGAAATCATTCCTATAAATAGTGATTCTATGAATGACTGAATGAATGAAACCATCTTAGCTCTTTCTCATATTCCCAAAATCGTTTCTTTACATTGAATGTTCCTTGTTTGCAAGATGGAGCTACCATTCTTTCCTTACCTTCAAGATCCTCTTTAAATTACTCTAATCCAGGATCCCAACCTAGGCACTATAAACCATCTGGACAGGATAATTATTTGTTGTGGGCACTGTCCTTGTTCACTGTAGGATGTTTAGTAGCATCCTTAGCCTCTATCTCCCAGATTCTAGTAATGCCCATTCCCCAGATGTGATCACCAAAAAATATTCCCAGACATTGCCAAATGCTCCCTGGTGCTGGTAGGAATCTCCCCCTGGGAGAACCGCTGTTTTAATTCATTACATTATTATATGGCAAAATTAAAATGATAAAATGACTCCCAGAAAATTGCAATAAACAATGTGAGGGTTTTTAAAATTATACATACCAGAATTCATAGATATATATTTACTAATTATGCTTCTTTTTTTATACAGGCATATCTTCAAAAGTTCTCAACTAACACTGACTGTCTAGGGTTGAGTCCCTGCTGTGCCTCTTACTGGCTATGTGACCTTTAAGTGGTGCCTTAACCTCTCTGAGAAGCAGCATTCTCATTAATACGAAGGAGATAATAACGGTACTCTCTTAAGTTAGAAGATTTTTTCAAAAAGTTGAGTTAATGCAAACAAAATGGTTCCTAGAAATTAATAAGTGTACAATATTAGCAAAAATAACAATAATATGAATATTCATGGTTTGTATCTGTCTTGTAGTAATATCAACCTATATAACTGTCCCAGATTTTCTCAGTTGTGACCCCAAATGCTACCCAAAAACAAAATAAGCACATTCATCAAGATTCCAGTGGGGAAACTTTGGGCTGGGTTCTCATCTGAAGATGAAGAGTCTTTAGCTATTTTATCAGATTTGGGAGGTATGTCTTTGTCAAACAGCACATTTTTGGCACATTAGCAAGTAAGTATTCAGATGAGGTCAAACTATAATACATTTTGTGCCATGGCATAAAGGTAAGGAATAATATAATCTGAGGGAAAAAAATGTACTTTGTGTCTCTACAGTTTCATTCTAAAAAAAAAAACCTCAAGAAACATATTCAACATGAAAATAGTATGTCTTTTCATCCCAAAACTTCTGCTGCTGACCAAATTGACAGGCCTAGTGGGTCTGGGTAAATAATGAGATGTCCTGGAAATAGAACTGACTGTGGCCTTAATCACAGACAGCTAAACTTTGTATGTAGAATCCTGCAGTGGCTTCCCACCAAACTTATTACAAAGTCCTGAAAGCTCCACATGATTTTTTATCAGACTTTTTCTCCAATCACTTCTTAGACCAGACACTGTGGTACTCCCAACTTTTCACCCTTCCCATTCTCAGCCCCACTCTACTCGGCTGGCTCTAATCCATCCTTCTGATTTCAAATTAAGTATCATCCTACAACACTCTGGTATTTTCCTTCACAGCTTTCAGTGTATTGGGTCTTATTTAATTATTTTTGGCTTATTTAATGCCTGCCTCTAACAGTAATCTGTGTTTCCTGAGAGCAGGGAATGTGTCAAACCATACATGAGTATGTCATGTATGTAGCCTAGTGCCTGATATACAGTAGGTGCTTGAGAAATATTTAGGTTACTATATATATAATAAAAAATGGAATAAAGACAGCACTTAGCATTTAGAGAAAGAAGGCCAAGTTTTAGCAGTACCCAGCTTCATTTCTTGCAATAGTAATCTGTTTTACACCTTCCAGGATTTTAAATTTGGTCAGTCCCTATTTCCCACTGTCTATAAGACAATGTGCTTTAGATTCAGTATATCACATGCAACCCATTGCACCTATTCTCTCATTCCCAATTCCCCACACCAGCCACCCAATACAATTACCCCATATCTTTCAATGTTGCTGTTGTTCTGCCAGTCTCCATGCTAGAAAACTTGGTGTTAGCTTTATCTGCTTCTTAATTCTAAATCTCAGAATACAGTCAGCCACCAAAATCTCAAACAGCCTCCTGGAAACCTCCTTTTCTCTGAATTCCCATTGTTTCCCTCAGCCAGAGACTGTACCATCTCATATGCAGCGAGCTTCAAGCTTTCTATCATGTTTCACCTTTTATGCCCCTTATTTTTGGGAAGGCAGGGTAGGTTGGGAATAAGAAAATTGTCCAGACTGGGCACTATGGTTCACGCCTGTAATCCTAGCACTTTGGGAGGCTGAGATGGGTGGACTGCTTGAGCCCAGGAGCTCGAGACCAGTCTGGACAACATGGCAAAACCCCATCTCTATAAAAAATACACAAAAATTAGCTGGGTGTGGTACCATGTGCCTGTGGTCTCTGCTATCCAGGAGGCCGAGGTGGGAGGTTCACTTGAACCCTAGAGGCTGAGGCTGCAGTGAGCCATGATGGCGCCACTGCACTCTAGCCTGGGCAACAGAGCAAGACCCAGTCTCAGAAAAAATAAAAAGTAAAAATAACAAAGAAAGAAAATTGTGCAACGCAAACACACATTGACCAACAGTTGAGAAATGCACAAGTGAAAGAATAGACATGACAGGAGCAAAACCCAGAGCCTCCAGATTTCTTCTTTGAAATAAACGTTTTTTGGCTGGGCGCGGTGGCTCACGCCTGTAGTCCCAGCAGTTTGGGAGGCTGAGGAGGGCGGATCACAAGGTCGGGAGATCAAGACCATCCTGGCCAACATAGTGAAACCCCATCTCTACTAAAAATACAAAAATTAGCTGGGCATGGTGGTATGTGCCTATAATCCCAGCTACTCAGGAGGCTGAGGCAGAAGAATCACTTGAACCCGAGAGTCAGAGGTTGCAGTGAGCCGAGATTGCGCCACTGTACTCCAGCCAGGCGACAGAGTGAGACTCTGTCAAAAAAAAAAAAGAAAAGGAAAAAGAAAGAAAGAAACATTTTTCTCAACTATTCTTTAGTATTGCTTTAGTATCAACATTTTTCACATAGAATTTTAAAATGAATTTTAAAATGAATTATACAGGATAAAACCTTCTTTTCCTGGTATTTGGATTAAATAGAATATATTCATTGCCTTTTGAAATTTAATATCTACAGAAAGCTCAAGTTTCTTAGCTAGCATCAAAAACTATGACTTATTTCCTGACATAAAGTATTCTGTTTAGCTTCTTGGAATCCTCACAAAACTTAAGCTCTACCTCTTTTACAAGTCCTGCACACAGTAGGTGTTCAGTACATGCTTGCCGAGGTGGCTTCCTGGTGTATCTCATAATGGGTCAGATGAGATTTCTCTTTACTTCCCTTATATGCCTTACTCTCTTAAAATTCCCAGGGCCTTTTTAAAGCTGTTTGCTACCACTTTCACCTCCCCTCTCTCCAAATTCTTTGAATTCCATTCTGCATTCAGGCTTTTTCAAAAATGAGACTTTGTTTAGCCTTTAAAACCACCAGGGAGCCAGAAAAATGTCTCCAGCTTTATGTATCACAGATTAGAAGGACCAGTTCAGACTGAGTCCTTGACTAATCAAATAAGAAAGCACCAGCTACAGGATGATCAATATGTGTTTACTTAATTCTTTTCCCCCCTAGGGCTCTTTGTAAGCATTTCCATAACCAGAACACCATTTAGTAAATTGCATGATGCCTAAAGCAATAAACGTGTCCTCCAAAAGGCCCAACAAATTCACAGGGAAAAAAATTAACAAAATAGTCAAAAGCCAACCGAAGTTGGGATGAGGATCAGGAACTTGTGTGCACTGAAGTGAGATATGTAATTTATAATTAGGAGTGGAAGCACCAGACTTGTGAAGAAAGAATGTATTTCAGAAGCTTTCTGAACAAAATACAAAAAGGCGGTTTTCTTTGTCATATCCTTGTTCGTAAATTCTAGAAATTCTGCTGAAAGCGGTCGATTTTCTCGGTGTTATTGAACCAATCAATCCACAGATTTTAACACCCAGTGTAGGAACTCTTCCTTATCTTTAGTATTTCATTTATCTGTTGATGATGCACTGATTGATTCAGGTAGCGGTCAGCATTATAAATCATTCTTTGGTTTTAAGAATTATAAATTCCTTCCTCTCCACCCATATTCCAAATACACATCCTTTAATCAACAAAATGTTGGCAGAAAGTTCCCGGAATGCCTGACAAATGCACAGGCCTAAATGAATTAATTTGTGAAAAGCAAAAGCGATTTTGTATGTTCTTGCTGCCAAAGACATATGACCAAACTACAGAATCTTAAAAAATAAATAAATAAATAAATAAATAAATAAAAGAAGTGTCAATAATCTCTAGGGGTTAATGGGTCACAGCAGCCCCTTTACTGATTAAAGTGGCTCTGCTTCCTTTCTCAATTCTTTGTCTTTAGAGGGATTTGGGATTTTATCATTGATTAGCTTTTAAATCATTTTGGAGCACTGAGGAAGGGATTTTAAAATGTTAGTAAAGAAAAATATTTTCCTGCAGATAAAATTGACTTTGCTACATTGCTCAAAGTCACACTTTATAAATCCTATTTAGGAGGAGAGAGTACTTACGGTCTGGGGTTACTGAACACTGTAACACTGTGCTATAACAGGGCAAGGGGTTGCTATGAATTTGCAGTGTCAGCTTAGAAGCGGTGGAAATGGCACATTCAGAAGGGGATTTTGGATGACACTCTGATTGAAGAAGAGAGATAGAGGATTTCTCTTGCAGCTGCATATGCTTGGTTAGTATGCAGATTTTTCTTAGATGTTTAGTCATTGTAGCTTTGCTGGAAGGTTCTGTTAGGGATTATGGAATAGGGTCTAAAGCCCTTCAGCCACACATTAGGGATGCTATCTCAGAGGATCAGTGCCAATGTCCTCTTTAGGAAATGAAATAAGATGAATTGGCATCCATTGTGAAACATGCTATTCCTAAAATAGTAATCCTAATAATTATAGGTAGCATCCGTTTGTGCTTGCTAAGCATTTTATATGCTATCTTCACAACAGCACAATGAGGCAAATAATATTCTTCTCATTTTACAAATGAGGAAACTGAGGCACAAAAAGGGTAAATGACCTTCTCAAGGTCACACAGCTGGAGCCCAACTTGAGGCCAGGGACTCTGACTCCAGAAGCCACGCAGTCTCCCACAACACTGCAGAACTTTAGCTCTTAATTATATGGACACCAATAAACATAAACACTTCCTTGAAGTAAACACTGGAGGATGATGCTCTGGCAAAAGCTCTGGAGCATCTAAGTATCAGCAGGAGGGAAAGAATGATGATGATAAACAGCAGACAGTCAAAATGAAGGTTAAAAGGCTCTTTTTCTCTATCAGAATTTAAATGAAGTCCATCTTAAAATGTAATTTCAAAGGGGAAGTGACCATCAGAACCAAGCATGTTATGAGTTTTTCAAATACTGTCAAACAAGTGGGTTCATTTGTCAAGATTCATGGTTTGTTATTTAATAACAGGAAAATGAACTGGCTTGTAGATCTTCCTAAACAGCTGATTCATTTAGTGTGCTTTGTTCATATACCTCATTTTTCAAGTTTGAAAAGTGAATCAACTGGGTCCTCCTACATTTGTAAAATCTGTGGTTTGGGTATGTAGGTTTGGAGAAAGGTTAGTTGTGTTTTCTTCTTTTTTTTTTTTTTTAACAGAAAGCATTTGGGACATTCAATAAATGTTGCTCACACATCAATAGAGTAAAGCAAATTATTTAACAATTTTTTTATACACTATCAAACTATATTTGATGAACACTTGTCTGCAGGCGGGGTTGTAGTGAATATATATGAGCCAGATAATTTTAAACCTTAGTTCCATACTTTGGCACCACTCACATTTTGGACAAGATAATTCTCTGTTTTAGGGAGCTGTCCTGTGCATGGTAGCATAGTTTATAGCATTCCTGTCCTCTCCCTACTAGATGCTAGTTGCACTGCCCTCTCCCAAAGTTGTGACAACCAAAAATATCTCCAGATACTGCCAAATGTCCCCCTGTAGGGTTGGGAAATCTCTTCCAGTTGAGAATCACTATTTTAAGTAGATCCAGACCATCTTCTTGAAAGGCCAGTACAGTACCCCTCACAGAATGATACTAACTCAATGGCCTAAAAAAACCGTAAACAAAACCTTACCACCAAACCAAAGTTCAACTTCGCATGGCATTCACCCCCTCCAACATACGCAGTTCCACCATCTGTAACCAAGATGTCAGTATGCCACATTTCATTTGCAGCAGACTAAGTCTGAAACATACTTCTCCTTCTGATTGAAAACATAATTCTTTACAAAGAGAATTTTAAATATTTTTTGCATGCAATTCCCCTTGGCTGGAAATCACAGAGCCCTGATGCCAAACTGCAGTCAGTTCTATTGCCGGCATCTGGTTGCTGGCAGGATCCTGAGGCAGTTGGTCTGGTGGTTTTGGAGTAGCTCTGGACTCCATCACACAGCAGTCTGTTCTGCTGATGGTCTCCCCAGTTTGTTTTTATTCACCTCCTATGCAATAGAATTTGTACTCTTTTTATCCACTCAAGGGTAAAGCCCTGGATAAAATCTCCCAAGGGACTGACATGCCATCTCTTTTACTATCCAAAAATGAATACATACTACCTTATTGTCTTAAATCATACATTATTTAGCTTGCACGTACACATGTAATCCATTGCTCGCTGGATAACACTGCTGCAGGCTGTTGGATTCATCTCCTTGATAGTGTAATTTCCACATAACCTTTATTCTTCAGACCTCTCCTCTAGTGTGAACACAACGTGAGAGAGTGGACACGATAAGAACTGTGGTAGTCACTAGTGTGTCTATAATAGCCTTAAATGAGGGTGAATATGAATACTCTCTGTGCAAGTAATAACAAATGCAGCTAAATTAATATCTAAGGCAAGCCATGCAATTACAGCCATGGTTTCATGAACCACATACATTATGGCTTTGCAATTTTATGCTAGGCAATTGCCTCTCCATTATCTAGAATACAAGCATAGTAAACAATTGTTTCAATTATGTCTTTTGTAACAGTTTGGTGAAAATCTGTCCTACTTCTCTTTTCCTACCCAAAGCTAGATATGGAAATAAGCAATAAAAGACAAAACTCCTCATGAAAGGCAATCATTTGAATATTCTCTATCAACTGGCCTAGGTAATAGCTGCTGTCAACAGTGGTAACATGGTGCTTAAGAGCTCCAGATTACCCACTATGAATCCAGCTCCACCACTAACTAGGCACTTAAACCTCTTGTCATGAGTGAAAGAGGAATTATGATTATTTCACTTCATTGGAGTGTTGTGAAGCTAAAATGTATAAATTATGTGTCAAATGTTTAGCACAGGGCCTGGCACAGAGCCAATATTCAGTAATTCTTTGTTTTCTCATCATTACCATTGTCATTATCATCATCACAAGGCAGACCCACAATATGAGCGTTGCCTTCTCAGTTCTAGTTGGAGTAATTCACCTTGAAGGGGGTGCTAAAGAGCCAATTATTTTTTAAACATGAAAGCCACTATTCTTGAAATGAAATTATGTCATTAGAACCGTGGTTTGCCATTTTCATTAAGAACTAAGCTGTGATGAAACAATCATTGTGGATGGGATGGCTAATTGGTTTCAAAGCATTTACAAATCACTACTGAGTTTTTATTAAAATTCTGTTAGAATGAGATTCACTTTTGCTCTAAATGTTAGTTTTTGAAAACCTCAGCAGATTGCATAATCACACATTGCTCTGTGCTATTTACAAATAGGTTTAATTTAAAGTCATTGAATTCTATTCAGAGGCTTAGATATTAAATGACATTTTAAAATTCATGGTACTTGGAAACACAAATAAACTAGTTATTGTTCAGTTCAAGCACCTATAAACAAATTTGATTAATAAATTTATAAGCTAGCAAAAAGTGGTGCTATAAATGACATCAATGGAGTTTTATAAAGATTATCAGTTTTTCAAATGGCAGTGACATCTGGTCTTTGCCCAATTCTTCTTTTAATTTGACTAATTTTTTATCTCTTTAAATACAAACAAACAAAATTAACATATACTTCAGACATTGCAGTGCTTATGGAATTAGTTTAAAAAGTCAAGTGTATACCTTGAAAATAACCCAAAATGCTAGGACTCCAATATTGATAATGATTGGTTCCTTGTGGAATAATGAGCCATGATGTGTTCCCCAGCTGGAGATTACAGTGTTAGCTACAATATGAACAATAATTGTTAGAATCAGAGCATTCTCCAGAAATACTGAAAGTGACCATAATGGAATATCTGCTGTGTTTGTCCAAGGAATACCTCAGAGATCAACCCAAATGCCTGCTTTCACGATGAGCTAGAATAAGTAGGCAATGAGGGAAAACCCAGAACAGGTCACCAGAAACTCTTTATGGAGATTTCTGGGCTAGCCAACCATGTCAATGTCAAATGCAATCAGAGATAAAGAGGTCTTCAGAAATGTACAACAATTATGCTTAGAGTAACATTCTTACACTTAATAAGAAAGATATATTTGCCTAATATTTTAGTTCAGTTTTTCCCCATAATCTCTATTTTTTATTTATTTTTTTATTTTGTGAGACAGAGTCTTGCTCTGTCACCCAGGCTGGAGTGCAGTGACATGATCTTGGCTCACTGCAACCTCCACCACCTTGGTTCAAGCAATTCCCCTGTCTCAGCCTCCGGAGTAGCTGGGATTATAGGTGCAGTCCACCACACCCGGCTAATTTTTTTTTTTGTATTTTTAGTAGAGACGGGGTTTTTCCTACAGTCTAATACTCTATTTCCCTAAAATTACAATTAGTAATATTGCCAACAATTAAAATTCCCCTAGCTTTTTTTGAGACGGAATCTCACTCTGTCGCCCAGGCTGGAGTGCAATGGCACAATCTCGGCTCACTGCAACCTCTGCCTCCTGGGTTCAAGCGATTCTCCTGACTCAGCCTCCCAACTAGCTGGGACTACAGGCGGGTGACACCACGCCTGTTTTTTTTTTTTTGTTTTTTTTGGGGGGTTTTTTTTTTTTGGTATTTTTTAGTGGAGACAGTGTTTCACTGTGTTAGCCAGGATGGTCTCGATCTCCTGACCTTGTGATCCGCCCACCTCGGCCTCCCAAAGTGCTGGGATTACAGGCATGAGACACCGCGCTTGGCCTCCCCTAGCTTTTTTAAAATGTACACCCTCCTAAGTAGAATGAAGACCAATGGATGTAGCTTAAAGAGCTACATAAAATATGCAGTGATAAGCTACAATGGATGTAGCTTAAAGAGCAACATAAAATATTCAGTGATAATACTTTATTGCAACTAAATGAACTCTTGCAAAGTTTCCTCCAGTTGTGAAAGTCATGGCTTCAGATAATAATGAGGCATTTTCCATTTTAATTGACTAGTTTCCATATTAACCAATCATATTACTGATTTGGTTACTTGTAGCAAAGGGATGATAGAAATAACACACTTTGTTCCCAATTACGTATAACGAAAATTACTGTCAGTAATGGAAATACAATCAGAACACAAAATAGTATCAGGTTTTTTTGATACACCAAATATTTTTGTCCAATTAAATGGGAACTTTGCTTTTCTGAAAGTGAATCTATGTTGACACAGGAGCAATTCAACAATAGTGCAAATAGCATATACAATCCAATCTAATTTCCTTATACCAGTTCTCATCCCAACTCCATAATGTGTCCAGCCTACACGTATCCCTGTTTCCTTCTACTTCCCAGTACTCACCATTCAAACCACACCATAGTCACATCTGCATCTATACCTTAATATGTTATCTTCCCTGCATCTGAAACGCCTGGGCTGTACTCCTATATCTAATTCTACAGTGACTTAATATTTATCTTACAAACCGGGAAAATTTGAGAGCAAAAGAGGGGGATGTTAGTAATTAAACCAGGACACAAGGAATAATTGAGATTGTCTGAAGCAAATCAGGGTGTATGGTCACCCTGTAATTACTTTCTATTTATCCAAATCCCACATATTCCTCAAGGATCACCTAAAATTATACCCATTCAGGACATTTTCCTTTTATTACTTTAGAGCTATTTCATTTCCATACTTTTTCAGTTTCTACTTCATCAATATCTACAAAAGATTATAAAATAAGAATAGCAATGGCTAAAGTTTATTGAGCATACATTATATTCCAGGCACAATTCTAAGAGCTTTATGCTCATTGATTTATTTCCTGATCTCAGAACTCTTAGAGGTAAGAACTATTATTATCTCTATGTTGAAGAAGAGAATACTGAGACTTAGGGAGGTTAAACGACTTTTCAAGGTTGTTCAGCTGCTCAGCATCATACCCAGGACCTGAAGCTAAGCAGTCTTCACCTCCGTTAACTCCAGGTTTAAATATAAATATGTACAGTCCAATCTGACAGTCATTAGCAGCATGCAGCTATTTAAATTCACAGGTAATTAATTAAAATTAACTTAAATTTAAAAATGTATTTCTTCAGTTGCGCTAGTTACATTTCAAATGCTGAAAAACATACGTGGGTACTGACTGCTGTATCTGACAGGTAGACACAGAACATTCTCATCATCACAGAAAGTTCTACTGGACAATGCTAATATATATCATTCTTATAGCTACAACATATAATCTCCCATACTATGTGCTGATGAAATAATGGTCACAGTTTCTATGCTATGCTACTAGTTACAGGAATTTCTTAAAATGTAATTAATCTCCTTTTAGTAGAAACCATATTCAAGCTTCCTCCCACACTCAAGAAGTAGGTTTATATTTTGGCATATAAAACCTCTCTTTCAACTGATACCTCCCCTGACCAAACATGCACATTATTAAAAGATTTGTAGGAAGTAAAAATATAATTTGAGGGGAAAAGGTGTATTTTCTCTTTTTAACCAATAACCAAACTTTCATCTAAATTGTAAAATTGCTAAATACCAAGAAAAGATAGAAATTAAGATTAGCTGTAGGTACAGAGTAAATGTGTCTCTCTTTGGCAGACAAGCTGCCTGCCTGGGGCCCTCAGCATTTTCAATACCATTTAATCTACTTTACCTGCCATCCCAAAAGAGAAACCACCCCCGCAACCCTGCCATCCTCCATGTAACACACATGCTACCAATTTTATTTCTGTCCAAACAGGACCAAGGCAAAAAAAGGAGAAGGTTTTCTTACAGTGAATTACCAGGGCAATTCAGCAATTTCATAAACGATAACCTATATTCCATGACATAAAATAGTTTTGTTGCTTTATTAGCCAATTCATTCATATTTTATTGATGTAGCAAAATTAAATGTGAACAGAACCTAGGCCTTTGAAGTCCTAAATCTAAGAAATTTGAACTATAAAACATAATAATTTCCTCAAGAAGACAATGTTAGAGCACAGATCAAAAATGTGACAGGAATTAATACATGCAAAGTAATTGCTTCATTGTAAAGATTGAAATGAGCACTTGCACAGATAATTTTCTATAAATACATTTTCAAAATTTATTATGTTTGGGGCTGTGAGGTGGTAACTATGAGAATAAATTAATGTTCAAGTTTAAGAAAAAAATACCTCATGATAAAATGAATATTAGGCAATTTACATTATCAAATTTATTATAATTTTTATAATAAGAAACTTATAAAATATTTACACAAACTTCTATTGCTCTTAATTATAAACCTCTATGAGGACTCCCATTTTCAGTATATTTTAAGTCAATGCACCTCAAACCTTAGAGAATTTCTCGAAAGAATATAGGCACATCCAATTCCAGATGCATCTTTTCTTTTTTGTGTGATTATTACTGGAGATTTTTTTTTTTTTTTTGGGCTGGTGATATTCTACATAAGAGAAGGAACTATCCCTAGTAATAAGACAGTTCTGCTTTTTCTTCTCCAAATTGCTATTGTCCTTTTTTAAAGAAGTAATTGAGCTTCAGAGACTGGCAGTTAAAGGGCATTTGCCCTTGATTGGTATACTCTTCATAGGCTCAGGAAGAAGAAAGGAACATTATTGTCATTGTATAGTGTCTAAGGACATAGATCCTGCAGACACACAACGCAGGCTCAAATCTTGCTTTACCTCTATGCCACCTCTTTTGTCTCCATCTCCTCATCTCAAAAAATTGAAATAATAGCTACCTCAGAACACTGTTAACCATTTCAAGTGAGTGATTGTGTGTAAAGCACTGAGAATAAAACCTGGCACACAGCATTCTATATATGCTAGCTATTATTATCACATAAATCCTAAAGCATTTTTATAATATGGATTGTTTTCATGAACAGTAACGTTCTTTTGGTTAACAGGTATATTGGTTTGTTGACTGATCTAGCCAACTCTGGCTTGTGTGATTTAAAATCTCATGATACAAAGTAAAAAGTCCATTGATGCTTGTCAGAATGAAATTCTCTAGATTATAAGTCAAAGAATGTCCTTCTTTAATGGGACATTAGGTTTAGTTGGTATTATTCTAGCTACTGAGAGGAGCTACTAATAGTAGCTACTGATAGTAGTTAGAATGCTCTCAGATAAGCTGATGACAAGACTCTCAGAAGAATTTTTTAAGACAAATATAAATTTTTATAAGGGAAGTCATTCTTAGAATACACAGATTCTGAGAAATATCTAAAAGTTGTAAAAGTACTAATTAAAATAAGACATATTTAACTGTCAGTGGAAAAAACTTATACGTTAAATAACACACCAACTACTAAATATCCATGCACTTAATTAAAAGGAGTTTTATATACAAGAAATAAACTATACTAATTTCATGGCTCCTAACACTAAAAATAATTAGATTTTTAAAAAATTGTTCCCCTGCAAGAACATTTTGTGGGTAAACAATGGCTTAAATTGTTTTTTTCAGTTTAATTATCTCCCGAATTTCTAACAAGTCATAAGATAGATGCTCTAGGGTAGCTGAAGCAAATAGTCCACAGCATAAGAATGGGATAGTAATACATTTATACATTCCAGAGTACTTTCTACACATCTCCATTATTCAGAGGATGCTTTTGTTTTGTTTTTGCTTTGGTTGAAGAATACGATGTAAAACTTGGCAAATAGTGATAACGGCCTTTTCTGTTTTCTTTTTTTTTTTCTTTAGGGACAGACTCTCGCTCTGTTGCCCAGGCTGGAGTGCAGTGGCGCGATCTTAGCTCACTGCAAGCTCCGCCTTCCAGGTTCATGCCATTCTCCTGCCTCGGCCTCTCGAGTAGTTGGGACTACAGGCGCCCGCCACCACGCCCAGTTAATTTTTTTTTTTTTTTTCATTTTTAGTAGAGACGGGGTTTCACCGTGTTAGCCAGGATGGTCTCAATCTCCTGACCTCATGATCCACCCGCCTCGGCCTCCCAAAGTGCTGGGATTACAGGCGTGAGCCACCGTGCCTGGCCGATAATAGCCTTTTCTAAAGTACAATCACTATAACATAGAGTGTTCTAGGAGTGATCATTTATTTGCTTCCCTTAAAGAAGCCTCAGTGCTTGCTCTATGCACTAAAAGGCAGATTGCAAGAAGTGGGGAATCAAAACAGAAAACTATTCACAATTAGTGGTGTGCAAGTATTCTGAAACTCTGCGAGAAAAAAAAAACAAGGGAAAAGCCCTGATTTATAGCTATGTTGATAAAAACAAAACAAAACAAAACAAAAAAAAACAAACCTAAGTACACCACTGATTTTTACCTTTAAGCAGTCTAACAACTGAGTCACGTCATTTCGGAGAATTTAACAATCAGCTCTCACAAGTGGTCCTAGCCAGCTCTAGGATCCCACCAAATCCCATCAGGATGTGACCTTAGGTGAAATGCGATGCAACTGCCCAGCATCCTAAATGATACACACAGATGAATGGAATTACAAGAATGAATAGTAAAGAAGCAACTAGGAATATCTTGGGGGAAAAGAAGAAGATTTATTGATGGCCCTGGCTCAGCTGCTAGGACCGGAAGGCACCATGAGGGAATATGTGGGCGGAATGCACAGGCTGATTTAGTAAGTTTCCATGATATAATAGAGGAAAAGTACAGGAAACATGAAAATTTCTCAAAGAAAGGTGGAACTCAAAGAGAACGTCCTTATTCACCAGCCAACAGAGAACTCCCCGCAATTAAAGTATCTTTACTAACATCATTTCTTGCTTTACAAATGCTCAGGGTCTACTGTAAGCTCTCAGAGGGCAGACCATTAATGCCATAAAATTGACTACATCTTAAGCAGAATGAAAACAGAGACACCAACGGTAAGAAGCTAAATTGAGACAGCATCCATCGCCAAAGCAAAAAGCATAGCATGAACTACAATAGTAATGATACAAACTGCCTTCTTAAAATCATGTTGGTAGTGGTGTAAGTATTCCTTAAATTCAGGAAATGGGTCTTAATAATAGCTTGTGAAGTTCAAAATTTTAATAAGCAAGATTTATATATTAATTTACACACAAACTTACATATGCATCGCTCTCCCCTTCTCCCTATAGCCAACATCATATGGAACCCAACACTTTGGCGAATAATGGATAATTGATCTAAGTTTACAAACCAGTGAAGCAGCCTAGAATTACAGCTCATTATATTACCATGTTACTATGTACTATATTACTATAATGATAGTTTTGTAAGTAGAGAAAATATTTTTATCTATAGGTCAACTTCCTAACACTACTGGTATTAAGAATTTCCATCCAGAATTTCGACTTGAAGAAGAGATCTAATTAGAGAAAATTTATGATAATGTAACAAAGACCAGAGATTTCTAATTCTCAGGTAATTGATAAAAATTTAACCTACACTATAACATGTGTAAAATAGAACAGATAATTAGAATTCAGCAGATAAATTCAATGATAATATTACAATAAATGCTGTTATGAGAAAATATTTTAAAGATTAAAATATATCCAGTGACAATTACTCCTTGAAGTCCTAAGATAATGAAAGTAGAACAGTTTATACAGGTGGGGTTAATACAGAGTTCTCAGCACACAGCACAGCATAGAAAGCAAAGAAAAGATAAATAGATAAACTTGGAATACTGAAATATGGTCTATACTTACCTGTATTAAGAGTATAGGAGATTGCTTCTTGGCCTTTTGATCAAGCATAGAGTACAGGAAAAAATGGCACCTGCATCCAATGCTAATTCTTGTGAGAATGTCCAGTTATTTTACTGTAAACTGTATTCTTTATAATAAAGGAAAACACATTTTACTACCCAGAGTGACAGTTTTAAGTATCACAATGAATAGAATGATGGAATGGTCTAGTTTTATAACTGGAGTTCTCGAAGACAATAAATGTAATCAATTTGATTGCTTTTCCTTGTGGTTTGCAGTAATGGGAGAAAACTGCTTTAGTAATAATACAGATAAAAATAAAATGAGAGAAGGACTAACAACATAGGACTTTTGCTATTAGCATGGTGGCTTTTACTCAAATGAATTAAGATCCATCAGTAGACTCATATGAAAGACTTTTTTTAGCAAAGGAATATTTTTCACCCAATGAAAATAGGCACCCTCTAGAGTTATGTCCTTATTTCAGCAGAGGAAAGCAAAGATTCTCAAAGTATACACTACATCACAGAGACAGAGCTCTTTTTTTAATGCCGAAATCCTCCCAGTTTAGTCATGCAGAAGAGTGAGATTCTAGCACACCCACCATTGGCCAAGAACCACTTTTTGGAGTATTATAATATTCTGCAACATTGACTGTCTATTCATCCTGAATCTGGCTATGCTATACGCAAAGGCACATTTCCTTTTATTTATTTGGATTCCACTGGTCATTAATTTCATTTAGCACTGAGGATTCTGACAAAGTCAATTAGTGTCATATGTTAGCAATTTCAGAGAGACAAATAGACACACCTCTAATTTTGGCCACCAGTTTCTATCCTGGACCCAATTTACAATTTTGCGCAATGACACAGATAATAACAAAAAAGAAGTATATTCTGCACTTATTTTATCTTGATTAGAAGACTGAGAATGGCATGACCTAGTGTGTTCCATTTACTTTGAACTTCTTATCACATCCCAGCAGGTCAAATAATGACTTGTTTATGAATGGGAAGAAAGTGAAAGTTATGTTTGTAGCTGATGTGCTAGTTTTAGTGACCAATCAATATCTCATCCCTGCCTAATGATATAGATTATTTTTTATTGAAGACCCAAAGGGGAAAACTAGAAAAATAATCACTGACATTATAATTTTGCCTATTATACAAGCTTAAATTCCAATGGTTGGTCTTCCTGTTAGTCAAGAACACATCTTATGTGTTCCATTATGAGATGGAGTAAAAATAATGTTTACATTTGTTTTACCAAAATATAATAGAGTATTGATAAACGATAGACAATTCCTTTCCTTGTCAGTAGATTATACACTTCTGATTATATACTTTATTTCACCGGATTGTGTCACTTCTGAAAATACTTTTCTGAAATGAAACTAGTTTAAATTCTCAAACTTCTCTAAATGGAATAATATTCCATGTTCAGATATTCCCGACTTTGGTGTATATTCCACTGTTGTTTTGTTTTGAACCACATATCTCTGTTTTGAAACAGTTTTAAAAGTCTGTTTAAATATATTTCTCAAATACTATGCTATGCAGAAAGGGGGACATTCTTTTTAACTGGAATTAGGGTACAGCATACTAAGGGATACCAATATATTCCACTTAATATAAACCCATAGGATATTCCCAAATTATAATAATTAGAGAATTAAGATAATATTAGGGAGAGCTAACTGAAGGTAAAAACGGAGAACACCATAAAAGTTGAAAGCAACAGATATTTAACTCTACGTGGACTGCATGGATGAGCCAGAGGTTAAGTTTACATACTTGATTATGAAAATTAAGGTGTCCCCTGAACCCAAGGACAAACTCAGGTCTTGTTGTGCCTTAAGTTTATACAATGTTGGAGACCCATTAAAAAAAGAATAAAATTTATAAATATAAAATTACTTAAAAAATGAATATTTGTTTAGAATAAAAACGAAATTTCAACATATCACTAATATTAAAAAGCTGAAGAACAACATGAAAATAAAAAATGTAGAAAATAATATTAATTCCCTGACACACTTCAGAAATAATCCCCTCTCCTTTTTTGCTGCAAACCTTTTGATTGTCTCTTTATATGAGAGTAATTTCATACTATTTTCTCCAGGGAGAATTATCTAGAGACAGATAATTCTGCCTGTCCTCTAACAGCTGATAGGCACTTTTTTTTCTAGTGATAGTTCAGAAATGTTTTCTTCAGCTTCACAACTCATAAATGGTAATAGCTTATAACTTGTTATAAGGTAAGAATGGTAGGAAGGTTAGGATAGTAAATTTGGGCATAACAATGTGGATGAATTTTGCACAGAGTTCGCTTCTGGCTTCAGATTTTTTCTTCTACTTCCCACATCCTTCCAGTGTTGGGCACCAGAGACCACATTCCTATCACAATAGAACCTTGAGTTGGCCCAGCACGTTCCTGCCACAATGCCCAAGACACTGGTACAGTGAGGAGTATGAGTATTCTTGGAAACCATTCAGACCACAAAACAGCTAGCAATAACACAAAGATGGATCCTATTGAATTCAAAATAAATGCATCTCTTACCCAACTTACCCTTAGCTAAATTCCAAAATACCTGCCACCACTGCAAGGAAAAAAAAAATGCAAATAGGGAAACTAGTGTGAAAAGAGACAAGGACCAGTTGTGATTAAAATGCATTTCTTTTACAAATTTTCCAAATCCATGTAACCATGGAAACACATTGCCAGTTAAGGAAAGAATGTGGATCTTGTGGGATCTAAATTTTATACACTTTGGATGGCCATTGACCATTTTTGAGAAGAATACAAAATGATTATACAGGATTAGATATAAGATTATAGAAGAGGTTGGGGAAAAGGAGGGACCCTAAAGCCTAAATTTTGTCAGCTTCTAGGCAAACCTGCACTATCTCACATTTCCAGCCACACCTCCATCTCTCCACCTCTCCCACACACCAAGAGGTGTTCTGAAAATTCTATCTCTCTGTCATATCAAGAGGTGATCTTCCATTTTCAGATGTAAGTATCTCGTGTGATAGAGCTAAATGACTTAAGGTAAATAGGGAGAGCACCAAGAAAGTTGAAAGCAACAGATGTTTAATTCTAAATAGTCCACAGGAATGAGTCAGAGGCCATGCTTTTCCTATGCGTTTCCACTTGTTCTTTCTGTCTACAATGTGTTTTAGCCCATGCCCCTTCATGTCCTTTTTTGGACACTTTTCCTGATGGCTCTACATGCTGAAGGGTACTTCCAAGTGTTATATCATGGCATGAAAATTTCATCCTACATTATGCCTTGAATATTCACTTGAACTCAGCAATCATTTTCCACAGATATACAGTATACTGATAATTTAACATCTGGATACATCATTTAAAAAAAAAATTTCATTGTCATGACTGAGTCTTAGCCAGGCCCCAAGTCCTGCCTATGCTGCATTCTCAGTGTCTCCCACATCTGCCTTTTCCATCCGTTCTACTATTTCTATTCAGAGCACTTCACTTCACATATGGATTAAGGTAACTGTCTCCAAATTGTATTTCCTGTTCCCAAGCTCCAAGTACTCTAATCTATCCCACATGCAGCCTTAAGCTTTATCTTCCCCCAACAAAAATTAATTTTCACACTTCATCCCCATGTTAATAAAAGCAATCCTGAAATTCTCTTCACTGTCTATAGATCACCTTCCTGAGACTGACATTCAAGGGCTCTGGGCCAGTTTCACAGTCTCCCTGACCATTAGCACACAAAAATAAATTTCTATTTTCAAATGTTCATAAATTTACTGTCTTGTGCCTGCAAGCTATTCCATTTATTGTTGCAAATTTATAATAATTTAATGCTCTTTGCTGAAAAAGAAAAACGATTGCTTCCTGATGCACGCCTGAGTACCTATTACTCAATAAAAGATTTAATTTCCAAATTGCCGGTATCTACAGTTTGCTTGTTTTCTGTCTAAACATCCAACAGAACTGGGCACTTACGAGGGCCCTGTTGAGTAATATCATCTCAATGGGCAGAAATGTATTTGCATAATTCATATTTTAAAAAATGTGCGTTATATAAATCTTTCTTACACAGGGAGAACACTCCAGTGTGGCCACTCACATCTAAATGGTCTGGGAATTGTCCTTCTCAGCATTTATCAGCCATATCCTCATTTTATTCTATTATGGGAGAAAAAAGAGCAATGCTAGGCTGATCAATGTGCCGGTGAATCTCATGGCTACATTTTAGAATGACCTACAATAAAGGTGTTAGGCAAACGTAAGAGAAATTTACTACTCATGGGATAATTGCTCACTGTAGCATCACGGTGCCCTAAACGTGGCATATTCTTGCTTTATTTATGCCCCGATGCTTGACTGATAGTCTTTCTCATATTTTGCCTTACTTTTGAAAGCACAGATTTTCTTGCCTTATTGATCTCTTTATACCCTTATCATTTTTCCCTGAGTTATTTGGCATGATGACAGCAGTGTGTCGCGAGGCTGATTTAACATTATCTCCCAAGTATGCAGCACTGAGCTCAGAGTGGAATATTTTAAGACTGAAACATGTAACACATTTGTCAAGCAATGATACAAATACAATCCGTTGTCAGAACTAATGAATGAAGTAATTCCAAGCATGGATAAATAGCAAGAAAATGGAAGATGCTAGAAACTATGTTTCACGAAAAAGCATTTCTGAGCAACTTATTTGGAGAAGAATGTTGTGCCTTTGTTTTTGGTTCCAACTTACTTATTTTCACTAAAAGACCTTGGTGGTTATTTTTAGAGAATGAAAGTGCAGTAAGAAGCAGACAGCTATCCACATGTTAATGGAGAAAGTGGGTGGTCCTTTGACTGTGTCCTATCTCATGGGATAGATATATTTTCCAATAAATGTTTTGTAAAATTTGTTAACCAGGTAGCTCCCCTTTATTTGATTGCAGTTCAAGACCTTTTTGTTTTTGATTTTGCACAAGCTTTGTTATCGAATGTGATCAGGCATAAGAATAAACACAGAAACTGCAGGGATGATTCAACAGTGATTAGAAAGGACACAAGTTACCTGTCAATAATGCTTCATCCTAAAACCTTAAAAGACTCCCGCGCAAGGAGAAAATGATATCCCAAAATGGACTGTTTTTACTAAGTGTGTTTAAGCACATTCTGAAAGGAGAAAGAGGGTGGAAGCATAGATGTGTCTATGTGTAATTAGAGAAGGGAGGATAGAATAGCAGCCAGTAAGGGAGAAGTTTAAGTAAAAGGAACAAAAAGAGAATAAGGACCATGTCCCTGATGCAGGCATTTATTATCTTATGGAAAAGGAAGTTCCCAATTTCATACAGGATCTACTCAGTTATTTATAACTTTGATACAACATTTTAAGCAGTGATTAAGTTCTGTGAATGGCCCTTACACAATTCAGTTCTCTTCACCTAGAAACGGAAATGGAAATCCAGCACTGAGGATCCAAGGGAAAAATGACCTCCTATGTCTTATGTGAATGAAAGTTATTTCTAATCTTACTTAACCCTGGATGTACCTAGAATCCTACTGTACCATTGTTTATCCTACCATGTTTGATATTCTCTTGTAACACCAGTGTAACTATTAAATAAAACTAGAATTATGTTTCCAAATATTTGAGTTATTAAATTCTTATTAGTATATACATACACATCATTATCTGGTATTCCTAACAAAATTATACTGCATTTCTCCTAGCTTTTCTGCTGCAACTCTGTGTATGTATGTATGTATGTATGTATGTATGTATGTATGTATGTATGTATGTATGAATGAGATGGAGTTTCACTCTCTTTGCCCAGGCCGGAGTGCAGTGGCACGATCTCAGCTCACTGCAACCTCTGCATCTGGTTTCAAGCGATTCTCCTGCCTCAGCCTCCTGAGTAACTGGGATTACAGGTGCACACCACCACATCCAGCTAATTTTTTGTATTTTTAATAGAGACAGGGTTTCACCATGTTGGCCAGGCTGGTCTCGAATTCCTGACCTAGTGATCTGCCTGCCTTGGGCTCCCAAAGTGCTGGGATTACAGGTGTGAGCCACCGCGCCTGGCTTTCTGCTGCCTCTCTTTTTCTTATGTGAGAAGAGAAATAATATTAATGTCCAAACAGGGCCATCTTCTCTTTTCAGTGCCGTCTAACCTAATAGTAGTATTTGAGCATGCTCTGAAAAAGCCATTTGAAAATGAGCAGTCTACTGCCTCCTGATTCCTGCTGCTGTTCTATATAAAATGCCTTCCTCCTGGTTCCCCAGTAGCCAAGCCTATTCATCCTGAAGGCAGGATTCAAATTTCACCTCCTCTGAGAAACCTTTATCATAGACAGATTTATCTCCTCCCTGCTTAAGGTTCTAGGAGACATTTTTTTCTCATGTCCCTGCTGGTGATAAACATTTTGTCCTTCAGTAGATATTTCTACCCCTGGAATGCTGAAGAGTTGAGGACAGGCCACGCAGCCAGCCACACTTCTGATTCTCAGCACTTACATATACATACTTGGAACAAAATCTTTCAGTTGGCACTTAATTAATCTTTGGCTGGAAGGTGAATTTTACCATAAAAGTCTAGTCAACAATGATTCTTCTTGGGAGACTCAGGGGTAATTCATCAACCTAACCCCCAATTATATTATTAGTTTTATTAGATAAGTATATGTTGCCTTATGTATCTATGAAAACATGGCAACTTGAGGAGTGGTTCTACTTGCCTTTATGCTTCTGGGGCTGTGGTAAGAACAAAAAAGGGAACTATAATAAATGTATTTTCTCCACCCTTCTCCTTCTGCAGTTCTCTGCCAAAACACCTGCAAGCATACTGCTTACAGACAAAACCACAGCATCTGGGCTACCCAAAAAGCAAGCATAGTGGCTTATGGAAATGTATTCGTTCATCACTGGCCAGGGAGAATACACCCACCCATTTCAAGCATAGTCATACATGACTGTCAAAACTGTGAGGAATATGAGCTCCTTATTTTTGGTCTCACTATATATGTACAAAGTGAATTTTGCCTGTTACAGAAATAGAGGGGCTAAGAGAGCTCATAAGATGTTTGCAATATATGTAAATAAGTGTCTTTTCTATTATAAACTAACTAAATGCACATTTGAATTTTAAAAATATTTGACTATCAACATTGACTTCTTCAAAAGTCTTAATTTAAATAAGTTCAAATCATTGTTACAATGTAGTTTTTCAACTATTTTGGTAAATAACTTATTTTATTCACATCCTTTGACAGACATGGGGCATTCATATGAGTTTCTTTCTGCTTCACATCAGTTTTGTGTATGTGTTTGAAACAATAAAAACTCCAGTCAATTCAGTTGCTATTTGTGAGTGGTGATGGAAAAGATCCATTCTTTGCTGGAAAAGCAATATATTTGTAGCAAATAGCTACCAACTTTAGTAGAGAAAATTATTTGCACACTGAACAGGGAAACTGCCAAAGCGAAGAACAGAGCATCTGCTATGGACAAGGGTGTAATTATCTTGCTCATCCAAACACCGTTGGGCATAAAAGTTTCACTCTCTCTCTCTCTGGCAAGACACTCTGCTCAGATTTTTAACACAACATTATTAGCAAATAATAACTAGTTTGGAAGTCCTGTCAATAAAAACAGTATGTCTTTTGGACCATTTCCTGAAAAATGGAAAACAGGCGCTAATCTGATAAAATCATGAATCATTTTAGTGCCAAAATGATCAAAAGCATCATTTCTGTCCTGTCTTAAACATGTCAGATGTCTTTATACATTGTTTGCTATAGAATGAGGATTTGTCAAAAGAGGAAATATCTATCTTTCTGGTTCCAGATTACAAGTTATTGTATGCTTCTAAAAACGATTTTCTGATTTGTAATGTTTTCTTTACCCAGGAGGTGAGATTACCATTACTTTTATGCCACCTTACCTTCGTTGAGAATGAAATATGAGTAGATCTTTCTGCTAGGCCAGATTAACAAAATGAAAGAAGCCTGTTTATGATGAATGGATATCAGATATCAAAGGATAGCTGCTTTTCTGATTATGTTGTTGCCACTTCTAACTTTTCTCTGGGGATTTCAATCTGAGATGGGCAAGAGACTTGAGTCTACTCAAAAAACCACCAGAAAAAAGTGGTTGAATTTCCTTTTCCAATTGCTTACATGTAGTTGTGTTGCTTTTTTTTTTTTTTTAAGAAGAAAGGGATAGGAATCATGAAGTCATTTCCAGCAAATGTCCTTAATAGGCAAGCTTGCCAAAATATCACCGTGCCCCTGTCTTTCCCAAAACCTTCCAACAGCTATCAGCAACAGCTGACAAGCACTAGCTAATTTGAAATTGTATGTTCTCTCCTGTCAACACCAGACCACACACACAGCTTTGAAAAACACCCAGTGAATACCATAATTTTTAAACAGAGGGCTCATCATGTTCCATTTTCTTGTGCTTAAAAAGTAATATGTACTTTCTATTCAGAATTTAAAAACCTTCACCACCCTTTGAAGTTTTAGATTTAAAATTTTATTCTTTGGCATCTGAAGGAAGAGGACATCAAATATTAGAGGCAATAAAGCAAGTAGAAGTGACAACTTCCCCTAAGGTTGGTGGTACCAGACACTGGCGCAAATTCATCCATCTGCATGTCTCAAGGACATATTCCCACATGAGGATCTAGGAGGGAAAGTGTCACGGAACGAACAGATGGGCTTCCTTGCCTAGACTAGCCTAATGGAGCTTTTAGGCAATTTGCATACTAGCTGTCAGTGACACAGGTGTGTGTCAAGACTTGAGAGAAGCTAAAAGAAACCTTATATAGGGTATACTTTCATGCTGATTCATGCTTGCCTTCATTGTGAATGCTAATAGGTGATATTTGTTAGAAGGCCAGCAGTTCAGTGGTGGCACTTTGTTTTTTCCTTCTAAGTTACAGGCTGCAGGCAGTTCAGTGTGGGTTCAAGTCAGAATAATTTACATTCCAATAGAAGGCTAATACTGAAGTCTTGCTCTTTTTATTAGTGAAACATATCCAAAATAGTATTTCCATGCCTTCACTTTTTATTAAATATGTTGGATCTTTTCTGGTCTTATGGTCAAACATTTGAATGTTGAAATGTTGAGAGCTGCCTGACTCTAGTACAATCTCATTACCTGAAAGAAAGAAACGGTGGCTGCCAAAACCAATGTGAACATTCCCAGGGCTCATCAAATTCTAGAAAGTTTCAACTTTTCTGCAATCCAATAACAGACCCATAACAGTGCACAGTATACTGAAGTAATGAAAAAAAAATCAATTAATTTAAGTAGCATTACATTATGTGTTACATACTGCAACTTGCTCCTTGACCTTGACCACATAAATTATCTGCCATTTTGATAGGCAGGCACATTGATGCTTCAAGTGAACCACATCTTCCATAATTCATACCCCAGTCCAGTATACTCTCACATTAGCTCTGAGTTTAGCCATAGATTTGCTGCAACCAAAAGATAGTCACGAGTATGATAAAGCAGTGGTTAGATAAGCACTCCCACACATTGGAGCTTATTATCCTGGGATGCTCCCAAGAGAATAACTAAGTAGTTTAGAACCCAACTACTCAGCCTTTTGGAACCCATCCACTATGCTGTAAGGAAATAATCCCAACAACATAATTTCCTGATGTCGATTTACTCAGACAAGCTTTGGGGACAATAATTTGTACTTACTGCAATGAAGACTGTGTTGTGTTAGGGCTGAAACATATGTCATTTCAGGCCCAGAATATCCTTCTAGAGAGGGAGGCCACATGGAGAGACTCTGGAGAATGAGATAATATATGAAAAAAGAGTCCAGGTAGAGAAGTACTGAGGTGCCGCAACTGAGGTGTCCCAGCCAAACTCTTCAGTGACTGGAGTAACCCCAATTGGTACCACGTGGAGCAGAGGCCTGCTCTGTCAATGAAAAGAATCATTAGAAAAAATAGTTATTGTTTTTAGCTACTTTTTTTTATCTATTTCTATTTGTTATACAGAAAATAACTGAGATTTTCTAAAATGAAACTTATTTCTGAGATTCTAATGGACAGCTAACTTGCTGTGCGACATTAAAACTGACAGAGGCTGTTTTCTCATCTATATTACGAGCAAGTTGAATTAGATGGTCTCAGAGGTTCCTTTCAACTCTGATAGTCTATTGCATTCTATACCAGGAGTAAAATAAAGTGTGCAAGCATCCTGACTGCAATAGCAGACTAATTATGCAACATTGCATCCTTAAAAGAAAGGAATTTTAAGTTGGCAGCCATGGTCTAATATAAGTTCACCAGAGAACAAAACATGCTTTGTGAAAAAGCCCTCTAGCTCAGGCTCATCACAGCTGATCATTTTGATACAGATTCTTCAACTCTGTATTGTACATATTCTGACGAAAAATATTAGTTGGTACAGCGATTACACAATATAACAGTGTAGGTACTTCTCAGAAAAGCTGGGGTCTGCTGCTGTAAACTCATTTTATGATTTAGAAAGAAAATATATATATAAAAAAAGTGTATCATAATGACATTAGAGAGTCAGAAGTCTGTGCCTATGACATATAACCCCCCTAAAAGTACAGGGTAATTTAAAGACCATTATCAAATGTCTATTCTGTAACAATTAAGTACAAAGAATAGGTCATACATTTTCTTGACCCTTAGAGATTTTTTTTCCTAAACCATCACTTTTATAGTGCTTATGGTATGTCATACACTGTTCCAAATATTTTACAGATGAGGAAATTGAGGCACAGACAGATTAAGTGCTTAATCAAAAACTTAAGTCAAAAGAGATCTGTGATTCCAATGTACATTAAACAGAAACATTTTATTTACATAATTTTCCTACTTCCTTTTTTTTTTTTTTTTTTTTTGAGATGGAGTCTCGCTCTGTCATCCAGGCTGGAGTGCAGTGGCGCAATCTCGGCTCACTGCAAGCTCCGCCTCCCGGGTTCACACCATTCTCCTGCCTCAGCCTCCCAAGTAGCTGGGGCTACAGGCACCCGCCACCACACCCAGCTAATTTTTTGTATTTTTAGTAGAGACGGGGTTTCACCGTGTTAGCCAGGATGGTCTCGATCTCCTGACCTCGTGATCTGCCCACCTCGGCCTCCCAAAGTGCTGGGATTACAGGCGTGAGTCACCGTGCCCAGCCAATTTTCCTAATTTCTAATGACTTTGAAAATTGAGTAAATTAGGACTGCTCTCCTCTGAGTTCCATAATGTCTCTTAAGGATATTAATATTTATTTACTAATGTTATTTTCATTAATAGTGTGAATTCTATTATTAGTCAAGTTAGAATATTTATGCACAAAAATATTACAACAGCATAACTTCATGATATTGATTTATTCAGACAAGCTTTGGGGATAATCATTTGCATTGACTGTAAAATAAGACTGTGCTAACAGGGCAGAAATATGTGGCATTTCAGCCACAGAAGCAAGTGTAATGCTCAAGCCTAACTCAATCATCTGTTAGAGGGAAGAGGGAGAAAGATATAGAAACATTTAAGTACCTGGCTAAATGGTTGGGCCCTGAAAACAGCTTTCTATATTAAGATTATTTGACTCTACATAATTTAATCACATTGCATTTATTATATAATATGCATATTTAAATCAAATTATAAGCATAATGTAGCTGCCTTGACTAAGATTTTTGACTATGTATATTTTAACCAAATTATCATGAGTAGATTGATAAGAAAGATCACCCTTAATGTTCAGCCACAGAATGCAGCGGTAAGAAATGGGGACTCTGAAACTGACTGCCAAGGTCGTGTACATACACCTCAGTCGCTAGTCAGGTGACTTTGGGAGAAGTTATTTAACTTCTCTGTGCCTCAGTTTCCATGTCTGAAAACTGAGAATAAGGCCAGTATCAACCTTCTTAGGCAGTTGTGATAATCCAGTGAACTGAGCAGATGTTAAACCACTTTAGAACAGTCCCTGGCAGTGAGCAAGTGTGCAGTGATTGTTGGTCATTGTTATCATTTGTATTGTTCTTGTTTTTAAGTTTATCACTGAACTGCATTGGAATGTACATTGATTCTACAAAATGTATTGCATAGCTTCTGCATCAAGTCAGAACTTCAACCTGGAGACCCATCTATAAGGAGATCAGCATGCATCTAAGTTTCATGAATATGAGCTTAAAAATAGTAATCTAACTCACAAAGTTAAGGTCATTTCTTCCTTGGCCAAAGAAACCTGGATATAGGTAAGTGACTGTGATGCAGACAACAAATTTGATTTTCAAATTTAAAAATTCTGCCTATTTTAACTATTGTTTTACTACTTAACAATTTCAAAGGAGTAAAATAATATTTTGGGATTTCTAACTGAAAGTAGTCAACAAAAACTAAAAAATTAGTTTAATGAAAAAAAGTATTAAACTATAAATATATGTTTGTGTATGTGTATGTGCATATAAACTTGTATTTTTTAACACAGTTCAGGGTTTAGCTTAGGGTTACAAAAAACAGTTTCAACATCAAGCCCAGTCTTGGCTCATGATATGTGTGCTATAAATATTTGCTCAAATATTGAATGACAAGGCAAAGGAGTAGAACTTAACAAATCATGTGTAAAAACTGTTTGGCTTGATTATTCAGGGGAGTTGTGATGTGGTTTAATGAGCCAGACCACCTTTCAGCCAGACATAGAAAGGGGCTTGGATTGTCATTCAGGGAGTTGTAGCAGTTTGAAATAAATGAATTGCTCTGTGTCAGTTTTTGTGACTAAAAGCTACAGTCATAGCTTTTAGTACAGATTTCATTTTTAATAATCTCCTTAAAAATCACTAAAAATATCATCCCACCGTGTAATTTGTTTCTTTCACACTGTTGGCACTCCTACTGTTTAAAACTAATTGCTTTTTTACATTATCTTAAGGTCAGTCTCAACAGAATGAATTTGGAGACAGCACAACTGTGAGCCACAACCATTTAACACATCAAGAGCAGATCTCGATGCTGAATGAATGTCTCCTTCAGAATTGCACCGAAGATACCTAATTTAATTTGCCTCTAGGCAAACATCACAATGACTGACAGTATAACTTTAAGGTTTGTTAAACATAGTCTGGGTGTTTATTTGCATCTCTCTGGAAGACACTCCAGAAATTATGTTAGTTCTTTAAAATGTAACAATTAGGATATGCAGCAGGGGAAAAATCATGTGTGGGTTCAGTTGGAATTTTTGTGAGGACATTCAAGTACTGTTTCAATCTATCCAATCCAATACACCTCTTAAGAGATAGCAAATACATTCAAAAGTTGCATAGCCTCTCCACCTTTCCCAGATAGTGGCAAATCATACAACCAAAACAACCAAATACATTTTCTAAATCAATCCCTAGGTCACTAAGCTCACCTTAGAATAACTGCAAGTATAGATAAAATGGCTGAATTTTCCCCCATGTTTTAGGTGAGAAATGAAGCAGGTAGCTTAACAATAGCCATAAAATTTACAGACTGAGGGAGCAAGATGCAGTTAAGCAAGTTCGTAAGTGTGTGTGTGTGACCCATTCACCTGATTAGTACATATTCTCTCCTTCCCACCTTACCAAAGCCACATTACAGCCACGTATGTGGCAAATGGCATTACAGTATGCCAACAATCAAGGATATCCACTATGAAAATAATGTACCCTGATTTGCCACAAAAACAATAATATACAGGCAAGAATATTTATGAATTCAGAAGTAGTGGTGGAAAAACATTTTCTCTTCTCAGAGGCACACAAAATAAAGAATTCTTAAAAGTATGACCTGGCAAATAAATTGTCTGTGAATTTTTTTAACAAAGGCACAGGATTATAGACAAAGCCTGGAAGTTAGCATTCAAAAGCGTAAACATGGTTAAACGATATGCAGGATCTGTCTTCTCAGAGAAAGTTTTGATTCTCTTGGATTCTCAGAGAGAACATAAAAGTTTCCAGATAACTTATTCATGAACAACACCTGACTTTCCCATTAATATCTAACTCTCTTTTGAGAAGAACTTTTTAAAATCTATGAAAACTTGGGTTTGGGTCCTAGAAGTAAAACACATTCTAAAACATAAACCCTAGGCAAGAAGTGACTAAGCACAATCATTTATCCATGGTTATTGTGGTTTTTAACTCTAGATAAATGTTTTCTTCCATGCCTAGTTTTATTACCATTCATTATAATTCAGAAAGGGTTAAAGAGCAGTCTGGCTTTATAATCTTTCCACAGTTAAATTCCTATGCAAGACTATATTATTTGTCAATTTTTATAGTCACATATTTGTTGCTATATTTTCGGTATGTACTTTTTCACCAGAGGTATTGGGAGAGAAGAGGAAACCAATGTATTCAGTTTGCAGGTACTTTGCCATCTTCAGAACTGACCTATTTGTAACCCAACACTCATATCTCTGTTAATAAGGCAAATTGAAGATTTATCACTCAAGACCAACCTGCTAACTCATCATGATTATCCTACCTAGGGCATGGCAGTAAGGGGTTTCACTGGAGAGTCCAGAGCTACCCAGGAAGTAATATTTTTCTTCAAAGTAGCTGATGGAAACAAAAGAGCTCACTACTCTGAAAATAGTGTTGCAATTAAGGGAAAATCCTACAGAAATATAGCCTATAAACTCTCAGCTAAAACATGCTCTTCACTCATTTATATAAGTTGGACCTAACAAAGAGCATTTAGATAGTAAGCTGTACCTATAACATATGTCTCTTAACCAGCAAAAAGAAAATAGCATCAAAATACAAACAGAATCATTGGATTTCAGCAATCATGTAATATGTTCTCACTTCATTTTATAAATGGGGAAAAGAAGGGTAAACCACTGTCCCAAAAACAAATAGCAGAGCCAGAACCCTAAATCAGTGATCTCAGTGTGATTCACGGATTGGTCCCACTCAAAACTGTGACCAGTCTGCAGTAAGATCAATTATAGAAACTGAGAATAAGGACTTAAAAACTTTTATGCTGGTTTGATATCATAATGTCATCCAAGTGTCTGATTTCATTTTAGCCTGCAAGAGGTTGAAAATGAAAATTCAATTTTCATCTTCGATAGTCTGAGGAGCACTGCTGGACATCAGCCCTTTTGGGCCCAGGATACTGGTGTCTGTACAGAATATTCATGTTCTCATCCAATCTATGATGATACCACATAATCCACTCGAGAAGAATGTTGATATCAAAACATAAAGTCATTCATATTTCTATTATCAAAAGTTTCATATGGGAGAAGAAAGAAATCACTGGGCAGTTTCAGAACTACATAGCATTGTCTGTGTTGGGGATGGATTTTTACACTTTTAAAAATATGTTGGCTCCTTTATTATTTTCAAAGATTAGAAGCAGAAGCAAGGAATTTCTTTTTTATTAATAGAAATCTTTAATCTCAAGTCTGCAATCACTTTTTAATAATGACAGAAAAGAAAAGAAGGAATAATTATTGTTTTTTTTCTCCAACTTTAATTGCAATTTATTGTTCCATCTACTTCACTATCATCTTTCCAGTGATTCCGACAGTTCAACAGCCCTGGAATGTCCTTTTAGAAATCCCATTGCTTCTTCCAGTCTGATCTGCCTTATGATTGGGCCTAAAGTTGGAGGTGCTGTTCTTACATGTTCTAGATTGGCTTTTCCCCAGCTCATCTTCCCTGGTTGATAGAAAGATGGCAAAGTTAGCTATGCAAGTGGCTCTAACTCTTCCTAGAGCCAAATCTGGTTTGTACACTCCACAATATTGCATCCTACAGCCACATCTCAACTTAAAGTGACATAAGGTGCTTCTCATGTTTGATCTAAACAAGCACCTTAAATGAAACCAAGAAATACGTCCATCTATATTACATACAGTTTTTTTCCTTTTGACTTCTCCACCTGAATCTTAGCTTAGGTGTGGTCAAGAATTTTCCTGCTAAGATAAGAAAATATATTCAATATATATTCAATTCTTAATGAACTATAGGAAATTAGAAGATGAATACTTTTTTATGTTTGTTTTTTAACTTTGTTACTCTTTTATTTGGCTTGAGAACAGATCTTGTCTGATTCATTTATAACCAGCAGCTCAGCCCCACATCCCATGTACTCTTTTACCTTAAATCATTCTATGATCGTCTTATACTTTTTTTTTTCAGTTGCTACAGGACCTTGTACAAGTTAAGTGCTCAGTAAGTAAAGTATAAACAGAAGATAACTATTGTATATGATCATTGTGCTTTTTGTCTCCTACTGTTTAGAACTGCTGAGTTATTTTGTGTCCATAAACTCCAGTTTATCATCCTAGCCCTCAATTTGAATTCTTCTTTATCAATCCAGCTTCAGTATTATATGATGTAAAGTTCTGTGCCACAGAATGCAAACATTGTACAGAACATCATTCCTCCCCTTGAAAAACATAAAATTTAATACTAGTTCTATATCAATCAAATGCTACATTTTGGAGTCAAGACCAACTACACAGAAGAGGTCTTCAAAATCATCAGCTCTTTGACCAGTTATACTTCTAATCAAGAATATGTCTTAAACAAATGGGGAAATATTTCTAAGATATCTCTGTAAAGATTGATACAGCTAACTCATTGCCATCATTATTAGAAAATAAAGGAAGTCAAAGTACATTTCATAACTACTAGATAATTTTACTCACATTTTTGATTTCTGGTGTTGTAAAAACCTACATCACTGCTTAATCTGTTCATTCAAGAAATGTTTATTGCACACAAAATCTGCAGGGAATACAAAAACAAATAAGACACAATCCCTTAAAATATATGGACTGATTTCTAAAGTGGGCAATTGAGCTGTTTGTGCATTTGGCTTAATATCATGGTTTTGTTGGAGTCTTCAGTACTACCTTGAATTCCTGGTTAAAGATACTCCAGATAAGCTTTTTCTTCATTAGAATAATGTTTCCTACATAGGAGCCTCTTACAATTTGAAGGCCACAGCATTTACTAATTTTTCAGGCATATATCCACAAGCCTAGTCTTCAATATATTACCAAGGGCTTTTTTTCATCACCGTCAATGTAAAAAGTCAACACTGTGGCATAAAATAAAGAACACTGAAAATGGCAATCACCCACATGTCTCAACAACTAACACACACCAGCTTGGTATCTTTGCTGTTATCTAAATTACAGTATCGGCAGCTTCACTAACATTCTTGATGTGTAAAATGCTTTACTCTTGGGCAACTTGTTCAAAGCTGTCTTTCTCTAATTTGAGGCAATTCCCCCTTTTCAAGTTTTAAAAAATTAATCATCATAGCCATGACTACAAGATAGTAAAGAATCGTAGCAGCTGTCTGAACACTGAAAATGATACAAACCTAAGCACTAAAGTTTTTCTGCAAAGGGAACTTCCCTGTGTCACAAAGTTTAAATAAAATTAAATTAAGTTTGGTTTTACTTATCAGCAGTATTTGAAAAGAAGGCAAATTCCATTCCCCCATCTTCATTCAGAAGTTCCCACCTATGTCATTCTATATGCCCATGCTCCTTTATGACACCAAAGCGACTAGCACTGTTTAAATGAAAAGCCAACCTAGTCTAGCTATAACTTTTCCTCTTAAAACATGCCCTAAGTTTAAGAAAGCAGTAGTCAGCAGAAGCAACATCCCTTCCTGTAGCCCTGCACCAGTGAAGGCATTAAATATCTTCTCATGATGAAGAGGTATATATTGTCCTAAAACTCTTCATCCTTCTGAGAAATGTTAGGCTGTAAATGCAGAGACTGTAAACGCGGGACAGCCTAGTTAGATTTCAAGTTTTTTTTGTGGAGGTAAACATAACAGTTTATAACTTCACTGTATTAATGATGTGATGATATCTTACTGAAACATATTTTGTACCAACATAAAACACCAAATTTTAAATAATATTAATGTGAGCTATTTTGACAATAAATGAGGGAAAATTCTGGAAACTCTTTCTTTTTAATAGGTATGCCTGTTGGGAGAAAATGGGACAACTCCTAGCGAACTGGATTGAAGCCTCAATCGATATTGAATTTTGTTTCATCTTATCCCATATGACACCAGCAGTTAAAATCAAGAGCTGTTATTGTATCGTGCTCTCCCTCCCACACATTATTTGCACTGCTTCACTAATTAAGTTCACAGCAATATTGATTATATCAAGATCTTATCCTAAAACCTTCCATGGTTTCCAACTTTGCAATGAATTACATTTTTACCTCAATATTCTTTTATTCTCCAAACTCAACTCTCCAGTCCAAAAATCTCCTGTTTACAGTCTATCCTACATACTCAGGCAAAGCAGTGGACTTATTCTCCCTTAGAAGTGTCATGGAGTTCCTGATATTTCTCATCATCGCCCCAATCATTTCACCTGTAAAACTTGAAAACATCTATCAAGATCCATTTGGCTAACCAAATATGATCCTTTCAACCTGTTGATCCCCACGGTCATTTCCAACTTCCATTTTCACCTATTCACTATGCCACCTGGTTTAAGAATAAGTAGGTCCTTTTCCCAATTGATTGCAGCTACCTCGCTTTTGTTCTGCTTGTCTTTGTTTTTTATTGTGGTAGAATAAACAAAATCTACCATGTCAGCCATTAATACATGAATAATTCAGTGGCATTAAGTACATCCACATAGTTGCACAATCACTACCACCATCCATCTCCAGAACTTTTAGTCCTCCTGAGTCGCAACTCTTTACTCATTAAATTATACCCATTTCTCCCTCCTTCCAGCCTCTGGTAACTAACTGCTCTTCTACTTTTTGTCTCTATGAATTTGACTACTCTAGCCATCTCACGTAAGTGGAATTGTACAGTAATTGTCCTTTTGTGCCTGGCCTATTTCACTTAGCATAACGTCCTCAAGGTTCATCATATTGTAGCATGTGTCAGAATGTCTGTGGTGTCAGCACAGTGCTTGTGAACTCAGTAAGTGGCCCATAAATATGCCTTGAATTTAACTCTTCATCTCAGAATGAAATACAGATATCATTTAATTTTATCAATAGGTTTATCAAGCTTTTTTCCCCAGAAGGGCTGGAAAGTAGACATTTAAAAAATTTATTACTGCTCTAGCCAAATATTCTGCTTGGGTGTGCCAATCTTTCTGCTTCTGCATCTACAACACCTTTACCATACTTTTGCTCCATATCCTTGAAACCTGAATTCAGCAACCTGGCACATGTATAGAATTTGATCCCTACAGTTTTTATCTCTTGACCATTCTAAAATAAAGCAAAACAAAAAAATGTAGTTTTCTATAATTCTCTTGGGATCTGTGACAAATACAATTAGTTTTAGCTGATTTAGCCATTGTCCTTCATTTTACTTCTCTACCTGCCTATCAGTGCTTTAGCTAGGAGTGGCTTTATGACACTTCTAGCCAACAAGGCATAATTGAATATTGGCTAAGCAGATATTATTGGGTTAAAAAAAATATTACTTTTCTAATCAAGGTAATAGATTCAGTGGGCAAATATATTTGGCTTTTGTTCCCCTTTGGCTTTACTGAAGCCTTTAACATGGGCAAAATTCAGGACATTGATGTAATCAGGCCATGATGCTGGAAGTTCGGCAGCTATTTTGAGACCATGAGGCCAAAGCCGAAGTGCCATGGATGTTTGCAACTTTTCAGTAGCAATTCATTCCTAGAGTATTTGTCTCAGCCTTCTTTTCTAAAAGGCAAATAAACCTCAATTTTTTCAAGCTCTTAATAGATAGATTTGCTCTTGCTTATAGCCAAGAATCTGTATTTGTTAATCACAATGCTCAATTACATTGTACCTAAGCCAACAAATGGAAGAAATGGAGTTTTGAAATCCACCTTGAAATTCAGGAACTTTGCCACCAAACTATTACTGATATAAGCCAGTGGTTTGAAAACATATATAGATGTGTGGATGTATGCATATTTGCTTATATATATATACACACACACACACATGTGGGGCCATAGCTGTTTGAGACTTGGACTTTATTTGTTTGAAGTCATTATGCCCTGCAATTTACGAAAGGAAGTTAAAACTTTTAGAGGCAAGAAAGGGAAATGAGGCAGGGCTAAAGTAGAGAAAAGGCTTGATAGGAAAAAATGATTTTTCAAAGCTTCAGCCAGAAACACTGCTTAGCACTGGCAGCCTGGGAATATCAAAATGGAAACGCTGAGGAGAGCTACTAAGTGATTCACACTCACAATAAGCATTTCCCAGATGTACAGCAGAAAATTCTAAAAAAGCAAAAACACATAAAAACAAAACCAATCGTCCTCTTAAAGCTGAGTTCCCAGAGCTAAATTACATTATCTCCTTTGTAAGTGTCCTCTTGTGTGTAGATCCACTATAAAAATAGACTGGTTGAGGTTCGCACTTTTAGTTTTATTCATGGCATGTAAACATTTTTTGCATCACTTGGCACCTGCAGCACATGACAAGGATCTTGTAAGCACTAAGAACACTATTTCACTGCATAGCCATCTTGACAGCATTTCTAGACATCCTGGTCACCAACAGTTATGGTGGTCAATGACCACGTGTTCTAGCTGGAACTCTGCCAAAGGGAAGACCTGAGAAAGATCTTTTCATCTCTAATTCAGAAGAGTTTTCAAATCACACACAGAAAAATCTGACTTTTGCCAAACCAAGATCTGTTTATCAGTTAAAAGATTATTTTATTTACTCCAATAGCTGGCACATGATTCTAGGATGTGCAGTTGAGGAGACACTTGTCCTTGAGACCTTCCTGATGACCAGAGAGAAAAAGGGAGAGGAATTTGCCTCTCTTGTACATAAGCTCCTTCACACAAATTGTATCCATCCTGCTCCCTAGTCAAAAAGGTTCTGTAAAGACTGTCTTGGTGTTGAAGAGGTAAACTACCCTAAAAGTGAAATTAAAGAAATAACACTGCTGGCCACAATGACAATATAAATAGCATCTTAGACAGTATTTCACACCTCTCAAGTGTCCTCTGAATTCATCTCATCATTACCTCTATTTGATGGATGAGGAGTCTGTGACTCAAAGAGGTTGATTTATGATGCTCATATAGCCACTAAGTTGTAAAGAAGGAATCTGGGTTCTAGATTCTGCAAATTCACTAACAGCACTGAGAGTAGCTATGTCTATAATTTCCCAAAGGCCATAAGGAGATTTAGAAGTAATCTCTTTCATATCCTTCCTTATCATAGTTTGAATACTTGCTCATCATGGAAGCATCTTTTATTTATTCTGTCACTGATGGGAGATCGAGACCCTATGGCTATGGAATCACCTGTCTGCAGCTCACTTGTGGCTAAAATAGAGAAATGTAGCCAGGCACAGTGACATGCATCTATAGTTCCAGCTGCTCGGGAGGCTGAGGCAGGTGGATTGCTTGAGCCCAGGAGTTCGAATCCAGCCTGAGTGACACAGAAAGATCTCATCTCAAAATAAAATGGAAAGGAGTTTAGAACAGAAGAGCTGTAAGGGGGAGGGGTGAAGAGCAAGTTGAAGAAGAAGAGGATAATAGGAAAGGATGGGAGAAGAAGGACATGTGAGGGGGAAGAGTTTTGGGACATGGCTGTCTTAGGGGTCTGTTCCTCTCTTTAGGGTTAAAGTTAGTCTCACTTCCTCATTCCAAACTAGCCAAGGATAGGTATTATATTGAACATGCTGAGTACAATGGTAAAAGTTGGGAGAACCATTCAACACAGTAAGCGTTTAAAACCAAGGCCAATTTGGGGGATCGGACCATCATAAATTAAGAACTAATTGATGTGAATTTACATAAAGAACCTTGGAACTTTAAGGAAGAATATAATCAGTTTTTGAAACTGAATAAATTCAATCATAGACTACAGGAAACATGTTCCTAAACCATGCTATATTATGAGGACTTAAGTAGATATCTAAAACCATATATCCAGAAGCTCAATGAATAGGTACTTTACATATAACACACAAACTCCTAATCTGCCATGTCATCCTGGAAATTGTGTATATAAACATGCATTTAAAGAGCATCAGTTGGTTAACTCTATCTGCAGTTCTCCCTTTACGAAATGATTTGAAGTTCATATTGAATTCATGTTCCTAACACATACGAGGCACAGACATTTGAAAATGAATGATGCACAATTTCATTATTAAACACTCAGCAGGCTACAAAGGCAACTGCATTTCATTAATAATAAATAATAAAAAATGAAAATGCAGTAAAATATTGTCATATCAAACACCTCTGTATTGCTACTTTTATGCACGAAACATCTTACCTTCCCAAGAGAAAACGTCCCTGCCTGATTGTAAGTTAGGTATTTACTAAAGAAAATAAACTCTTTCAGATGAGTCAAATAAACAGAAGCCTCAACTGCTGTGCCTCATTATATTTAAAAGTATTTTTTTGGGAAATGATTTCAAACAGAGAAAGGTTGCATAAATAGTACAAAGAAAATGCAAGAATATATCTTTTCCCTAGATTCACCTACTATATTTTGCCCTATTTACTTTAATAAAATGTACTGCTCTGTCTAGATCTAGATTTATTTGTCCATCTAACTATCTAAAAACATTTTTTTCCTGAACCGTCCAAGAGTGAAATTGGTAAATCATGGTTCTTTATCCCTAATAACTTCAGTATGAGTTTTCCAGGAATAAGGATATTCACGTATTAGACTATAGTACAGTTATCAATATCAGTAAATCTAACATTGATACAATAATCTAGAATTAGTACTCCAATTTTGCCATTTAACCCCATAATAATAATAGCATTTTCCATCTTGCCATACAGCATCCAGTTACAGTGCATTTAATTGTTATGTCACTTTTGTCCCCCTTAACCTGGAACATGTCTTTGGTTTTTGTCTTTTGTGATATTGACATTTTTTAAAAATATAGGCTTGTTTTATTGAAGAATGCTCTTTATTTTGAATTTATCTAATGTTTCCTTGTGATCAAATTCAGATTATGCATGATTCGTGGCTGGAACATACATAAGTTATGTTATGTCCTTCTCAGAGAATCATATCCATAGGCACATGATATCCAGCTGCGCCTCTATCCATAGGCACATGATATCCACCTGCGCCTCATTGTTGATGTTCATCACCTGATCAAATTGTTATCTAATGTTTCCATTGTATAGTTACAATTTTTCAGCTTGCAACTAAAAAGCAATTTATGAAGAGATGCCTCAAAACTATGCAAATATCTTGCTCCTCATCAAACTCTCTTCCCTAGATTTGTCCATTGATATTTCTGTATTTTGATTTCCAATAATTCCAGCCTCCATCCATATTTACCCTATTATATGTTTCATTATTTATGTGGGAAGCCAAGTTGGAGCAGAAAACACACTCAACACCCTTTATTACTTAGTAGCAATTTGATCACAGATAAGTCACTGACCTTCTCTGAATCTAAATTTTAACATTAATATCTTTAATGTTTAAAACATGTCTTTGTTTTTAATTTAACCATTACAAGAATGCCAACAATATTTTTGAGAAAATTAAGACAATGATTCACTTGAAAACAATGGTTACTTGCTTATTGCTTTTGAAAGTGGAACATTTTATAAAGATATAAGGTGTTATCAAATGTAAGCATTTGCTTAAATGTAGCTCTAATGACAATGATGGAGAAGCATCATAGCACTCTCCAGCATTAAGAGCATTTTGGCATACACTAACTCATTTTTATCTAATGGGAATTCTGTGCATTAGGTAGAACAGGAATTACCCCCATTTTACAGATGGGGATTTGACCCTAAGTATTTCTTATGACCACTGACCCAGTGTTTTCCCCATACCCTACATGCCGTTTTACAAATACATACATAAAACACACTCACACACAAATTTCAGATGCACATCCTTGTGGGTATTGTCAGTTGACAAGCTAATACCTAATTCCAGAAGTTTGCTGTAGGTTAGTTCCAATGGTGGCTAGAAAAAACTTGTGGTAGAAAATGACTAGCAATGGAGAGGAGAGGGATACTTTGATAACTGGCTCCTGATGCTTTTCACATTCAGATTAGAAAGTGGTAATGAGGATTTGAACAGATCATGAATTATTCTTCTTTACAGATTAACCCCCCCAACCCAGCATACATAAAACTAAACAGAGTAATACTGGGAGATTGGGAGGTGGCATTGCTGAAAGGGGCCAGAGAGGCAGTTTGTAAATTTAAGTGGGGTGGCCAGAGCAGACTCGATTGAACTTTTGAACAAAGTCTGGAAGGAGGTGTGGCTATGTGAGGAAAGAGTGTTCCCAACAGGTGGAATGCGGAGTGGAAAAGAGTTGAAGAAAGGCCAAATCTGAGGTCCGGCAAAGAGGCCACTGTGGCTGAAGCAGTCTGAACCAGAAAAGTAACAGGAGAGGCAATCAAAGACAGGGGGGTGCCTGGAAAGATCACAGAGGGCCTTAGAGGCCACTGTGAGGACTTAGGAGAATTTTTAAATGGTTTGGTGTTGTGGGAAGTCAGGGACCAAGAAAGGAGGTACCGGCTGAAGCTGCGGCAAAGAACATAAATTGTGAAGATTTCATGGACGTTTATTAGTTCCCCAAATTAATACTTTTATAATTTCTTACACCTGTCTTTACTGCAATCTCTGAATATAAATTCTGAAGATTTCATGGACATTTATCACTTTCTCAATCAATACTCTTATAACTTCCTATGCCTGTCTTTAATCTCTTAATCCTGTCATCTTCGTAAGCTGAGGATGTATGTCTCCTCAGGACCCTGTGATGATTGCATTATCCATATAAATTGTTTGTAAAACATTTGTGTTTGAACAATATGAAATCTGGGCACCCTGAAAAGGAACAGGATAACAGCGATTTTCAGGGAACAAGGGAGATAACCATAAAGTCTGACTGCCTGCGGGGTGGGGCAGAACAGAGTCATATTTCTCTTCTTGCAGAAAGCGAATAGGAGAAATATTGCTGAATTATTTTCCCAGCAAGAAATAACCCTGGGAAAGGAATGCATTCCCAGGGGGCAGTCTCTAAATGGCTGCTCTGAGAGTGTCTGTCTTATGCAGTTGAAGATAAGGGATGAAATACACCCTGTTCTCCTGCAGTGATCTCAGGCTTGCTAGGATTAGGAAATTCCAGCCTGGCAAATTCTAGTCAGACCAGTTGTCTGCTCTCGAACCCTGTTTCCTGTTAAGATGTTTATCAATGACAATGCATGCCCAGTGGGACATGGAACCTCATCAGTAATTCTAATTTCGCTCTAGCCTTGTGATCTTGCTCTGCATCTCTGCCCTTGTGATCTTTTATTGCCCTTTCAAGCATGTGATCTTTGTGACTTACTCCCTGCTCGTACCCACCTCCCCTTTCGAAATCCCTAATAAAAACTTGCTGGTTTTGTGGCTCAGGGGGCATCACGGAACCTGCCAATACATGATGTCACCCCCGGAGGCCCAGCTGTAAAATTTCTCTCTTTGTACTCTTTCTCTTCTCAACACTTAGGGTCGACACTTAGGGAAAAATAGAAAAGAACCTACGTTGAAATACTGGGGGCTGTTTCCCCCGATAGTTTGGGGCACAGGAGTCACATAACCTGACTTATATTTTAATAGAATCAGTAGAGTTTTTGTCCTATGTCATAAGCCTGGTTTTGTTAAATATGATACTATTAAGTGGCATCTGGGTAGTTCATCATCCACTAGTCCTCATTTTCTCCTTCTGATGATTTTCCATTGAATAACAAAATTAATTAATTGTGTGTGTGTGTGCATACAATTTGGAATATACACCTCTTAAGCCATCGCTGCCAGAATTCTTTAATTCTTCAACACTGTACTGTATTTATAAAAATTTCAAAAGCCTCATTCCTTTTCTTTAATACATTATGCTGTATTTATTTTCATATTGGTATCATATCCTGGACCATGAGTTCCTGGCAGGTAGTCCCATGCATTTTTTAAACTCTCAGAATCCAAAATAGTTTCTGGGTCACAGAATGGACCTTATAATAGAGATGGGCTATATCTGTCATAAGTCCACACAGTATATTATATTACAAGTCATAGAAAAGGTTATGTTCTGCTAATAGTTAAGCACATTATAAGGTACTTTGCAGTGTAGTTTTCACACATAAACCAGCAAAAGTTTACTCATTGTTAAAGCAATCTGTGGAAATAGTGGCTCTTTCACAGAAAGGAGGAAAAAAAATTCAGCAGGGTGAATCTGACCCTGACATTTAGGTGAAAAATTGTAACAGGGAGAAGATAAGTCTTCCTTTTTTTCTTGTTTTTTTTTTTCTGTAGACACTATGCCATCTTATAATGTGGCAAAGGGCAACTGCAGTGAAGTGACTGGCATGATCTCTTTTCACCTGACCCAACATAGCAGTGGATTCTCTTCTGTCATCCTTGCCATCATAGATGTATAACTGTGACCAATCATATTAAGGCAATTTTTATGTGTGTTTGTGTGTCTGTGTGTATGTCTGTGTGTTTAACATTCTCTCCACTGTAGAATCATGGTTTGCAGTTTAAAATATTTTGTTATTTGCAATTTTAAAAAATTCCAGAGAAAAATATTATCTACTAAGCAAAGGTTTAAAAGCTTTAAGGAGGACACAGTATCAAATTATAATAAGTACTAAATGGTGGGGTTAAATTATATTTCATTAATGTATTAATTTACTTTGCAACTATTTTACAAATATTTACTGAATGACTCCTATATTCCAGGAACTAACCATAAGAGCTGGGATAAAGTGATGAAAAAAAGAAAGTCTACTCTCATGAGTGATATTTTCCAGGTGGATGAGATGGAATAAACAAGTAACCAAAAAATAAGATTATTTCAGGTAGTATCATACACATATTCATTTGGTTTGTATATGTTTTATATATATTTGGCAATAGATCTTACCTTTTATTTTTCTCTACGTTTTCTTTTTCTTTTTTAGACAGGGACTCCCTCTGTTGCCCAGGCTGGAGTGCAGTGGCACAATCTCGGCTCACTGCAGCCTCCACCTCCCGGGTTCAAGTGATTCTCATGCCTCAGCCTCCCGAGTAGCTGGGACTACAGGCTTGTGCCACCATGCCTGGCTCAGTTTTGTATTTTTAGCAGAGATGGGGTTTCACCATGTTGCCCAAGTTGGTCTTGAACTCCTGACCTCAAGTGATCCACCCTCCTCGACCTCCCAAAGTGCTGGGATTACAGGCGTGAGCCACCATGCCAGGCCTCTACGTTTTCTTAATTTAACTTTATTTATCATGGCTATAATTCCTCTATTATGTTAAAAATCAATCTCATACAACTCATTTAATTGTCAATGGGTTGCATGTCATCGGTTTCCATTTCTGTATTGAGTTTTACAAAAATAATCATATTTTTATATAATATGGGTGACTATTTTTGTAAAACTAAATATCTTGTTCAATTTTGCTCATCCCTACTTTACAGATAAGAAAGTAGAGACTGCAAAGTTGATATGAACATCTTTTCCCAAGGGTGAGCCACTTGTCTCCCTCCCTAACCCTTCCCATATGACTTACACAAATATAATTTTGGTTGTTGCCTGATGTCAGATTTAAATAGCATGCTAGGAATACTCTCAGCTTATAGCTAAGAGTGTATTAATAACTATAATAGCTTTTTAAATTGTGTCAGTCTTCATAAACTCTCACCAATCAAAGTCTTAATCTCCTTTCCACCGTTTTTCTAATTGAACTCTTCTCCATGAAGTCACAGTTTGTCACACAAATTTGATAGCTTGTTTAGAATAGTTTCTTTGATTTTTGTTTTTCTGGATTCTTAACAGTTGTTCTACCTGGCTTGCTCCATCTGTTTTTTTTCAAGTTTGTCTTTCATTTCTTTTCTTTCTCAGAATTTCTTCAAATATTTCAATAGATAGCCTGCCTTTGCCATGCTTGTATTGGATAATATTCCATGTTATTTTCAAATTTTTTGAGCCAACATTTTATTTGTTCATTTCTGGCATTTGAAGCACTCTTTAATGACATGGTTGGCCGGAGATTCTTTGCCATAGACCTTAACTACTACACAACTGCAACTAACCATTTTTTTGGGGTTTCTGCCACTATCGATTCCTAGTCTCTTGGTGTCATCAGTCTTAATTAGGTTGATTTGCTGTTCAGCACAAAGGGCCTCCACCAACTTGACATACAAAGCTCATTACAGTTGAATGTAAACACAGAGATGGGCGTGGCTTTTGTCTAAGACTGTGACTACTTTACAAATTCCCCATGGTAGCCGTCATGGATGAGGGTGGTCTTCAGCTCCTCTTGCAAAGCAGTGTTAATGTCCACTACGCCTCCAGCAGCAATGCCTTCCTTGGGCATGGCAGTGAGTTACGGGTGAATCCCAATTTTCAATGCCTCCTCACATTAAGGCAACTTGGCAGTGAAAGAGCCAAAGAAATTCTAACAAATGTTATGAGACAGAGTGGTGTGATAGAAACTCAAATGGCTAATCAGGTGGTTTGGGAAATGCTAGTTTAAAGAAATCTTAACAGATATTTTTACTGCAGTGTTTCTCAGAACCTAAGATACACTAATCAACCATGGGGCTCTTCAGAAAGGTTGTATATATTATATTTCATAAATTCAAAGGCATGTCTTTTCATTTTTTTTTTAAATAAACTTTGATATGGAGATGCTTCTTACAGTAGAAGCAGAGTCTAATTGGCAGTATATTTTTCTTAGGAGTACATTAAAACAGTCTATATTATAATCAAAAGCATCTTAGATTTAATGAAATGCATTGATAGTCAGGGCCTTCCCAGCTTATTTGACTATGCAGCTTTTTAAAATAATAAAATATCTCTTTAAATATGTAGCAATAGAACTTTTTTTGGTAAATACAGTGTCAAAACCACATTTTCCAAATCTATTTATTTTAGAACAATAACATTTTATCTTGAATTTGGAAATCCCCAAGATGTCTACATAGGCAGAAGAGATGGGGAAAGGGGGATTCCTACAATCTTCAATTTTCAAAAGAGTTTAAAAAGTCTCCCATAGCTTTGTTACTCATTCAAAATGGAATTTGATAACAGCCATGCAAACAAAAATCAAAACTTGATGTTTTTCACAGGAGTGGTATCAAGGGGTTTTGTAGGAGGGGTCTTTTAGAGCCTCTTTTATCTCCATCAGCACATGCACTGCCTATCAATCCCTACTAAAGCCATCACAAACAAATATAAAATCTAAATAAAGTATAGTGACCACTTTCAGTAGCAGTCCCTTACCCTTTTTTCCACCCACCAGGAGCCCCCGCCCCATTCCCTATTTCTACCTCTATGAAGCAATTCTGGAGCTACCACTAATAAGCACTCAACGGCCCCAAAGCTGAGTCCTCAAACAGCAGAGCCTTATGAGAGAAATAAAACTAAACTACAACTTCCATTTAGTGAACAAGAATAAAGACTGCCACTACTCAAGCAGTCTGGGGATTATTGCTATTGTTTTATTTGGGGCCCACTTCCCTAGTCCCAGCCAGTGTTTATCAGCACAGAGAACTTCAGAAACAACGAATATACTTTTGCTAAGCATATTTATCACCATCCAACTCAATGTAAAATTCAACTTTGGCCAGATGGGAGATGCTGAATCAAGATAGTGAGTGGGACCTGCACTTTCTGGTAATCTGATCATGGAGTCAGAATGTATTTAAGGATGCCCAGTTCACATAAAAATTATGCCTAAGGATGTTCAATGCATTGTGAACATCCCTCAACAGTTCCCTGTCTGTGATAAAACATTTGTTCAGGTACTTAATGCCAGTGAATAGGCAGCAAACCAAGAGAAGCCAAGCGCACTTCTGCAGCAGAAGAGTGACCTTTTTCCCCATTTTTTCCTCATTAAGTTTATAAACTTACCTTATCAGAGGTTGAGATCACTGTTACAGCAATCTCAAGGGTGGAATGTGTTAACAGAGAAAATAAAAAAGCCAAACTAATGGCAAAGAAGAAAAATGAGAACCCATGGCTAAGAGATATACCTGGGCAATCAGAGGGGAAGAGAAGACAGTGAGAGTCAGATCTTCCATACACTTTTATTTTTTGCTTGTCTAGAGGGAGCACCAAACTGATTCTGCTGTTATGTCTTCACTATTTTTCCTAAGGTAGGATAATTCTCCAAAAGGATTCAATTAAATAAAACTTTTAAATTTTAAAAAATCAAGAGATGATTCCTCTCAAATTCTCAAATCAATACTGAGGCAAACTGCCTGATGATGTGTCTACATAAATGGGAGGGAGACATCAGGTCTGCAAGCTCTTTCTGTAAGAAAATAGTAGTATCTCATTGCAACAGAAAAATTTTGGGCCAGGCGCAGTGACTCACGCCTGTAATCCCAGCACTTTGGGAGGCCAAGGCGGGCGGATCACGAGGTCAGGAGATTGAGACCATCCTGGCTAACATGGTGAAACCCTGTCTCTACTAAAAATACTAAAATTAGCTGGGCATAGTGGCGGTTGCCTGTAGTCCCAGCTACTCGGGAGGCTGAGGCGGAGAATGGCGTGAGGCAGAGCTGGCAGTGAGCCGAGATCGCGCCACTGCACTCCAGCCTGTGCGACAGAGCAAGACTCTGCCTCAAAAAAGAAAAAAAATTTTGCCAGTGCACAGATTGGCAGTGGGGGGCAAAGTGGTGTTTCCTCAATGCCAAATTATCTAACTCTCTAATTACAGTGTTTCTTTAACGTGGCCTTCCTGGAAACCAAACTTGGGTTTTATAGTGCAGTGATAAAAAAAGATAAACAGTCAAATCTAAGCTCATACACCTTTATTCAGTGAGTTATTCATGCAACAAATATTTATGGTGCATCTATATATCACGGACTCTTCTAGGTGCTAAAAATCTGGCAATGAATAAAACACACAGAAGTTTATACTTTTCTGAAGCTGACATTCTATTACAGAGAGTCAGACAACAAGCAAACCGCTTATTTCTCTATCCTGAGTGATTTTAGAATATGGAGATAAATAAAGCAGGTAAAGGTATATGAAAAGCTAGGGGTAAAGGGAGTGGTGATACACATGTATTTTTTAATATACACATATATACATACACACACATGTGTGTGTGTGTGTGTGTGTGTGTGTCTGTGTGTGTGTAGACAGTTTGGTTGGGGAAGTTATTTCTGATGGAGTGACATTTCATCAGAGACCTGAATAAATAAACCAAACAGATAAATGAGGGTGGGAGTGGTAGGAAAAATGTTTGGGTTCTCTTAGCCTAAGAAATAGGTAAGAGGCCAGCACTGTTAGAATGCAGTAAATTAGGAGAGAAGAAGGTAACACAGAAGAGAAGCAAGGTTGTGTGGATATTTACAAAAGCTTCTTCTTTTACTTTGAATGAGATCCAAAACTTTTGGAAGGTTTGTAGCAGAAAAGCATGGCATGAATTTATATATATTTTATTTATTTATTTATTTATTTTGTATTTTTTAGTAGGGACGGGGTTTCACCGTGTTACCCAGGATGGTCTGGATCTCCTGACCTCATGATCCGCCCACCTTGGCCTCCCAAAGTGCTGGGATTACAGGTGTGAGCCACCGCGCCCGGCCATCTATACATTTTAAAACGTTTACTCTGGCTGCACGGTGGAGAACAGATTGTGGGGAGGCAGGGATATAAGCAGGTTTAGCTGTTAAAAATGTATTGCCATACCATAGGCAGGCAATTATGTAGGTCTGGACCAGGATTACAGAGACGGAAATGTGAAAAACAGTCAAGTAGAGCCATTGATATTTGCTGAAAAATTCTATGTGACAGGTGAGAAAAAAGGGGACAATCAAAGTTTTAGCTAAATCAGTGAGAAGGATGGAGTTGTTTTTTCTTTGTGATTGTGAAGACTGAAAGTAAAGCAGGTTTGGGGAAAATAATGACTTGTTTTGAACATGTTAACTTTGGAATTCCTATTTAACATCCAAAGTGAAAATGCAGTTTTTAGTTTTTTATAACCTGGAGTTCAGGTGAGAAGTCAACCATAGTGATACAAATTTGAGGATCATCATGATATAGGTGATATTTAAAGAAGCAAATTTATATATGCTCCTTAAAGAAATGAGTGAAGATAAAGATATCCAGAGATCCAAGGACTAAGCGCCAGAATCCCCTAGAATTGAAATAAGGGAAATCAAGCTGGCGAGATTGAGAAGGGGTAACCGGTAAGCAATGAGGGACACAAGAGAAGACTGTCTCACAATCCAAGTTTTAAGAAAGAAGAGTTGATCAAGGGTATCAAATGTTACCAAGATTTTAAAGTAAAATGAAAAATGGGAATGGTCCATTGGATCTGGCAACATAAAGATCTTTGATGACGTTGACAAAAATCATTTTGCTCGAGTAGTGGAGATGAAAACATGATTGAAGTGGCTTTAGGAGAGAACAGGAAGAAAGGAAGTGGAAACAGTGAGTAGAGACTTCTCGTTTACTGAGTTTGCTTTAAAATGGGGTGGAGATTAGGCAGTCACTGAAAATGAAATGGAGCCAAGAGCTTTTTTTCTCTTAAGATGGGAAGCATTGCAGCATGTCTGTATGCTGGTAGAAATAATTCAGTTGAAAAGGAAAAACATAACTGATGTTTCAGGAGAGCAACAATTGCTGCTTTGTATACAGAAGAGGTATGTGATCCAGTGCACAAGTAGAAGAGATGATCTTTGCTACGAAGGACCCTCATGATTCATCCACAGTAACATGAAAGAAAGAAGAGTATAAGGATATACATGTTGGTAGTATGGAAGGGTTGGGAGGTGTTATAGTGGGATCATTTTGAAGTTCTCTTTCCATTGATTCTCTGTTTTTAATGAAATAGTAAAGTTAACAGCTGGAATAAATATTGAAAGGCAGAAAGGAGAGAAAATGTACAAAATAGTCATCATTATGGAATGGGAGAATAAATAGACTAGAAAAATATAATAGGTTGCGTGGCAGCACCGAGAACCCACTTAAGGTAAGCGAGTGGTCATGCTGTTAAAATGAGACTGTTAAGCAGGATAGAGTGTTTTTCTCCAGCTCTGTTCAGGTGTGTACATGCAGGTAAAACAAAAGTCAATTGGATATACCATAATTAGGATTTTACCAGAGTCATTTAAAGAAAGAAGAGAGAGGGACAAGCGAGTTTATATAAGCAACGGTATAAGGATACAGACATTGGTAGTTTGGAACAGTTTTTCATGAAATAATGGCTTTTCACGAAATCTAAGCAGAGTATAAAGAGATGCTGGGACATGAGGAAAATGAGCAACAAAGAAAAAATAATAGATGCCATAGTTCATAATGAGATTTAAAGAAAGTGTTGGTATCAGAATGCTCAAAGTGTTGAGCTGCTAAAATAGGAACAAACGACCCAAAAGTAAGATGCCTGAGATAGGAATTATGAAGGGTTTTTAGTAATTGGTAATGAGAGAGTCTAGGATATGTCCTTTGCATGTGTGGCTGAGGCAAAATATGAATAAAATCAATGGAGGAGAAGAAGCCAAAGAATGGAGAGGCCACGGTGCAAAAATTTCCAAGAATATGGCAAGGTCAGTATGGGATACAGTGAATCAAGTAAGGAGAGGTAGTGAGTCACATAGTCCAAAGACCCACGAGACTCATAGAGGGGGGTTGCACAGAAGATGGAATGAGAATGATCTGAAACTACAATAAAGAAGGCCCACTGGCACCAGCAGTTATGCTCCCCCAGTTTGAGGTGGCTTAGAGGAAGTAGTGTCTTCTGGGGTATCCAAGTTTGAATTTGAGTAAAACAGTGAAACCAAAAAATTCAGGAAAATTTGAGGATAAAGGAGATTTTCTGTATGACCGAGTTCCAGAGGGCCCAAGGGAAGGGATTGGTTGTGGGGTCAGAAATGGGAGTGGACAAATCTGTGGGGAGTGCTAACCAGACAGTCCTGGGAGTCCTGCGGTAATAGGATTAGTTGCGAAGGTCTGCTGGGCATTAAAAACAACTGTGGTCACTTTAGCATGTGCTCCAGAATAGCCTGCCAAAACAAACTGGTTAATTTTTCTCTTTAAGGGGTTTGCTTTCTGATCATCTTTCAGAATGGCAAATACTAAACACCATCAGGTAATGCTGGACTAACCACTCACTGAAGAGTATCTACTGTTTAGTCTTTACCTTTTTACCTTCCTGTCACACACAACAGGCAGGAAACAGGGTGTCAAAGATGAGGAGGTTTGTTCGGCAACACATTTCTTTTTTAACCTCAGGAGTTATAAGATCATACATCTCTGCTCCGAAAGCACTGACTTGGACAGCTGGAATTGTGGTGACAAGAAACGTATGTTAATACTTTTTCATTTAACCAGAACAAGGTAATCTGAGCCAACCAAAAAGCATTTCTCTCTTCCCCGCTCACAACACTGAGGAATGTCAGAGGCCCTCAGGGAGTGAGGATGCTTTATGCGGAGTGGCCTGGGAAGGCCGGAAACCACTTATTGGCTTTACCACTCTAAACCTCTGAAACAGTCATGTCTCTTCTCAGACCTTTATATTTAGACTCCAGACATCCTTGAGTCACACTTGCTATATTAATACAGTTAAGGCATCAAATTATCATTATCGGTAGCAAAACTTCTCTCCCTGTTTTACGACACAGGTAGTTTCAATAAAAAGTTTTATACCAGAAAAGAGGAGCTGTGGGCCTCTATTTCACTTCACTACTCTTTTTCAAATCATGTCAGATGTTATTTCCTATGTCTGGAGTCTTTCTGGATTCTTCTTCTTCTTCTTCTTCTTCTTCTTCTTATTATTATTATTATTATTGGTGTATATGTTTACTTCTTAAGCAAGGTTAGAATTCCATCTTCATGTTCAGATTCTCTTCCACTATAATTGTTTTATTTGTTTGTTTGTTTGTTTTTTCCTGAGACAGAGTCTCACTCTGATGCCCAGGCTGGAGTATAGTGGTGCGATCACGGCTCACAGCAGCCTCAACCTCCCGGGTTCAAGAGATCTTCCCACCTCAGCCTCCCTATTAGTTGAGACTATGGGCACATCTCACCATGCCTGGCTAATTTTTGTATTTTTTGTAGATATGCTGTTTCACCATGTTGCCCCAGCTGGTCTTGAACTCCTGGGCTAAAACAATCTACCTGGCTTGGCCTCCCAAAGTGCTGGGATTACAGGCATGAGCCACTGTGCCCAGCTCTCTTCCATTATAATTTCACCATTACCAACCACCTCAGGTAATGGTTTATTTCAAAATTTGGTGAGTAAAGAAATACTTATCGTATAGTTAACATATACTGGTTGCTCACTATGGGCTGAGTACTTCACACTTTGCCTTTTCAATCTTTATAATAATTCTATGAGTTAAATAATAGTATTGCCCACATTTTACAGCTAAAGACACTGAAAACTTACGGTCACTGAAAACTTACGATCCAGGATCATATTGTTAGTAAGTAGAAGAGCAAAAATTTGAACCTGGATAGTCAGAGTCCAGATCGCACATTTTCTTAGCTACTACAACACATTGCCAGGTACTAAGTGAGGTGCCAGGGAATGAAGTTGAATAAGATGAATGACCTAAAAGAGTTCATAAGTTAGTATGGAACTGGATATTTTACACTAACAATATATCCCTATTCCTTGGCTCCCAAGTGTACATCCACATACAACAGTTTGAGTCTGAACCACAATAAACTTAACTAGCCATCTGCATTGATTTTTTTTACCCTTCTTGGCAAATCAATTTACAAGTGTCATGGAAGAAATATTAAGATTACAGAAATAGCTTTCTTCAGCTTTTCTCCCCATCTTCAAGGGGTAAGTAGCATTAGGAAAGACTGATAGCCAAAATATTTGCATTCAATATCAGAGGCAAAATCAAAAAGGACAGCTCTGCATTGTAATTCTTCCTACATAGACAAGTGACGAGAGAAACCAAGCTAGTCTAATCAGAGGAATATTTCCACTCAAGTGTCAATTCTTATGATCAAAAAACATAATTTTTTAACTTATTTATGGATTCACATTGGTAATTGCTATCTTGGAAAAGATCACCTTCCCAGTATAAGTAGTGTCCTTAAAATAAAAGGCATTGTTATTTTAACAGAATACATCATCTATGACCTTGTTGCCCTAGAGGCTGCTTGTGGGGCCTGAAAAGCCAGAGCACAGATGAAGGGTATATTTCCCCAAGTCATGCTCTTTGACAGTTACACCTGACCCATTGAACAAGTGAACAGGTTTTCTCATTTGCTTGTTTGATTTCCTGATCAGAGGCGTCATTCATAATATGTACATACAGATGAGCCTATGAGTATGTGTGGCTTGTTCATTAATCAACCCAGATGTTGTTAATTTGCTTAAATAGGGTTATAAAAAGAAATAGGAGAAAAAATAACAAATCCAGGATGTCTCATCTCTGGATTCTATATTAAAACTGTAAAGAACAACTTTGTTAGTTTAAACGGTGGTAGTATAGAAAGGGGATATAAACGAAAAATAAAATACTGAATTGCCACATATTTAGAGTCTGTGTTAAAATTGGAAAGATGTTAGATGACTTCATAATTTTGGTATTGCTTCTTCAAGTCAAAACAGCGTGTTGCTTCCAGGATTTTGGTGAACACAGCAGTGTGAGTTGCAGTGCTTCGGTGCTCATAGAAGAATTTCAAATACTTCAGAGCATTCGTTTTCATGGAACCCTTCCTCTCCCCCACACATAATGGGCACATTTCTTAAGTGAGGCAATTTAAATACTAAAGCAACAGACAAAACCTTGCAACACCAAAGAGGCAGGAAGTAGTAAGCGTTGAGGAAGAAATCAATACTGCACAAATCCATGCTTTTACATATACATTATTACATATGTGGGAGCATTCATGGCATTGTGTGCTGCAGAATAACTGCTCTCTGCCTCCATTTACTATCCATGAAGCAAACTGCCCAAGGAAGATGTTAGTCTTCTACTGAAGGTAGTTGATGGTTAACTGGAAATGAAATTTTCATTGTTTTTGACTAAGACAACATGGGAACTAAACGTCTTTCAAAAATTCCACATTTTACCTCCATGTTTGCCTTGTTTGTAGAAACATCTGGACTTTGTGAGAATTATAAGCCTTCAGAATGTCTTTATTAGGGGTATGATTCTATTCAAAACTGCAAGGAAATGCCTGTCTACTCACAATATTTACTCAACACTATGATACTGATTTTTCATCAGAAGTTTCCTGATTCCCCAGTTAAGGAAAAAAGAAAGAGATAGACAGGGAAGGAAAGAAAGAGATATACAGGGAAGGAAAGAAAGATAGAAGCTGTTCCTATGCTAGGCCCTGTTTTCTTTCAGGAAAGGAAGAGGAATCTGGTTCGACAGCCAACACAGAATGCCAAACACATGAGGTGATGTTAATAACAATAACAAAAAGACAAAAATGAACTCAGCACTTCCACCCAGGTGCCACATATGTGATGTCTGACCCAGATAGAGTCATTAGCTAAGGGAACAAAATAAACCTCTCTAGTTAAAGCAATAGGGCAGGGGCAGATATGATAAGAGTTAGCATAGTAGATTAAAAGATAAAGATTTCTGAATAATGTGCTGCTGACACTAATTTTCTGCAAAGTGGTAGAAAAAGCACTACTTCAGCTCTTTCTACATTATTTCTTCACTTGAGGATAATTGTGCCATTTTTACATACAAAGATGGCACTGTGAAGCTCTCTTCAGCATCCCCCACCCCTACTTCAGGATAATAACAGTACAGGGATCTATCCAAACCTCAAAACCAACCCCATTTCTGTAGGCTGGTAGGTTACAGCTAGAAGAGTACATTATTACCTTAGTAGAGAAAAAAGGTAGCACATACCATTGGTCCATTTAACACTATGCTCAAGCTTTCTGGACCACTTGACCAGGTAGGATGTTGATAAGTATTCAGCACTTACACTTCCTTGCTTCTCTTACAGGCTCACAATTTCCAGAGGTGTTGAAGAATGATTGCAGGAAAGTGACTATCATACTATGGAACCCAATCTACTACTTGTCAATGCCAGTGGAGAGCAGGGGGTCATATGACCTCTCCCCTTTCTGGATCTTTCTCTCATACTCACTTCCTCACAGGTGCAAGAGGTAAGAAAAAAATAAAATGAATTTCCACAAGGCAAATTACAAATGGCACTTTTTGCACATGATGTATCATATGGAGTATCGAGAGACACAGGAGAGAAGATTTAACACCTTATTTCATCTACGGTGGCACAGCATGTAGTTTAGAGCATTACTTTTGAATTATCTGAGGTGAAGCACCACTTATCTCCAATCCATCATGAATGGAAATGTGTTCCTACAGTTCCTGACTCATATGTAGTTCATGTCCCATGCAATTCCACACTACACTCAAAGTGGTCTATAGGTTTTTCAATAGGACAAGGCCAATCATCACACATTTACTTCCAGTTTCTGTATTTATCATAGACTAGTGACAAATAATTCACAAATTGGCATCAATCTGTGGACTACACTTTGAATACCACTGATTTTGACTATGGGATTTGAGCCTCACTGACCTGCCCTATTCCTGGCTCCATCCCTTGCTTACAAATGTGTGTGACATGGCAATTTACCTAATCCCTCTATGACTCAGTTTCGTTATCTATGAAATGGTAACAAAACAATACTTACCTCACAGGCTTGTTGTGATAATTAAAATTAGTTAAAACATGCAATGCAACTTACCACAATTAGAACAATACCAAGCACATTATAAGCATTACATTTTAGATTTTTTACAATTATGCCACTTTAACTTACATGGCTGGCTTTGCAACTGGTATACATCAAAATATGTACAGCAGCATATAAAAGATAGTAGAAAATACTGGCATTCCTTGCCATGCCAATAACCATATTTATAATAAGCTAATGTTATAAAAATTACAGGATATTTTTAAGAAATGTCCTGTACTTTTTATAACATGTTAGCTTATTATAGATGTACGTGTGTGTGTGTGTGTGTGTGTGTGAGATTCCCCTACTAAATACCTACTAGATTCTCACTATTCTTTATATTCTTTAACCTGGCTGAAAGACCTTGAATAATAGAGTACCCACTATTTATTTTAAGCTTCATAAAAGCCACAAATTTTCCTTCCCCTTTTCTCTTCTTGCAAATCCTCATACTTTTTTGCTCTTTCCCCCTGTCAGAAATGTCCTCCCTCTAGGTTTCTGCAAAGCAAATTCATTCTATTTCTTCAGGTTTCAGTTGAAAGGCCATTTTTTAAGAGTGTCCTTCCTGACTATACTGACTAAATTAAGTCTTCCTCATTATTTTCTATTCCCACCCCTTGCTTATTTCCTTTAGAGCTCTGATCACAGACTGAAATGATTTATTAATGTGTTGTTTGTCTACTTCAATGTGGATCAAGGCAGCACCTGTCGTCTTCGCTGATAAATCTCATAACCAGCTTGATACCTGGTATATAGTATATTTAGCAAATACGTTCAGTCAATGAGGTTGACATAGCTTCGCTGTGTCCCCACCAAAATCTCATCTTGAATTCCCACTTGTTGTGGGAGGGACCTGGTGGGAGGCAACTGAATCATGGAGACAGGTCTTTCCCGTGCTGCTCTCATGATAGTGAGTAAGTCTCATGACATCTGATAGTTTTAAAAAGAGGAGTTTCCCTGCACTGCCGCCATGTGAGACGTGCCTTTCACCTTTTGCCATGATTGTGATGCCTCCCCAGCCATGTGGAACTGTAAGTCCAATAAAACTCCTTCTGTAAATTGTCCAGTCTTAGGTATGTCTTTATCAGCAGCATGAAAATGGATTAATACAGAGGCAAATTTCTCTATTAATCTAAAATAAAAGACCCATTTTTTTTCTAGTTACTCTAACTTCTTATCAACTTAAAAAATTCTCTAATTCAATCATGCATTGGAGATTTATTGGATTACAGCTACATATCAGAACTCTTAGGTGAAAGAGGTTAGAATAATACATTGAGTCACTGCTTTTAAGAATTAGAGAAATACCATTTAACAAATTACCCTTATAAAATGTGACTTGCACTGTATGTGAGGGCCTATGTCCCTGCATTCCTGTATGTACATATATATGTGTGTTCAGTGCTCAGGAAACTCAAGAGGAAAGCACAGAAAATGGCAAAAGGAGTTTTACCATGGAAGATCCAGAGATTGACCTCAAAGGAAAATCTCTCTGCAGACAAGACAGAGATAATGCTCTGGAGGCTGAGAAAGTTAAGTCAGCAGACTTGTTTCAAAGGTTATAGAAATCAAATGAGAGATAGTCTCCCAAATACCATTGAGCTTATTTGGAAAATAAATTAAGTATATTCCCATATGAATGCATTTTGGTTTTATATATTTTTTTGTTTTAATTTTGACATCACACTTAATGATTAGGAATGATCACTGGAAAAAAATCGTTTTAAGATTTTCGATACAATTCTGTTTTAGCAAAGACAGAATATACAACCCAATCAGATCTGCAACTAGAAGAATATATATCAGGAGAAAATGTATATTAAAAATAATCATCTGAACATATGCACTTGGATGTTTACCTTTACTTATAACAGCTAATACTACTTGCCTGGCTGGTAAATATGAATAAAACTTTACAGCTGCACATTGATATGCTTTTCAAAATTACTTCATCAACATTATCTCATTTAATCCTCACAATACCTCTATGAAATAGACAGTTGTTTTTTGTTTTTTTTTTTAATGTTTTATTTTTTTGAGACGGAGTCTCACTCTGTCACTCAGGCTGCAATGCCGTGGCGCGATCTCGGCTCACTGCAAGCTCCGCCTCCGGGTTTCATGCCATTCTCCTGCCTCAGCCTCCCAGGTAGCTGGGACTACAGGTGCCCACCACCACCCCCGGCTAATTTTTTGTATTTTTAGTAGAAACGGGGTTTCACTGCATTAGCCAGGATGGTCTCAATCTCCTGACCTCGTGATCCACCCTCCTGGGCCTCCCAAAGTGCTGGGATTACAGGCGTGAGCCACCGTGCCCGGCCTGAAATAGACAGGTACTTTTATCTCTATTTCACAGTCCAAGCAGCTGACAGAGAACTGTTAAAGGACTTGTCCAAGATCTCTAAGCTAGTTAGAGGCAGACAGAGGCAAATTAGAGAGAAAATCTCAGTAGTTTTCTCTTAACTTTTTGCTTTCCCTAGCAACCAATGCTCAATAAGAGGAATTGGGGCTGTTATATATTAAGGTGATAATATCAGGAATGGGATCAATATACATAGGCTGATTAAAAATACAGGTAGCAAGAGCCATTTTATTCTAGTAAGATTCTTGCTAAAAGACTAGTTTTGGTAACATTTTAAAGACAACAATCACTTTTTTGCAGATGATTAGAATGAAACCCTTAACACATGCATTAACAAGAATGAGCACCAAACCCAGTATTGGGGGTCATATATCAGTTTGCCCAATATCTGTCATGGCAGTGCTTCTCTGATACAGGAGCATGGCTGGACAAAGGGATGACTGCCCTGATAACAGTGATTGGTTGAGAGGTGGGCACACATGGTCCAAAGTCAGGCCAATTAACTTCTCCTTTGGACTTTTAATGGAACTCTTGGAAAGGAATACCTCTCTTGGTTAGAGATAAACTGCTCAGAGGGGCATGCAATCTTGAAGCTGGCAGCCAACGTGGAGGTAAAGGAAGATTCACAGAGAAAGTGGACGCAACTGAGTCAGGTAGGCAGCGGGGTCATAAGGGAAAGAGGACATTGATAAGGAGGTGGAAGGCAAAAATTAATCGCAGTTTGGCCTAGATGTGGTTTTCAACCTTGGCTTCTTATTAGTTATCATTGGGGAACCTCTAAACATCCCAACATGCAGGCCTCACCCGAGACCAGTTAAATCAGACACTTTTCCTCTGTTCACGCTCATGTTCACGCCCAGCACATCTGACAACCAGTGGTTCCCTGAAGTCCCCCTGCTTTGGTAGAGGCTCTGCTGCTATAGCAGGAATTGCTCATTAACTTCTAAGAAGTGGAGCCACTAAAGAAGAAGTCAACAAAAGACCCATAAAGAGGCTGACTTTAGCAAATAGCATTACATATTGTGCCTTTTCTTTCTTTGCTTTTCTTTTTTTTTTTTCTGAGACAGAGTTTTGCTCTTGTCACCGAGGCTATAGTGCAATGGCATGATCTTGGCTCACTTCAACCTCCGCCTCCCAGACTCAAGTGATTTTCCTGTCTCAGCCTCCTGAGTAGCTGGGATTACAGGCATCCGCCACCACGTCCGGCTAATTTTTTTGTATTTTGTTGTTGTTTTTGTTGTTGTTTGAGACGTAGTCTCGCTCTGTCACCAGGCTGGAGTGCAGTGGCACGATCTCGGCTCACTGCAACCTCCGCCTCCCGGGTTCAACAATTCTCCTGCCTCAGCCTCCTGAGTAGCTGGGACTACAGGCGCCCGCCACCACGCCAGGTAATTTTTTGTATTTTTAGTAGAGATGGGGTTTCACCATATTAGCCAGGATGGTCTCCATCTCCTGACCTCGTGATCCGCTCACCTCGGCCTCCCAAAGTGCTGGGATTACAGGCATGAGCCACTGCGCCTGGTCGTTTTTTTGTATTTTTTAGTAGAGACGAAGTTTCACCATGTTGGTCAGGCTGGTCTCGAACTCCTGACCTCAGGTGATCCACCCGCCTCAGTCTCCCAAAGTGCTGGGATTACAGGCGTGAACCACCGCACCCGGCCCACATTGTGTCTTTTTAACTGCTCCCGTGAAACATTCAGAATCACCACCCTGCTGCTGCTTTACATATGGATAGGGGTAAGGGCAATCAAAGGGGTAAATGGAAAGCCAATTCATTTTTATTTTTTTATTTCCAACTTTTAAGTTGAGGGATATATGCACAGGATGTGCAGGTGTGTTACATTGTTAAACGTGCTCCAGAGTGGTTTGCTGCAGAAATGATCCCATCACTTAGGTATTAAGGCCACTATCCATTAGCTATTCTTCCTGATGCTCTCCCTCCTCCCACCCCCCACCCTCTGACAAGACCCAGTGTGTGTTGTTCCCCCATCATGTGTTCATGTGTTCTCATCATTTAGCTCCCACTTATAAGTGAGAACACATGGCACTTGGTTTTCTGTTTCTGCATTAGCTTGCTAGGGATAATGGCCTCCAGTTCCATTCATGTCCCTGCAAAGGACATGATCTCATTCCTTTTCATAGTATTCCATATTGTATATGTACCACATTTTCTTTATTTAATCCATCATTGATGGGCATTTAGGTTGATTCCATGTCTTTGCTATTGTGAGTAGTGCTACAATGAGCACGCACGTGCATGTATCTTTATAATAGAATGATTTCTATTCCTTTGGATATATACCAAATGGGATTGCTAGGTCAAATGGTATTTCTCTCTCTAGGTTTTTGAGGAATTCCCACATTGTCTTCCACAATGGTTGAACTAATTTACACTTTCACCAACATGTAAAAGTGTTCCCTTTTCTCCATAACCTTGCCAGAATCTGTTGTTTTATTGACTTTTTAATAATAACCATTCTGGTTGCTGTGAGATGGTATCACACTGCTTTTGATTTGCATTTCTCTAATGATTAGTAATACTGAGCATTTTTCATATGTTTGTTGGCTGCATGTATGTCTTCTTTTGATAAGTGTCTGTTCATGTCATTTGTTCACTTTTTAATGGGGTTATTTGTTTTCTTCTTGGAAATTTGTTTAAGTTCCTTGTAGATGCTGGATAACAGAGCTTTGTCAGATGGATAGACTGCAAAAATTTTCTCCCATTCCGTAGGTTGTCTGTTCACTCTGATGATAGTTTCTTTTGCTGTGCAGAAGCTCTTTAATTAGATCCCATTTGTCAATTTTTGCTTTTGTCACAATTGCTTTTGGTGTCTTCATCATGAAATACTTGCCTGTGCCTATGGCCTGAATGTTATTGCCTAGATTTTCTTCTAGGATTTTTACAGCTTGGAGTTCTACATTTAAGTCTTTAATCTGACTTGAGTTGATTTCCTATATGGTATAAAGAAGGGGTCCAGTTTCAATTTTCTATATATAGCCAGCCAGTTTTCCCAACCCTTTATTAAATAAGAAATCCTTTCCCTATTGCTTCTTTTTTGTCAGGTTTGTCAAAGATCAGATGGTTGTAGGTGTGCAGACTCAGTTCTGAGTTCTCTATTCTGTGCCATTGGTCTATGTTTCTGTTCTTGTACTAGTACCATGCTGTTTTGGTTACTGTAGCGGAAAGCCAATTTCAAGCCACCAACATCACATTATAGAATGCAGGTTTGGAAAGAAATGTGCAGTAGCACCTCATTATATAGTTGTCATCATACAGACACAATACATGTAAATAGCTGCCAAAGCATAGATAATGGTAAAACATAGTACAGTTATTATGACGTGATGAGTTTTGAGTATTGCCTTTTCTGTATACTGTAATTTATTCAAATACAGTTGCTGCTCAAGTTTTTATTAGGTTACATCCCAATGAATCCATTTTAAATTGAAAATATCACGAGTTGAAAATGCATTTCATACATCTAGCCTACCAAACATCATAGCTTAGCCTAGCCTAACTTAAACATGCTCAGAACACTTACATTAGACTACAGTTGGGCAAAATCATCTAACACAAAGCCTATCTGATAATAAAGTCTTGAATATCTTAGGTAATTTATTGACTACTGTACTGAAAGTGAAAAACAGAATGTTTGTATGGGTACCCAAAGTACAGTTTCTACTAAATGCAAATTGCTTTCAAGCCATCACTAAGTTACATACTATCTGTGTAAGTTTCTATCCAAGTTTCTATGATGTAACTTTTAATATTGGCTCTGTTTCAAAACCAGCTTGAAAAATTCCTGGGAAATCAAAAACTCATCTCTCACAAGCTGGTCTGAGCTACCTGTAGCAAACCAGTAACTTCTACATCTTTACTGATATATTCTCCTTATAAAATCAACTCAACATTTTCTAAAAGGCTATTTATCTAGGTTGTGAATGATCCATCTTCACAATGTTAGTCTCTTCTTCTTGCTGATCTCTGCCGTTTTGGATTGGTTGTTACATGCAGATGGAGAAAAGTCAAATGGTTATAGTCCCCAGGCTGATACATTTCCCCTTCTCTGCAAGCCCATTGCTGTCCCACTCAGCCCTCACAGTAAACTCTCTTTCCCAGCAAAAGTGCACAGCCTTCTGGGTTTCTTTGCCCCAGTGCCTTGTGTCTAATGCTCTAATGCTGACCACCCATCCACCAGCAGAATTTTTAAGGCTTCCACATTTACTAGGCAGGATACTAATACGCCATTTGATTTGCATCATTATGCCTCTAGCTCTAAACATTCCACAGTCATCTTTAATACTAAAAAAGCTTTGATTACTTCTGAGAACACTACCCACCCCTATACAACCCTTTTCAAACTGCAAAGCCTAGAATTTCATTTCCTGCAAACAGGCACTCAGAAACCAGCTAGAAGAATATCAAAAATGCATCATTCTAAATGACAAGATGCTTTCCAAAGGGATCCCTCAAGGCTCAATTACTTGCTACTTGTTTGCTTGGTTTCATGTTAGCATTCTTTCCCAGTCTCTAGCACAAATCATAAGGACCTTAACCACTGATAACAGTCTGGAAACAGAAACTGATCATTATCATTTTTCAAACCAACACCAAGGGTTTCCTTCCCACAAGGTCTAGGGGTCAAGTCTGACTCTTGTTTCCCTTCTGCATCTTTTGGTTAATTGTTTCAATTTGTTCCATTTCCATTCACTTTCTTTTGCTGAATCACAATTATTCCTTACATATGTGCATCCAGAAGTTAGGGAGAACACCCAGCTGGTATTATTGGGAAGCCAAAATTTCTTTTAGGGGGAGGATTATCCTTGGCATGACCAAATAGTATCTTTTTTCTTTTTTCTCAGTTTCAGAAGCTGCTTCTACCCTGAGTAACAGTGCTGAGAACTCACTGGATTGCCCATGATCAGTGGGTTCTGGAAGCAAATGGACAGAAGGAATTCAAGATTAACACAGAAAGAGACCATGACATCACCACCACATGCATGTGGCCTCCAGACAGTAACTGTAATATGAGAAACATCATACAATAATTCAGAAAGTAATTTCAAGCACCTGCTTTGTGGTATTAAAAACCCAGAGAAAGTTATGTGTGCCCAGTTTTAGAATTTTTCCTGCTCGTTTTAAAAATTTATATTTAGGTTTAATAATATATAAGCATAAAATAGGGATAACATAAATGAGCACTTACTATATTCCAGGCGCCACTCTAATGGTTTCAAGGCGTTTTTTCTTTTTTGTTTTTTTTTTTCTCTCTCACTGAAACATCACAATAATGCTATTAGGCAGGTTCTATTATCATTCCCATTTTATAGACAAGTAAACTTGAAGACAAATCTTTTTGTCCTTTTTCCATTTTATGCAATGCTAATTTTAGGCAGAGTACATATTTCAATTAGTAGTTTCCCTTTTCCCATCACACAAGAAAGATGTGCTTTGTCTCCCCGAGACATTTATTATTAGAGGAATAACAGTAAAATTGAGAGAGAGGAACAAAAAAACCAATACATAAAAACAGTGCAATTTAAAAAATCAAGTTGAATTATTTGGTTGCTTATTGGCTCAAAGAGACATTGGGACTTTGCCTCCCAACAAAACCATTATTTTTTTTTTCAATAGTTTCCAACCTAAATTTCTGAAATATTTCTGTTTTATTATTTACTAGGTAACATCCTGTTTATCAGAAGGGGAAACTAATGACACTTTAGCTTATCTCATTATAAAACAAATAGAACCCGGAATTATTAAAGTTCTTTTTTAAATAAAATAAAATCAATGCTTTGGTAAACTTTTTTCTTTTTTTTTGAGACAGAGTCTTGCTCTGTCACCCAGGCTGGAGTGCAGTGGCGTGATCTCACTCACTGCAGCCTCCACGACCCGGGTTCAAACAATTCTCCTGCCTCAGCCTCCTGAGTAGCTGGGACTACAGGTGCACGTCCCCACATCCAGATCATTTCTTTTGTAGTTTAGTAGAGACAGGGTTTCTTACTTAACTGTTTCACACCTTTGAACTTGCATTCTAACGGCAATCATTGGAAGCTTATGTGCACTTCTACGGTGTCTTCCTCTTCCCCCTACTTACCAGGTGCCTTTTGGCTATGCTTGTTGTTCTGTGATCTAGAAGTTATCTTTGAATCTCTCCCATCAAACAGAATGTTGATACATGCTTGTTACTTAAAAATGTTCAAATGATTAATAAATGAAGAAATAAATGAATAGAGGAATCTTTTAAAGGTGACGAGGATATGGAAAAATAATTTAAAAAAAACTTCTTGTAAATGAAACTGATTGAAACATCGCCTAGTTCTTTAAGCTCTGGGTTAGTCAGGTTTGCTGGTTTTAATTCCTCTCTCCTCCAGAGTATCATATCTATCTTTACTCTGGACCTTTCTTGAGAAACTTAGATCAAATGTAAAGGCTTCCTTGGAACCAATAAAACAAAATTACTTATGTTACATGTGCCATGTCATACCTTCCTTTAAAATAACACCCATACAAACACAGACACATACATGTTCTCATATACACTCATACATATTCACACATATGCTTATATAAACAACAAACACTATCACTATCATGTTTTAATATGGTTATTGGTGCATGGTGTCCCTTAGTTCCTTGCAAGCACTTCCTACATGTTTTCTCACTCAGTAAAGCATGTGTGTGTCTGTGTGTTTCCAACATAATTTTACAGCTAGATATTTAAATCCCATTCTGGTTCATAAACTTGTCTGGACCATCAAGTACATGTTTTTGCTTTTTCAACACTAGGAATTTCCCAGGCTCACTGGCAAAACCAATCAAATGTCTGTTTCTGTTTCAAAGATGAACTATTCAAACTTATTGGCTTGTACCTGCCTTCTCCCTGCCTCTCCTCTATCCCTGTGTTACCAATCTTAAAACATTAAGTATGTTGAAATGATTCTTAGGTTGGGTGGCAGAAACCACAGGTATGAGTGAACAGCTTTGTCAGAGAAGACACTTCCCACTCCATGAACAAAACCACTGCATTTTCACAAGGAATTTTTAACACAGCGTTTTGGGAATTCTAACCCAGCTCATTGCTAGAGCACGGAGCAAACAAAGATCGCTTAAAAATAAAATCATGAAAATGACATTAGCAATCATGACATTCAGACATTTTTGTACCTCTCTTTTAAAATGTCAGCTCTTCCAGACAGCTGGATCCAGCCATTGGAGTTAAGAAATGTTACTATTTGTGAATCCCTCTAGCCTCTGCCATGTAGGGAGACTTCAAACAGACATCAGTAAACAGCATTCTCATCACTCCAGCCCAGACTGAATTCTAATCAAGGTCTTTTAAATGCCATTGAACAAATCTATATACTATGGATTGTTTCTTGTATGCCTCTGGCCAAATGCTATTCACTGGGTCATTTATTATTTTTAGAAAACCAAAGCAATCCACACTAATAGTATAAATTACAGCACATCTAGAAGCACGGTCCAGGCAACCTTGTTGATTTAATACTAGAACTGAAAGAAGCTTTTAATTATTCCTCCTCTGGTGATTTATTAGACACTTGGAATCTAAGAGTCTCACAAGTGGATGAGCCAGGTTTATACCACAATTAACCAATAGAAAGGGTCTGGTCTAAATATGCCTTAAAAGCCAAATACTAAATCTAAAGGGTGTGCATAGTTGAGTCTAAAAAGAACTAAAATATAGAAATTAAAAGTTCCACACATTATCAAAAGCAATAAATTTACTAAGAGGCAGAACTCCCAAAACAAGTTATCTAACATGAAAATGGATGTACAACCTGAACAGAACTTTCTGTGAAGTGTTCACATAAATTTTCAGACATGAGCTGCAAGATATTATGACTATATCTCAAACAGGTTCATAGGCTCAACAAAGTCCAACTAAAACCAATAAATGACATAATGACATCATAGTTCACTTGTTCTCTTAAGAAAAGTCCCTCAGGAAAGTGATAGAGAAAATACGAGACAACTTGGTTGTTCAAATTCTTTACATCTATAGACAAGTCAATTAAAAAGACCTCCTGGAACACCTGTCATGAGGCCGGGCTGTCCATCATCCCTGAATGTACGAAAGGAAAACCACGAAGTCATTTCTTTGGGCTATTTGTTAGGAAGACATAATTTTAAACTTAAAATAACCTCTGAAAGAAAAGCTGGTGTCTGCATTGTATCTTCAGATTAATTAAGCCAAAGTCTCGGAGGTTTGGAATTGAAGTTTCAGACAAAGCTGCTTCTTTACTAAGAAAACTTATCACTGTAAATCGGGGTAGAATTGGAGAGTGTGATAAAAATGGCTGCCTTTAAAAGTCCCACCTATCACCAATTTGGGACCTCTTTACTGGAAAGAATTTTAGCTACATTTATTTCTAGGATCAATAATCTATTCCACATTAGTTCCCCATATTTTCTGTCTCTTTTTGTCCCTTAGCTCTAGACTCTGAATCATTTTCCCACCTGTCTTTCCTATATTCCCTCTTTCCTTGATGTTATTTCAACCATCACCAAGACTAGCTGAAACTTCAGCAGTTCCCTTAATTAGCAGAACTTTTTCTTCATTGTTCCCTCTCTCCTCCTCACCCTCACTCAAAGTGTGTGTGTGTGTGTGTGTGTGTGTGTGTGTGTGTGTGTGTGTGTTAAGGAGTGATGATCTGAGAATCTGAGGTGGGGACACTGGCTTAAGAAGTTTCCTTTAAATGACTATTAGGTTGGTGCAAAAGTAAATGCGGTTTTTGCCATTGAAAGTAATGGCAAAAAACACAATTGCTTTTGCACCAACCTAATATAAACATTTGTGAGATTTTTAAAATTTATTTTATTTCAGGCATACATGTGCAGATTCATTATATAGGTAAACTTGTGTCATGGGGGTTGGTTGTAAGATTATTTCATCACCCAGGTGTTAAGTCTAGTACCCATTAGTTATTCTTCCTGATCCTCTCCCTCCTCTGACCCTCCACTCTCAAGTAGGCCCCGGTGCCGGCTGTTCCCCTCTATGTGTCTATGTGTTCTCATCATTTAGCTCCCAGTTATAAGTGAGAACATATGGTATTTGGCTTGTTGTTCCTGCTTTAGTTTGCTGAGGATAATGGCTTCAGCTCTATCCATGTTCCTGCAAAGGACATGATCTTGTTCTTTTTTTATGCCTGCACAGTACTCCATGATGTATATGTACCACATATTCTTTATCCAGTCTACCACTGATGGACATTTAGGTTGATTCTATGTCTTTGCTATTGTGAATAGTGCTGCAATGAACATATGCATGTATGTAGACCGATTTATATTCGTTTGGGTATATACTCAGTAATGGGATTGCTGGGTCGAATGGTATTTCTCTTTTCAGGTATTTGAGGAATCACCACACTGTTTTCCACAATGATTGAACTAATCTACATTCCCAGCAACAGTATATAAGCATTCCTTTTTCTCTATAAATATTTGTGAGATTTTTAAAAAAAGACTAATACAAATTGAGACTGTCACAAACTCAAAAAATCTAAAAAAATCTCATTTTTCTTCATTCTATTTAAACTGAAAGTGAAGACCTTTTTTTTTTTAACAGCTCCTTGTGAACTCTCATTTTTCAGTAGTGATGTGAAAAATAGCTCAGATTGAAGCCTTTTAGAATTCAGGAATTCATTCAACAAATATTTACCGAATACCTATTAAGTGCCACTAGATACCTAGATACTAGGCATTGGGGATAACGTGATGACAAATTTTCTACCCAGCAATACTCCAATAAATATAGATCAACCTGTTTCACTTTCAGCCTTCCACATCTCAGTAAGGACAATTTCATCTTCCCAGGTGATCAGGCTAAGTACTAATAGGATTTGCTAGTTCACAGAGCTGCATCAGCTTTACTGCACAGACCTTGATGGTTTTTTCCACCAAATAATGCAATGTCAGACCCACTTCTAACTTCCATTGGTAAGCTATTTCAGGATAAAACTTCTCAATTTTGATAGAAAGTCAACTAAATTGATGGCCACATAAGTATCCCATATCTATATACAAAGACACATTTTACAATTATCTGACTACTAATGCAGGATGTGAAGAGCTAGTTACAGTTTCAGTGAGTTGTGTGTGCAAACTGGTCTGTATGTATAAAAGAAAGATGTAGCAATGTTTCCCTTATTTCTATCCAAGTTGAAATCTTGATTTTTTTTCTTAGGGATGTTTGAACATATCCTTCTTAATTTTGTTTTTATCTATTGGCTTAGAACAGAGGAAGAAAGCATAATAAAATAAAATGTACTATTGTCCTTCCTGATTAGTAATAATCGAGTTGTAGAGAAAGTGCATTACTGTCTTATTTTTCTAACTTCATCAAAATATTTGATTAAGCATAGGGGAATATTATTTGCCTCTTTTTAAAAATCAACTTTATATTTTCTTCTAAGAGTGATACATGTTCTTTATAGGAAAAAATAGAAACTACAGAAAGTCAGCAATAAACAAAAAGCAATTATATTCCTATAAGCAAGTACCAACATTATTTTAAAAATAGTACATTCTTTGAGTATTATGCTTTATTTGTAAACAACATACTATTTATTATGTGTTTCTGATTATAAATATCAATATATGTTAACAGCCAATTTGGAATATGGAGAGTTGTATTAAAAACATCTGTGATTATACCAATGCTTTTATATTGGCACATTTCCTTTCAACATCATATTAAATGTTATTTCTTGCCTCAGTCTCTGTCTCTCTCACTCACACACGTAGACACTCACATTGTATGTTGCTTTCTTAATATATCCCAACTGTTTTTCAGGTTATTAAAAACATTTTTGAATATATGTTTTAGCATAGATATACATAGATATGTAAAATAACTGAATACTTACATATTATTTGAATTAGGTAAAATCATTTTTCTATTACAATTAATGATGAAATGAATGTTAATTTTTCTTTAATTCACATTTCCCAGTTTTTTCATAAAATGGAAAAACATATCAAAATTTTAAGCACATTCAATTCTCTCCATAAATACTGTATATTCAACTCAGAAATAATGTTTACACAATTTTCACTAGATGTTATATACAAATTTGTAGTCTTTTACCTTTTTAGTTCTTCCATGTGTTACCAAAGATCATTTTGTGTTCTATATAATATTTTCCCCATTATTAGACATCTAGGTTGCTGATCAGCCTTTATAATTGTTTTGATTACTTGATCAAGGACCAAAATGCTTTTCTATTAGAGACTGACTTTTATTTTCATGTCAAGCTATAGATTTTTTAAAAATGGCAAAAAAGTCATCAAAAAGTGACACAGCCCCGCTATAGAAAGAGGAATAAAATGATGCAGGAAGATTAATCTAATTTTATTTGTGTTAAAGTAGTTGATTTGCTATTCGGGCTGTACAGGGAACTCTTGGCCCCAGAGATACCGCATTCCCTCTAGTTCTTAAAACAGTTGGATATCGCCAGGTGTGGTGGCTCATGCCTATAATACCAGTACTTTGAGAGGCAGAGACGGGCAGATCGCTTGATCCCAGATCAGCTTGGCAACATGGTGAGACCATGTCTTTACAAAAAAAAAAATTAAAAATTAGCTCAGCCTGGTGGCTCATAGCTGTAGTACCAGCTACTCAGGAGCTGAGGTGGAAAGACTGAGCCCAATAATTTGAAGCTGCAGTTAACTTTGATACACCACTGTGCTCTAGTCTAGACAACAAAGCAAGACCCTGTTTAAAAAACAAACAAACAAAAAAAGGATTCAGAAACACATATTTGGAGGCATTGTTCCTTAGGATTCTAAGTTCATGTTATAGTTCTCAAATTGATCAATCTAGATCTATGTGTTTGGGTAATGTCTGCATGGCACTGATAATACAACTATCACTTAACAAAGTAATCATATTTTTAAATTATGATATATCCTATTTGCAATTCAAATTTCACAAATTATTTTAGGCACTTTATATGAAAAAAATAAACCTGACTTTAGTTACATTTTTACAAAGAAGGATTTCTTTATCTGTCTCAAATTTATATGCATACAACAGTGTGGAATATTTTTAAAGCTTAAAGTTGGTTCAACTCTTACTTCACATCCTCTCTGCTAAAATTATACTATGTGACTTTTTTCCTTCAGTCAAAATAATAAGAGCAAATGAGTAAAATCACTTAATTCAAATATGAGGTTCCCAGAGAGTACTCAGTACAGTAAACTGGTGAGAACCTGCCACAGCTCACAAATGTTAAGGAGGCAGTGTTCAAAAACTGGAAGAAAGTCAATGAAAATGTAAGGTTCAAGAAGTTTCAAAATAAAATTTAGGGAACTAGAAAAATTGGAAGCTAAATTAAGGTGATTTCTTTTTCCATTCAGTAACAGAGGAAATACAGTAGACATTTGCATGTACCTAACGGCAGAAGTGAAGGAGAATGATTTGAAGGCGGCCAGGGCAATGGACATTGCATCCATAGGAGAAATTAAGGACTAACAGAGATACCTAAGAGAGCAAAGGTGATCTTTTCTTAGAGTATGGGCCGGAGGGAACGAATACAAAGAGACTTAACGCAAAGAATACTGTCTTTTTGTTTCATGTTCATTGTAGTTTGAAATAATATTTTTTTTTCAAATTTTAGCCTAGAAGATCCAGATGTCAATCACCATTGTAAGAAGTAATGTTGTATTGTTTTCCTTTACTTCTTTGATACGAAGAGAGAAAATAATCCATGCTAACATTATGAATGATGGAAAAATGTTTTTTTCCACTGAATTTCTTAAATTGAATGGCAATATCTAAAAAATTTTTTAAAGAATATATATATATATCTCCTAATTTGCTTTGATATTACTTTTAAAAGGCACAGCTTAATGTTAAATTTATGTTATTGCTTTCTGAAGGCTTTCCCACAAATATTATTCCATTTATAAAATTTCCATTTGGTGCAGCCAAGGCCTCTTCCAAAATCTATGTGAAAATTGAAATTTTATGCAATAATTTCCACACATATAAATAGGTACTATTGAATAATCTTGATATTAACATTAGTGGAACCTGTAGTCACATCCTAATATAAAATATCAAAAATAATTTTATACGATATTCCATTTTGACCCTTGAGAAGTTTATTTTCATTAACTAGGTCTTATCTTTTTAGTTAGCTCTTAGGAACTGGGAAAAAGGAGGACTACGTGGAGCTATTTCAAACCAAACTCCACAAATTATTTTAGGCATCAGTGACTCCACGAACTCATTATGCTGGCAAAACTGTGGAGGAAGCAATTGGTCGACAATAAAAATCTCAATACTTCAAGCTATAAGAAAATGGAAAAGGCATAAAAGGATATGCACCTGAAGCTTAAAAAGCCTGTGTACAAAGAAGTTTAATTTATTATTCTAATGACTTTCACAGCATGAGACTCTCACCAGGAGACACACATCTATGCATCTAATAAGGCTGCCGAGATTGGGCTACTCCGAAGGACTCTCATGGCTGTTTCCAAAGCATCTTTTTATAGATGGGAAAATGTAAAGTATGTGAAGAAGGCCCAAGACTGATACTATCTATGATGTTTTGCTGCTAGTTACCTTCATATATATTCCTCAGAAAAGAAGCCAACTTTAGCCAGCAAGCTTCAATTAATATATTTAGGTTGTCTTCTTAAATACTTATTCATACTTTGCTGTGGAAGCATAAGAATACCTAGATAAGACATACTGTGTTTATGATAAAACCCCTGGAAGCTCTGCTAAGTTATAAAATATAGTCACGGTCTGCCACAATTAGGTCCTCTGTTGATGTTTGTTCTTCTCCCCTTTATCACCCTTCCCTGAATCCCCCTTATTCTCTGCTAATGTTTTTATGCAATTGTAAATGTTTATAAATATATACTCACAAATCAATTTTTATATAACATATCACTCTATATGCATTGTTTTGCAGAATTGTTTTCGATTAATGATATATTTGAGAATTTTTAATGCCATATACGCATCTGTTCTATATTTAATCGCCCCTCCCCCTCACTTTGGACATGTAATGGTTCCAATATGCCTGCAATAAACATTCCTGTACCTATATCATTCCACTTCCTAGAAGTAGAAATATTGGCCCTAAGAAACATGAATTTAAAAATCTGATGAATATTCCCAAGTGGTAACACAAAAGTTTTTCTAAGTTATACTTAATAGTATATGAAAGTAACTGTTTCTGCTCATCTTTGCCACATTAAATAATATGTTTTAAATTTCTATCCTATTTGATAGCAAAAAAAAATTTTTATCAATTTTTTAAAATATTTGCTGTTTTTAACTGTTGCTAAAAAACAGGTTTTTTTTTTTTTTTTAATTGTTTTTGAGACAGAGTCTCACTCTGGCACCCATGCTAGAGGGCAGTGGCGCAATTTCAGCTCACCACAACCTCCGCCTCCTGGGTTCAAGTAATTCTCATGCCTCAGCCACCTGAGTAGCTGGGACTACAAGTGCATGCCACAACACTCGGCTAATTTTTTATGTTTTTAGTACAGATGGGGTTTCGCCATATCGGCCAGGCTGGTCTCAAACTCCTGATCTCAGGTGATCCACCCGCTTTGGCCTTCCCAAGTACTGGGATTACAATGTGAGCCACCACGCCCGGCAAATAGTTGTTTTAATTTGAGTGTCAATTGACTTTGTGGTAATGTATAAATATTTTCACTACTTAGTGAAGCCTTCATCATCCTTTTCACATTTTGATGTTTCATAAAGCCTTGGATTAGAGAGTCTCTGTAGGTATCATATTAGATAGTAACCAGATCTTGCTGATCTCGTCATGATTATTTGTAGTAAAGGCACTGAGTCACAAAGTAGACAAACAAAAATAAGGAACAATCTAGTTTCAATTCTTCCCAGGCATATTTCTGCCCAAATGCATCGTAAAATAAACACATTGTATCCAACTTTCTGAATAACACACTAAGTCTCCTGAAGGATTGTAATAAGGCAACCCTCAGATTTAGGCCAAAGCATGGAGAGAGGCCAAGTTCAACTAAAAAGGCCTTGAGGTGAGCACAAAACTAAAAAAGCAGACACTCAAGCCATTGTCAGATATAATGGTCAGACTTGCACACAGATGAGGCCAACCTTATGGACAGATGAGAGGGGCAAAATTTCTACTCAACCCAAAATATCAAAAGCAAGGGAATCATCTATTTATGTATTTGTACAAAGCAAGATCATAGATAGATAGATAATATATGTTGGAATAATATCCCAAATGGGTTTCTACCAAAAGGACTAAAGAACAGGAATACAATGGAGTTTACTTTTGCCAGGGAATAGATTCGACGTCAGCGTTAATTAGCTCAAGTATAGTCAAAATTACTCCTAAAAATACCTTAAAATATCTTAATCCACTTGTGCAGTACACCATATATGGCTCAATCTAAAAAGTAAACTATGGAATTTTGGAAGAAATCATTTAGGTTAAAATTGTGGGTACTCCATCCAAGATGGTAGAATAGGATCAGCTCCAGTCTACAGCTCCCAGTGTGAGTGACGCAGAAGATGGGTGATTTCCACATTTCCAACTGAGCTTTGAAGAGAGTAGTAGTTCTCCCAGCACGGAGTGTGAGATCTGACAATGGGCAGACTGCCTCCTCAAGTGGGTTCCTGACCCCCGAGCAGCCTATCTGGGAGGCAGCCCCCAGTAGGGGCAGACTGACACCTCACAAGGCCGGGTACTCCTCTGAGACAAAACCTCCAGAGAAATGATCAGACAGCAACATTTGCTGTTCAGCAATATTCGCTGTTCTGCAGCTTCCACTGCTGATACCCAGGCAAACAGGGTCTGGAGTGGACCTCCAGGAAACTCCAACAGACCTGCAGCTGAGGGTCCTGACTGTTAAAAGGAAAACTAACAAACAGAAAGGACATCCACACCAAAACCCCATGTGTACGTCACCATCATCAAAGACCAAAGGTAGATAAAACCACAAAGATGGGGAAAAAACAGAACAGAAAAACTGAAAATTCTAAAAATCAGAGCGCCTCTCCTCCTCCAAAGGAATGCAGCTCCTCACCAGCAATGGAACAAAGCTGGACGGAGAATGACTTTGACAAGTTGAGAGAAGAAGGCTTCAGACAATCAAACTTCTCTGAGCTAAAGAAGGAAGTTCAAACCCATTGCAAAGAAGTTAAAAACCTTGAAAAAAGATTCGACTAATGGCTAACTAGAATAACCAATGCAGAGAAGTCCTTAAAGGACCTGATGGAGCTGAAAACCATGGCACGAGAACTAAGTGATGAATGCACAAGCTTCAGTAGCCGATTCAATCAACTGGAAGAAAGGGTATCAGTGATGGAAGATCAAATGAATGAAATGAAGAGAGAAGAGAAGTTTAGAGAAAAAAGAATAAAAAGAAATAAGCAAAGCCTCCAAGAAATATGGGACTATGTGAAAAGACCAAATCTACATCTGATTGGTGTACCTGAAAGTGACGGGGAGAATGGAACCAAGTTGGAAAACACTCTGCAAGATATTATCCAGGAGAACTTCCCCAACCTAGCAAGGCAGGCCAACATTCAAATTCAGGAGATACAGAGAATGCCACAAAGATACTCCTCAAGAAGACCAACTCCAAGACACATAATTGTCAGATTCGCCAAAGTTGAAATGAAGGAAAAAATGTTAAGGGCAGACAGAGAGAAAGGTTGGGTTACCCAAAAAGTGAAGCCCATCAGACTAACAATGGATCTCTCAGCAGAAACTCTACAAGCCAGAAGAGAGTGGGGGTCAATATTCAACATTCTTAAATAAAAGAATTTTCAACCCAGAATTTCATATCCAGCCAAACTAAGCTTCATAAGTGAAGGAGAAATAAAATCCTTTACAGACAAGCAAATGCTGAGAGATTTTGTCACCACCAGGCCTGCCCTACAAGAGCTCCTGAAGGAAGCACTAAACATGGAAAGGAACAAAGCGCACCAGCCACTGCAAAAACATGCTAAATTGTAAAGACTATTGATGCTAGGAAGAAACTGCTTCAAGTAACGAGCAAAATAACCAGCTAACATCATAATGACAGGATCAAATTCACACATAACAATATTAACCTTAAATGGAAATGGGCTAAGTGCTCCAATTAAAAGACACAGACTGTCAACCTGGATAAAGAGTCAAGACCCATCAGTGTGCTGTATTCAGGAAACCCATCTCACATGCAGAGACACACATAGGCTCAAAATAAAGGGATGGGGGAAGATCCACTAAGCAAATGGAAACCAAAAAAAGGCAGGGGTTGCAATCCTAGTCTCTGATGAAACACACTTTAAACAAACAAAGATCAAAAGAGACAAAGAAGGCCATTACATAATGGTAAAGGGATCAATTCAACAAGAAGAGCTAACTATCCTAAATATATATACACCTAATACAGGAGCACCCAGATTCATAAAGCAAGTCCTTAGAGACCAACAAAGAGACTTAGACTCCCACACAATAATAATGGCAGACTTTAACACTCCACTGTCAACATTAGACAGATCAATGAGACAGAAAATTAACAAGGATATCCAGGAATTGAACTCAGCTCTGCACCAAGCAGACCTAATAGACATCTACAGAACTCTTCACCCCAAATCAACAGAATATACATTCTTCTCAGCACGACACCACAGCTATTGCAAAATTGACCACATAGTTGGAAGTAAAGCATTCCTCAGCAAATGTAAAAGAACAGAAAGCACAACAAACTGTCTCTCAGACCACAGTGCAATCAAATTAGAACTCAGGATTAAGAAACTCACTCAAAACCACTCAACTACATGGAAACTGAACAACCTGCTCCTGAATGACTACTGGGTACATAACGAAATGAAGGCAGAAATAAAGATATTCTTTGAAACCAACGAGAACAAAGACACAATGTACCAGAATCTCTGGGACACATTTAAAGCAGTGTGTAGAGGGAAATTTATAGCACTAAATGCCCACAAGAGAAAGCAGAAAAGATCTAAAATTGACACCCTAACATCACAATGAAAAGAACTAGAGAAACAAGAGCAAACACATTCAGAAGCTTGCAGAAGGCAAGGAATAACTAAGATCAGAGCAGAACTGAAGGAAACAGAGACAAAAAAAACCCTTCCAAAAATCAATGAATCCAGGAGCTGGTTTTTTGAAAAGATCAACAAAATTGACAGACTGCTAGCAAGACTAATAAAGAAGAAAAGAGAGAAGAATCAAATAGATGCAAGAAAAAATGATAGAGGGGATATCACCACTGATCCCATAGAAATACAAACTACCATCAGAGAATACTATAAACACCTCTACGCAAATAAACTAGAAAATCTAGAAGAAATGGATAAATTCCTGGACACATACACCCTCCCAAGACTAAACCAGGAAGAAGTTGAATCTCTGAATAGACCAATAACAGGCTCTGAAATTGAGGCAATAATTAGTAGCTTACCAAGCAAAAAAAGTCCAGGACCAGATGGATTCACAGATGAATTCTACCAGAGGTACAAGAAGGAGCTGGAACCATTCCTTCTGAAACTATTCCAATCAGTAGAAAAAGAGGGAATCCTCCCTAACTCACTTTATGAGGCCAGCATCATCCTGATACCAAAGCCTGGCAGCGACACAACAAAAAAAGAGAATTTTAGACCAATACCCCTGATGAACATTGATGCAAAAATCCTCAATAAAATACTGGCAAACCGAATCCAGCAACACATCAAAAACTTATCCACCATGATCAAGTGGGCTTCATCCCTGGGATGCAAGGCTGGTTCAACATACGAAAATCAATAAACGTAATCCAGCATATAAACAGAACCAATGACAAAAACCACATGATTGTCTCAGCAGATGCAGAAAAGGCCTTTGACAAAATTCAACAGCCCTTCATGCTAAAACCTCTCAATAAATTAGGTATTGATGGGATGTATCTCAAAATAATAAGAGCTATTTATGACAAACCCGCAGCCAATATCATACTGAATGGGCAAAAACTGGAAGCATTCCCTTTGAAAACTGGCACAAGACAGGGATGCCCTCTCTCTCCACTCCTATTCAACATAGTGTTGGAAGTTCTGGCCAGGGCAATTAGGCAGGAGAAAGAAAGAAAGGGCATTCAATTAGGAAAAGAGGAAGTCAAATTGTCCCTCTTTGCAGATGACATGATTGTATATCTAGAAAACCCCATCATCTCAGCCCAAAATCTCCTTAAGCTGATAAGCAACTTCAGCAAAGTCTCAGGATACAAAATCAATGTGCAAAAATCACAAGCATTCTTACACACCAATAGCAGACAAACAGAGAACCAAATCATGAGTGAACTCCCATTCACAATTGCTTCAAAGAGAATAAAATACCTAGGATTCCAACTTACAAGGGATGTGAAGGACCTCTTCAAGGAGAACTACAAACCACTGCTCAACCAAATAAAAGAGGACACAAAAAAATGGAAGAACATTCCATGTTCATGGATAGGAAGAATCAATATCATGAAAATGGCCATACTGCCCAAGGTAATTTATAGATTCAATGCCATCCCCATCAAGCTACCAATGACTTTCTTCACAGAATTGGAAAAAACTACTTTAAAGTTCATATGGAACCAACAAAGAGCCTGCATTGCCAAGTCAATCCTAAGCCAAAAGAACAAAGCTGGAGGCATCACACTACCTCACTTCAAACTATACTACGAGGTTACAGTAACCAAAACAGCATGGTACTGGTACCAAAACAGAGATACAGACCAATGGAACAGAACAGAGCCCTTAGAAATAATACCACACATCTACAACTATCTGATCTTTAACAAACCTGACAAAATCAAGAAATGGGTAAAGGATTTCCTATTTAACAAATGGTGCTGGGAAAACTGGCTAGCCATAAGTAGAAAGATGAAACTGGATCCCTTCCTTACATCTTATACAAAAATTAATTCAAGATGGATTAAAGACTTAAATCTTAGACCTAAAACCATAAAATCTCTAGAGGAAAACCTAGGCAATACCATTCAGGACGTAGGCAGGGGCAAGGACTTCACGTCTAAAACACCAAAAGCAATAGCAACAAAAGCCAAAATTCACAAATGGGATCTACGTAAAGAGCTTCTGCACAGCAAAAGAAACTACCATCAGAGTGAACAGGCAACCTAGAGAATAGGAGAAAATTTTTGTAATCTACTCATCTGACAAAGGGTTAATATCCAGAATCCACAAATAACTCAAACAAATTTACAAGAAAAAAAACAAACAACCCCATCAAAAAGTGGGTGAAGGATATGAACAGACACTTCTCAAAAGAAGACATTTATGCAGCCAACAGACACATGAAAAAATGCTCATCATCACTGGCCATCAGAGAAATGCAAATCAAAACCACAATGAGATATCATCTCACATCAATTAGAATGGTGATCATTAAAAAGTCAGGAAACAACAGGTACTGGAAAGGATGTGGAGAAATGGGAACACTTTTACACTGTTGGTGGGACTGTAAACTAGTTCAACCATTGTGGAAGTCAGTGTGGCAATTCCTCAGGGATCTAGAACTAGAAATACCATTTGACCCAGCCATCCCATTACTGGGTATATACCCAAAGGAATATAAATCATGCTGCTATAAAAACACATGCACATGTATGTTTATTGCGGCACTACTCACAATCGCCAAGACTTGGAACCAACCCAAATGTCCACCAATGATAGACTGGATTAAGAAAATGTGGCACATATACACCATGGAATACTTTGCTGCTATAAAAAAGGATGAGTTCATGTCCTTTGTAGGGACATGGATGAAGCTGGAAATCATCATTCTCAGCAAACTATCACAAGGACAAAAAACCAAACACCGCGTGTTCTCACTCATAGGTGGGAATTGAACAATGAGAACACTTGAACACCGGAAGGGGAACATCACACACCGGGGCCTGTTGTGGGGTTGGGGGCTGGGGGAGGGATAGCATTAGGAGATATACCTAATGTAAATGACGAGTTAATGGGTGCAGCACACCAACATGTCACATGTATACATATGTAACAAACCTGCACGTTGTGCACATGTACCCTAGAACTTAAAGGATAATAAAAAATATATATATAAAAATAAAATAAAACTGTGATTGTACCCACTATTTTTCCCTTTCTAAACTAAACATTTTTGTTTATATGTAATCATGCATGGATAATATGTTGTAAAGCTGCACTCGATGTAAGACCTGCCCTTTTTATCAATTTCCAAACCAAATAACACTCAACATTTCTGAATGCATTATCTCATTTGGTCCTCTCAGCAGCTCAATGCAATAAATGCTATCATTAACCCTTAATTTATGGCAGAAAAAAATGGGGTCCCTTGTCACATTGGTCATATTAGGTATCTGAATATATGCACACATCCACTGACAAACACACACATCTTTCACAGTAAATATTATTTAGCATGTAAACTTCAGACCAATCACATGAATGTGTAAACACTACTAACTTTTTAAAGCAACACAGTCCTTGAGAAAAATTGACTGACTTAACAATTACAGTGGCTATGCTATTTTCATATGCACATTTGGCAAGAATGTTTAGGATAATCATGAATGCTTATTTAATAGAATGAAAGTCACTAATATCACATTCTGGCTAGTTTTAGCAAGTGGAGGGATGTTAACTAGGCTCTCTGAAAATAAAAGATACTACTATTTATTCACAGGGTTCTTTGGCCCAATAAATTGCCTTAAGAAAATATTCATTATTATAATCTAATTGCTTGACAGCTGGGTAACAGAATTTACCACTAGGTCAACAAAACATAGAACAAAAGTATTTTCCCATCACTACTTTACTGAGAGGTTTGTGAAACCACAGCACACAGTAGTTATTCAAAAGAAAGAGACAATGCAACAGAGGTGAGAGAAACTGTTAGCCTGAGACCTGTTTCTCAAGAGTAATTTTGAAACACCCTTCCACGTCTACAGTAAACCTTACCTGTGAATTCAACTTGCACTGATTATACTTTTATCAGGACTTTTCTCTGGATGATATATCTACGTGTAGTTAACTCGTGGTCCTTACAAAAACAAAGATGGTTACAATCACATCTCTTTCAATAACTTCTGGTTTTGTAAGGTTTAAAATGAGGTTCTTGAATGGGCAGAATTAAGTTATTGCGATAGATATCCTATCAATGGTTACCAAGGGGTGACTAGGGAAGATTCACTGGGAGGGAGACTATGGGAACTTTCCAGAGGTACAGAATGGTTCTGTATCTTGATTGGGTTAGTAATTATGGGTTACCTTTATCAAAAGTCACTGAACCAGAAACATAAGATTTGTGCTTTTTTGTTTTGTGCAGATTATTCTTCAATGTAATTTCCACTATGATTTTTTCTTTGTGGGGGAAAAAAAGGAAGTACTATACACTCAATGCTTTTCCCCTCATTTTGGAAATGAAGGCATATACTGTGGAGTCACTGATATTTTGGAAGACTAAATGCTGTTATAATAAGTCATACATTTCTTTCCGAGATATAATAAATATGCAAACATATTTCCCAATTAAACAGGTATCATCAACATTTTTTCCTTTTTTTTTTCTTGCTGTATATATTTTCCCATAAGGAATCACCTCGTTTGGTTAAAAAATAGGTAATGTGTTAGGAAGTTCCAAAGATATTAAAAATGGCAATTTTTCAAAATAATTTTTTAAGTGCACTGATGACAAATGGGAACTAAGCAGTAAGCCAGATGAGGCATAAGTTAGAAAAATATGGTGTTGTTTTTCTGTATCACCTCTTCTTAATGAAACCTCATCTTTTCAGCTTATTAAACAGGTTTTTTATCAGGAAGATATATGAAAAGGGATCTTATAGAGACAAACTTTTACTTTAATTCAATTAAAAGTGAAAACCAGTTATGTATTCCCTATTACCTACCAGGCATTATGATGACACAAGATAGAAAGACAGGCAAGATTGACATGGCCCCTTATTCATAGAACATGCAGTCTGGCAGGAGCTCATGTAATTAAATGAATAATTACAGCAGGATGAATGAGATAGTATTACAGTGTATAAGAGTGTGGGCTCAGGAACCAAAATGCCTGGCTTACATCCTAGCTAACCAGGCACTTTCTAGCTGTTTAATTGTCATTGAACACATTGCCCAAATGCCTTATGCCTCAATTTCCCACCTGAAAATGAAATGGATAAATGGTATCTATCTCAGAAGTCTTTTTAACAGTTAAGTAAGGTTAATATAGTTGAAGTTCTTAGAACACAGTCTGACACAGAATGAGTGCTACATAAGTAACAGAGAGACAGAGGCCATGAAGGAAAAGTGAAATTAGCCAACACTGGCATTGCCTAAATAAGTATCATCTGGGCAAGAATACACCCCCTTGGTCAGTATCCACTCTATTAGGTGTCCTGATGTTGGCAATGAATGTGTCATGTTCGCAGGGCCTGATACTGTTTAGTAGTAGTATCATATATTGAAATTCTTGGTTTAACTTCAGCAAAGCCCCTAGAGACTTGCTATTCCATGTATACATACTTGTGTGTGTGTGTGTCTGTGTGTGTGCGCACGTGCACACGTGCACCATGGATACAAATAGTCAAGAATATCTATATCTATGTCTATATCTATACACACATAAACACACACACACACGTATGTATGCATGCAAATGGGTACCACAGAATTTACCACTAGGTTAACAAAGCTTAGAGACAGAGAGAGAAAGTATGTGACCATGAGAAGCAAGAATACAGTTTGCTTCAGAGTTAATTTTTGCATCATAAATGAACAAAAGTCTATTATGGCATGAATATTTATGGGCATAAAATACTTGTGGAAATTAATATACACAAATATGTAAACACATATATACACCATACACACACATGTGGAATGAGATAGAGTAGCAAATGTTCCAATATGTGGGTATTCCTAATTGCAGAGTTTGAAGAAAAACACTAAGAAAGGTAGATAATTAATAATTACCAACAATTAATCAATAAATAGTAAGGGTAATTTAAAAAAGTATTTCATAAAAGCACCTACCACCAAACAAAAATCAGAAATGAAAGCAAAACCAACAAACCAAAAAGAAAACCAAAATGAAAGGCTTTCACTTTTCCTGGAGACTAGAAGAATTACTGGCAAAGTTTCCAGATCTAATACTAATTCGTGTCAGCCAATGTGATTTCAAATGCTGTAGAGTTCAAATGCAGAATATACCTACTTCTAAAGAACTTTTGGCTCACATCTATAATAACTTAGCATATGTTTATCAGTGAAATTTTGCTAATAAGAAACTGCATATGTGTTAAAATACAAGTGTTGATCTCTCTTTTTCCTGGTTTATAATTGGATCTCATAGAAGTCCATATGCCCCTTGGTAGAAACTTTCAAGCAATAATTAATTATGTTGTTTTAAAATATTATTGGTTGTTTTTGGTTGCTTAAGTTGTGAGTATTAGAACCACATTAGCAAAATCATCAAGTAAAAAATACATAACTCTATTTGATTTGCTATACAGAGATTCCATGATGAATAATTAAAATATTCCCACCAGACTTTTCCTTTCAGATGGCAAAATGAAGCATGATTACAAAATCTTCCTTCCTACAGACCTAATTATAAGCAAAAGAACAGCAAAAATGCCCAGCTTCAATCAAGCAAAGAAAGTAGCTTATAGCTATTTAAGAAATAAATGTTTCTATAAATCTATACTCCTTTAACGCAAAATGGCACACAGAGCTCGTCTAATATTAATAATAAAAAACTCCTGATAATAAAAATATCTGGTTTATTTGTACCAATACACACAAAGTCAAATGCCACCATCACATTTAATGGGGAAATAAGAATTGTTCTCATTATAATGAAGAACATAATAAAAATGTGCCATAATTTGATACTGCTCTGGAGGTACTAGATAATGCAATCAGATAAGAGAAAGAAAAAGAGTTGCAGAAATGGGAAGCCAGAATCAGACATATTTATCACCAATCTTAGGTGATGTGATTACACCTAACAAAACCCAAGAATATCAAATTAAAAATATATTAGGAACACTAAGATTATTCTATAAGAAAGCAATATATAAAATTGCCATTTAAACGTATTAAGTATAATGAAGGCATGAACCAATTTTCAATAGCAAGCAAAAACATAAAATACTATATACACAATGAAATACTGTACAGCCATAAAAAAAAAAAGAATGAATGTATGTCATTTACAGTGACATGGATGGAACTGGAGGTCACTATGTTAAGTAAAATAGGCCTGGCAGAGAAAGACAAATATTGCATATTCTCAGTCACATGTGGGAGCTAAAAAAGTTGATCTCATAAAGAGTGAGAGTAGAATGATAGAAACTACAGGGTGGGAAGTGTTTATGGGTGCAAGAGGGATAAAGAGAGGTAGGTTGATGGGTACAAACATACAGTTAGACAAAAGGCATAAGAGTGATTATCCAACAGCAGAATAGAGTGACTATGTTTAACAACAATGTATTGTATATTTCAACCTAGCTAGAAAACTTGAATTGTTCCCAACACATAGCAATGATAAATACCCAAAGTGATGGATACCTCAAATACCTTGATTTGATCTTTATACACTCTACTGCATGTAACAAAATATCACATGTACCTTATAAATATGTATCATGTATCAGTTAAAAATAAATATAAAATACTGGGTATAAATCTAACATAAATTTATATCACTTAAGTGAAGAAATTTAAAATTCAACCACATACCATAAAATATTTTAGTGAATAAATAGATATATCATGCACTATAAAAGGGGGACCTGAATGTATAAAGAAGCCAAAATTGTTCAAAATTAACTTATAAGTAAAATGTAGGCCCAAATGAATTATCCATAAATTAGTGTATGTTTGCAAAAACGAACAAAATATTTGTCTCAAAAAAAGACGCAGTTGCAGAAAATTTTTGAAAATTAAGAATCAAGAAGGGAGAATAGTCTTAAAAATAATTATGAAATCATAATTTTTAATACTCTTTTTTGGAGAAGAGATAGATCTATAGCAAATGTAAAAAATAGAAGAATTCAGAAATATAACCAAAACATATGAGAATTAAATCCATAATGACGCAACCAAATTTCAAATCGGTATACACGGAGAAGTTATTCAATAATTACAATAATTAGTGTTGGGACTCTAGGTCCAGTTGATTGGACTGAAATTATACACAGGTACGTGTGTGTGTGTATGCAATGTATGAGCACGTACATGTGTATTCCATCGCTTACACTAAAATATAAAAATAAATACAAAAAAAATCTAGAAGAAAGAATGGTTGCATTTATTCATAAGCTTTGGTGGGAAAGGTGTTTAAGTAGACATCAAAACCTAGAAAGCACAAAAGAAAAACATATGAGATATTATTATACATATATTTTAAACTTCTATATGGCAAAAATATCATAAGCAAAATCAAAATGCAGAAAACTAATTGGGGAAAATCTATGCAATGCCTTATCAAATACATATGTATTTTCCTTAATCTAAAAAAAACTCAAAAAAGTCAGTAAAAGACAATACAAAGTGAAAAATCTGTAAGGAAGGGTAGGCTTCCAGGAGAAACATACAAATATTTTATCCTCCTTTGTAATGAAGTAGATATATAGTAAAATTAAGAGATTGTGTTTTTCACAGTTCAGATTGGCAAACATTTGTAAATACAGTGATTGTAATGTTAGAGCAATTATGAGGAAACACAGAAAACTGTACTGGGTGAAGTGTAAATGCATGGATAATTTCTTATGGGCAGTTTAGCAATTTCTATTACAATAACAGAAAACTCAGGATTTCTTTGATGTAATACAGCAACTCTTAGAGAAATTAATCCTAAGAAGACGATCCTAGAGGTTCATAAGGAAATTTGCAGGAAAATGTTCATCACGTCATTATTTGTATTACCAATGAAAGCCTCCATAAGAGTGGACTAATTAACTACAGCAAATACAACGTTGCTATTAAAAAGAATGAGGTAGTGCTTTAAGAGAAAAAGCAAAATGAACAACTGAGGAAAGGAGGGAAGAAATCAAGTAAGCAAGTTGGTATAGGCATATCTATAATAACTTTATATATGTGCAAATATATATATATACACATAATATTTTCTAGAAAAGCAGGCAGAATTGTTAATGGTAGATTTGGAAGGAGAAAATGGCACAGAAGATGTCCACTTTTCCTTTTATAGCTTTCCATAGTATTAATTTTTTTTTTTTACCATGCACATTATAGTTTTTTGTTTTTACTTTGTTTTTCTTTTACCTTTTATGGCAAAAGGCTTATCTGTGCAGTAGATTATGAAACATTTTGGGGGTCCTTTTTTATATTCCTTAACATTAAAAGAAAAACACATTATTTAGTAAATTTAAAACTATTCCCCTAAACAATCGATTACCATTCAAAAGAAACTAAGATACTCCATATTCGCGATGCTGATTAAGGCTCACTCAAGACAGACACTTTCAGAGCAGAGCATAAGCTTTGTCCCAGGAGAGAGGGAGCTTAGTTCTCTCCATCTCTGTGGCCCCTGTACTGTCTACTATAGTGCCTTATACATACATGAGATGCTTAGGGCAATTTCGTCACATGAAGACCTTTTAAGATTGAATTGTTTTCACTTATTTTACATGAAGTAAACTAACTGAAATTAGTTTACTTTATATAATTACCTATATGATTTTCTGTTCTGTGGACATCAATCCCTGTCTAGACAAATTTTACATATATTGGCAATCTCTAAAATGAAAGAACCAAACCTAACTCAATTGATCATTCAATTTGCAAACAAACAAAAAACAACCAATTATGAACCATGCTAACTAGCAGGAACAGTCATCCCTTAATTCTTAGCCATAATTTTATAATGACAGTTTTTTAAAAAATCCCTAACTTTCAAAAATGTTCAAAATGAACAACTAGATTTTTTTTTTTTTTTTCAGATGGAGTTTTTACTCTTGTTGCCCAGGCTGGAGTGCAATGGTGAGACCTCGGTTCACTGCAACCTCCGCCTCCCAGGTTCAAGCAATTCTCTTGCCTCAGCCGCCCGAGTAGCTGGGATTACAGGCATGTGCCACCATGCCCAGCTAATTTTGTATTTTTAGTAGAGATGGGGTTTTCTCCATTTTGGTCAGGCTGGTCTCGAACTCCCAACCTCAGGTGATCTGCCCACCTTGGCCTCCCAAAATGCTGGGATTACAAGCGTGAGTCACCTCACCCGGCCTGAACAACTATATTTTTATGAATAAATCGAGATTCATGGGATGGATTCACAAAGAGAAACAAAAAATTAGTTCTGAAGGCTATCGGAATTTAACTCATTTGCAACAGCATGTTACATTGGATTCTTTAACTGAGGCACCAAGATAAAACAGACAGCAGACAGCTGAGTTGTTAGACACACGATACAATACCATTTGCAAAATGTCAGAGTAGGGTGACAGAGAGCTAAATGGCCTAAAATCTACATTGAGGATTAAAAATTAGTGCAAACCAATGAAACCAGGAAGAAGGACTTGTGTTAAAGATCTGTTTGGAGAAAGTTATTCTGTGCTTGCTTCTCAAGTTAAGACAGAGGAGCTTCAGAGGGACCCCTCAAGAGCTTAATATGTTGCTCTGAGTTAATACGGCAAAGTGAACTGTGATTGGTCCCTATACAGGAAACATAGAGGACAAAGTAAGCAACTGATGAACTGCTTTGGGCACAAAGTAGAAAGGTGCAGCTGTATTGGGATTGACCTGCATTCTCAGACTTTGTTGGAGCCAGGGATCAATGTCCCTGGACAAGATGTGGGTTACAGAGGAATAGAGAGAGTACGACTGTAGCTTTTTTGTCTCCTGTCCAGGAAAACCACTGGAGGCTAATGAGATTCCTGCAGAGAGAATTTTAGGAGTAGATCTCCACGGGGTGCAAAGGGAGCAGAGAGCTGGAGAAAAATCTATCATCAATGTCACAGATGTGCTTTCAAACATCCACAGTAAAGGCCTCAAAGGAGCCTAAGAAAGATCTCAAGAAAGAGAGAGACCTGGTAAGAATATACAAAGCCATCTCAAGAAAGTCAAGTACGAACTTCCCTACCTTCCTCACCTGTCCTCCCCTACCCTCTCACTTTGACACTAGCAGGGTTAGAAATGAGAACCAGCAGTTGAAGAATGAGGTGAACTGCAAGAGAGGAAAGAAAAAGAAGCACCAAGCATCTTACTCTCAAGTCCCTTCTACTGCAGACTTGGGCTGGAGGATGGGACACAATGTTAATCTACATTTTTATTAAAGATGGATTATTGAATGGGAGCTGCACATTCTAATTTCGGAATTGAGCCTCAATTTGCTACTTAAAGTGGATCCTGGTCTCTGTGACCTCATTTAATTAAGGAGGAAATTGGAGCTCAGGGAGTTTACGATTTTTGGTTTTTGCCAATTGCTACTCAACTTATTAGTGAAAAGCAAAGAGTAAGCCACATTTTTATTACTGTATTGTAACCATTTTTAAACATAAAGAGTGTTTTGATTTGATTTTTTTTTTTTTTTTAACAGAGAGAAGTCAAGAGTGAAAATTTCTCACGGCCTTAAGTCTACCACAAATATGTGGCACTATAATAAAGTCTGTTGATGAAATACATAAATTAACTTTCATTTTCTGGAGACAGTAAATGCAGTGTTTTGTCTGACTATATGCTCGATGAACAATGTAGCATTTTATAGCATTTCTTTTATGCACAACCCCACCTGCATCGATTATTAATATTTCCTGACTAGATTAAAAGTTTTAGAGATAAATTTGCCTGAAATATTTTAGTTCAATGTCCCCTTTGGGGAATTATTTTCAGCCTTAACAGCTTAAATGACAATGCAGTCAGGAGACTTGAAACAAGACGAAAACAAGAATACTGAGGAAAAAAATAAATTTCCAACTTTATTGATAAAGAGACCCTACACTTAGTAAATTTCAAGTATGCAGCATCCCGGAAAACTCATGTGTTGTTTACTTGTCATTTACTTAAATGACAAGGCAGTGAAGAGACTTGAAACAAGAGGAAAACGATGGAAAAAAATAAATTTCCAACTTTATTGATAAAGAGACCCTACACTCAGTAAATTTCAAGTATGCAGCATCCTGGAAAACTCATTTGTTGTTTACTTCATTAGCACTTCATGTATATAGCCAACTTTATTGAGTATATTAATGTGAATAGGTTATTGTTATGATCATAAACCTAAGCTTTAAGGCCCTTATCATCCGGAATGTTTCAGTATTTCATACTGCTAGAAATTTTGTGTTAAAGAAAACAAGTTTGCATTCTCTCCCTCTTAAGGGTGCTGCCACGGCGAGTTTTGTGGGGAGAAATAAACTGAACATTTAATTCTGTCCCCACCCTATACTCCTCCCAAAACAAACCACTTGAATTGTAATTCCATCCAAACTCCCTCCAGACTATGGTTCATGAATTTCAGGGGTAAAATCTTTGTCATAACCTTGGAAACTGCGTGGAATCCACATAATTGACTATTTCCTGTGATTTGTCAAAATGCCATTCTTCCCAATAGACCATTTTCCCCCCATCGCGAATGCACACACCCATAGATAATAACTTCAATTATCAAGAATATACAAAATAGACTATAATTTAATAGGATTACAAGTGTATTTCATTGTATTAAATTAAAATAAACAAACCCCTAGACCTTTCCTCTATCAATTTTAGTCAGCATCCTGCATGCAACGAATGAAACCTATTTATTAAATATCTTTAAATATTATAGACCTAGAAATAGCACACTTACCTACACATATTTATGTGGCACTTGAAGAATACTGATTTACATGAAACTTAAAAGTGCTAGAAAGTTAACTTGATGCTTTTCAAAAATTCTTTTAAACAATTTCAGATCTTATTTTAAAAAGAAAATGAAATAAATGACAGGAATTGGCATGATGTTTATGACTTCCCCATTATTTGTCTCTCTCATCAGCCTCCAGAGTCTTCATATTTCCTTTTGGTCACCAAAGGAATTCCCAACATTCTTGGTGAAACTCCTTGTTCATGTAGCCAAAGGCATTAACTGAAAACCTACCACCAGGCTTCACAGAGCACAACTAGAAAAAAACCTGAAATCTGGCAAGAACTTGTTTTTCATAGTGCTTTTAGTTAGAAACATATGGTCAATAGCCATTTAAATGTTATGTTTGCAGGCCAAAGGAGTTCTTTCACGTAATGTTTACTTTGTGTACAAAGAGCTTCAACACCACAATAGCATACATTTGCTTTTATAGAAACTAAGAAATGTTTTAACTAAATTGTGTCTGCAAAGAGTTCTGAAACATGCCCCTGCTAATGCTCATTAATAATCTCTAAAACCGATTGGTCCATGATAGTTCAGGTTTTCTGAAGATATAAGAATGAATTGCTGGCCAGGCGCGGTGGCTCACGCCTGTAATCCCAGGCCAAGGTGAGTGGATCACCTGAGGTCAGGAGTTCGAGACCAGTCCGGTCAACCTGTTGAAACCCCATCTCTACTAAAAATACAAAAATTAGCTGGGCATGGTGGTCGGCACCTGTAATCCCAGCTACTCGAGAGGCTGAGGCAGGAGAATCACTTGAACCCGGGAGGCGGAGGTTGCAGTGAGCTGAGATCGCGCCACTACATTCCAGCCTGGGCGACAAAGCAAGACTCCATCTCAAAAAAAAAAAAAAAAAAAAAAAAAGAATGAATTGCCTTTACTAGGATTCACAATAAAACAGAAATAATCAAGAAAATGAAAGCATAACTGGAAGAAAAATTTCTCAGTCCTATTATTTAGGCATACTTAAAAATATGGCTTTGGTTGCCTCAGCAAACACACAAAATATTGAGGCCCTACTATGTGCTAAGCCATCTGATGGTAATTTGGGGTACTTGTATTCTCTCTGGAGAAGCAATATGCAAGTAAATAGTTATTGTGATTGAGAACTGTCTTATGTCAATATGGGCCAACTCCAGTTCTATGCAAGTATTCCCTTTGTTTCTTGAACGTGGCTGCACGCCTATGCCCAGTCAGCCACCTGGCAAAAGGGGCTGGGATAATAGACCTAAAGACTCACAGGAAAACCAACATAACAATAATCATAGTTTTAAACTTTGCAGTATCCTCTTGATAAAAGAAGAATGACATTGTTTTAACATACATCTTCACTTTTCCCTTCTCTATATAAAAAAATTGGCTCCTCTGGCCATTTGTACAGTCTGGGGGTATAACCAAACCATTTTTCTAATTAGTTTGAAACACTTCTCTTACTCCAATTAATCATTTTAATTATGCTGTCAACATCTGTGTCGGGACTTCAATCAAACCTGTTTCCTTAATGGCCTCCTCTGGCCATGAATTGTCAGTCTGTCCCTTAAAACATCAGACCCACACATAAACCTGGTTACATGAATTTTCTGGGAGTCTCTAGTAAGTTTCATTAGAGCATGGTGAGCTTTCCATTTGGATGAGAAAATTACATGCAAGGCAAGTAAAATATACAGATGGAAAGAGCTGTCTCCTATGACAGGGCTTCTCATGGAGAGAGGCATTTTATGTCTTTCAGAGGAATCCCCATAAAAGCAATGGGGGAAAAAATTAAGGTTTTAGGTAAAGTATAGCTGAGAGGAAGAAACAGTGAGAGACAAAGAGTGGGGGAAAAAAAAATCCTCCTCCTTTTAAACTGCTAGAATGTAGAGCTTCTTGTTATTAAATATTTCTCAGTCAAGAAAACTGAAATCTATAGCATTTCTGTGACAGAAGCAGATAAAGCCATGAGTTTTCAAGAGACAATTTATTCATTCTTAGTCTTTCTGTTCTCTTCACAAGGGAAATTATAGACAAGACTATCAGGTAGAATTCATTGAATAAATAATGCAAATTGCTGCCCCTTAGCTCTAGAGATCATTTAAAATAATAAAGGAAGTATAGATGAATGGGAGGACCCCAGTCAATAGCTCACTTCCACCATAACTAACAAGTCAGGCTTGAAGGAAAATAGTACAGCAGTAATTTAACTTCAGGGTCTTTAACAAGACAAATATCGCTGCCATCACAGTTGGCTAAATGGTGTTATCAGGATGACTGAAATTCAACAACTGATAATTAAGAATCCTCCAGCCCTTTGTGGAAAGACATTTTGTTGAGCTACAGAGAAATCTGTAGGTCCTGGGCTTGAGTTAAAGGGGACAGCCACTGGGACTGTCTACACACTGTCTTTTCTGAAGAAGTTCCTTATGGAGAAAATGACAAGATAACCTATTTTATTTATTTCCTCTATGCTTAAATGTTGAAAAATTTAAATAATCCTTTTTGGAAAGAGAGAAAGGGAAATATGTACATGAAAATTATAAGCTTAAGCTACTCCCAGAAAAATACCAGTGACTACCTCAATCCCTTGCCTTGTGGTCTGGGTGGCAAATACTGGTAAATATATACAAAAAAGGATAGTCACCTTTCTAAGGGTAGCCTGGTTGCACATAATAGCTAATTGATTTTGGACTGCATTTAAGACATTATCCTCAAAAAAGGGAATATCATTTATAGACACAAGAGTCTTATGAAGCTAAAAATAGTAGCCATGATTGGGAACTTGCTCTCTACCAGCAGTTCCCAAAAGAAGATTCAAAACTGCTGAACTGAAGCAGAACCAAGGACAATTTCAATTTGCCCTTGTTTTGTTAAGAGAAATACTACGTTTTTTGGAGTGTCTGTTCTACTTTTCAGGAAGTAAGCCATTGCTATTGTGTGATAAAATTCTACAGACCACATGGTACTGTGACAGTGTTCACAACTGTTTAGCACTCCATGATGCCTAGCACAGCACCTGGTCGACAACATGCCTTTACAAATAATGGATGAATAAAAGTGATATGAAAAGGCTTTCCTTACAAATATGAGGGAGCTTAGTTTCTTTGCTTTAATGAAAGGAAGGACAGACGTAAGGAAGGAAGGAAAGAAGGAAAGGAGGGAGGGAGGAGAAAAGGGAGAAAAATGTAATTTCTTCTGTCTGGGGTCAATATAGGCAATAATAGAGACTTAGGAAAGAGATCTAAGTCCAAATGGCAGCTTCACCACCCATTATTGTATGCCCTTAGGCAAGTACTTGTACTGTACTCACTCCCCATTTCTGTATCTGTAAAATGAAAACACTGTTATTTATGTTTGCAGTCCATTATTGTAGTGAAGGGCAAGGATAATGGAGGCAAACTACCAGTGTGCAGCCCAATCTGCTACATAGCATAGCAAAATAGGGAATGCAGAGAACGGTCTTAGTTCAAATTCTGTCTCTGCTACTTACTAGTTGTGACCTTAGGATCAAAAGCAGCAGGAAAGTTAAATTTATGCCACCATATTTAATTCTTCATTCTGTAAAGGAACTGTTTTCTAGTGGACAATGAGGTTGAACTGGTTTTCCTCAGTGCCTTCAGTTCACCAACATTCCAGCCAAGACCTAAGTCGTATTCCAATTGAGAGGCATGTTGTCTTCCATTTTTGAAGTTAGGAACATTTTTTTTTCTGTGATTTGATACTACATACAAAATAAAAACTGTTCATAAATAAGGGTAAAATATTAGCCGTCTATTTAAGGGAAACTATAGTCTATTAATTAGACAGATATGTAAATTTTTTTTTCAAGTAGCAAGTTTATTTTGAAAGATCCAAAAATAATTCACTCAGACTAAAGTAGTTAATATGTCAAATTGCATTGTTCTTCTTTGTCAATTAATGTAGATTTCTCAACATTATCAGTGTCGGTACAACTAGATAAATAGAAAACACAATATTTTCTTAGGTAACTGGCTATATCTTAAGAAATTTCTTTTAAAAAACTCCCCAAACGGCATTATTTATGCAAATACTCACTTGTTATAAGCCAATCCCAAAAGATATTTCGCTCAGACCACAACTCATAACCTCTGTGTACGCATGGAAGCTCTTCCTTAGGTTGTTTTTATACTACTACATTAGATCAACAATATGGATACAAACATATTACTGAATTGAGTTTTATGTATACAGATACAAACTTTTCACCATTTCAAAAGTATCCTACTGAATAGCAACTATATAAGAAACCAGTTGCACTAAAATTCTTTCCTAATAGCCCTACTTTTAAAATAGCTTAAACATAATACATAACATGCATCTAAGTAGAATTTCAGTCTCTACTCTCACACAAGCCAGTAAATCAATTTTTCCATTAATTTCCATTTATTTGGCTTTTTTGTATCTTATAAACTTAGAATCATATAATTTTATAGTGAGAAGGGGCTGGAGGATCTTCCTCAACTCTTTCTCAAACAAATGAACTATTTGTATAATGTGTGAAAAACTGTGTAATTCAACCACTACGTATAGGTTTTAACATATACTTACCTGACTATATAATTGATCGAAGTAGAAGTAAAACATAAGTTTCAAGGCAATTATATTTTTTATAACTATGGAAATAAATCCCTACCCACTTGATAATATCCTCGGCATATAGCTACGTTATACTATATGTTATCCATTGTGTTTTCACGATCCAAGCTTTAAATTAGCTATTTATTGTACTGTGATTCTTAAAGATACTATAAAAATACTTTTTTCAATGATTCTAAACTTTCAATACCTTATTCAAATAGAAATGGGAGGTGCCAATAATAGACACAATGGGTAAGGCACAGGTAAATTAATTTTTAGCATATTCCAAATCCAGAAAGGCAACTGGCTAAAAATATAATCAAACTAATTAAAGATTTACCATTATCTGTCCACTTGAAATTGGCCTCAAAATTGGTTTTATGACTGGGCAGCTCTTCCATACATCTGTGAGTAGCAGAAAGAACTAGGTCTCAAATCTCCTCGGATGATCTAGTAAATCAATTGGTAAGAAAACCAGGTTTCCATTTTCTGTTCACACCTGAAGCCTCCACTTCTGGAAATAACTCAAAATTCAGCACAGACTATTCTTGATTTATTCCATGTTGTTACTTCAAAAATATATCTCCTTATCACATCAAGAATCGTATTCTTACTTTCAGACTTCTCTAGAGTCACCAGCTACTCCAACTGTATCTCCAGGGATGCAATCTGACTAAATACATGATGTTTTATGAAGATCAAGCAAGAGGGGTGAGGTTGCACATTCGAGAGAATATGTGTCCCGTCAGTTTTAATCCAATTAAATGAAATCCAGTTAGTAGTGTTTGGCATCATACTGAAAATGAAGAGTTCAGTTCTACATTTTCAGAATAAAAAATGACTTTAGTTTGTCTTCCTTGTTTGAGGGTAATTATTATTTTAGATGGTGGGAGGTGAAAAATAATAATTTCATATATGTTAAATAGGCAGAAATTCTTATAAAGGATTATAAACCACTAAAGACAAATGCATGCTGTTAGTTAAGAGCAGTAAGAGGAAGAGAAGCCAAGTGGAGGTCTAGGGACAAGACCACAGAGCTGGGGGTCATCAGTGCAATGTTCCAGCCTCTGATGGGCTCCCAGAGAAATGAGCAAGCTCAGACAATTCACTTTACCTCCTTGAGCTTTAATAACCTTGCTGGTCAAATTGAATATTTATTATATTACTTAATATAAAAAAGTAGAAATACAAATAGATGATAAAATAAAAATACTTATAAGATTTAAAATATTATGCTTGAGATGGCAGAGTGGTATGGAAAGACCACGGATTTTAGAATTAATACAAATAAGTGTTCAAATCCTCCAGTGAGTGACAATGGGCAACATAATGAAATTTCCCTGAATCTCTTTTTCTGACAAAGTAGTGATAAAGCCAACTTCACAGAGTTGTTAATAATTAAATGAGAGAATATACAAAACATTTTGATTCTTCTGTATTTCATAATTTTGTATGCAATTACCACTTGTCAGTTTCATTACTTAAGATTTCATTTATTTATATCTGCATACGTATAACAGCATTTTATGTATATATGAATTTTTATATATGGATTTTTATTTCTACAAATACAGGGATTTTTCATATTTACATGGATTAATTTTCCTTTAACAAGAAAAAGGATTATTGCTAGTGGCTGGCTCTCCTTAATCACTGCAAGAGTGGTATGGCGCTTATGATAATGATATTTCACATGTTGAAAACTAATAAAACAGACAAATATATTAAAAATTATTAAACTAAGTTTAAATTAATTTAAAAAGCATTACAGATAGCATTTTATCTATTAAAAAAGGATTTAACTTAAACTTTTTAAAAATGATATATATAATAGGAAGGAGGGATAGAAAATATAAAATGTACTTTATTTGCTACCATTTCTGCTATGTCACTGAAATACTATGATCTAATTATCTTGTCAAACTGAAAAAGCGAAGCACATAGAGAAAACCAAGATATTTGACATCTCCTAAAAAGTAGAATTGGTTTTAGGGGATTTTACAGTAAAACCAGCTTTGCTTGTGCTATAATAGATTCAGGCAAAAGGTATTCCTCTCTTCTAAGGATATTTGACTTTTGAACAGAAGAAAAGATGTGGCATTTTGTCAAATCTCTCTAGTACAAACTTGGAACTGACGCTATAAAGAATATGATGAACACATATGATTTTGAGATTCATTAAACTCAATTTATTTGGCAACTAGAGAGGGTATTCAAAGTCCTTCATTAAGTCCAGGGAAAACTTTTAATACACAATTTTAAAATTAGACTTTGCAAAATTGCATTCTGTCATAAGATAACACCCCAATGGCGGTGTCCATTGGCCAAATAAAAAACAGAAAAAGTAAATGTGCTAAAGGAAGACAAGGCCAGCTTCATGGGCATGAAACTGGTACACAGAGCTCTTCACTTAGAGGGACACCATTCTTAGTTTAATTCTTTGCTACCACCTCTGAAATACTTATTTTTGTTGTTGTTGTTTTAACCAGAAGCCTCATATTATCATTTTGAACTAGGCTCCACAAATTATGTAGCCAGTCCTGGGAGAAGACAGACAAACTCTATCAAAATATCTTCCTATATGTGCTTGACATTACTTTGATCTAGGATTGTGCTTTAATAGAAGATATCTATCAGTAGAGACCTGTCCTCAGCAAAAATGCAAGGCAATGTTTGTGTCTGGCCCCAACTTGGTGTTTTTGCACAACGTTTTCCCTTGGCAGCCATCTCCTTAGGTGCAAAGGATGCTACTTCTCTCATTTTCCTCCTACCTGCAGGCAACAAAATGTGCTGCTCACCCTACACTGATGCATAGTCAGACAACATACTCTGTGCCATCTTGTGACTTTAAGGCAATAGTTCGTCTCTTTTCAAGGCATTTCTATTATCCTTGAAATCTTCCACTAATGCATTCAAATTTTTTACTCTATTAAAGGGTAACATAACTTCTGAGACTTGTGAATAACATATTATTTTAGATAGCAGTTCTTGCCAGAACTCCAGGAATTGTACTTGTGAGGCAACTGCTTATTTAATACCGCTATTCCCCTCACTAAAAAGGGATGACTGTTCTGACCACATCATTCTTTCTTCTTAAAAAAAAAAAAAAGTTAAAGTCTACCTGAGATCTAATCACTCTGCAGTGTCATTAGGAGTTAAATAACAGCTGTAAAGCTCTCCTGATCCTTTGCTTAATAATCATGATTAATGACTGCAAATAGTACTGTCCGACTATTTTTGGACAACAAAATATCAGAAATTCAGTTCAGAAATTCCACATCTGCGAGGACCTGCAGCCACTTCCTGGTGCTCAGACCAGCACACGAAACACTGAGAGAACAACTGATTTCTTATTAGGCACACTTTAATGCTCCCGCCCCCAAGATTTTCATTTGTAAATGCCATTTGTCTTGGTCTGTCTTCAGGCAGACAAGGATAATGAAGTGAATTTAGTGTCGGTGAAAACAGGATTGGGGCCTAGAGCTTGAAGAATGAGGCTTCCCTACTTATCTCCAGAAGAATTACGGCATGGGCCCTAGAGAAGTCAGGCTTCCTCTACTAACTCATCCTTTCCACAGCCCTGTCAGGGGATACCACAGGTGGGGGTGAGAGGCCAACAAGAGTTAGAGGATCCTGGAGTCTCCTGGCTTACAGTGGCTGACCTCTGAGTGAGGTCTGCTAGCAAAGATGACAATTAGTAGCAAGAGTGGCAGAGACTAACAGGTGAAGCAATCATTTGAAATTAGCAAGGAAAACACCTGCCAAGAATCATATCAAAATTGATGATGCTGTTCCACTCAACCATAACATGGTGACAAAATTTGTTCTAAACCGTATCAGAAGTCTGGAGTAATAGCTGATACGGTGGTTCTTAAGAGACATTACTCATGCAAAAGTAATAAATTATTTATATAATAATAATAATAACAAATTATTTATGGAATAAGGATGAGGAAGGAAGGGAGAAGAGAGGAGAGGAGAGGAGAGGAGGAGGAGAGGAGAGGAGAGGAGGAGGAGAGGAGAGGAGAAATCCTAGACAGCATAATCTAGACCAGTAGACCAGTAACTCACACATTAGCATTTATCAAAATTATCTGAAGAGCTTTTCACATACAGATTGCTGGACTCCACCCACTGTGTTTCTGATTCAGTAAGTCTGAGCAGAAATCTGAGAATTTGCATTTCTTACAAGTTCCCAGATGGAGCTAAAACTTCTTGTCCAGGGACCACACTTTGAGAACTACTATTCTAAACCTTTACAGGAGAGATTCTATTCTGTAGTTTACAAAGACCATATTGTTGGGCTGAAGGCAAACCAATTACTCTTTTTTTGTGCTTCAGTTGACACCAATCTGTAAATTATGACACATTTTATTTGCTTTTATATAACTCATAGATGAAGTATTAAATACATTCTAAGCCTCATTTGTGATATTTAAGATGCTAGAATTGATACTTTATAACTGGCATATGAAAATGAATGCAAATCAAAGACAAAATAGATGTGGAGCTTCGTTTTTAAAAAAAGCTTAAAGAGACCCAATCACAACACAGAAGAAACAGCACAGATCATGGCATGCATATTTTGTTCCCAGATCCCTACATCTTTAACTGGCCTTAGGTCTTGAGGCTTTCTGTCACTTGATACTGTTGAGCCTCAATTTTCCCATCTCAAAAATGGAGAGGTCAAAATAGATGAGTCCCTTCCATTTATACCATTCTAGCCAAGGTTATAAGGTAGTCAACAGAGTTGTTTTCCAAGTGACCTGCTTTTTCCTAAATTATAATTACCAGAAATCATTTTGCACCACAAATGTAATTTAGAAAGATCAGGCTTATCAAACATGTCCCCTAACTGTTTTACTGGAAACACAGTGTTTGTAGAGACAAGTAGTATTGTAAGGTTGTTTTTTATTTGTGCTTTATCAGATGGTTGTATTATTACATTAGTCTTTGATTCTGTGCAGCTTCATATCACATTAGAACATCTAAAACATAACCTTCCCTAGTGTATTCCTATTCCTGAGTCTTTTTTTAAAATTAGACACAGGTTCTCACTCTGTCACCCAGCCTGGGTTGCAGCAGCATGATCATAGCCCACAGTTCCCTCAACCTCCTGGTCTCAAGCAATCCTCTTGCCTCAGCCTCAGCCACCCAAGTAGCTAGAACTAAAAGGCTCATGCCACCATGACCAGCTAATTTTTTAATTTTTTGTAGAGATGGGGTCTCATTATGTTGTCTAGGCTAGTCGCCAACTCCTGGCCTCAAGCAATCCTCCCACCCCTGGATCCCAAAGTGCTGGGATTATAGGCTTGAGCCACTGCATCCAGCCATATATTCCTAAATCTTACAGATTACTAGGGCCATATAGGTACTATTTTAGTACCTATATGGTAACATATAGAAAAATAATTTTGATCAATAGGGATAATTTTTTAACATTTTGTATCAAATATCCCAAGGACATTATGTTGGGTGCTAGAAATTACTCCAGTGATAGCAATGTATTCATTAGTTTACAAATATTTCCATAAATGAGCACCAACTTTAAAGTGAAATCATCTTTAAAAAATAACAAAAGGGATAAGCTGTGGGGGTTAAGAATAATTAACCATATTATATGTATATAAATACTCTAGAGTTAATTTTAGAATTTTAAGCATGTTACAATGAAATTATAATTAGAGCATTTTAAAAAACCGTTTCAGATTTGCTAAAACTGTATACTTTAAAAGACCAAAGAGTATTAGAAGTCTAGGAAATAGGAGAAGGTACATGGAATTTGACTTAATTTTATTTGTAATTGTTTAAATATGAATTTGACCCCCAAAAATCAACATATTGTCTTTTTTGTCTTTCCAAAAGGAAAACATGATGGCAAAGCAGGCAGTGTCAGGCCTGGGTTGGAATGTTTAACCAATTTACCTTTGACAATTTGCTCAACTTTGCAAGCTTCAGTTTTTTCATTATAGAATGACTAATAATATCTTTTTAGGATTAAATGACAAGATATATCTCTGTATAAGAATATTCACATATGTATATTTCATTTCATGATGCCTAAGACATGGTAGCTGATTAATAAATTATAGGAAGTGATACTGTTCTTACAGGGGCCCAGCTTTCCTATAAAGTAATCCTTTCGTTCCGCAATAAAGTCATTGCCATCAGTATCTTTGGGGTTGAGGCCACAAACACCGTCTCACAGGTTGATTATGGTTTTTTTTTTCATCTAAAATTACGTAAGCAAAATCAATATTGGCATGTGTCAGTAGATCTTGATTGAGCATTTTACTTTGAATACTTGTAATTGAGTTTGATGGAAAAGCTGACTCATGTTAAGAATTGTGCCTTGCAAAAAAACACAACTGCCATGGTATAGTTTGGATCAGAAAGCATCCTTGAGCAAAATATGTTGTACATGCACACAAAAGTACATCCACTCCTAAGCCTATGAAAATTAACAGAAAGCCTGTTTCAAACTGTGCTTACCACCCAAAACATGAAGAAAATGTCAAAATATTTTTTCTTACTTGTTTGAGAACTATTTTTAGATAGTTTTTGAATAGAGAACACATATTTGTTAAAGATGCCGAATTCATTCCAGATGGAGGCTTTGCTACGAAGTTATGGGATGCAAAAGATCTGGTTTTCCTTTGTTAAGAAAAACCGGAAAGGCTGATCAGTTGAAAAATTAAGGTACGCCAGGCCCAGTCCTAAGAATTGCCATGAATATTTTATAATCATTTGAATACATTTAGAACAGAGTACCCCTCAAAAACAAAACAGAATAAAAAACAAAATGAAAAAGAGGGAGGGAGGCAGGAAGTGAGGAATTAAGAGGAAGGGAGGAAAAAGGAAGGAGGGAAGAGAGAAAAAGATATCTTCACAAATTTCACAAATGTATCTTTTAGTCTCTTTCTATTCAGGCTGACCCCTGTTCCTGTCTTCCCCGCTGAGTTCTGAGCTGGGTGGCTGTGAGCCTTTGGAATGCTCACACTTCAGACGTGACAGACGCCGTACACTGGGCAGTCCCAGAGTTACGAGTTTCTCCCACATACCAAATACATTAAGTAGCAGTAGAGTGCTTAGAAGAGCTTTGGCACCAGGCCACTCTGTAACAGGAACTTGCTTGGCAAAGAGCTGCTTTAAGCACATTTGCTGTGTATGTATTTGTAGCAATTTCTTTCCCTTTTAGACCCTTGAAATTGACATGGCAGGGGAGTTCTTTGAGCATATCTGCCACGGACCAAAATAAATGCTTAACCTTCTAGAATGTGCCACGTGGACTATATGCATAATTTCTGCTAATTTATTATCTCACTGCTTGCACCAACAGGCATTATATGGGCACATACCAGGCAATTCTCTTCTGTGATGAAGTGAGACTTAAAATATTGTATCAGTACGCATTATCATTGGAGATTGAATCAAAACCAGGAAGGAGTAAATAATGTTTGCTCTATCATAAAACTGGCAAAATCCAATAGGATAGTCTTTTGTAGGAAGAACAAAAACATCTACAACACTGACAGTGCAGTCTAATTGTAGCAGTTAACCATTAAAAAAAAAATGTCAAACATAACTGAGAAGCAGGCTTCATTTTCCAGTATGTTAACAGCAAAAAAGGCAGACCTATAGTCAGGAGGAAAATGCCTGCTATTAAAACATAACTGATGAATGTTACAAAAAGAGTATTTGTCATCAAACAATGCTTCCATTGTAAAACAATTCCAACCTATGCATGAAAGATTCCAAACGCTAGTACAGCATTCAATTTGATACTGGAGTTTTATCATATTATTTCATGCGAAGAAGAATTATACACTCAATCTGTCTGACAGCTTTGCATATAAAGAACAGTTTCTGCATGACAAATGTGGTGAGCTTATTAAGTTACCAATACACTGCCAAGCCATATTGTCTCAGCAACAGCAGACCCAAAATATTTTCAAATGATTCTTTAAAGCGCAATGCAGGAAAGCCTGAACAACGACATGTCCTGACTTTAATAAAATTCACAACTGCAGGAGCATTTATTTACCTTATATCTAATTAGAATAAATCATCCATAAGCCTCATTTAGTCCATATTTAGTGTGTCAGACTTTTATCTTTTGAGATAGTTGAAAATATTAGTTTTTGATTTATCATCTGCTGCCTCACAGCTGCAAAAAAAAATTAAACTATTAAGCTTAATATAAAAACAGAACACTGTTTCTTAAAAATATAGAGACACGAGAGTATTTACAAACATACTTTTAGGATGGGAAAAATTAGCTACTAAATAATGCAAAATATTAAGAAAACACTTGATCAAAATTAGGAATAGCAAGTAATTTAAGCAAACTAACCTCTTCATTTTTTTCATATTTGTAAAGACATCTTAACTCTCAATCTTGGAATGAACTTACAGGACTAAGTTATATGTGTATTGCAAACGGAACTGTGAAAAGCTTAAATAGTAATGATGTATAATAAAAGCAAAAGGCTAATGCAACAACTATGACTTTACTGTTATTGTTCACAGGCACCATTTTTAAGAAACATTTGCTAGTTGTTGGGTACTAAGCTAATAAGCCCTTTAGACATAATTTTTAAATTTTCACTCTCACATCAACTCTCTAGTATAGTCCCGCTGTACAGATGTGGAAAATAAAACATAGAAATTGTATGAATTGTACAGCTTTGCCTATGGTCATAACGCTAGATACAAGCAAGTCTAGATCTCTCTAATTATGGAAGTACTGAGCACTTAACCATTCTGTCTTACTATATTTTCTTGACTCTTGCTCCACTGAACAAGAAATTTCTTTGCATAAACAAATACTAAATAGGATTTTCAGGGTATCCTATAAAGAACTGTCTGTCATATCAAAAATCATAGCCTAATCCTACTAAGAAAACAAAGACAACTTTGCATCCCTGTTCTTACTTGTTAAAGATGCTGAATTCATTCCAGATGGAGGCTTCATTGCACTGCTGCAACGGAGACACAGCGACTCAACTTAGTCACATGGATCGCTCTTTATTGAATATTTCAAGACTTACCCACCCTAGTTCCAAAGGGAAGTTGTTAACTGAGAATAGGGACTATACTAAATCACCTTAATTGTAGCTTCACTATAAATTTAAAATTTAAACTGCCCTGTAGGTTGAAAGCAGTTTTGTTCTGTTTTACTTTTCCCTCAGTCTGGTCTTAGAGTTAAAGAAGAATGGGTTAATGCAGTGGAATTTTTTTTAAATTATACTTTTTATCAAGCCCCATGAATTGTTAAGCCACCGTCTCAGCACTGAATGTTATACGTGCTGATGCTACATTATAGTGCTACTGCTTTCTAATTGGGCATAAACCCTTGAGAGGGCACTGGATGCAAATGATCACTGACTAGTTCACCTCTGGGAATAAAGGAAATAATCTACCAGGTAGGATTATGCCATGAAAGAAATACACAATTGATTCAAAGATGGACTAAATATAGTTTTAGAGTTTGCCAGAACCTTTTCCCTTAATTTCTCTCTGATATAAAAGTAACATATGCAAATATTACTATACATACAGATTATATACACACATATACAAATTTAAGAGGAATCCTAATGAAAAAAAGTACATGGTTACTAGGTAAAAGGTTAGATTTTCCTGTTTCTAAAATTTTTCAATATTTTCTGTTACTGAAATTTTTCTATATTTAATAGACTAGCTGAGAAAATAATAACTAGTAAAATCATATGCTAGTCTACAACAATGGTATGAAGTCATCCCAGAATAATGCCATTATTTAATTATACTTTGAATTCTCATTTCAAAGTCAGTCTACTAATGATTGGAGGAACATGCAACAGAAGTAAAATTTCCTTATTTATTTTCCAATGTTATCAATTATATATTTGGGGCAAGATTCTGAAAAATAGCTTCTTGTCCTTGCAAGAAATATAGTGCCAGATTCATCTGATCACTCTTTTATTTCATCAACATTAATTTGAAAAACTTGAGGAGCACCAAATATGTGCAAACACTCTTGGAAAGAGGGTGTATAACTGGATGTTTCGAGTATTTATTTCAAAACTTCAGAACTGAAGGAGGCATTGACACCACATTGAGGGTGCTGTTCCAAATTTCAGTAATAGCTTCCGGAACAATCATGCCCAGGCAAGCTGTCTTTGGTGCCCAGGGTAATTCCACATTATATTCAGGTCAGCATTCATTCTTGAAAAGATACTCATTTCTTAGATAAAGCATGTTTCTCAGTTAATATTTCTAACATATTTGAGGATGACACAGAGTGAGAGCAAGAGAGAGAGAACTGAAAAAACAATAACATTTCATTTGTGAATAAAGACCTTAGGAAAAAAAACAAAAGGAGGCAAGAGAATGTTCATGACTGTTTCTTGTTGTTTTGTCTCCAAATGCATCACTTCCTAACTTGCCATTTGTTCTTGATTATCCTGATATTCCGATATTCACTGGATTGGGGATAGAAAATGTATTAAATTTAAAAGAGATAAATCAGTCAGTGTTTTCAGAGCTGGGCTGAATAAACTGAAACAGAAGAGGCTAATCAAAATGAAGCAGTCACAAAGACTGTTATCACAAACCTAGGTATACTTGAGTCCTTTCATCAGTAGAAGGCAGCAACCAACTACGGAGGAGCTGTGGAGTGGAAGACACCATGTGAGTTGCTTGTCAGGGATTCTGATGACCAGATACTCCCCCAAAGAGTTCACAGTCCAGTTTGAGAGACAAATTCTATAATTGGACATAGTATGTGGCCTGTGCTCTAATAGATGAACAAGCCAGTTTCAGAAACAGCACAGGAGAGATGTTGCACTTGAGAAAAGCAAACGGAAAAAAAAAAAAAAAAAAAAAAAAAGGAGCTATCCTGGGTTTGAGTAAGTTTTGTTATTTCAGAAAACTCAAATCACCATTATGGACAAGCCCCTGTGAATCTGGAAAAAAACCTTGTGATTTCCATGGACAGAATCAAATGTGTGTACCATGAGAGAAAAACAGTCATAGAAATCTGGTCAGCCACGCGAGGCTGAGAAGTCTGACTATAACATTCTACATGGATCACAGAAAAAGGAATGATGTCTCAAGTCTGGTTTCCTGGAAGCAAGGTCTGAGATGAGGATTTGTGGGTAAAATTTATTAAAGAAGTGCTCCCCGGATAATTGGGAAGGAAATCATGGGGAAACAAGACAGAGAAGGGAAATAAGGCAAGCAAGAGTACTTTTTCAAGTGAAATTCAACAAAGGATAGCTTTAGTTTGGTCCTACTGGGAAACTACAGGCTGTAAGTTACATATTGGAGTTCGTCTTAACTTAAGGAAAGGGAGCTGGGCTCTCATAAACACCAGGGAGGACGTGGAACTCCCAGGTACCTCAGGTCTCCAGCTGTCCTAAGGCAGTCCTCTGAAGAAAGTCACTAGTGCTAGCCTGCACAAGTCAAACACCCAGAAGCAGATGAAGGGAGTGCAGAAATAGTAAAAAGGTATTCAGAGAGATATGGGTAAGAGTGCCAACACCAGGCAGCGCACAGACTGGTTGAAAATGGGAGAGGACAGGCTTATCCCATCAGCATAATCAATTCGGTTTCTGGGAAAATTTGTGGACTGCACCCTCTAGGAAATGTCCAGCCAATGCTCTTGTCCCAGCACCAGCACAAATATGCCAACATAGCCCCTAAATCAGTGCATTAATATAAAAATACAATTAGAGCATGCAGGAAGGGAAGGACACTACTAGCTGTGAAATTCATATGTCTGCAAAGCAACTTTATTCCAGTGGCACAAGCAATTCAATCACCATCCGGGTGCTGCAGATTTAATAGCTTAATTTTCTATGGACTGACAACGTCCATCCTAACAAGCCCTTTGCAGAATGCCTTAGGACAAGGCTGCACAACACATCATTTGGTGCTGTGTGCTTATATAATTATTCCCCCTCTAGAAGCATTTCACAGGGTGAGCAGGGAGGAATGAGTTAGCAGGGGAAACTTAAGCACTGCTTCAATATTTAGAGAACATAAGGTATTATTACAGGATTAATAAGCAAGGCTAGTTCAGCAATAGGGAGGGCTGCCAAGGGAGGCTGTGGAATTGCTATCACTGTAGATAATGAAGGCTGAGAATAGATACCCACCCAGAATGGATTTTTTATAGACAATAATAAGCTATCCCGCTATTCCAGAAAAGGGGATGAGCTATGTATTTCACTGTAGGGCTCTTCCAGCCCAAATGATTTCATAAATTAGATAAAGTAGTTTAGTTTAAAATATTACTTATTAACTATTACTTCTTCCAAAGTGTATCCAGTACAGAGATGGCTGAATGCAGAAGCTATTGAGTGACAAACCTAACTGGAATTACAAACATACTGCTAGCACCTACAAACAAACACCCACTCTGAAAACAGGACCATGGGAATCCAGGAAGGCAGATTTTTGTAGTGTGGAGAAATAGAGACCGCAATCCCACACAGTGGTATATTCAAACTTAGGTATTTAGGGGTCAAAAATTAGCAATAGTTGCAAGTGTTAGATCTGTTTTGTCCAAACACTGTCTGATGTCTATGTGGTACAGACATAGAGCTCTGAATGCCTGGTCTATTCTGGCTATAGTCCCTAGTGATGTCATAGAGTAAGATGTATATTTCACAAAGATTTGAATAGTTGCCCAGGAAAAATTGTTCTAGAAGTTGGAGAAATGAATAAGATTTTAAAGTATCTTGTGAATATAACAAAAGTTATATTAATATATATATTAATTCTATAGTTATATTAATATATATATTAATTATATAGTTATATTAATATGTATTATATAGTTAATATATATTAAAATTTTTCACATGATTTATAAAATATACATATAATATATATAATCTATAAAAATTTTTCACATGATTTTTTCCATGTCAGGAACAAAAATTCCATTAGGAGTAAAAGACCAGTTTACCACTCAGATGCTAGAACTGTGCTTAAATATGCATTAAGCTTGACTCAATGCATGGCACATCAAAATACTTCATTTTCTTTGAATAGGCAATCATGAAAATCTGTCTAGTTAATATTCTGTAGTACCTTCTGCCCAAAGAAGAGTCAAAGAATAAGACATTTCTCTAAAGCTTATTCAGTTTTCTATATGATATTCTGCGAGTTAACTCCTAATGGATTATTTCTTTTGGTTTCATTATGAGTCTTTTAATAAATGCTTCCTGTGGCTTTTATTGTATATCAATTGGATACACGCTAACTATAGACTCTCCTGTGATTTTTAAATTTTTGATTCTTATCTTAGAGTAACACAATAAATTACTAGAACCTCTCAACCACCTGCCCTTCCAGATTTTAATTACACATGAGCTTTGAAGAATTGTATATACATTTTAAGGTTCATATACTTACAACACTTGTAAATGGGTTATAAAAGTATGGATGCAGTTATGCTCTAAAACCAAAAGGGTTACCTTACAAACCCCCTGCCCCACCCCAACACAAAAAACCAACTGGAGAACATTTAATTGAAGTTCAGGGGCAAAAAATACATGTTATGGAATTAAAAGCCAAAAACATATATTTTCCCGGTATAGTGGCATTAAACACTGAACCTTAATTTACATTTCGGAGTAAAGAAACAATACTGATTTAAATTGCAGAAAATTAATAAAATCATAACTAGGTATGCATTTGATGGAGATACCCCAAATTATATTCTATAGCCAAAAATGAGTGTTTTCACATCTGAACACTCTTTCATGTTTCAAAAATATTTACTCAGTGACTAGTATGTGCAAAACATTATACTTGGAATTAATAATCCAATAGGGAGTTGAAGACTGCCCTCAGCTTTATAGGGCTTTTGGATTAATAGGGAAGGAAGACTAATAAAAATAAACACGTAAACAAATGTGAATTTGAAGGTTTGCCAAGTAAGCAGTGCTCTGAGCACCTTTATGAGAGATCTAACCCAATGGAGGTCAGGGAAGCCTTGCATAGGAAGGAAGACCTGAGCTCTCATTAGAAGGAAAAATAAAAGTTAACTAAGTGAAGAAAAGAGAGAACAATTTTCTAGGCCATGAAAAGACTAGCAACATTAACTACCAATAAATTTACCTGGAGGTTGAGGGAAAAGAGGACATATTCCAAAGTTCTTATTAAATCATCTAACTATTTCATGGAACCGTGGAAAGCAACAGACCAACACTAATTCTGGGATGAAGGGTTGGGTGGGTGGTAGGGATGGTGGAATTGAAAGAAACTGTGTAATACCAATGTCCTTTTTGTCGTTTCATTCCACAAGCTTTAAAATTTCATTTCAGTTTATTCACATTTACAGAAAACATATCTACCACTTCTAACACATAACGAAACAGATAATTGTTCTCACAGACTTTTCATTTCAGTATTTAAAGTCATGCTCACCATTATATATTCTTGTGCTCAATAGAAAATTTTCTAAATTTTAAAATCTAATGTACAATAAGCCAAGAATGTTATAGTACTAGTAAACTATTTAAACGTGCCACGTTGTTTAAATGGAGAGGCACTCTGCAAACAGTTGAAGGAAGTGAACTGCATGGTGCCATTAGCAAGACATAATGATGTTATAATAGACTAAATCAGAGTAAGTGCCACCTAAGTGGGCAAAATGCTAAATAATGCGAATTTCTCTTCTTTCTTTGGTCATAGATAACAATCATTTACTGATAAAAGAAAAAGGAAGGCACCCAACAACTAAGATGCCAGAGACTAAGATCACTTTATTTCATCCTCAAAAAATTCTAGCATTCTACCTGCCTCACTCTGACGTGATCGATAATAGCTCCTTGGTGTTAATCTTGATGAACTGAAATGGCAATAGTGAGTTACATATAAATACAAGCTTTTATTAGGACCTAGGAAACAGGGCATGCGATCCTTGGAAGACATGATGGCTAAAATACTCCCTTACAGTAAAACTCACTGCAACTCTATGTGCCACTCAGTAATGTGTCTGTGCAATACACAAGAACACACACCATCAAATCATTCTCATTTTATGATGAGTATTTACTCCAAAGTTATAACTTAATATTTTCAACAAATACACAAGTCCAACTCAGCTAGACTAGGCTATTAAGCTATTATATTTCCAGATTAGAAGAAAATAATGATAATAGTGATAATATTAAGTAACAGAAGGAGGAGGAAAAGGAGGAAGGGAGAAGTAGGAAGAGAAAACTGTCATTTATCCTCCACTCCAAATTTGCGGGCATTTTTTGGAGAACACTCTGTCTATCACATAGAGGTAGCCTTAACTTTTACAATTAAATATAAACATAAGACTTCAAAGCAACAGGAACAATCACGATTTTTTCAGGCATAATTTACAAAAAGACAGCACAATTCTTAGTAGCATATTGCCTTAATCATCATCAAAATAAACACTAATATGAAGCAAAGGAGATAAAGAGAACCTGGTGGAATACATTCAAAACTAAATCATGTCCTTATGGCAAATAATGAACAAATTAGAGACTGCTTTGTACTTTCAATTTTCATGTCCTTAATGTAAAGGCATTTCTTTCCCCACTCCCAAAACCTTCCTTAACATTAGTCTCCTACCTTTTTTAAAAAGGATTTTTAAAATACTTCCTTCCATATACAAAAGGATTCTAGGCCGGGTGTGGTGGCTCACGCCTGTAATCCCAGCACTTTGGGAGGCCAGTGCGGGCAGATCATGAGGTCAGGAGATCGAGACCATCCTGGCCAACACGGTGAAACCCCGTCTCTGCTAAAAATACAAAAAATTAGCTGGGCGTGGTGGTGCACGTCTGTAGTCCCAGCTACTTGTGAGACTGAGGCAGGAGAATCGCTGGAACCCAGGAGGTGGAGGTTGCAGTGAGGTGAGATTGCGCCACTGCACTCCAGCCTGGCGACACAGCGAGACTCTGTCTCGAAAAAAAAAAAAAAAGGATGCCAGTAGTAAGACTGAAGCATTACTCAATAAACCAATATTTACTAATCACAAAACTCTATACCAAACACTGAGCTCAGTACGAGGGAATACAAGGATAACCAAGACCTTCATCTGTGCTGCCAATCACTCAGAAGGTAGTGAGGAAGGTAGGTAGCCACATAAACAAATATCTGGAATAGGTCCTAATGACTAGATTTATAATAGGGGTAATTACATAGGACCATGGAAACATAAATAAGCAAGAGATTAATTGTGGATAGTTGGGAATCAGAACTACAGAGAGAACACTTATTTGTGTAAAACCTTTAAATGGTAATAAGAGGCTTGCAAGACATAGAAGGTGGAGAAGCTCATTTTAATAAACAGAAAGTAATTAGCAAAGCCATGGAGACTTATTGGGGATCATAATTTGGGGAAAGAACAGGTTTAGAGAGTTTATGGAAAGATCAGTGGGTGGAGGTAAGAATGAGGATGAATTGCATGCTTTCCAAGGAGTTTAGTCCATATATATTATGTAGCCAGTGAGAAGACATGGGATGCACTTAGTAAAAAGAAACAGGAGTCAAACTGCATTGTAGAAAGATAAATTTGGTGGCAATGAAGACATTAGACCTGCAAGGAAAGCCTGAGATTCAGAATGACTTCTTAGGAAAAAAACACCATAATCTCAGTGGTAGATTATGACAGTTTAATCTACAGTCAAGTGTAAAGTTAATAAAGCAAGGATGGAAAGGTGATTCAGGATTGCCACACTTCATAGTCCTATCCAGGTGACCTGGGGAAATTAATGAAATATGACTCCAAAAGTTTCTATAGCACAGGAGAAGAATGAAGTTAAAGAGAGTAATAGCCCAGGCAACCTGATGATAGATTTTTGATGCCTCAACTTAAGACAAGGAAAGATTAGGCCAATAGTATGAAATTGCCAATATTTGAAATGGTTTTTTAGTAAAAAATGACAATTTTACATAATTTAAGCCATAGATAGCTAATATTCTAGAAGAACACCTGTGAGTTTGGATAACTATACCAGTCATGTCAAATTTATACATATGTGTGTGTATGTGTGTGTGTGTGTGTGTATGTGTATATATATACATACATATATACACACATATATATACACACACGTATATATATACATACACACATGTATATATATACATACACACATATATACACACATGTATATACATACATACACACACACACATATATATATATATGCATTTAATGGGATAGTTTTCTTTCAACTGAATCTTACATTGGCTTCCCAGGTTTACATTATTATATTTCACTTTTTGGATGGATAATATATTAACACACTTTTGAAAGTTAATAAATACAAAACGGTATAACGATAAAATCTCCCTTTCTACTATTCCTCAGCCCATCTATCCTTGACACCCAGGAATAGTTTCCTACACAAATTTTTTGGTGTTTACTAAGAGCAATAAAATGTAAAATATAATCTTATTTCCCACCACCGCCTTTTTTCACAAACGAAATATAAAATACAAATGTTCTGCACTATGTCTTTTTTTCACTTCACAAAATATTTTGGAGATACTTACAACTTAATACATAGAGTGTTTCCTGATTCTTTTCTACAGTTACAGAGAGTTCTGTTTTACAGACATGCCATAGTTTATTCAATTTGTCCCCTATTAATGGACATTCAAGTTGTTTCCAATATTCTCTTGTTACAAAGAATGCAGCAATTCATTATTATATGCATGTATTCTTTCATCTGTGTGCAAATACGATAAAGCTCCATTAACTGGGATCTAGTTTTCATAACAGAAATGACATGAAATTAGAAAAAAAAATAACAGTGGGGAAAAGGAAAACAAAGGGAATAATGAGAGTAAAGGAAGAGGAGAGGAAGGAGAGAAGAAAAGGCAGATAGGCAGGCAGGCTGGAAAGAATACTAGGTAAGCAAAGAGAAAGAAGGAAAGAGAAAAAGAAAAAGGAGAGAAGGAAAGAATTAGGAGAGAAAGCTCTTGTCTTCTTTAGGATATTAGGAGGGAAGTGATTAAACTTTAGTGCAGGAGATTGTAAGGGCTTAATGGAAGGGCACAGGGGAAACATCTTGGAGCTCTACAATGCTGGGAGAGCATAACAAGGAAGTGACTCTTCCTGTTCAAACAATCCTACCCACTCCAGCAGGACAGAAGAAATAAATTCCACGGCCAAACATGCAGCACAGAAAGACCCAGGACATGGCCGTTCCAGGTTACGTAGCAAGCCAGTCATCCAGGCGGAGGCCACGTGTTTTGAAAGAGAACCAATTACATGAGAAGACCTGGCTCTTGAGGCAAATGTTAATCATATTAGCCCAAACTGTGCATAATCCATAAATAGCTATGAGGCTTGAACAATAAGAAGCTCACAAGAGCAGTACAAACAGAAAGGAACCAAAAAAGAAACTGAAAAAGGAAAGAAGAACCTAGACCAGACCAGAATACTGTGCCTCTTCCCTCAGCCACAGTGACTGCTGGTTCTAACTGGGTCCTTCCTGAGGAAAATGAAAGGTTGAAGTCAGTGTTCATGACTTACTTTATAGAAGTGCATTTAAGTTCATTGCACAGTAAAATCTGTGTTATTCCCACTCCAGTGAATTCCTTTGTCCTTTTAATAAAGTCCAGAGTTAAAAATAAAAACAAAATAAAAAAAATCTAGGTATGTTAAAGAAAGTAATTTAGCTTGCAGTGAATTTTTTTTTTTTTTTCAGAGTGGGCAAATCCAAGAAAATAGGACCCATTTGAGAGCCCTGTTTGAACAAGGGTAATATCTGAATCGGTGTGTTATTTTATTGGCTTTATCAGTGTTTTCCAAAAATCCCTACAGTGGCATAAAGTCTTAAAAAGCTTAGTTCATGCCAAAAATTGCGTACAAGCTTAAATAAAAATCATGGGGGAAATAAGAAGGGGTGTGAATTATATGAAGAGATACTAAATTATTGATTTTTAAAATTGCATCTAGAATTCAGTCCAAGGGGTGTGTGTGTGTGTGTGTGTGTGTGTGTGTGTGTGTATGTGTGTGTGTAACTGTATGTGTCCAATATCAGAAGGAATACACATTTCAGAAGAGAAGACAGAGGGGTGTCAAGAGCACCACAGACATATTACATATGGCTTCTGATGTTTGTTTCTTTCTACTGTTAATTTTACTATGTGTGCTGGAGTTAAACCTGCATTTTTAGGCCATATAAAGATCAAAATAATATAAATAACATAGATTTAAATTTCAGCATTTTCTAGTTACCCTAGTTACAAGTTTGCCAAATTATTAAATCAGCTCTGTCCAAAAATTCAAAAGATAACAGTAATAATACGACCTAGTTTACGGCTTTGTTTCTTTACTATGGTGGTTGTAGATAATTCTGCAACTAGTATAAATTCTATTGTTATTACCCAAAAAAATCAACTTTGTGTGAAAAAATAAGCTAAAGTACATACCTGATGTTACTTCAAAAAATAACATATAAAACATAAAAATAATTTATGTCTGTTACTTTGTCAACTGTGTATGTGTTTGTCTCTGTACATAAAATTTGATATCAGAGCAGCACCTTCAAAGGTGGAGATTACACCAGTGACAATGTGTCTGAGCTTCAGTCTTTCTTGACTTCTTGATTTGCTCTTGACATTAACAGCACCAACTTCTACTTGGTTGTGATGGATGAGAGGATGAGACTAGAATTTTATGGTCTCCATGGTGATGCCAAGTTGCGTTCTTGGCACACTGTATGCCCTTAAATAACACTTATTAGATGGATGGATGACTTCTAGCAAGAAAGGTCAAAAGCATAATCTTCAAAAAATAGGCTGCCCTAGAGTTCTAAGCAGCCCTTCGAATTCTCCATACTATTCATTGAACGGCTAAGAGGTGCTACCCTCTTGGACTTGAGTAGCTAAAGAGCTTCTGTCAATCATTTATAAACCCTCTCCTTGTCTTGAGGTTTAAATACCTTCTAAAGCCCATGAAAATTAACTCCAAGGAACCATCCACAAATCCTTTGCATATAGTGAGGTTTTCTTATATGCCATCTTTCCTGAAATAGAAAGACCAGTGTCTGGAGTATGGCCATTTTTTTTTTTCGTATGTGAAAACTAATTAGCATGGCAACTGACTTGATCTGGACTAGGTACTTTAAAAGAACTGTAATCAAGACTAGCAGGACTAAGATTTTATGATTTTTAACTCATAAAATGTACACTTTATTTTCACCAGATCTATTTGAATGTTAGAGGATGAGGATTTTAATCATGTCTACAGCATGTGGAGGATTACATTAGGTGATATAGGCCCCAGAATATTATTGTATTTTAAGGCATCCAAAGTGATTATAAATTCATGTATGGATAGGTAAATAAACACAAACTCCGGATAAATTAAAAACAAACACAAAAAAAACACAGACAACATTTTTACTAGATTATGAACTCCTTAATTTCTCGTATCCGTAGTTCCTCCTATGATGTCTGGCTTTTCATGGGGATACAGTAAATGTTGGTTGACTCAAATAAGCCAGACGGTAGAAAAGAAGAAAATGAAGAAAGAAAACAAATGGGAAGGACGGAAATGAAAAAAAAATAAAAGAGAGGAAGAGCCCTTCATAGATGGAGCATCCTTTAGAAAACTGTATATAGCCCTAAGCTCAGTGCCTGGCAAAACCATTGTTATTTCTTTTTCTACAATTTTATCACGTATTCTTGTACAGTCTCATTATTAAGGGCATGATTGGGATCCATTATAATATCTAATTTTGAAAAATCATTGAATTAAATAACACACTAAACATGCTTTTTCTTCTTAAAAGGAAACCATTTAGAGCCGCTTAGTTTTTACTGAGTGAGCATGCACAGCACTCAGAGAGGACGAGTGTGCCCATAACTCAGGACTTCAGTAGTTACCGCCCTCAGCTGAATATCTCCAGCCAGCTTGGTGGCTTTGACCTTCACAGATGTACAAATTGCTTTCATTTTTGGTCTTGTAATTTATTATTTGGATTGATGAAGGAGCTCTTGTTAAAATGCAAGAAGTATATGGAACACTGCTATTGAGAATAAAATTGGTGTTCATCTTACACAGAACATTAAAATGACCCTAGTATTTCACAGGGAATTGCAAGAGGAAAAACTACGTATGTACATATTTGAGTCTTCATGTAAGCAAAATATAACAAGTGGAGAAAGCTCACAACATGAGTTTCTTTCTTATCTCATCCTTTAGAAACAACTCAGGAAAATTATAGAATTTAGCCACATAATATGCATTGCAATCTGATATCTTTGTGGGTTCAAATTATTGTTCTATTTTCAGATATTTTATAAGTTGCTTACAAACTTAACTTTGAAGTAACTGAATAGAGCACAACATTTGTTAAATGGAAAACAGTAAAAATGTGTCGTATTTTATTTTTCACCAGGTAATAATGTCAAAATGATTAGTTTTTTTCATTTCTAAGGAAGTTGCTGGGATTACATATTTCAATGAAAGGGACTAATATATCATAAAAGTTTGGAAAACCCATGTCTAGTACAATAAAACACTTAAAGCAAGGTAATTATGTATAGGTTATTCAGGTTATAAGTGAAAGAAAGAGTTCTATGAGATTCTATCTTAAGGTTCCTGCCCTATGAACTGAGCAGGTGATGTATGGGTCATTTGGTACGTTCATTGGCTAAGTATATGATATCTTAACTCAATGTATTCCTCAAAACTCGCTGTTTTGCATGACACAGGAATAAAGTTTAAAGATTTTCCCCAAACTTTTTTTTTTTTTACATTCACAAATCTTAAAAACAGAGTACTGGAGCCATGGCTCATATTTTGTCCTCTCTGACTTCAAAGTTTATTCTTTTAAATATGACACATTATATTTAACTGACCTTTCTATTAAGGAGTATTTTTATCTGCATTTCTGTACCTCTTAATAGCCCTCCACTTCAAAAAAGGGCCACAGTTATTTATTCAAATTCTTAATAACTAAAAATAATAGCTTTTTTATAATACATCTCTTATGACTCCAAGCTGCCTGAATAGCAAAGTTATGAGTTTGCTAATAAATAACTAACATAAAATAGAAATTCAATCTGCTAGCAAATCCTTCCTTTAAAAATATTCCTCTGTAAGTGAATAAAATTCTCTTTGACTGTTTTTCTCGGGATTAAACATCTCTAAGTTACATATGTCATGTTTGTAAATTTTTCTCTGTGATAGTATGAATTTCTCCATTAATATGCCATAGAATGTTTCCAGGAAGGAAGATGATCCAGCTTTTATTCTTTATTCATGTATTTATTTTTTTACTCAGTCAATGGCTCCTTTATTCACCTTTGGAGAAAACATTTTTCATGAAATTCCTTTAGAGCATTTAAAAGGAGTTTGATATTTAAGAGTTACAATAAAAACAGGCAGCCTGAACCTTTCAGAGGTCTCAGAGAAAGTTCTCCTATTTTGTAGAACCTCCGTTCCTTCATATTTGCAGCTGACCGTAGTCTACTCTGAGAGTGAAATTAACTTCTTGTTATCCATCAGTAACAAAGCTAGCAATTTGTGCAAAGGTGATCTAAATAACCCATTTAATGTCTCACCTGTGAAAACAAAAATCTAGGTACTTAGAGGAAAAGGACTTGATGAGGTAAGTCAGTTGCCTCCTTTTACATGGCAGAGACTAAATCCCTGAGAGCTTAACTGACTCGAGTCTGATCTCAAACATTGTTATGGTCAGCACCAGGTTTAAAACCCGGCTCCAGAATCTCAAAACAGATTCTTTCTACCATGTGTCTGCCAGAATATTAGCACAGAAAGTTCAAGAAGGCAATGTTTTAAGGGGAAAGGGTGCTTCCTATGTCCTTAAGAGCTTTGACATGTGCTGACATGAACAATTTGAATATAATAGAAACAAGTCTAGGTATCAGATTTAATTACTTTTCTAAGTACTTTGGACTTAGATCTGGGAGAATACTGCCCAGACTAGGAAGTATTAGAATATGCAAATAATGGTTTTCTAGAAACAGATCAACTAAAGTTAAAAATCCAAATTTCATATTTACTGTGCAATTTTAAGCAAGACACTTATTTTACTTATCTGTAAAATGGAGATGAGAATAATATCTATAGACATGGTGAGGATTAAATGAGGTACCGTGTAAATGATCCAGCACAGTGCCTGGCCCACAGTAGTTGCTGGCTTTTTCTTATTTTCGCTTATGCCTCCCTTACGGCATTTCTGCATCTTTTTCTATACAGTCAAACCAGTACAGATAAAGGGGAAGTTGCTCACAAGAAGGTGGCAGGCTGAGTAGGTCCCCAGCTTAACAGAAGAGATACAACTGAAATAAGTTAAAGAAGAATAGATTCTCTTAGCAGTTGGTATGTGAATTCCATTTAGAGAAATGAGTCCTGCCTTTACTTTTAAGCTCATATCCCAAACCCCATAGAAATGCACTGAACGAGGCAAGGGAAGAGCTTTGTGGTTGTGTGACACGGAATTGGCATGGTGCTGGAATGCTATTAAATGAGAAAGGTGAATCCTTTCCTTATGTCACTTTGTCCCAAACTATACTTCCTAGTTTATCATCTTCATCTTTTGTGATCTGATCTCTGGCTGGATCCTTAGCTTCAACATCTACCACTTATATCCCTTAGCTTCTATTGCTGAAGCCACGCTGAAGTATTTGTCATTACTTAAATACCTGGTCCTGTTTTATATCTCTTTGATATATGCTACAATGCTGTCTCAATGCTCTCTAACTGAAATCCCACTTGTTCTTCAAAATTCAGTATAAATATTGTTTCCTCTAGGGTATTTTCCCTGAATCTGATTTTGATCCCTTTATGCCCCCCTAGTATCCTAGTCATGCTTCCATTATAGCACTAATAAAATTGTAATGTAATCATGGATTTGCATATTTCTTACTTAAGTCTCTCAAGGTTCCAGATCTTGTCTCATTCAAGTTGGCATCCCTAGCACATAGCACAATACCTGGCCCACAGTTGGCACAAGATACATGATGAATGTGTGAATAAATTAATTAAACGTCAAAGGAAAGAAGCTAATCCATGATGACCTACATTGGTTGTGACTTTTGGCAAATCATAAACTCTGTCCAATCATTCAAAGGTAATCATTCGGAAATAATTGCTAATCAGTGCCAGGGGAGGATATGTTCCATGGGAAGGACCTCTTGTGTTTGATGAGTTAAAACAGTAAGGACCTTGCATTCTGCGGGTGATATATTAGCCAGAGTGATATATTAGCCAGATACCAAATAAGGCCATCCATTTGACTTACGCAGTACATCTGACTCTTCCTGCTATTGCTCACAGAACCCAGGTTAGGGCTTCTGCATCTTTGTGAATGATCATTTTGTCTTGCAACTGACACCCAAGTTACCTCAGTCACTACATTTCTAGTTTGCAAAATTCTTGGCAGCCTAGTTTATAAACCTAAGAAGAAGTAAACCAACTTAGCCCACAAAAATATTTTAAGATGCATAAAATACAAGCTTTTCTTTGAAATACGGTGAAGACACCAGAATATTATGAATGTTACAAATGCCTGCTTTTTCTAATTAGATTGATATGAACAGAAAAAGAAACAGGAAATTAATACTGAAGACTTGCAGGACAATAGAAAAGTGTTTAACATGATCCCAAATAGGGTAATTTGATCTTTCCTATTATTATCTTGTATGTACCTACAAATCAGAACAGGAAAAGGAATTCTTGGGAAAAAAATTAACTAAGATAAAATAAGATTGCATTCATCACTGAAGTTCAACTATAAAGAGGTTAAAGCTGTCCTGTAAACTCCAGATAAAAGGCTCATAACTCATTTCCACTGGAGGGTGATAAGACAAGCTGTTCTTTCCATGAGTGGGTGAAACGAGTGTAGTCTTGTAAGAAGAAAACTAAAGATGAGTAAAACAAACTCCTGCTACTACTGGAAGATGAACTATACAGTTTAAATGATGTGACATTACTGTATTTTTTGACCTTTTATGATCAATAGGTAGAATTATTTCTTCTCAAATCTTCACTATGTAAATACACAATTTCTTTCACATTTTTTAATTTTTAAATTAATTAATTATTTACAGAGCGTTTCCTTTATTTTTATGTATTTCTGTGTGTGTATATTATGGGTGTTTATTAATTCTTGTCTTTTCCATCCAATTAATAACAGCTTATATGTGTTTTGCCTCTGCGGCTTCTGAATGGCTGTGAATTCATTACACATTCCTTCTGTTGTCGCAATAATGATAGAATAGGTGAGATTTTCATCTACAGATTATTTAAAGCTTTTAGGTTCAAGCAACACCGAAAACCAGAGAGAAATACCAAACAAAACTCAATATGCTACTGTAAGTCTCCTAAAGAATATCCTATCTGGACATAGAAAAAATATAAGGATAAAAAAATTCTTTCACCAGTTATGTTGGTTTTCTGAATATATCATTGCTCAACTCTATCATAGCTTGGTTTACCTAAGCCAAAAACAAATTAACAACCCACATAAAGCTTCCTAAACAAGAATAAATGTCACAGTACGCAATATGAATAGGCTTCCTTTTAGATCTATCATATTTTGACTTAAGGCTTTTTCAAATATTTGACTGAGTTTTTACTACACTCCTTTTATCCCTAAAAACGTTTTGACAAAAGAATGAATCTCAAAGAATAAACTAAACCCAGCACACAAGCAAGGGAATAATCTACATACAAATTGGGCATCAAATTAGAGTTTCAGAAAAATTTTATGCTGGTATGTCAATATCTCCAGTATTCATTGTTTATATTAAGAATCACTAAAATTTCTACAGGTGAATAACAACGGTGTTAACATTTTTCACTTATCCAACAAATGTCTCTTGAGTGCGTAGGAATTAAAGGTTAAGCCACATCACCACTTACACAAGCCTCATTTCCAAGAAGTATATAGTCCGGAATAGAAGATTAGAGAAGTTTATAATAGCTATTAAATAGTATAGCTCAAAATATGAAAATTAGTAAAGTATGGCCCGGAGCCTGGACAACTGTTTTTGTAATATAATTAATTTAATAATTTAATTATAATTTATAATTTAATCAGGACAGACCCACCTAAACTCATTTGTTTAGGTATCACTAAGCTTGCTTTCATGTTACATAGAGCAGAGTGAGCACAGTGGAAAGTGTATACATAGCAAGCAGAAAATATTTACTATCTGGTCCTTTACAAGAAAGTTCACTCATCCCTGATGATGATAATAGTAACTACCATATGAAGTTCAAACCAAATGACAAAATTTTTCATAGAAGAGTGTTATCTTTGCTAGGGAGGTATCATTTAAGCTGAACTTTCAATTATGAGTAAGAATTTTAATGAACAGATTCATTGATAATAGCAATCCCAGAAGAAACAAAACAAACAAAAAGTCAGATCAAAGTCATATAAGCAATGCATATTTGACATATTTAGAAAATATCATATTGTAGAGTTTGGTTGGGTGATAGGCTAGAAGAAGTGAATTCCAGTGAGAGTCACATGTCTGATATCTGGCACATTCATACCAGGACAGCCATACCAGTTGTTTATGGCTGGACTAGGCAGTGATGGCCTCTTTCCTGAAATATTTTTTTATTTTTTACTGGTTCTTAGATATTCTTAATATCACCCCGGTAATACCTATCAAAACCAATAAGAGGTAGCCAACAGAGCATTTGAAGGAAAATTTACAGTCTAAAGTAAATTCATCATAAAACATAAAAGATACAGCATTTATCTCAAGAAGCTAGAAAAAGAACAATAACAAAACCTGAAGGACTCTCATATGTTGTTTGTGGGAAAGTGAATCAGTAGAGCTGTGTCAGTGATAGTGGTAGGGTAGAGATGCATTTAGCCTGATCTATAAAAATTTAAGTGTCCTTTCGACTCTACAATTCTACTCCTAAAATTTGATTCATGGACATGCCCCTATACATGTACCAAAATATAGCAACTAGTGTGTTCACTGCAGCATGATTGTATTATCAAAATTGGAAACAATCTTAGTATTTACCAAGTTTAATGTTTAACAGTACATCGTGACTCTAGAATACCATCTAGTTGATAAAACAATTATGTAGATCCACAAGCTCTCTCTCACACACGCAAATGCCCGTAATATGATAAAAAAGTAAGTTACTGAACAATGTCCCTAGCCTTACAGTTTTCTTGGAAATTATATTTTTGTATATATGTGTAGCTAAATGTGTATATACATGTGCACAAATATATGTATGTGTGTACATGAATGCATGTATGTATGTGTGTATACATGAGAAGGGGAGGAAGAAATATAATGAGGATGAGGTTTTGAAGTATATACCAAACTGTTAAAAGTGGTTGAACTTTTGCAATACGAATCTTACATTTTACTTTACATATTTTTGGGTTTTTTTCAACTAGAATATTATTCTGTAGTTAAATGAAATAAATGATGAAGAAACAAATAAAACTACGACAAACATCTCTGAATGTATATATTTCTTACTATTCCAGATATGAAGTTATTAGATGAAAGCTTATAAACATGTTAAGGTTATTGATAAATAATGCTAGATTGTTTTTCAATGGTGCCAATAGTGTCTAATTTATCTGTTTTCTTTTTTAAGTTAAATTTTAGCAAGGACTATAATGAAACCAGAGATTGCCATGCTCCTAGGCATAAAAGCTTCAGGCTCTAAACTTTGGAGCTCTATATTTATGGCCACAGTCATTTAGAATGTTTCCCAATCCTGGGTTCCCCAAAGCTCCAGTGATTTTTGGCATATTTCTTACTGATCTCATGCCAGCTACTGGCATCACTTTACTGAGCAAAGGCACATGACATTTTTAGGCACTTAAGGAAAGAGCAACTCTAATTCAGAAAAGCATGATACAAGACATCACTCATGTTTGATACATGAAGTTAGGTTTGCTTCACTTCATATGACCCAAATTGGGACACAATTTAAATACTTAAATCAAAGTCAAGGCCACTTAACAAACCAGCTCTTGGCTTCAGCTCCCCAGTAGGTTTTGTGCACACCATATCTGGTTCCCTCCACCCCTGTGCACCCGAGATAAAAACAGGATGTAATGCTGAAATGCAGGGTACTTGTAATTAAACCAGGGTCAGAGCCATGGTCTCTTAACCTTTAAGCAACAGCTTTATCCCTCCCATAGATAACTTTATAAACCTCAGCCTGTATCACAGTCATGGAAAGCATGAATTCTGGAGCCACACTGACTCTACATGCCTGCTGCCTTCCAGCAGTGACCTTTAAGTAAGTCAGACTTCAATTTCCTAATGTGTAAAATGAGGATACTAATAGGACAGTGAGCCCTGTCATGTTTTTGTTCATGGAATCTAAAATATTCAATCCCATAATACATGAGAAGGTATTATTGCCAGATTAATGAAATGACCAAAGTTAGCTAGCTGGCTGATAAGTTCAAGGATTCTGGAGCCAACTGCCAACTACATTACATCTAAACTTGTAGGATACAGTATCATGGGATTTTTACCACAAGGTTGCTATGAAGACTGAGTTAAACACCAAGATTAGGGAGTTGCATAAAGTATGATGAATATATAATCTTGCCTATCATCATTATGACTTCTATTACTATCACCACCCCTATACCTCCACCACCACAGTACTGCAAAGTAGACAAAGCCAAGAAAGAAAATTTGCCAATGCCCAAGCAACCAGAAGATGATAAGCAATAACAGCAAGGAGATTTCTGTGTATTTGTTAAAGGATAATCCATCTAATTTGTGCTGACTACTCTCCACTCATCCCGAATTTTCCTTTTGCCGAAAGTCAACTGCTAAACTCTGGGAGGGAATAAGGCCAAGACTTGAGGCTGGAATTCAAGAGCAACTGTAAAAGTGATTGGATTTATATTAAGCATACTATCCATCTATAAACCAGTCACCTGTTTGGCACACATGGCTAGCTCTGGAGACCAATGCTGTCCTCTAGTAAGCATCATGCCTTTTTAACAAATATTGACAACCTGAAGTCTGTGTACCATAAGGCGTAGGATTTTGTTCCTATATGGGAGTTTTAGGATTTCTGAGGGGAAAAAGGGCTGTTTTGTGACTGGAAAACTTAAGGGGCAGCCGTGGCCACACCACCCTAATATGGTGACATTTAACATGGTACTGTTGCAAATAAATCATGTCACCATAGACTCCAGTGACCTGTGCCTCAAATTTCCTTGTTCAAGGCAGAAGTCCCAGACTGGAATTTGGAAAAGCAATATACACAGTGCCTTCATGCCCATGGACATGCAAGTGACTCTTGGCAAATGTAGTTATTGTGGAATTAACTTCCTTTCTCTACTCGAGGCAGTGAGTTTCATAATACAATGGCAGTAAGAGAAAGCAATCAGAGCTGAGGGCAGCAAGGACTTTTACATGTTTCCTACCTCTTTCTTGTTGTGCATTAAACAAGACCAGATGTTTCAACAAAGAAATGAAACCAAAGTCACACTACATTTGATTTGTGGGACCACCCTTACTTGAAATGCCATCTCATCGTTCCAAGGTTTGAAAAATGATGTGTATAACAAGCAAGATAAGAAATGTGAACATTCCTTCAAAAAAGTCATTCATTATATGATCCACAGATGGTAAGAATATGCCTTCCAAGTAGGGATGGAGAAATGCAAAGATTATTTGCTTAGGGCTTGAGACAAGGCAGACTCTCTCATCCTTCTCCATGCCTCTGTCCTGAAATGATGGGGTACACGTGAATGGCACTGCAGGGGCAGTGAAGTTCAAGGTGAAAAGCAGAACTGAATCCACAAAAGCCAGGAGAAGAGAGTGAGCAGAGCAGATCAAAGGCAAAAGATCTTGGGATTATCTAAAGTCCACAGTTTCCAGGGAAGCGCAGTTCTACAAAAGGTTAATACAGGGAGTCACGGCACATGCATATTTAATTTACGGGACTTCATCTCTATATTTGCAGATGGACTCTTTAGGTGAGAGAAAAAAAAAAGGAGAGGGAAGGGAAAAGAAGACAGAGAGAGAAAAGGAGAGAGAGTGACAAAGGGACAGACATAGACAGAGACATATAGATACACAAAGACAAGGAGAGAAAAAGATACACAGATATAAATGCAAAAAGAAGAGAGAGTGCAAGAGTTCAGAAAGAATGAGAATTAATTAGTGATTTAAATTTGTGGTCACTTACTAATTCTACCACTATTTCATGAATAAATTTATAAAAGACAGTAAACTCAAGTTCTGAATTATGAATTTGCCTTCCCCTGATCACTCTTTGTTCTCTTGTGTCCCTATGTAAGTGAACCTCTTGTCAGGTTGAGAGCAGTTCAAGTTTTTAAAAACAGAGCACGTATTCTTCAAAAAGCACATTCATAAATTATCTTACATGCAACAACAACAAAAAAGAAACAGAATGCTAGAAAAAAATAACTGGCTGTGTTGGATTTTACATTTCTGATAATTGCCTTAAAATTTAGAATGTAACCCCAGTATTAGATTAACACTAGACGTGTTATTCTCCACAAGACTATATGTTCACAAAGTTTAGGAAAGGGTGGGTTCAGGAAATTTAAACAGTTGTCCTGCCTTCAGACCTTCTCAAATCCCTTAGTATACTAACCAGCGTTAGGCCTCTCTACCATGCAGATGGACTATGGGAAACGAAACTGACTTGATTATAGAGCCCTTTCTTTTTCAAAGTGTGCTTCACAGCACAAGTACACTGTGGAACACACTTAGGAATCTCTGATCCAACTCAAGCATTCTCATTTCCAAATAAGGAAACCAAGGCCTCTCTAAGGGCATACATCTGGCTATCCAAATGCTGCAACATGATGGATGGCCCTGATTGATTTAATGATTGCTATGGACATGTTTTATTTCTTCATACCCTTATTCCTTCACCCCTAGGTCACTAAAATGGCCAATCCCCCTAATCTTCTCTTCCGCTATTCAAGTTTATATGTTAAAATCAAGCAAACCTTTCTAAATGTAGATTTCAATGCAATGCTCTTACGCCTATTACTCTATAGTGGCTTCCAATAGCCTATAAAAGTAAATCTCAAATTTTCTCCAAATACGTGAATTAAATAGTAAACCTCAAACTTTCCCCAAACACCTGAATCTAAATTATATGGCACCCCAGGAACACATGCCATATTCACATATCTCCTAGCATAATGCCAACATTTTTTGGTGGCTTGCATATTGTAGTGTGAGACACAAACTTAGAATATCAAGTGTTTATTCTTCAACCAATCTGGCAGTGCACCTCGCACTCAGACCAATTTTCTGTTCTACCTATGTCTTTCTCTCCTTGAGGGCTGGCTATAGAGCGTGAAGCAGTGTACAGAAACCGTTATTAGATTTTTCAAACCTAGGCTGATCGGAGATCTCAATTTCAATTCAGAGAAGAGGTATATTAGAGAACTGGAGAATGATATTCTCCTGCCAGAGCTCTCCGGAGATAATAAGAGAACCTAACAAACAAACCCACCTCCAATCTGTTTGCACATAAAAGATAATGTCTAGCTTTGCTTATTAGCTCTGTTTATCAACCAGTGCCATGCTCACTGGCCCCATTAACCTACTGAATCAAGGATGTGATTTGAAAAGAAATGCCTATGGCATGGACCACAGAAGCAGCAGCACTCAGGAGTGATAACACAGTGGCACTATTGATATAAAACATCAGAGATAGATTTGGACTCACTGGGAGTTGGACTGTGCAGACTAAAAGGTTTTATGTTTTGTTTTGGTTTGCTTAGCTTTGCTTCACTTTTATCTAATAACAGAAAAATTCAGTGGAAATAAAACACTAGTTAATCTATGTAAGAAAAATAGAATAACAGATGAACGTCAGAGCCATAAACAGGGACAAATATGCCAGATGCTGCTCCCTGAAGTGCCACATGACAATAAATTTTCATCACATCAATTTACCCCAAGGAGCGCATCTTGAGTGATCTTTCCCTTCAGCGTTAGCCTAATAACAACTTGGAGGGTGGGGCTGAAGGAATTCACTCCTGTGACTTTCTTTGGTTTTATGTTCATCAGGAAGAGAAAATCTTCCCATAAAATAAACAAACAAATCTTAAAATGTTAGCACACATATATGGTTCATAGGCCTCTCATCCTTAACCAAGGTTTTTAGAATTTCACTAAAAATCAAAACTTCAAAAAAAAAAATACAGAAGATTGAAATCTCAGATTCAAGTGTATTTAAGTGTTTCAGTGGAAAGGATCCAATTCTACCATACATGTAATTCCCATGCATTTAATAACAGTCTCTTGTGTTTCAAAATCCTTAATTATTGAACTATAAAGCCTGAAGTTTTACTAGAAAGACAAATTTGACTTTGCCTCTCCAGATATGACCTTATCCGGGCCCCCCCAGCTTATTCACAGAGGATGACCTACTTTACTGAGATTAAAGTTTTCAGACATGATCTATTTCTACTCCATCCCAATACAAAATTTATCTTTGTCCTTATCCACCATCTCTTTCTTCCTCTCTTAAAGAAAGAAGTGATTATGGATTAGGTTTTCTAAGGCCAATTGCTCCACCTGTGCCCTTGATCTGTTCAATATCTGCCCCCTCGACCCAGGATTTACCTTTAATGGCATTTTTTTACTCACGTTCTCACATCTCCTATTCTTCACTGCCACCTCCTCCTTCGACTCAGATCACAAATATGCTCAAGCCTCCCTCTTTCACAAACCCATTCCCTTAATTATGTTATCCCACATTAGTAGCTGCCCCTTTTCTAATTTTAAATCTCAAACTTTTTTAAAAAAGTTGGCTGCACTACTAATGCCTCTAGTTCTCACTTCTGAGTTTTCACCCCCTTCTTCACCTGCCCTCCAGCTGAAACTATTTTCCTGAAGATCAACAATGACCTCAAATTATTAAATGCAATGCATTTTTTCCCTCAGTCTTCAGACACCTTAAACTCTTTCCAATATATGAAATCCCTAACAATTCCTTTTGGCATGAAATTTCATATTCCCTTTGCTATAATAATACTCATTTCTGCTTCTTCCATCTCTGTGACAAATTCTCACCACCGCCACCACCGCCCCCCCCACCACTGCATATTCCCTAGGATTCTATCTTTCAATTCTTTTATTTCTATAATTTCCCTCTTAATCTTGTTTGTGCTGTGATGATCACTGCCAAATACCAGCAAAATGACAAAATACATCATAGTGCCCACCTTATAAGTTATTGTAAGAATTTAACGTGTCAGTACATTATGATACAAATACGCCCAAAGGGTTTGTTGTTGGTGTTATTGTTTTCTTAATATTATTAAATCTAAATATTTATTTTAAACTTCAAGATAAATTTCTAGCAGACTTCTAGGCAGCTACAGATTGCTGACAGACTAACACACACTTCCAAATTCACATGCCCAAAACTTAACTCTCCGTCATGTCTCCAAAAACCTGTTCTTTCTCCTATATCTCCTCTTTTTTTCAGGTGGAAATACCCCATTTTCAGTGTCATTCCAGCAGGATGCGTTTGGACTCACTTTTGAAAGCTCTGTATCCTTCATGCCCATGAATCAAAGTACTGGTCAACCTCTGCCAATGCTGCCTCCACAGTTCCTTTTCACTTTCAACAGAACTGTCCTAAGCCAGATATTAATGTTCTGTTACCTGTGTTATTTCTATAAATTCAATTCTGACTTGTCTCCAAGTTCTCTACTTAGCTCTACTGTCTTAACCAATGTTAGGGTAACAGCTTGAAATCATTGTTAGATAATATCACCTGCACTTAAAAAAAAGATTAGAGCTCATCATCTTCCAGATAAAATATATCAGCATCCTTACCATGGCATTCAAGGTTTTCCAAGCTTCCAAAATCAAGCTTTCTTCTTTTTTTTTTTTTTTGACAAAATTTTCTTTCCCAGTTTTACTTTCCCGTTTTTTTTTTTGTTTTTTTTTGTTTTTTTTTAATCACTATGCTATATTTCTTTCAGGCACATATATTTCCAACTCCAGACCTTTGGCCATACCATTCCTTTAGACATTTACATGTAATTCTATAAATTATTTAAAATTCATATCAAATCGCACATCCTCCATGAAATTTTCACCAATATTTCGGACTTACATAATCTCTAAATTTTTTTTTAGCCCTGGCAGGTTCCTATATCAAATATAACACTAACCATATTCTGCATCACATAGTAAGCATTTATTTTCTCTTCTTAAAACCATTTAGTGATTTAGCTCCCTTATACGTTCATTGTTGACTAAGTGCTTTCTATGTACCAAACACTGTGATATACTCTGGAAATGTAATGTAAAAATAACTCTGTCTTCTCCAATGAGCCAACACTTTCAACCTAACAGAGTGCCTGATATATGGCAGGTGCTGAATAAATGTATTTAGAATGGAATTGTCCCCAACCATACAGGTGAATGAAGTAAAGCCACCATGAATTCAAACACTTCCTGAACTCTCTATGAGAAGTTTGTAACTCTATGAGAAGTTAAACTCAACATTTATTTGTCTAAGTATTCATTCCAATTGCAAAACATACTGCTGACAAGTATTTAAAAATAACAGAAATTTATACTACTTAATGGGCTTACAAAATGCTAGTTAAAACAAAAAACAACTTGGGTTTCCAATATATAGAAAGTTTTAGTGGTGAGGAATCTAGTGCATTTTTCATAAATTTAACTCAAAAGCAAAAGTGTGAGGGGTAATTTTCTTGATTTATGTAATTTACCCATTTATGCATTTACCAATCATTCACTCATTAATTTTTATATAACAAAATGAATTTAATATATACTATTAAATATCTTAGATGAATAACAAATTGTTTATAAATCAAGTTGATTTATGTTCAACAGCGCTTGCTCTGTGCTTTCTCATATCATAGACAAGCAATTAATTTACAAAGGCTTTTATTTTCCACACTGCTAGAATAAAACTACCTTTGGATTATTGTAATATTATTCGAACCCATAAATAACATGTTTTTCTTTTATTTTTTCTTGAAATCCTACAATCAAAGGCAGCCACTTACTACATGTCTGTCACTCTAAACAGCGTCTCTCATCTGTTCTTCTCAGGCTTTCACCTTGCACTGAACAACATCATGGTCCCAAGGAAACACCAATAGCACACTGTGGTGAATCACTTACATTTTCCTGGGTTTCCCTGCTCTTTAGCCACATAATCCTGACCTCTAGAAAACCCCTCTCTCAAAACAGACCACTATGTATAGCTGGCCTATCATGGTGAGAGATTAGGGGCTACTTTATAAATAGAGAACCACATGCTTACTCATTGCTCAGTACCAGCTGTAAGTGAGCTACTTAAAATAGGACTAACATACAAATGTAATTGCTTATAAGCAATGCAGAAATATTTACATTGGAGAAAGTTGGATCTTCCTCCAACCCTCAACTTACAATTTCTGTAGCTAAAGTACAATGCTTTGATGAGCTCTATGACCAGCTGTGGAAAGAACACCAATGCAGGTGGAAACATTTGGTCAGTGGAGGGAAGTAATGATTGAGAGGACAGAATTAAAGCTGCCTGAGTTTGAAGACTGAAATGGAAATAGTAGGCATAGAACTAGCAGCAATTTTAAACAAGGTCAATAAATTAAGCAGTGAATATAATTTTAAAACAGTGCGTTTTCTTTTAATTGTGTGTTTTTTCATTAATCTAACGAATAAATTTAAATGTGGCTTTGCCATAGAAACAAGATGCAAGGCTTTTGGTTATGTGCTATGGGGTCCACAAAATGAATAAGACTCAGTGAAGAAGAGGAAAAAGGTTAATTTTAATATCAGAAGACTTAGTTATAGGAGGTAGTGTATGAGGAGAACATGGAAGGTAGAAACAGGGCAAAAAGAACTGAGAAAGACTCCAGTCAAACGGGAGAACATAAGCAAAGTCAAGCAGATAGAGCCTCAGCTTGATCAACTGAAGGGAGCCTCTGCAGGGAGGCTCTTCTATAGGGACACTCTACATTCTTTGGAAGTAATTAGTGTTTCTTCCTTATGTATATGGATATGACATAGTTCTGGTTCTGGCAGAAATGTAGAAGGAAGGGAGGAAAAATCTGAGGCTCTGCTGTATTTCTCCATAACACTAAATATCACTTCTTTATCTTATTATTGTCCAACATTACTTACTTTCTGTGAATTAAGGTTTTATGGTTGCAAGTGGCACTAATTGATTCTTATTAGTCAAAACAAAACAAAATAAAACAAAAGCCAACTAGGTTAACTAAAGCAAAGGAAAATCTGAAGAGGCAAGCTTCTGAGAAGGAGCAAGAGAAGGTCTGAGGATCTAAGCTGAAGAAGCCAATAGTCTCTTTGAAATACTAAAGATAACATGGATAAATCCACATGTATCTTCTTGGAAAAGAACAGCTGCTATTCCTAGATTGAGTCAAGAGTCCACCTTGGGTCCAGGTGCCTTACCCTTTGATAAGCAATTGAACCAAAACCATATCCAATGGGAGATTAGTTTTCCAACATGAAAATTGGTATGCAATTATGAAAACAAGGAACACTAGATGCCGTACATGCAAAATCAAATATCCATACTGTGCGATTTTCAGAACAGAGATTTTCTAAAGGTCTAAAAGAAAAGATATGTCAAGCAACAGATGGGCATGGGAGTGTGAAGACACATGTGCCATTGTTTCTTCATGTGTTTTTAGAACAAGTAACGAATGCTCCCTGGTCTGTTGATGTTCATTCTTCCTTCTGACTATTCTGTGACAGCTGAGTCAGTGGGACCCAAACTCTGAATCTATGCAGTTTACTATTTTGATAACTTCCTTCAGGTAGTTTTAAAATAAAGCACAAACTTTCCCTAAGCAATTTCCTCTGGAAAATCACTTTGCTTAAAGAGCATGTGCATAAGTATCATCAGTTCAATTCTGGTAAAATGGAAATCTGGAAACAACTTCAAGGATCAACAATAGGCAAGCTATTTTGATTTCATGCTCAGGTAAACTCAAGGTGCCTCCTGGAACACTAGGAAAATCCCAAAATTGTGGTGGGCATAATAACCATCAATTATCAATGTCACCCTGGCTACAGTATGTGTGTGGGTGAGGCTGGTCAACGTATCTAAGTTGGGTAGATCCATTTTTGTTGTCAGAGACAAAGGGATTACTACCCTGGCATACAATTTGGCGTAGGAACTGGGAGAACAGAACCAGGTCTAGGCATAAACCTGAGGGGCAGCTGGTTATTCACTCAAGGAGTATGTATTGAGCACCTACCATTGTGTTGAGAACAAGCCATTGTTCTCAGCTCTTGGGATACAACAAAGAATGTAATAGATCAGATATCTGCTCTTGTAGACCTTACATTTTAATAGGAAGGCAATTAGCAAACAAGTAAGAAAATAAACAGAAAAATATCCAGTAACAATAGGAAATTGCATTGCAAGAAATTAAAATATGGTAAAACAATGGAGATTGGGGAATTCTTTTAAACTAGGTGGTCAGCAAAGTCATTTAAGCTGGGGTCTGAAAAACAAGAATCATCTATGTTAAGATTGGGCTGGGAGAGGGGGCCACTGACGAAGAGGGAAGAGCTCTTGCCAAGGTCCTGGGGCTTGAAAGGTCTGGGCATATTGGAGCAACAGAAAGAAGGCCATCGTGACTGGAATATGAAAGAGTGAGGAGGAGGAGAGGTCATAGAGCTGGGCAGGGGCAGAGAAGATAGTTGGTAAGAGCAAACTTGGTGTTTCAAGAAGCAGTCACTGAGGATATATATTGTTATGGTAGAGAAATCAAGAACACACAGTCAAGTTGGTGAAGAGCCATATCTGAGAATTTGAGGAGTGAAAAAGGAAAGGTTCAGCAAGGGACTAGATTGCATTCAGGAGGAAGATGGCTATGAACAATGCAGGGGATCCAGACCCCACTATGAAACACAGCACATAACACAAAGTGGGTGGTAATATCCGGTGGAATAACCAGTTAATGAGTAAGGACTAGGAGAGAACTACAATTCTATGAAAACTCAAGGGCAACATGGTTTCCTAGGGGTGTTCTTGTGGAGAGTGCTGCGGTATTGCTGGTACTTGTGACCAGATTACAACATTCCCATACATGGACGAGTAATTTATTTCTGGGATCTTCTATGTGGTGAGATTAAAACTGTAACAGCCTTCCTTACGTCAGTCAATATGGGCACAGGACTTCGTCAGCATGATTGTGTTATCAATTGATCCAGCTGTGAGAATCTAAAGAAGGCAGAGGAAGCATTAAAAAGTGGCGAGTACAGATATAGTCTCCTAGTGCTTTTAAATCTATCTTTGCTCAGAGTTTTACCACTCATTCCAAATATCAGTTTAACTTAGAATATATAGCATAAATATAATTACCATTACTTTAATATGTACAAAGTACCATCCACTGGGCAAGTTGCATACGTTATCCCTAGTCCTTGTAACTAATCTCCTAGAGAAAAAGACTGAAACCCAAAAATGACAGCACATGATTAGAATCATGTTTTTATGATCTTTTTTTCTATTATAACAGACTATATACAAAAGCAAACAAATACTGAGTTCTCTATGTGATATGGTTTGGCTCTGTGTCCCCACTGAAATCTCATCTTGAATTGTACTCCTACAGTTCCCATATGTTGTGGGAGGGACCTGGTGGGAGATAATTTGAATCATGGGGGCAGTTTCCCCCATACTGTTCTCATGGTAGTGAATAAGTCTCATGAGAGCTGATGGTTTTAACAGGGGTTTCCGCTTTTGCATCTTCCTCATTTTTCTCTTGCCACCGCCATGTAAGAAGTGCCTTTCACCTCCCACCATGATTCTGAGGCCTCCCCAGCCACGTGGGACTGTAAGTCCAATTAAACCTCTTTTTCTTCCCAGTGTCGGTTATCTCTGTATCAACAGTGTGAAAACGGACTAATATGCTATGAAAAGAGTTTCTCTATTCCCCTTTATTAATTAATGAATATTTGAAAGCATGTTTTGTGTCTGTTATTGCGGTAAGTACACAATCCATTTAACTTATTTGATGCTTTGATATGTATTTTTCTCTTGATATGTTCTTAATAATGTATTCCTCTCAACAGGACTTATTCTTTGCAGTTTTTATCAAGAAGTGCCATCCTAGGCTATAAAAGTTAAAAAGGGAAATTCAATGAAAGTTCACTTGAAAAGGTAAGCAAAATAGGCAGGTTTTATAATGCAGATATGTGACTCTCAAATTAAAGTAAGGAAGGGGCCTAGAGGTTAAGGTTGAATGGATTCTCACTCTACATTAGCACCTGAACCTGATGCCAAGCACCACACTTCAGACTAAGATAATACAAAAGAGAAACACCTCACAACACTGTGAAATATTTCTGAGCAGTGAACCTAGCCTTTGAATTATTTCAATTACCAGGTTCATAAGAGTCAGACACCAATGGAAGGTTGTGACCTCAACTTCACAATGAAAGGGCTGGCCCTGATGACTTCAAAGCTCCTTTCAGTTTTATAAAATTCTATAGCTCTGCTTCCTAGTGAATGAACAAATAAACAGCAGGTAAAGTGCTCAGAAAAGTAGATGAGTCTCCATTGAGGTGTGGCTGTTGGCTGTTCAGGGGTCCACCACTTGGCTGTCATGTTGTTCTCTAGCTCTGAGGCCTTAGGAAATAGACCTTTTAGCACACACTGAGATCATTAGAATCCTGGAGGCAGAGTCACCTTAATTCATATGAGACTAAGGTATAACCCAGGAGACTAATTTGTCGATACACAACATAAAACATCCCTTTATGATCAACAGATTTACATTTTGTAGAAATAAAAGCATAGGAAGTTTGCTGATAAAATGTAATTAAGAGATAAAGAAATAGACAGGCAAGAAGCATTTTCTCCCCCAGACCAGATTAACAAGTGATAATGCATCCCAGCCACATAGCACAGAACTTCTCTCTATTGGCAAGGGAGTTTGGACTCTGGGATTGAAATTTCTTCTCCCTGTGCCAAGGCAATACACATCTGTCCTACTGTCAGTACCTTCTGTGGCGTAGTCTTCCTTTAGATATATTTTAAAATTACTGATTAAGTTAGATATTTACATATACCTGGATAAATATTATTTCAGCATCTATTGATAAAATCAATTCATTTTAACTCTCAGAAGACAAACTATACATATATATTTTTTTTCCAAGATTGTGGGGACAATCCACTGTGTTCTCCCTGAAATTTTCTTTCCAATCACATGATGAAAGTCTGAAGTCACCAGAGCCAGGGAGGGTAAAACATAAACAACAATTTTTATTATTTAAATTATGGGCAAATTAAAATCTAGGTAAATGGCTATTTTGTATACAACAATAATCAGAAAGTACCACCAGTGATAAATTTCAACAGGTCAGGCACTGTAGCTCACGCCTGTAATCCCAGCACTTTGGGAGGCCGAGGTGGGAGGGTTACTTGAGCCCAGGAGGTCTGGACCAGCTTGGACAATATAGTGATAATTCATCTCTACAGAAAATTTTTAAAAATTGGATGAATGTGGTGGCATGCACCTGTAGTCCCAGCTATTCGGGAGGTTGAGGCAGGAAGATCACTTGAACCCAGAAGCTCAAGGCTGCAGTGAGCCATGACCATACCACTGCACTACAGCCTGGGCAACAGAGTAAGACTGTCTTCAAAAAAACTTTTTAAAAAAAATTTAATATTGTACTTGGTGATAGAGATGGATATGTCTTTGTGTGAAAAAGCGTTACGTGAAAATAAAATTGGGCTTCAAAATCATGTTTCTTCCAACAATGCAATTTCACCTCTGGTTTGCAGACCCACAACATCAGCATCTCTTAGGAGATCATGCAAACTAGTTCTCAGGCCCCATCCCAAACCTACTGAGTCAGAATTTCCAGAAGAAAGAAACATAAATCAGTTTTAACAAGTCTTTCAGAGGCTTCTTAAGCATGCTAAAGTTTGAGAACAAATGCCCTAAAATACAACTTCAGAAACAAATCCCAGATAAAACAGTCAGTCGGTCATTCAAAAAAGCAAACACAAAGAAACAAACAAAAAGGTAATTCAAGCAAGCAAACAAAGAAAATACGCCCAATTGTCTCATTCTTTCTGACAAAAACTCCTCAAAACTGGGTAGACCCACACTAAAGGATCATTAGAGCAAAACAGGAAGTGGATGTCAGGGGCCAACTGCACATAAGCGTCAAACTAAAACCTGGAAAATAACATTTTAGACGTTAAGAGGGGTTAAATTTCTGCTAAACAAGTTTCCTAAACTTTCTGAGACTTGTCACTCAAATATTCTTGTTAGTTACGAATTATTTCCTTAATACAATCCTCATGATGTTGAAGACAATCTGAAACCATAAGTAGAGCATAGCACAGATAGAATAGAAGAAGAATAAAGCTCTCTTGTTAGACTTTTCTGATAAATTATCACTCTCTATAATTGTAGCTTGATATCCTCACTTTTGGTAATCTCATTCATACTTATTAACTTCAAATGTCGCCTCCATGGTGACAAAACTTAAGTCTCTTTTTTAGCATTGGATTTAGATCATGCTTCAGTTTTCTGTTTGTCTAGAGCACATCTTCATCTGGATACCTCATTGTTACATAATTAATATATTTAAACCTGGATTAATGTCTTTATTTTTAGAGTCATCACAGACTCCATTTTTCCAATCTTCATATCATCTACCACCTTTTGGCCTTTCTCTGGTCCCACATGTTTTGTGCTTCCCTATCTATACTTACTCAGGGTTACCTTGATTTCCTAAATGTTAACTTTCTGTTTCATTGCCTTTTGTAAAATACTAGCAATCAATCAAAGCACTTTCTATATATGTTACTTCTCTCTCTACTAACCAACTTGCAATGGCTTCCTTCTACGAATTGCATCAAAATCCTTACTTCTTTGCTTGGTTTCCTCTTAATTTCTTATCATTTTTTGGAAACAACTTAATTTTCAATATTAATTTTTGCAGTGATAATCAATGCATATTCAAAAGCATTTAACAATGCCTGCAACTCCAAAACTCACGCAAAACTTTTCCTATATTTTTTATAGGAACAAATAAATACAGATACAAACATAAATGTGTACACACATACACAGATTTCAAAGAAAGATTTGGAATCATATTATAAAACTGCTTTGTCACATTTTAAATTCTAACAGTATGGTATTTTCCTCAGTCATTATATCCATATTCATTGATTTCATGGCTGCATAGTAGTTCTTTGTAAAGATAAAACGTCATTCATTTAATCTATTCCTTTATTGATGGACAGTTAGATTGCTTATAATCTTCTCTGTTAAAAGCAGTGCGACAATAAGCATCTTTGTAGATATACACTTTAATCTCTTTTCAAAAATTTCTAGAATTGGTTTTGCTATATAACCGGGCATGTATGTTTTTAAAGCTTTTGATACATTATCTCTCAAATAAAGATCCAAAATTCACCTATTCAGTAATATTCCCCTAAGGATGAACAATGAGTGAAAGTGACTGTCTTCCAACATCTCCGTCTACTCTGGTTGTTAGGAAATGTTTAACTCTTTAAAAACCAAGTAGGCAAAAATAGTATCTCCCTCGTGGTTATTATTTCTTTGATTATTAGTGACATATATTTTTGAGTGCTTGGTAGCTATTTCTGTTTCTTCATTTATGCTTTTTTGTGTCTTTTATTATTAGAATATTTTCTCCCTTTTTTTCCTATTGAGTCGTACAAGCAAATTTTATATCTAGGATATTAAACTTTTGTCATATATACTGCAGGCCTTCTTTTATAAGACTATTTGTTAGCTTTTTATGTTTCATTGTAGTAGGTTTTCTGCTATATGAAGATTTGTAAGTACAGTTGTCCCTCATTATCTGTGGGGGATTGATTCCAGGAACCCCCACCCCCATACTAAAATTTGCAGATGCTTTGATTCCTTATATATCATGGTGTAGTGTTTGTATATAACTTATGCATATCCTCCCATATAATTTAAATTATCTCTAGGTTACTTATAATACCTAAAACAGTGTAAATGCTATATAAATAGTTGCTATACTATATTTTTATTTGTATTATTTTTACTATTGCTTTGTTATTTTTAATTTTTTTTCAAATAATTTCTACCCCCACTTGATGGAACCCGCAGTTGGTAGAAATCACGCTTGGTGGAGCCCACAGATGTGGAGGGCCAATCATATTATTTTAGTCAAAATGTAGGCATTTTATTAAAACAATAAAGAATTAAAAATCTATCATTGTTTTCATTCATGGTTATGCCTTAAAAATGAAACTTACAAAACCACTCCCTACCCCAAAATTAAACCACTATTAACTTTTTCTCATCTGCCCTCTTAAAGCCTTTCTGTCATTGCTGTGCTCTTTCTAACCTTGTGCCTCTCTGATGCATTGTTTCATCTAAGTCTGTTTTGTCATTATATTGTCCCTTCTCAATTCCAATCTCGTGCCTGTATTATGTTTCTACTTTTATTCTAGCAAGAATACTTTCCCTTCCTGCTGTTACTTAAGCAATATACCAAATGCCCAACTATATGCCCACCTCAAACCTGGCCCAAGACTGTCTTCTCCCTTTAAGGGTCTACTTGCTCCAACAGTCCTTGCCCTTTCTCCTCAATTTAAGTCAATGTCGCATGACTTAGCATTTGATTACCCTCCTTTGTTCATGAGTCCTCCCTGTTTTCTCAAATAAATTATCAACTTCTGAGGGGCAAGAATCGTGTTATAACTCCTGTCTTGTCCAAACCACCCCCAAGCAGTGGTGGCAATAGGGAGAGCTCCAGAAACATGTATTGATTGATACAGCATTTTATTTCACATTCTAATATTCCAAGTACCAAACTCAAATATTAGTAACTATAGGATACATAATGAGTAGATACAGTACTGGACTAGAAGATCTTAAAATTGAACATTGCACAAACACTGAAAAATCTTATTTCCCTTTTTCACAAAACGTCATGAGACCAAACGTACATAAAAGGGTGGGAGAAGGTAGATGTATTGAGATAAACGTCTTATATTGAGAGTAAACATGTGAGTAAGCAAAAAGAAACCAAATATTTCCCGGAAAAAAAAAATGCCAAACACCTTGAGGAGAATTTTACCTTAATATTTTTGTCTTAGCTTTAGTATCTTTATAATTGAAAGTGAAACATTATTTTGAATTATTAAAAAGGAAGAAAGCAAACTATAAGGGAAGCAAAGGTAAGTATCAAAGAGGTTTTATTAAGTTTCCTGAAGATTATAAAATCAATTAAAGGACATCTAGGGTAGGGAATTAAACCATACACTCTTTATTCAATAGATACTGACTAGCACTGTTGTAAGATCTGAGGGCAGAAGAAAGATGAAGTGGAGGATTCTCCATTCTGAGAGCTAATAGGATATACCAAAAGGAAGGCAAAAATGGTTAAGTGCCCAAAATATATTGCTCAGTGAGTATTATTCGAGTACAGGATGTGGAACAGCCACTTTCATGTAGACCAATCATTCAGTCAATTGACACTTATTAAACACCTACCACATGCAGGGGGTGGGGATCACATAGCTTGAAGACCTTTGAGATTGCCCTTGGGTTTTGAGCATGAAGAGCTTGGTAAAGGCAATCATGGTAATTGGAGGAAGATTAACAAAAGGGTAAAATTAAAGTTTAGCAATGCTAAATGTGAGCAAGTTTGAAGATATTTGAAAGCTCAATGCTAAGCTGAAAAAAACTAAAACAAAACTCCATTCCTTCATTTCCCAGTGAATAGTCTGAAGAATTATCTAGTTAAAACCCAATACCACACCCAAAGCCAGTGCTGGCCTCACTCACAGCATTTTTAAACATGAGATTTCACTCTAGGGAGGCAAGGGCTGGCACTCTGTAAGCTGGCTGCAAGAAAATGACACCTTTTCTCCCCTCTAATTTATTTACTCTAGGGGACAAAAGGTATCCTGGAACCTTAAATGAGGAAAGTACAAGTATTGTGAAATATAGCAATGTAAGAACCAGACAACTTTCCAATATATTCATCTCAGACTATATGGTGAGTTTTGAATAGAGTGCTGAGACAGACTTGCACTCCTTTCCAAAACAAAATAACAATAAAGAAAATTCATGTAAGAAGTATAAGAAATACTGAGAGCAAATCTCTATATGATTTCAATCCAGCTGATTGCAGAGATGGATGTGGAGAAGCATAATGGAAGTGCAAAGAAATGTTTCAATGAATAGCATTGATCGGAGCCATCTTAAGGATTTGTGCTCCATTATATTCACGTATCAAGTCAATTCCAAGCTTTTCAATTGCCCTCTCCTTACCATTATCACTAATAACAATCTCTTTGAGTTAATGGTTCTTATTTATATTTTATCACCTTCATAATATGTTAATATATTGGCATTCTTCACCGAACACTGAAACACATTACTATTAGTCTAATATTGATCCTCAAGACATTTTTACCAAATAACTAAATATTCTTGTAATGGGAAGAAGTGACAAGAAGCTGAAATATTAAAAAGTAAAGAAACTCTGGGGAAATCGTATTAAAGCAAGTTGTAGAATCAAAAATTGGACCTCCCACAACTATTACTCTACTAGCACACTCAGAGTCCTTTCACCTAACCACACTGTTTTCGTTTCTGATTACTAAATTCCTTTTCCAGACTTTGTTAAAATGTTTCTGCTCTCACTAAATGTATATTAAGTATAATATATATTAATGATTTTTAAGTGTGGGTTAAAAAATGGTGAGTCTTCCAGCAGTTAAAAAAAAATGCTAATTTGACTAAAGTGTTTAAAAAAAAAAAGGTCATCTTTTCAGGTCCTTGGGAAGGAAAAACTCCCTGAGTTTCCAAAGCATGTGAGATTTGGCCATCAAACTTGGAAAGATGTGATTAAGTTCTGTGAAATATGACTATGTAAAGAGGATTAACTACTATCAGAAATACACATTCTTGGTCTAACTTTTCTTCTAGGAGAAGAAACTGTTGAGACTTTATGATCTCCCATCTTCTAGACATATTTTAGGTAGCAAATAGTTCTGTGTCATCCCAGCATCACATATTAAATAGGTTAACTTTTGTATTATTCTTTTTATTGTCATGCTCTGATCTTAACATTTGAATTCAAAGTGAGAAACATATCAAGTACAGGCTAGAAAAAGGAAATAACAATAGATTTAACCTAGGTCCATTAGATTTACAGAGTCACTTTTTCCAGCTCAATTGATAAACCATGACATTACTTGACACTGATTAAGCAGCGCCAAACAAGTTCAACAGATGAGGGTTGTTAAGAAATACAGTTGTACACATTCCCAAGATAATAATGTAAAAATAAAAATTCTGATTTCCAAAGCCTTTGGAAAAAAATATGTGTTCTAGCACAAAAATATTTCAGTGGGCTTTGAAATTTATTAGGAAGAGTTGGGCTGCTTAACATTGTCCTTGACTGCTGCTGCCCTTTTTACTTTGTATATAAGGTGGCAGACAAAGGAAGCTGACCTTTCACAAAAGAGCAGCCCCCAAGTAATGAGATCCTAGAATTGCTGACCCCAAGCGCTTGTTGGGATCTGTGATAGTGTCACAAAGGAAGGAAGATATTCCTGTTTCTGCCAAATGTGAGGGTTCCCTTTCAGCTTGTACTTCCATCAGGAAGTCCATCTTCTTACCAAAGGAAGAGTACAATCCTGTCATCAAAACACAGAGGGGCAGGACAACCTTGCAGGGCACAGAATTTTTGGGCCAAAGAGAGATGTTAATCCTTGTGTAATACGAAACTCATCATGGCAATTTTCAGTGTTTTAAAGGAAGCAAACTTAATTAGAAGATGAAAGATTTAATTTTTAGTATTTATATAAGTACCCTGAATATATATTTTAGAATTATTCATATTGGCAAAATGATGGCAATAAAATGCATGTCCACCTATGGGCAACACTTGCATAAAACGTGGTACAAATAAAGTAGGAACAATTAATATGACAATAAAAAACCAGAAATATCTAAAAACTTGGTAAGAATATCTAAATTACATTTGTCATTGAAAAAGTAGTTAACCTGTTCAATTTGATCTCATATAACATATGTCAGATTGCTATTTGCAAGAGCATATAGAATTCTGTAAAAGACACACACCTTACTATTAATATTAGTTATTTCAGAGAGCTCTTGAAGACCTGTGTAGTGTATTGAGGGAGATTATTAACATTTTCCCGCTGTATCTTGAATTATTTCCCTAGATATGCAAAATATGCATTACTTTGAAATTAAAAAATTCCCTAAAATTTCATGAAACATATATATATGTGTATATATATATATGTGTGTGTATATATATATGTATATATATATGTGTGTGTATATATATATGTATATATATAGATATATATGTATATATATATATATATATATAATTTTCTGCAATTGGGAATAAGGACCTCAATGCAATAAAAAAAAGTATGACAGAGGAGAACACTGCAGAACAAACATAGGAGATTCAGCACAACTTGGAAAAACCAAGAGAAGTCCAAACCAAAATCACAGTTTGTACTCTTAGCCACAACAGGGTTATTGTTTTCAGATATTCCTTAGTGAGAAAAGCTTTGAAGTTTACATCAGAATTTCATCTAACGTTATCTTGCATTAGTTTAGATATGTCTTTATACCCACGTAGGTAATTGTACAGGGAAATTGTGTTTTGTTTTCTTTCTAAAATGGGTATTTTGTCATTTTTACCTGATACTTGAAGTCTTTTCAAAATTCTGAGTTAAAAAACCCATCTGGGTATTGCTTTGGATAGGTATATGGCATGGCTGGTTACTCCTGGACTATAGTCCAAAATTGGTTAACAGTTCAATATTATTATAAGAACTATTGTAGTCAAGACCCTGGATTTTGAATAAACAAAATTGACAAAAAGATGGACCGAAAACTCAGACCATCTCCTAGTTCTTCAAGCTAAGTTAGTTTCCTGATATGTCCAACTTTCTGCCAACCCATAAAAGGAAGCCACATATAAGGGCTGATATTCTTGGCAATTGCTGAGGAATTGCCTCTCCAGTCTTCTCCAGACCACCACCACTACCATTTAATCCTGACATATTTGCTTACTTTCATCCCCCAGTTCCAAATCCTAGCTACTTAGTTTGTCTTTGAAATCCACTTCTGCCCCTCACTGAGTTGGCACGTGTATTGACTTTCTTGCCAGCAACTTATAATGCAGTACTATGTTTTTTTTTTCTTTTTTTCTATTAGTTTCTGACTTAACTCATCTTGTGTTTTATGGTTTTTCCCATTAGTTAGGAATGTAACCCAACTCAAGCCAACAGCCTCAGGGTACTAGCCAAGTGACCCATGTGCTTAATGTGAAAAAGATAGGACCCCAAGAGATTGTATCCATGTGGACATGTAAAAAAGATGTCTTTTGACATAAAGCATCACAGAGGTGAAGATGACATTAAGCAACTCTGGTTCAAAAAAGCACTGCCTTCAGCAATGGACCAATGTACAAGACACACAAAACAAGATAGACTAATACCTTCTGAAAACCTTTTCTTATGACCTTAATCTGCATCATACACCATACTATACATTGCAGGGCATTCAGAGATCAAAACTGTGGTCCCAGTTCTCAGACTGTTTACAGACTAACTCTGACACAAATATGATCTGGAAGAGTACAGTTATGTTTGAAAAGCCAAAAATAAATTTACAACTAAGCAAAAAAAGATAAATTAAAACCCAATCCCACTGTACCTTGTAAAAAAAAGAGAGAAACATATAAAAAGCAATAATTAAAAAAAAAAAGAAAAGACTGAAAGCTGAGAGAACAAAAAGAAGGAAGCAGAATTTAAGGATCAGAGGGCAGAGAGACAAAGAAGGCAAATCCATAGCAGAAAACTTGAGAATAGAAGAAGAAAGGGCGAGCAAGAAAGGGCTACAGGAGTAGAAGCTACAACAAAGAAAAAAAAAATATTAGCCCTAGGAAGGACAATCTGGGAAAGACAGGGAGATGGAGAAGACACAATGTTAAAGCAAGGTTGCATCAGACAGCCATCCTAAATAAAACAAGGATGGAGAAATGCATACAATGAATTTGGCAGAAAAGATGGACCACGAATAATAACAATAGCAGCTAGCCTTTTATGGGCCATGTTGAAATCTAGACACTCTTTTTACCAGGCTCCTCCCCTCTAACAAAGGCTTATGTTAGCCCAGAGTAAGTAAGCATGACTGCACCCATACCCTCAACTGACCTGCTCCTTGGGTCCTCAGGCACATTAGTGGCCTCAAACTTCACTCTTGTTTAATAAGCAGTTGGTACTGTGTGGTTCTCATGGCAATACGGCTTTGCTGGGTTCACAACTAATGTTGCTTTTTCCTTCTCAGAATGAGATTCTTTCCACACAGAACAACAACAACATTGCTCCTGGTTATATTTGTGAGCACATACAGATCGTATATGAATATGTTAGATACAGAAAATCAAAAATACACTTTAAAACTTGATTCCAATGACTCTTTCTGAAAAACATCCCTCTTTCCAATCAAAAGCATCAAGAAGGCTTTTATACAGGTTCTCCCTTGAGAACTAGTGATGAGTAAGTCAAAACAACAAAAGCAAATGCTGGCTATTACTGAATGCTGCAACAAGTGCAAAAACAAAATAAAGCACTAATTGTCTACATAACCATTAATTTTCTTCCTAAGAGACCAAAAGTCTCAACTACAGGACCCCTCCACATCAAATTATGAATTTACATTGACGTATTTTCCCCAAACATGTTTCTTCTGTTTGTAAATGACCTTTTCCTTGCTAAACAGCTCTTATCTATTGCCTTTGGAAAGGAAAACAAGTTGTCAAATTCCAGAAATGTTCAAAAGTACATTGAGCCCTGATACCCTTAATCTTTCTCTTTAGTTCATTTTCTCTTTCTTCTCTTTATTTTATCTTTCTTCCTGTTTCTTATAAATAACCGGTTGAGGTTGTAGAACTGTCATCTTTTTTTCTTTTTTTACTAGGCTGCTATTGACAGCCTCATCACTAAAAGCTTTGAGGTTCATCAGACTCTTCACAGTTTAAACGACTATTATGAAATTATTTGGGATGAATTAGAATTAATCAATAAGATTTCCAAAAGATGCTATCAAGAATGACATAAAAAAGAGAGTAGATAGCTAACTTGCGTAATATACTGTCAATGTATCTCAGATCATGAGAAGGTACCACAATATTTGTGAAAGAAAGTAAAAAAATAGTAGTTATTTCTATTTTGGTAAGACTCACCCCTTTGTGCTACCAACTAGCAGCAAAGTAAAATAAAATTAAATAAATTATAACTGGAAAGAACAGGAATGTGTCTTCTTAGGACCACTTTGCACCTCCATATTTCTCTGTGGTTGTAAAGCCTCAGAGAAAATCTGAACCATTAAAATAATCGTTAAGGTTTTCAGGAATGTATGTGTGCGTGTGTGTTGTTGTTTTATGTGTAAGAGAGACAATCAAAGCTGATTCATTGCATCTGCTGATGAAATTCAGTGAGATCTGTCTAGAGGGCTGGGAAGAAAAATTGAGTAATTAGATAGAGAATCAAAACATAGGGTGATTATGAGAGAATTCGCCCTCCAGCATTGGGGGATGGTGTGAATTTTCAGGTCTGAGGATATATATGGGGCTACAGAGAGAAAAAATTATTTCCTGAATAAGATTGGAGAAGATGGCTATGTCTAGGCTTGGGATCTTGATTTTCCTGTAACACTGGGATAAGAATGAAAATGAAGGAAACCATCACACTTGGCTTATGGCTGGAGTAGCAGTATCTTCAGGTTGCCCAACCACTTGTGAGAGTGATAGTGGGTCTAGCTGCAGTGTGCATACCTGTAGAGACATGTGTTCTTTAAAAGGCACGTAGATTCTCTAGGGCTGAGAGAGACTTCTAGACACCAAGAGATGTTATTATCCTAGGTAAATAACCGTGGGAACTGGGGAAAAGGAAGAAATGTCAGTTTTAATACATATAAAAAACCTATGACCCTATTTTGAGACAGAAGAATTGAGAAAAATTATGCCATAGAATAAGTATTGTGCCATTGATTTGCCTCTTGCCTACTCCCCTAAGAGGGTGCCCTAGGGAAACACCTGTTACATTTAAGCTCTGTCTCTAGTAAACAATTTCACCAATTACGCAATAAAAAATTCTGTGAACCTGGCACCCAGATCTGGAACTCCCAGTTGCTCTCAGTGCCAAAGGTCAATCCAATGTGTCTGCTTTTGAAATATTTTAGCCAAAGAATGTTAATGACATTTTCCAATACACTGTGCTGTTCTACCACATGTCCCTCCCCGGAAATTTGGGATTACTAAAATACAGAGATATTTTGAGTGCCAAAAGGCCACAATAGTGAAAGATATGGCCAGCTTTTTAGATGCTCTGACCATCTTAAAGACCTACAAAAACACTGGTGCAAGGAAACAAATGCATTAACTCCAAACTCTGAAAAGAAAAACTGCAAAACCCAAATCAATTAACATTTATATGCATATCTAAAAAACATAATACATTGTCAACTTTATTCATTGTTCCACTTAGTCTTCTAATAATCTCTTTGTACCTGAAAAAGATTTGTAGATTAGGTTTTTTTCACTTCGCAAGAATATTCATGTATGCAAGATGTCTCCAAATTCACAGATACATATCAGTTAAATTTACTTGGACACAGAGTTTCAGGAGCAAAATTATAAAAGCTTTTTCAACATATTATTGTGAAATAATTAAATTTGGTGTTGAATGTTAGTGCACTTTAATATGTGTCTTTGGATGTGGAATGGAGGCCTCAAAAAGCGTCTATTGTTACAGGAAATAGCAAAACTTGAAGAGAAATTCCTGCATGTTCTTTCATCTATTCCCACTGGCCTTTTCTTGTGTTTTTCCAGCTCAACAACAAAGTTAAACACGAGTCAGAAAGAGAAACTTCCATTGCTAACATGAAGCCAAATTGTCCTAAACAGGTAAATAATAAAGTTTAAAAGCAGTGGTTAATTTTTTTGAAATACATTGAGAAAAGGACATCAGAATTTTATCCTTTCCAGGATTCCCTACCTACCTTAGACTAAAAATGCAATATTCTTATTTCTAAAGATGCAGTCAGAATTGGTGTACATTGGTAATGGACAGGATACCAGGGTTAATCCATGAACTGTCACCACCCTCCAAGGGTAGTTCCCACCAAGTCAAAGAAAATGAAATGTTGTTTTCTCATCTTTCAAGAAGAAATTAAAGGCCATAGGTCTGTCACATATTTATCTGTTGAGTATCCCGGAAAACAATCTGAAATTTTACATAAAGATGGAGATGAGATTAATTATTAGCAAATAATGTCACCAAAATCATTCCAAGTCTCTTAAATACTTCAAATACTTCACCTACTCAAAACTAGTTAAAAAATATATTTGCTTGAATTCTAAGTTATTTAATTTTAAGTTATATATTGGGTGTCAGAATACCATTTATATGATTGACAAGTGTTAAAAGAAGCAACATGAGAATTTACAGACATCGACAATAGCCTCAAATATGACTCACATACATAAGAAAAACTTTCAATATATTTTAACCAGTTCCAGAAAACCAGATAGTTAGTATTGTTTTTTATTTCACTTTTCATTAAATTGTCATCAGTCAGGGAAAATGACTAAGTAGTAGTACACAGGATTAAAAAACAATAAGCTGTCTCTAAAAAAATCCATATTAAATTCTATGCATGATCTATATTCAGCTTGAAAATTATCAGCTAAGAGTGGGATGACCAGAAGATCATTTGCATCTAGCATATTGAATGTAATATATGCCAATTTCTTAACCTCACAATATAATGATAGGAAAGTTAAGTCTAAAACAAATTTAAATGTCAGCTCCTAAAACTTAAAATATTGTTAGATTTACTTTTCTCCTATTATACCTTACTTTCCACACAACAGGAAAGGGCACTATTAGGGTTCCCTTGACTAATAAGGCATGTAGTCGAGTCTCACTTTTGTATTTATCATTCATGAAACAAAATTCCGGGTTCCATTTACTTTTTATTTTCCTTGAGAATTTGATATATTTTCTTTAAGCCTTTTTATATGTCTATATTTGGATTCTTTATGCTTTTATAATATTAGGAACATAGTTAACTGTTTTAACCATTTGATGTATTATAAACATTCCCCCATCACTAAATATTCTACAACATAATTTTCAATGATTAAGTGGTGAAGAGCTATGCTTCAGCAAATAGAAATGGCCTTTACACATTTGAGGAGTTCCTAAACTCTTTTCTGTGTTAAAGACAGGCTACCCACCTCAGAGCTGAGTCTGTAATAAAGTAAATAAAAATATGCAGTTGGGCTTCAGAAATGATAACATTGCTACTTATGTATGGACCACCCTTCTCTTAACAGTTCAGTAACTTCATACCTTCCATAGCAGAGGCCACTATAATATATTGTTGAGGTCAGGGTTATTTCACCCATTTCACAAATGAATAAATGAACACACAGACTGATATGAACAGAAACCAACTTTCCCAAAGGATTATCTTCCTTGTTTTATACTCCAAATATACTCAGAGAAGCAAGCATAATAGGAACTTATGGACTAAGTTATATGAAAATAATGTATGATTTTTCAAAGCTTAAATAATAATTTAAAATAGCATATGTCATTTGCTTTCATTAATTCAGCTAACAGGGGCTTTTTGAAAAACAAGAAGGGAATCTCAAAAGAAAAAGTAGAAAAGATAATGTTCTTGTTTATATGCCCTTGGGGAGTTATTTCCCTCCTACAATACTACAGTATAGCTGAGGTAACCACAGTATTCAGTTCCCACGTTTTCTAGGCTACTATTCTGAGATTCAGAGATTGTAGGTTTTGCGGATTTGTAGGTTTTGGATTCAGTCGAAATAATATTTCATTAATTGTTATAGTTACACTGACTCCTTATAATCATTCATGAAACTAAAGTTGTCAGTATTTTAATGTGGCAATTCTAGTCTCCTTCATTAACTCAACTGGTTTAGCCAAACATGCATAACCATTTAGCTCTGCACCACCTGTAGAGAGGAAGTTAAATGAGGAAAAGTAAAGCATCATACTATCACAATTAAGTTTTTGGATACACCTTAATTTTACCCACTCAGAAGAAAAATTGTAACCACCACAATAAAGCTGGAAAAGGTCATGATTAAAGAATGGCTGTCATTTTGTTCCACTCCTGGGAACTTCTATCCACCCACTCCCAAGTGATGGACGTGTTTCTCTCAGTGCACTGGATTTAGATGTGTGAAAGGATGAAGACAGTTAAATTTTTCAAATCACCAGAGAGCCAGTAAAGCAGCATTTGATCTGCCCTGTGGAAAGCATCTGGGAACAAAAGAAAAACTCATGAATGACACAAAACCGAGGTCACCTGAAGATACCACTAAGATACTAAAGCAGGCTCAGCTATCTCACAATGGAAGGGATCCTAGTGAAGGAACCCAACCTAGAAACCAATGCATTGACATACAAATCAGAGAATTCCCCCACAAAATGATAGGATCTATTATCTTTCTTTTATTATCCTTACTTTTGAAATTTGATATTTATTAGGAATTGGTTTTGAATTATTAAAATTTTATTCGTGATTCCACATAATACATACTCCCTGAGTAATAAACCTACATGGATAAAACAAAACATTTTTAATAAGACCAGATTATCTGCCAATATCAACTTAAAATAAAAAAAAATAAAAACAAAACCAAGCAAAATTTAACTCATCTCAGTCTGCCACTCTCTTTTTCTTTTTAAAATTACTTCTGTCTAAAATCTGAAATCTAAAAATAGCCAATTCTATAAGCTTTCTCAAGGCCCTGAAAACAATCACATATGAATGGTAGTGATGATTAGTATGATTAATCCTATAGATTTATTATCTCTAGGAAGCTAGAGGTTATTAATTTTTATTAACAAATATTATTTCAAAAACACTGTATTAAATCACCTCATTAAAACTAGACACCTCTTTACGATAACATCTCTGTTACAGAAATGGAAGCAAAAGTTGTATGTCCTTGTGTATCTTTGTAATTTTTAACACTGGTAAGAAAAGAGCAATATTTATACAACACTGAAGAGCATCATATTTCCAAATATCTTTAAAAAGCAATATACTGCCACCTATTTTGCCATCTGTAAGTTGCTGATTCTTATTGCCTAATACTTTTCTTTAGGTATCAATGGGATGAAGGTTTTCTTACAATAGTTCCATAAATTAAAGTAGTAAAAAAAAATTTATAATTTCAAAACAGAAATGAGAAAGTCACTTTTGCTTTTTGAATGTGTACTCAATGGGAATAATTTTCATTCTTCCACTTGAATTGGTTTCAGATCTATTCAGCACCTATGTGTTTTCTAATTAAATGGCATGATCCACTCCACATTTTAAAAATGGTATTATATGTCTGTTTCCGTTTTCCGAGAGGATATTTTCTAAGCACATCCAAAATAGTTCAACATTTTCCCACTACTGCAAAAAATAGCAACACATATCCTCAACACACGTATTACACCACATGAATACATTTTCGCTTTTGGTCTCCCTTCAGTTCCATCTGCACTCTTGCTGTGCAATAGCTATAGCATAAAAACGTCTATTCTCACATGCTTTTGATATTACACTATTTAATCACATACAGCTGTGGCTTATGAGACTGTTACAAAACAATTTCAATGTAGTACTTGAAGCCAATTTTGAATAAACATCAACCATTTACTCTGAATAAAATGTTTGACATTAAAAAAGTTTTATTTTAAAAGAAAATACTTTTTTTGTTGTTTTGGTTTGATTTTAGAATTTGACATGGGCATAATTGTGACTGAACTCTCTCTGCCAAAAGACTGATAATGTCAAAAAGGTTGTGTAAAATCATACTAGTGCAAAAATGAAGCTTTCCAGAATTCCTGAAGCCAGAAAGACCTAGAATGAACTTGCATCCTCCCTTCTATATTGTGTCCCTCCCTGCAAATTATCCCTACCCCCAGCCCTCAGATACATTTTATTACTTCATGGAAATAATTTTGTGCTATAATTTTGTGCTATTTTTTTTCCAAATTGAAAGAAAGTGAAAGGAAAATGCTTTAGAAAGATGCTGTTAAATATACATGATATTTTCCTTAAGTTTGAATCCATTCTGGAGAAAAGAAAATACCATGAACTTTTTACGTTTCTACTCCTTTTAAGTAGGCACCAAACTCAGTGTTGCAAAAACAATGTCTATATCATGGAAAAAAAATAGCAAAACATGCACTGGGATTGTGTTCAATCCCACTGATAATGAAGGCTTGGGGGAGTTAAGAAAAAAAAACAAAACTAAGAAACAAGGATGGCCCCTTCCTTCTATTTTCCTCTTATTTGAAACCAATTAAAAATTCTATACAGTCTAAAGTGAGACAAACAGGATTTATCATAGTTTCATGCTATCATAGTTTCATGCTATTATATTACCCCCCGAAGCGAAAGAAAATATTTGGAGTTGTACCTAAAAATTCTATCGCTGGAAGATTTTAGAAAACTAGTTTTGTATGTTTCAGGCTTTCAAAGGAAAACAGAACTTTGGAGTTTTCAAGGCTGTTTTAAAACAACTGGCAAGTTACCAACTGGATATCAATGCAAATCTGAGGCAGGAAGTACTAAGGAAATTCTAAACTCATTCCCTCCCTCTGCAAGATTTTCTACATTTTCATGTGTAAGGAGGGTGTTACAGGGTTGTTTTGTTTTGCTTTTGAAGGATCTGTACATTCACATCTTTAAGAATATCCTTTGCTCCGTGGAAGCCTCTCTTCCTTCACCTACTTGTGTTTTCAAGCGTTTGCTCATTCTATGGCACAATCAATTGTGCTTCAGCTAGACTTTTAGAGACGGGTGGCTGCAGATGGTTGAATATTCAGCCTGAAATCAACGTGCAGTTGATTAACTACTTCTTACACCTGGCCCCTTCTTCATACCAGGCTCTGAACACAATCTGAGTATCACCAGCCAAGAAATTCTGTTTGGGTCCACTAGTCTGAACCTCTTTCTTCAAGACCTTCTGGGGAACCAGAAGGGAATGCAGTAAATTCATGTGAGAGCAACATCATTGGCAACTGGGCACTGGATTGGTAGAAACATAGTGAACTGGTAAGGGTGTGGAAAAGGAAGAAAGGAGAAACTTGCTGTGTGTGCTTAGGTAACTTTTTAAGTTTTATGAAGATGACTAAAGTTTTCCAAATATATGTGAGAGAAATATCTATTTCTCGGCTGGAAAAAAATCAATTCACCGGGCTGTAACCAGGTTTTCTTCTTTTTAGCTTACCTAGCTTGACTAATTTTTTTTCAAGAACCCCCCATCCACCCCCACCTACTCCCCACCACCACCCCCACCCCCACCCCACCCCGGCAAGTACCTCAAAAATTCAGAATGAAATTCAGCTGGGATCTCATAAGTCAACAGCAACAGGTTGTTTTTTTTTTGGAAAGGGTGATAAAATACTTAAAAAATGTTGGATTACAACTAATCAAACATTTTGTATTTTGTCATTAAGCTAATGAACTATTTTTTGAGCCCTTTTTCTCTAAAACTTGCTGATTATTCTGGGTGTCCCTTCCAAACAGCAAATTTGCCTTGATAAACTATTTTTTCATCCGGTTGTTTCTTATTTAAATATTACAACATATCACTAAGATTTCTTCATTATTCCTTAAGCGAAGTAATGTTCCTCCTTGAAATTGCTTCTTTTGGTAAAAAAAAAAAAAAAAAAAAAGAAAAATTCATCAAAAAGAAAATTGACAAATGACAACTTTTTAAAGACGTGAGGTGTGAAAGAGGGAGCACAGGATGACAACATTGTTACACATTATAGATATGAGTCAGCCACTGGGTTTTCATCTTAACTTACATGTATATTTTTCTAATATATAACATTTTAAGGATTTGAAAAATTATTTGAAGGAGCATAAACATTTACTTTTAAAGAAACAAAGTTGAGAGATTCATTCCAATGCAATGGAAAATAATAGGAGCAGAGAAGGCAGGGAAGTGTCGCAAGTTCTTCTAAAACTTTACTATGTATTCCAGGGAATGGAAACATCTGCATTTATTTCTTAAATCTCATTTTCATTTTGTTTTATCATTAAAAAATAGCAAAGGTATTTATCATTACACAAGTAGAAAAAGAGAGTTCAGCATGTGTGCATTTTCTGAAATAATGTAGTAATAAACATTTCAATCCTTTAAAATCCCATGAAGATTTTCCCCAAAAAACTAATGATAGTAAATAGCCCTTGTGGATTGGCAGGAAGAAAACCTACCTCAATTTAGAGAAAAATTTAAGATATGTTATCACCAGAATACGATTTTTACCTACCGTAGACTCTATTTTCATCAAACATAAGTATTATTGACATATCAGCATCATTTTAAATAGCTATGAATTTCAAATTGGATTATAACTCCAAGCCAAGGCTACAAAGAGTGGATTTTATGAATTCCACCCAGGCTTACCAAATAAATATAAGCAGCATGTACTTCATTTAAAATGATTATAAATTATATTTTGAGGTATAAGTGTAGAAGGAACAAAAAGTGATGTGGAAATAACCCAGTTGTTTTCCTGTTACACTGAAACATGATGGTACTTCATTGTATAGTATTAACCCTGTCAGAAAATCCCCAGTACCCACATTTTAAAATATGATTGCACATTGACTCTTCATCTCATTTCCTCTCTATGCAAGTTTCAAAACAGGGCACATTTTCTCATCTTCAGCTTCCAGGAATGCTATTAATGTCTGTCATTTCAGAGCCACCATAACAATACAGGACAACTTCAAAGCATTGTCAACATTTTACAACATAATAATCAATGTGAACTACCATGATAGGCAAAATAGCTGATCTTATATTCCCTACTATCCTGATCTGATTATCCAAATATCAACATAGGACGCCTAATGGATCTAACTTCTTTAAAAATGTTCCAGAAGTTCAAGGTGTTGGCTAGCTTGAGAGTAACAAGATCCAGATGCCGCCTGTCTATACAACACTAAACTACATAGAACTCCAAAACAGATATCTACAATCTCCCTATTTTTCAGGCTCCTCTCTTTTCCCTCACTACTCCACTCTCTCTCTTTACCCCCCATCTTTCTCTCTCTCGCACACACTTTCTACTAGTATAGCTCATCCAGCAGCCTGTGTCTTTGAAAAAATGTGCATAACATTCACTATTTCCTGTTAGTAATAGGTTAAAAGAAGTCTCAAACAGAAAAACAATTATGTTATTCATTTCAATCTAAAGTTTCTTTTCTGAATATATACCATAGTAGAAAACAAGGACCCGAAACAAAGTGTAATTTTTGAAACACTTGGAAAAATGTAGCCAAATGAGTAAAAGGGATGGAATGTCTGATATTTTTCATGCAACCTTTGAGTTTATTGTTTTTGTTTTGTTGAGGCATGAGAAATGACTGTAAATTTTCCCCTTTTAACTTGTCCTTGCTCTGCCATTTCCTTGAGGAATGGCAGGCAGCATTCTCAACCTAACACCCCCAAAGAGTTAAAACTTAAGGCACCGAGCAGGAGGGCTAGTCTATTTAAGCATCAGCAGCACAAACTAAATGCTCACAAAGGCAAATAGCAGTGTGAGTCGACCTTGGAGGGGCAGGGTGGATTACAAAGCAATTGAAAAAGAAAAAAACAAAGCAATAATCTTTTGTATAATACTGAAAGTCTGCTTCCCAGTCTGGTTTACAAATAGGCGTTGCTGGACGAGACAAAATAAATGACAGATAACTACAGCATGAATTACCTAACCCTAATCACATCACCGAGTCCTGGTGACAGCATAGATCATTCAGGCACGCCTTGTTCACTCTCGGCATATTTATTTATTAAGGAGACGGTGGAGTCTGGCTAATGCTAATGCAATACAAAATAATATCACCCGTACACTCGAGGTGGTCACTCCGCTAACATGTTTTCCCCCTAATCAAGTCCAATTTAATTGACAAATCGGAGCAGTGATTTCACACCTGAGAGTCTTTCATGTCTTAACTGCAGGATAAAGTTCAGGGTAGGTACTGCCCACTGCTTACTTACGTGGGCTTGCCTCTGGGCCCCTAATGGTCATTTGACACACACACATAAAGCCTAAAGTATTTAACCAATTCAAGTCCAATTATGATCAGTTACATTTCATTCCTTTTCAAGACTCAGGCCTCCTCATGGCAGCTACACAGAAAAATAGATCTTCTAAAAGTAAAGAACATCTATTGTAAAGCAGTCTGTAGCATGCTGATCATCCTCAACATAAAATAAAATAGGCAAGGCAAATTAAAAATAAAAATAAACTCTCAGAGACTCTGGTAGGAGCCCTATACCTTCTCACACCCTTCTTTCATTCTATACCCTGCGATTAAAAGTTTGAGTTACCCCCACCGTTGCACGTCCTATCCAGTGGGAAAAACCCTTTTAGAGCCACAATCAAAGAACAGCTCACCAGAAAAGCCCCTGAAATTATATTCTTGTGCCTGGTAATCACTGTTGTGATCTGCTTTCTAAAAACCGTGCCCATCTGCAAAAGACGTTCCTGATATCAGGACCATTTATGCTGCCAAATAACAACAAAGAAACTGAACTCAAGTGAAACTATTATCTCTCCTTAAAGAGAAAGCTACAATTCCGGGTTTGCTGCTTTCTTCTTATGTCTTCCTCTGCCTCATTAACTCCATTGGTATGTCACTAATTTCAAAGAAGCAGGAAGAAGTGATGGGGGTGGGGGTTAACTAATAATTCACACGCCTGTCTGTTTCCCATCCCAAGTGCAGAACGATACCACGCTGATCGCCAGACCGTGGGTCAAGCCATACCTTGGTTTGGAGATAATGAGGATAGTAGTAAGTGTACTGGGGGTACATTTGTGGCTGATCCAGGCGTTTGCCCATGTAGCTGGAATCTTTATCTCCGAGGCAGGGAACTGGATGACAGGGTATAGTGCCCCAGGCCGAGCTTCCTCTTAAACCACTATTCCTGACAGTCCCGGTGACTGATGAGGCTTCAGAGACTCCACCACTCGCTAGTTCCAACACAGCAAGAATTTTTTTAAAAAACAAAACAAAACAAAAAACACACACCAAAGGAAAAAAAAAAAGGGCGAGGAGTGAGATCTGTAGAAAAAACACCCACACACAGCCTTCCCAGATCTTGCCTGGCTTCCCCCAGCTGCCGGGGTCCACTTGGGATGAGGCAGTTTGTTCTCTAACCAGGCTGTCTGTAGTGATGTCAATTGCCAGCGTTCGTAAAGGGGGAAAAAAATCAAAGTCCTTTTAGCACAACTCCGAATCCTTGCAGATCAGCTTCCTGTCTCTTGGTTGTCTCTTTCCCCACCTTAAAGAAAAAGAAAAAAGAGAGAGAGAAAGAGAAAGAAAGAAAGAAAAAGAAAGAAAGAAAGAAAAAGAAAGGGGAAAAAGAAAAAAAAAAAGAAAAAAAGGAAGAAAAAAAAAAAAAAAAAACCTTGTACAGCTTAGTTGCTGCTGTCTCCCTCCCAGAGTGACATGGTGTTCGGGGCTTGTCCTGTCCTTTCATTCACTTCCCCTCCTTCCAGCCGGTGGGTGGAACCGAGAGAGCCTCTCCAGGGAGCAGCGTACGCAGTCCAGAAGGCTGCAGTATTTCCTCCAAGAAAAAAAAAAAAAAAGGCTGCTTCAACCCCTGCTGCAAGCAAAGTTCCGATTCCCTCTGCTGGCTATCTCGAATAGCAAGCGATTTTTGCAGCAACGCTGCTGCCGCTGGAACTGAACCTGAAGAACTCAAATGCGGGCGGTGGATTATTTCTTATCCCTCCTCCATCTACCCCACACAAGAGCTGCTTTTTGTTCCTCTTTTTGCCAAGTTCCAAGGTAAGCCACACTGCTAAACAAAACACAGAAGAGAGGGAAGAGAGGACGAAAGAAGGAAGGAGGAGAAAGGAAAAGAAATAAAGGCAGGGGAACTAACCTTGCTGGTTAAAGGGGAAAAAAGTAAGTCCCGGATGCTTTCAAAATCTGTTAACACGCTAGAGCCAGACGCATCCAAGAGCTGATTGAGAAACTAACCTTTTACTACCTGGAAAACTTGGTGGATGTTAAGTATTGAAGAAATTTTAGGGTCTACTCCAGGACTACTATTAATGCCACATGTCATCAGATTGGACTGATCAACTGAACATATCAAAAATAATAACTTTTTTAAAATACATCCATTTTGTAAAAAAAAAAAAAAAAAAAATCAAAGGAAGTGACCCCTTAGGTTCGTCAGATATTTTACAGATAAAATCTGTTTCTCCCATTGTCTCTCTCTTTATGATTATTTTGTTGCATTGATGCTTTAATCACTTTACTGATATCATCTAAAAAAAAAAGAACAAAAATCATAATTGCTTGGCAGAGTTTTTTCCCACCAATGATAATATTCTGTCATGTCTATCAGCTGCTACATTATAATACAAATTGTTTCAGATAAAATATATTTCCTTAAAGGGTCCCTTTTCAAGGCGGGCGAGGCTAAAATTAGATGTGCCAGCTGTGTTTTGCTGCGAGTGCTCACGCATGCCCAAAGCGTGGGCAGACCAATACTGAGCTCTTTTCTACTTTGTCAAGTCGGCTCTGTTCTCCTGAGCCCAGAGTCTCCTATTTAGATAAAAGGTCCCTGGTACAAATCCAGCTTCCTAGTCAAGAAGAACAGAGAATTTGGGCTCAGTGCACACATGGTGTCCATCCACATACAAGCCGCACCACCCCTAAAGCAACTGGCTTCCACCGAGGGGAACTGGTTTCTGGAAGCTGTGTGAGTGCATACGTGTTCCTTGGATAAAAATAAGGATGGCAGGTAAATAGTTTTATGTTTTACTTTTGACAAGAATAACAATCAGAAGGAAGGAAGGATGGAGGGTGAGAGGGTAAGAGTTAGGAGGCCCTGACAACATGGTGATTGAGAATATTAAATCAACCCCACCTATCTCTTAAATGTATTATTTGGGGCCTCAGTTGTCCCATCTATAAAATAGAAATACTGCCAACTCTCCTGGCTGAAGGCAGTACACTGAATCAGACACTAAAAATGACACTGATTTAAAAATCCTCCAGTGGTGTCACGTTTCTCAAACAATAAAGTCCTGACTCTTTGGAATAGGTTTCAGGACACTTGACGAGCTGTCTGGCCCTGGCTTTCTACTCTAGTCTCGGACTTTCAACTCTGCCCCTCACATCCTATACCGGAGTCACTCTGAGCTACTTTCAGGACAGGAACATGCTCTCAGAGGCTTCTGTCATTCCCTCTTCCTGGAGTGCTCTCCCAAGTCCATCTCCACCTCTTTTACCCTTCAGCCTGTCCTTCAGGTCTCAGTATGGATATCACCTCCTCACAGTAGCTTTCTCTAAACCCTTCCTTCTCTGCTGCACTTTATATTTGCCCTCATAGAAGGCTTATTCTACATGTATTTGCCTGCTTATTGTTTGTTTCTTCCATGATGTTCTAAACTCTAGGGGGGCAGGAGGTCACATTGTTCTCACTTGCCTTTATATTTCCAAAAACTTGCATAGAGTTGAGCACAAAATGGGTGTTCAGTAAATGTCTGAAGAATAAAATGTTAGACATAATTAATAATTTTTCAACCTGACTTACATCCCTCTTTCAGTACATTTCAGTCCCTGTTACAGGTCAAGAATTGACCTGGGTGCAGGATATAGAGGCACATGAATCAGAACAAGGTCCTTCTTTCATCGAGTTTATATTTAGTGGGGAAGGGGGGACAAACAAAGGGATAAAGAAGTAAATATGCAGTATAATGTCAGGAAATACAAAGCGCTGTAAGGAAATATGAAACAGAGTAAAGAGAAACAAAGTCACAGAGATTCTACTTTAAACAAGATAGGAAAATGCTCTCCAAGGAAGAGCCTTGGAAAATGCTTTCCTAAGGTCAAAGCAAGGGTGTGAACCATTCTCTGGGTATTGTGCACTGTGAGAATACTTCGTGTTAATGCCTTGGATCCCATCCAGACTGCCTGGGTTCCAATCCTGCCCCTTCTTCATTCATCTCCCTCAGTTTCTTCATCCATCAAATATCACTATTCACTTCATACAGTTATTTAGAAAACCAACCCAGATAAACACATGAAGCTTTTAAAACACCTTGTACCATGTTGGATCTGCTTAACAAATGCCAGCCTGCACATGGGGGAAAAACATCCCAGTCACAGGGAACAGTAAGTACAGAACGGCCTGCAGTGGGACTGTGTCTTTGGAATGTGCAAGATCCGGCACAGAGGCTGAAATGAAGCAAGTGAGGAAAGACCATAAAATGGGGTTAGGGAGGTACCCTTGGGCCAGATCATATAAACCTTAGTAAAGAACTGATATGGAAAGCTAATTAATTGATAGTTAACAGTACAGCAAGGACTTTATCCAAATATTCAGATTCTACATCTAGTCATCTTCAACTATAGAATGCTGTCATTTAAACAACCTATTAATGCTCCTCCAAGTTCTATCTTGTAAGAACAAAATCCAAGATTGCTTTGGCTAATTCTGCCACCATGGACAAAGGATATAAATACTCTTTCATTAATACATGGTCTAGATACTCCTTAAAGGGAAAAGAATACTGTCTTATTTACAAATGAAAGGCCAAATGACTCCTCAGCCAAAACTGATATAACCCATTATCTGTAAAGTTCCCAGCATGTGTTGATGCTATCAGCAATTTCTACATAAAATTGTTACTTTTTAAAATGCTATTTGATTTCGTTGGATTATTGTAATGTTTTAGGCATAAATTGTCATTAGCTTAAAAACCCTCATTGCACCTTCAAAGCTTTTCTTAAGTAATGCAAAGTAGGTTTACCACCTGTGGGAATTGTAAAACCTGTGTTTTTGTTTTTTATTTTCTTCCCTCAGAGACACCAGTAGCCATGGCAATTCAGGAGGCAAGATACTCACATCAGAAATAGTTTTTATATCATTTCTGCTCTGTTGGAGCAGTAGCGCTTTCCATTTAAATGATCAAGTTAAGGTAGGAGGTAACTGGTTTAAGGCACTCTCTAAATCAGAAGACAGCTGTGTCCTATTTGCCAACTAACCAACAAATTTCATACAAATCCAAGAACAGCAAACTGCATCAAAGGGCATAGACTCTCACTGGGTCACGTGATTCACAGGCTAGACAGAAGAGGCACTGACTGATTGATTGATCGATTGAGTTTTATTTTTTATTTTTTTGAGATGGAGTCTTGCTCTGTTGCCAAGGCTGAAGGGCAGTGGTGTGACGTCAGCTCACTGCAACCTCCGTCTCCCGGGTTCAAGTATTTCTCCTGCCTCAGCCTCCCAAGTAGCTGGTATTACAGGCACCCACTACCATGCCAGGCTAATTTTTATATTTTTAGTAGAGATGGAGTTTTCCCATGTTGGCCAGGTTGTTCTCGAACTCCTAACCTCAGGTGATCCACCTGTCTCGGCCTCCCAGAGTGCTGAGATTACAGGCTTGAGCCACCATGCCCAGATGAGGCACTGATGTAGGACAAGTTTTTGACTAAGGGGCCTGAGATGATGCCTCAGACCTGCCACTGGGAAATGGGGAAGCAATAGCACCGAAATGCTGAAATGAAGGTCACCGGGGTAGAGATGAGAATGCTCTTCTAGTTTGCTCTTGACTTATCCACTCAGAGAATAACTGAGTCCTTTCTTTGGATGATTTGTGTTTTAAATTATAAAGATTTATTCAAGGCTGGGTGCAATGGCTCACACCTGTAATCCTAGCACTTTGGGAGGCCAAGGCGAGTGGATCACCTGAGGTTGGAAGTTTGAGACCAGCCTGACCAACATGGTGAAACCCCGTCTCTACTAAAAATACAAAAATTAGCCTGGTGTGGTGGTGCATGCCTGTAATTCCAGCTACTCGGGAGGCTGAGGCAGGAGAATCACTTGAACCCGGGAGGCGGAGGTTGTAGAGAGCCAAGATTGCACCATTGCACTCCAGCTTGGGTGACAGGAGGGAAACTCCATCTAAAAAAAAAGATTCAGTGGAAAGCAAGAGAAAAGAACAGAAGTCGAAAGACAAACCGTAATTCTACTACCCTAAAAACTACATACATATACCCTTCTATCTTTAAGAAGGACATGCATGACCTTGAAAGAATTTTTGTAAATCTTTGCATTTTATGCCCACTTTATTTAAATGTATTAAATCCCTCTCCAACACAGCACTTGTCAAAGGAATGTTAAACATAAAAGTTGTTTAAATATATATATATAAAATGGTAGATTTCAAATTCCAACATTAAGGTACTGTTACAACTTTTTTTTTCTCTGCAGAATACTTACCAATGGTTTAGGAAAACACCCAAGACAAATTAGGAGAGACAACTAGTGATTCAAGTGTATGTGGTCCAAATTTAAACAATAGTTGAATATAAAAATATTGATGTAAAGATGATTAAAATTAGCCTTGAAAGACAATATCAAACCTCAGGACAAAATTGTACCATAATTTAGTTTGAGACATTTAATCAGGTAGAAAAGCAAGAAGAAATAAAAACAATGAGAATTATTAACTTCAACAGCGTTTTATTGAATACTTACTATGTGCCTAAATAATTGAGGGTACCAATATAAATATTATTGTCCCTGTCCTCAAATGGATTTAACAACTCTATATTTCTAAACACCAGCCATTCATGTATAATCTTTATGTTTTTTCTCATATCTGAGAACCAACTTGTAACAATAGTTATTAAATAGTTTTCTTTAAATCGTCTTAATTTTTTTCTGAAATACATACTTTGTTAGAAAGCAAAAATACACATGAAGGATTATGTCTATTTTTATTCTATCATCTTTGCAAAAACTACATGTTCTGTATCCTCTCTTTCTATCTCCATTTTTCATAGCATTTAATACTTGTGGTAGGGACATCCAGTTCTTTGTTACCACTGGGATTACCAAGATTCACATTTTCTCACTCCACTGAAAGTAGGCCTGGCCACGTGACTTGCCAAGGCCAATAAAACATGAAGCAGCAGTGACACATGTAAAAGCTTTTAGCTGCTGCTGTTTGATTCTTCTTTAGTGGAAACACGTGCTGACATGAAGGAGCCGCAAGAAGGGAGCATCTTGGAAAGCTGAGGGCAGCAAATTTGGATAGCTGCCTGGACTAGCCACTGTGGACTTCTCATAATCAAGAAATAAACCTTTGCTACAGTGTACTAGTAAAATGTGGTGATTGTTACCAGAGATTATCCTAGGCCACCTGTTTAATACAGCATTACTTATAATTTGGTTATACATTTTTGGTTTTCTTATTTGGGTATATCTCCCACTAATATCTAAGCTCCACAGGGCAATGAGTTTATTTAACACATTATATTCCAATGCACAGAATAGTCCTTGGGATTTAATACACTCTTAATAAATATTTCTTAAATAAATAAATGGAGTACTTCCCTCTTATTCATAGGGGATATATTCCAAGACTCCCAGTGGATGCCTGAAATCTTGGATAGTACTGAATCCTATAAGTAATGTTTTTTTTCCTACGCATACATATGTGTGACAGATTTATTTATTAACTAGGCACAATATGAGAATAACAACAATAATAATACAAAAGATAATTATAACAATATACTGTAGTAAAAGTTATATGAGTCTTTCTCTCAGTCTCTCAAAATGTCATACTGTACCACTGGTAACCGAAACCTGAAGCCACAGAAACAAAACTGGGAAAAAGCTATGGGGGCAGGAAACTACTGCAAATGGTTTCTCTGAAATCATCTCATTTATGTGCTAGTGGTTAACGGACACTATTTTGTGAAAAAATAAAAGGGTAAATGAGACTTATACCCAAAAGGTAAAAAATGTTAGGTTTTCTGGAAGGAGCACTGTTAAAGTACTAGGTATTCTGAAGAGGGAAATGTTTTTGTACACTGACTGTTGGAAATGGGTACTGGAGTTGATGAGCTAAAAAAGAAAAAAGTTAGAGTGTTATGAATTGAATGCTTGTATCCTCCCCAGACTCATGTGTTGAAATTCTAACCCCCAGTGTGATGGTATTAGCAGGTGGGACCCTTGGGAGATAATTTTGTTAGTAGAGCAGAGGCTTCATGAATGAGATTAGTGTCTTTATAAGAGGAGATATTGAAGAGGTGATCTCTCTTTCCTCTCTGCCATGTGAGGATACAATGAGAAGACCTGCCTTCTGCAAACCCGGAGGCAAGCCCTCATCAGACACCAGGTCTGCTGCCACCATGATGTTGGACTGCTCAGCCTCCAGAACTGTGAGAAATAAATGTTTGTTGCTTAAGCCACTCAGTCTATGGTAATTTGTTATAGCATCCTGAACTGATTGAAACAAAAAAGAAAAAAATATATTAATACATGGCCTACTACACAGTATATACTACTAGTAATATAAATATTTCCTCAATAAATATTCACAAGTACCTGGGAAGTAGGCACGATTTTTCACACTTTACAACAGAGGAAATTGAGAAGATGAGGATGTAACTACCCTATCCAAGTTTGCCCAGTTACAACATGGTAGAGGAATATTCCTGACTCATGTCTGTGTAGGGCCCAGAGGCTTAGTCCTCAGCATCATCTGATGGCAATCTTAAATGCTTTATTTGAAAATTGGATGAGATAACCTTTGTGTTTAAAATGGAAAAACAGTATACATATAAGTTCTAAATAAGTCAATTGTGTCTGCATGGAGACAGACAAAAAACTGGAAAGAAAGAGCATGTCTTTTTATCACATAGCAAAAACTCTCTCTGGATGACAAATGTGATGGTTAATTGCACCTGTCAACCTGGCATGGCTATGGTGCCAGTTGTGTGGTCATACACTAGTCTAAGTGTTGCTGTGAGGTATTTTTTAAATGTGGTTAACATTTAAATTAGGGCACTTTGAGTAAAGCATATTACCCTTCGTAATGTAGGTGGGCCTCATCAGTCAGTTGAAGGCCTTAAGCATAAACACCCAAGATCTTTGGAGAAGGAAGAAATTCTGCTCCCAGGCTGCCTCTGAACTCAAGACTCTTTACCAACTCTTCCCCAGGTCTCCAGCCTGCTGGCTCACCCTGAAGGTTATTGTGGGGACCCTCCAGCTCCCACAATAATTGTGTGAACCAATTCCTTGAAATCTCTCATATATATATATATATGAAATATGGTTCCACTTCTTTGGAAAATCCTAATATAATGAAAGATAAATAAGGCAGCTATAAAAGTCAGTGAGATGGGCACTCTAATACATTCCTAATAAATATCTATAATGCTTCTAATATAATTTAGACAAAATATATAGTCTTAAAGATCATTTTCCAGTCATTTCAGTTCTAAGAATCTAAAATAGATCATCCGATTAACATTTTAAGTGTAAGTAATTGGAGTAACCTGATGTCCAGGCCTAGCAGGTTGGTTAAATAAATCACCAATGAATAAATTATGATTCAACCATTAAAATGATACTGAGAAAAAATTTATCAATATGGAAAATGTTTAGGGTGATTAACTAATGGAAAAAAATCAGAATATGATATTATATATGCAGGTTTTCAACTATGAAATACAAAGAGAATGGAAGAACAATACCAAAATAACCACAGTGAATTGTTTCCTCTGTGGTTAGGTATTTTGTGATTTTACTTTTCTTTTTGATAAATTTTGGCATTTTCCAATTTATCTTAAAATGAACATGTTATTTCACTATTTAAAGTGAACATTATTTTAAAAGAAATATTAGGGTAAGTGTATTCCAAAGTATAGATTTTTATTATTATCTGAGAGGACATTTTTAAAAGCCCAGAGGTGACAATAGAAAAATAAATTACATGTGTACTTTAGTCATTTCCTCTCTATCTGAACCAAACATCAATTTAAGAAAAGTTTGTCTTTCTTTAAAATCTGGGAGCATTAGTTCTACATCAAAATGATGTCAAAATTCTCATTTAAGACATAAAGACAAATATCACTTAATGAAATAATAACAGCTACCAATGAATGGCAAAGGATAAGTCTTTGAAAGGTTTAAACCTGAATAAGTATGCAATATTTTCACTTTTAACATTCTAATTCTACCTTTGCACTTGATATAGTTTGGATATGTGTCCCTGCACAATCTCATGTTGAATTTTAATCCCCTGTGGGGCATGGTGGTAGGTGTTTGAATCATCAGGGCTGATCCCTCATGGCTTGGTACTGTCTTCGTGATAGAGGGTTCTCACAAGATCTGGTCATTTAAAAGTGTGAGGCATCTCTCACCCCATACTTTTGATTCTGCTTTTGCCATGTGTTGTGCCTACTTCTTCTTTGCCATCCACCATGATTGTAAGCTCCCTGAAGTCTCCCCAGAAGCTGATGCCAGACCTATGTTTCCTCTACAGCCTGCAGAATCATGAACCAGTTAACCTTATTTTCTCCATAAATTACCCAGTCTCTGGTATTTCCTTATAGCAATACAAGAATAGCCTAATATAGGACTTTTGCCATGTACTTCTCACTAAATTTATATTTTTTTCAAATATTGATACATCTCTTGGCAGTTTGTTTATAATGTGTTATAACAATAGTGGGTTTTTTTTTCAGTCTCTCACTATGCCTTCTGCATGTTTTGATACCACAAATTCCGCTACTTGCAGCCCATGGAGTGAATTTTGTCCTGATGGAGGAGGTAGATTCCAAGTGGTCCTTCTCACAAGCATGCCTTCTACCATGATTAGTACCATCAGCGGAGCAGTGCATTAGAAAACATGCAACTGAAAGCCTCAAGCTAGGGAAAAATATGTAACTTCTTTGCCACATGGGAAACACATTCTTTTCAGAAAGAAGTATCTTCACTTTTATTGACTTCCAGCTTCCAGCTGCCAATAGCTAAGCAAATATGGTCGATATGGCTATATTTGATTTGGCAGGGCCGATTCTTCTCCCCAGAAAAATCTAGAGTGGCAGAAGTCCATGCCAAAAGGCTACTAATTAGAATTGCCACATAAAATACAGGACAGCTGGTTAAATTTGAATTTCAGAAAATAATAAGTTTTAAAATATAAGTATGTCTAAAATATTACATATGGTATGCCTCAAAAAATTTGAACTGAACTTATAAAAATTATTCATTGCTTGTCTGAGATTCAAATTTAGCTGGGTATTTTGTATTTTTATAGCCTAAATCTGGCCACCCTACTCCCAACTGATGTACTGAGACAGTTTACAGGCCTTTCAGAGGACACAGAAGATTTGACGGAGTCTCTAAATGGAATGACAATTGACAATGGTTAATATTTTCTATCGTTTTTACACTTAAACTGTGTAAACCAAAAGTGTCCCCAAATTAACTGCCCTTTAAGAGAGACTTAAACCACCAGTGGTGTTTCTGATATAGAGCAATACAGTATTCCAGGAGCTCTGTTTTCGTTATGGTTTTAAGCTGATGTCTTTCCTTTTGGCATGCGGGAAAATTTAAATTGTTTTCTTAAATTGTTATTCAACACAATAAAGTACTATCTAGAATGACAGATGTCCAGATCCCCATCCCTGATATCAGAAAAGTACAATTCAGAGAGACCAGAAAAATATGCAAAACAGAACAGAAAAGGAGATGAAGGGCAATGCTGCCCAAAGTGTGGTCTGCAGACAAGTGCTGACTGGCAAAATTTACACATCCCTGACCAGTGAGTCTGGGATAAAGAATTCATGTCTAGCAACTTTATGGTCATTTGTCCAAAGAATTGTTAGTCTCTTGTCTATAATAAAGGTTGGACTTGGATTTTGGAAGTCTGCTTTATGCTTTTTCATTTTCTAGTAATTTTCATTCTAGTTTTACAAAAATATCAGCTGGGGTCAATTAAGGATTAAAAACACTAGTTTTCACCACTGATAGAAAAGTGCTGAAAATTTTCTTATTTTCCTTCATTTTCATTTTTACACTTCTAGTGGTAAAAAAAGTTGCATTGATGTGTTTTCTTATTTTAAACAAAAATCTAATTTTTTAAATTTTTGTGAGTACATAGGTGTATATACGTATGGGGTACATGAGATATCCAATTACATTTTAAAAATTATTTTAAAATATACAATTAAGTTATTATGAACTATAGTCACCTTATTGTGCCACAAAATAGTAGGTCTTGTGTTTTCTGATCACAGTACAGAGAGTAAACCCACACGAACTACAAAGGAAAAATTTAATTCCCTCACATTTACTTTACTTGCTTTCTTAACTCTGTTTTCTTTGCCTAGTCCTTACTCTCTAACCTGCACCATACCTTCCTGACTCCGAGGAAGAAATTTAAGAGTATCAAACCCAAAATCAGGACATGCAGGGTTTCTTGGCGGTGACTGTCCCTGGCAATATCAATCCCCCAGCTGGAGCCTCAGTTGCCTTGTGTGTAAAATGCAGGTTGTACTTAGTCATTGAAGGTCACCTTGTGATTCCAAGATTCCTGGACGGCTACAATACGCTTGCTATTAAACTAAGATGAGCCTGCGTCTCTCTGCCTACAGGGGTACACTCACTGGCCCCAGGGGGTGGCTGGCGGGGCTCACATCAGCAACATGAGGTTGTCGCACCTGAGCCAGAGGGTTTGCCAGACTCCCAGCCCCTCCCAGCAACTTTACACTGGGAGGCCCTGACACCCAAAAAAAACCACCACAAATTATGTTTTGCCTTCTAGGGATGACATCCGCATGAACAGCACTAAATTGTGGCCATACAGCCTGCCTGACACTTTTGCCAGTGCCTCAAAAACAGTTAAACCCCTGGTAGTCCAGATGCTCCATCCATCCCACCAGGGCTTCAGTATTCTGGATGTTTATGTTCATTATGCAGTCAGGAAACATAATTATTCGTTTTCCTTTAAGGAAGTTTATGACCGAAGGTAATGGGGGGAACATAAATGTACTGACTGTTTACTGAGACTCATAAATGCTAAGAACACAGACAAATAATTGTCACTGGAGATTTGTTCTTGTAGTGTAGAATCTTTGTTTTTAGCAATTTAACTACTAAAAGTTTACCCACCTTGAGGAGAATTACTTAGCAGGAAATAAAACTTAGCACCTATTTCATTCCTTGCTCCTACAACTCTCATCCTTTCAGAAAATCAGCTTTCACATAAAATATGCAGAAGGTAGCTTGTTATATAGGGCTAGTAAAGCTAAGGGGTAATTAGTACAAGCTAAACCTCTAAATAAAGCCAAGTTTTAACATTTGGGAGTTCTGGATCAACCTTAACTAATATGTTCTGTTTTCCTCTGTGAGAGATGTACTTTGGTACTCACCAATTAACAAGAATCAAAAACAGAAATGTTAAGAAATACGTTCTGTCCAATTAGTAAAAATGTGGCAAGGCTCAGGTTAGCATTTAGCAAGTGTGATGAAATGCTTGTACCTCTTAAGAGTTTAGAACAGTATCCACTTATGACCAGGATGGGTTGTACTGAGCTCATTTTAGGAGGTTTTCTGGGAATGTTTGGCACTGTGTGGTGGAGAAAACAGTGTGAGTGTGAGGCCCCTGAGACTTTGGGACTCCTGTTTGTTTGTTTGTTTGTTTGTTTGTTTGTTTGTTTGTTTTTTTACCTTTTGTAGAGATGAGGTCTCACTATGTTGCTCAGGCTGGTCTCAAACTCCTGGCCTCAAGCGATCCTCCCACCTCAGCCTCCCAAAGCACTAGATTACAGGCATAAGCCACCGCACCTGGCCTTGACTCTTGATCTTAACTGCCATAGTGGTGAGTAAAGGGTGACATCATTGGGGGAAAGAGACAGTGAGAGACTCAGCCTGTAGATAGCCTTCCTCTGGCTTCTTCCCTCTCATAGTGGGCAGCTGCATTAAATTTGACAGTTAAACTTGTCTCACCCCTTCCAGCTGGGGCCATTCCCTCATATTCCCCAACATGCATGCAGCCTCTGAGCCAGTAAAGAGAGTGCAAAGTGAACCACCCTAACAACAAAAAATTTTTTTTCTTTTAATACTGAATAAGATTTATTATGCAGCTCACTCTTTGCCTTCCTCTTTACATCCAATGGGAAAGAGATGTGAGAGTTTTTCAGGATTAGCAATGTGCTATCAAATAGCCACCTGCAGGGATGGTACAGAGAAGACTCCCTGGCACCAACTTTGGGGTGTGGCATGTGGGAACCCGAGGCCACCACATCTTCAAAAGGCAGCAGCTGGAAAAGAAGATGTCTGGCCCAGAGGTGCCTCTATTATTCCTCACTCAGGCTGGAAATGTTGGGTTCTTATTCCCCAAAAAAGGCAAGTTCTTGAGAGGAATCAATAAAAGAAAGTCAGTTTATTTGCTCGATACGATGGACATGGATTACCCCCAAAGCATGATTTGGTGTGAAATGCTTTATTCATTTATTTCTAAAGGGCTGTGTGGACCTTATGCCAATGCTTGGGTTTACAATGGTACAAAGACTAAGATAAATTCATCTATTCCCTCACCAGTCATCCTCCCAGGAGAAAGCTACAAATGTTACCAAGGACAGGGATTACAGGCAGAAGACCCCTGTACCTGTACCAAATGGACCTGCAGAGTCTATGGTTCTGATGTATGTCACATGGGAACTAGTCAAGGCCTGTACAACAACAGCTTATTTATTTTTGCTACGAACTCTAAAAATTAGCTTATTTTTTCTGGTAAAGAAACAATGCTTATGTCAAGGCCCCTAGAAAAATCGAATGGTGTTGTTTCATAAGCTCATAATGGAAGGCTCTATCCATTATAACCAGGGATAAATGTATTGGATTCAATATGTTTGGTTTGGGAAATCTCTTTTTGTCAGTTCCAGTATAACCAATTGTCCATTATAGCATGTCCTTGCTAAGAGTAGCTGATGTAGAAATATTTAACCACCCCATCCATAAACATTTATTTTCTCCCAGAGCAGGAAAGGGCTGAGCTTCTCAAGGCCCTAATATTATTTATTTGCCAGAGAAGGGATATGATTTTTATACCAGGTGCAGTTTTCCTTTGGTATATTTTAAAATTTCTGCCTTTGAAATGATTCCTAAAGCTAAGATTCTGACCACTTGCCCTCAGTAAATATCTGGTGATCCTTTTCCCCAACAGATGGGAAGGGCCTCCTGATATGCCCCTGGCCTAATTTCAATTTGGGTAATTGCATTCTGTCGACTTGAAATTTCCTCACCAGTTTCATCTGCCTGGGATATGATGCCTCATTCTTGGTGCTGAACGGCCTGGCGTGCCGTTGGAGACTGGGAACAGCTGGTGCATTCCACCCCAGAAGTGGATGCATTTTAGTGGCAGGTGCAAAGGTTTTCTTCTGCAGAATACAAATTGTGCCCTAGGAATAAGATTCATGAATGCTTTTTATTTTTGCAATAAATATAGGTACCAGAAAATCAGAAATATAAAAGTATCCAGAGCATAAATATGAATTGGGAGAAAAATACGCTTTCACTGAAGCCATTCTATAGTGTGATCTTTTGTACTCCATAAATCTTAAAGTGCCTGTAAGTTTGAATTTGGATAATAAGGATAAATAATTCACATGATGCAGGCAACCATTACTCTGCCATGTACACATATTACCCAGTTGTACACCCACACACATATATATACATATGTATGTGTATGTGTGTGTGTGTGTGTGTGTGTGTGTGTGTGTGTCCCAACTCTTACCTGCTGAGAGTCTTCATCAGTCTAGGATAAAATTGCTTTCCCATGAAACCTCACTAGGCATCCTATGCATACCTCAGTACAGTAGGTCACATATTTAATTTAAAGGAGATTATTTGCTGTACTAAAGTAGAATCTTAAAAGGGATCCTATCCATTTCTGTTTCCCCAGCACCTAGAACTTAATAGGTACTCAATAAATGAATTAAAATACAGACTACATAGTTCAAATCCAATTTGTCCAAGCTCTGACTCCCAAAATGCTATTTCTAAGGGATGTAAATCACCAGGATCTTTAGTAGCCCATGTCACATCCCCTTGGCCACCTTAGCTCTAGGGAACAGTTCCATGAAAGCATAGACTCTCCTTGCGTAAAGTACCCCATCTCAAGCAAATGCCACATAGTGTTCTACTTCTGCCCCAGGACCTTCTCCCAGAGTTGGTTTTCAGAGATGCTGGATACCTGGGTGGAGTGTAGCCTGAAACTAGAGAGCAATTGCACCAATGCAGCACCAAAGAGCATAGGAAAGGAGCTGGTGGGTAAATGTTCCTGTTTCCCAGCCTGCAGGCAGACAAGTCTGGGAGTCCTTTGCACCTTCTCTGGAAGTTTCAGTGACACTGGACCCTACTGACCAACTCCACGTTTTTGTTTTGGTTTGGATTTTGCTGAAAATCTTTTAGCAGTGACTTCGATAACACACCATTATATTGGATTGTCCTCCCACCATCCCCACTCACTCTCTCCTACTTCAGGACATCACATCCCAAGCAAACTATCTGTACCCAAGTCTTTTCCTCAGACATTGATTATAGAGCAATCTAAACTGTGACAACTTGGGACATCACTATGCTGATAGTCACACTAGTAGACTGTCCCCATAAAAACACAGTATGCCTGTTCAGCCACCATTTCATTTTCTTTCCTATCATGAAGCAGATAAATATTATGCCAAGAGTGCTCCGTTACATACAGGCTGACAGATTATATGCCATGCTTACGCCAGGAAATAGGAAGAATAAGACTGCTGCGATGTGTATTCTGAAATATTACATGTTAGCTCTAAATGTTGTATTTTACCAATGACTCAGCAATTATTTTCAGTCTTATAACTAGTGGAAAAGTCTAGATTCTGCCTTATTTTAGCCTCTGCAGGTCACCATACATTAGCTTAGAGGCCCAAGCCCCTGTGTAACTCAAGCTGACTTGAATTCTAATTTGTACTATGCAGCAATCCTGGCGATATCATCTGCATGCTTAGCCTCATGCTGCCTTAGCCCTGGGGATAGAAAAATATTTATGCAGTAAAACTTGTCACTACCATTCTTGTTTTGTGCAGATCATCAGTAGGTAGTGTTATAACCTAAGAGAAGGGCCTTATGAAGTCCATAGTCCACCATTTTAAGTCTATGCAGTTTAGGAAAGTTAGGGCAGCCTAAGAAGGCCAGGCCACCCCTGAGTTGACAGTTCCATACTCACTGTAGGGATAGCCTGTTGGCCCCAAGAGATAGAGAAAGGCAGTGAATGGGTGAACTGCAGAGAATCTCATCAGTTCTTTGGAACAGTTTAGACATCCAACTTCCATGAAGTATTCAAATTGAGGCTAGAATCTGACTTAGGAGCTGGACTGGGGCAAAGGTTAACTGAGGGTCTCACTCAGTTTCAGAAAAAGGACTCCCAGACTTTAAAAATTGTATAAGAGAAGGCCTGCAGGACACCTGAGATCATCTTTATTTGATTTTTGAAAAATTGTTAACTTTTACTTGACTGTAAAAGCTCTACTCTTTTACTATAAAATGTTGAAATGCAAAATTATATAAAAATAAACACAAACATTTACACATATAATCCCATTTGATTCTATCACCCAGAGCTAATTGCTATTAATGTTAAGTCCATTTGCTTCTGGCATTTTCCCATATGAATATATGAATATGTATTTCTCATTTTCTCTCTCTCCTTCTATTTTATGTGTGAGATCCAGATAAAAGCATTATTTTATTGAGATTTTATAAAATTTTCATATACTTCTTTCTTCTGACAACATATTGTAAGCATTTCTTTTGCAAAAAGCATTTTTGGAGTATGTAACATTTAATGATATTTGATGATTCTCTGCTGATAGATGTAAAAATTATTTCTTATGTTTGTTATCACAAGTGAGACTACAACTTCCAAGTATCTTATTTATCTCTTTCTAGGAGTCTTGAGACTTCTCTTCTTTTGGTGTGGATTCCGGAACTCCTTTCTGAAGCAAGAGGCAAATATCTCTCAGCAGAGAATGCCAAGACCAATCACTTAACCATGGCAATCTTACTCAGCATGGTAATTCCCACCCTGATGGTCCCAAGATGGCTGCAGCAGTTTCAGCCATGTTATCCTAATCCACCAACATCTGGAGGTATCTGTCTTTTCAATCTCCATCTATTACAAATGTAGGATACTTTTACCAGAAGGTCCTCCTCTAGACTACTACTCATGTTTCATTGGACAAATTTGGTCCCATGGAATTTCTTAAGTCATTTACTGATGAGGAAAGTGGAATTATCATGACTGGATTAGACTACCTAAGATTCACCACTCCTGAGCCTGGAGAAAGATAATTTTCTCAGAGCAAACAACTGCATATGGCTGAAGATAGGAATGAACTATAAAACAAAATTGGAGTCCTCCAGGAAAGAAAGGGGGAATTAAAGGGAAATGATTGTGTAGGCAAAACACAATAGTCTCCAATGCCAAATAAACTTTGTTTTGTTACTCTCTCATCTACTTTATCACATTTTTTTCCTTGTTACCCTTCTCACCTTAATTCATCACCAATAAGCCTCTTTAAATCAAATTTTTGATGGTCATCCATAAATCTCCAAGAAATTGAGTGATAATTAACATTACAGTGATAATGAGCTTAAGGTCTTGTTTCTTCTTGAAAGCTGGGAGGGTAGGAGGGGAGTGAATGGTAAGAAATTACTTAGTGGGGGCAATACTCATTATTTGGGTGATGGGTTACCCTATAAGTCCAGACTTTACCATTATACAATATATCCATGTAACAAAACTGCATTTGCACCATTTAAATGTATACAAATTTTTAAAAAGAAAGCTCTAAAAGATATAAACATCTTCAAGATCTATAGGAATAAAGCAGTCATGGGGGTGTGGCAGGCAAGAAAGGATTTAAGGCCCAGTTCGCTCCTATGACCTCCTCACTTTATCTCCTATCACACTACTCTGCACACTCTGTTATGGCCACGTCGGCCTCTCTGCAGTTCCTCTAAGAGGCCAGCATTCTCTCACCCTGGGGACTTTGTACTTTACTTCCCTGTGCCCACACCAAGCTTTCTTCATATAACCATGTTACTTAATTCCTCCCTTACTATGAGTTTCTGCTCACGTGCCACCTTATTAAAGAGGTTTGTCCTGACCATCTTATGTAACATAGCAACTTTATTTCATTCTTTGTCCTATTACCCCAGTTTATATATGCTTATGGCTCTTATAACCACCTGACATGGTATGCATTTATTTATTGTTCTTATAAGTAATTATCCATGAGACAAGTGTTTATATTTTGTTCACAGTTTGTTTCTCTGAGCCTAGTATAGTGCCTGACACATATAGGCATGTCTTAAATATGTATAGAATGAACTGATGGGTGGCTACTGGCCATGGGAAACTTAGATGATCTTTCTGTTCCTTAACGTAGATCACAACATAATTCAAGAGGTACCTCATCCTGGGCAGGCATCTTTCTCTATGATAATCAGTAATACCCATAGTAAGCCCAAGTAAGTCGATATCTTTCTTCTTTCATCTACTTTCCTCTAAGCAAGACCCTCATTTTTTAGGGTGAGCTGTTTATGTTGAAAGCTGAACAGCATCTATCATTCTAATAAGAAATAAAAGGCAAATCCCAACAGAGTAGTGACTGAGACACATCCTACAACTTATAATACTCTAATTAGAAAATGTGTTTTAATTCTGATTCAATTGTATTTTATATGCCAGAAATAGTCATAAAAACGTATGTCAAAATCATGAAGAAATAAGGTAATATAATTAGTCAATAGTGATTTAAAAAATAAGTTTAGTATGGCTTGGAATTTCCATTTGATGTGGAACTTAAGCCACATATGCACAAAATGTTTCGGAGACTTCCAGGCAAAATGGCAATAGGAATACTAGACATAATTGCCAGCAGAAAAACATGGAAACGTCTATATACAAGATTGAAAGGAAGACAGCCAGACTACAGTGATAGGCAGGTGAGGGAACAGCCTATGTGCATTACATATGAAAGACGTCCCTGCAGAACCTAGTAACATCCACTGTCTGTGTGCCGGCAGTGGTGGTAGGTGAATATCTGAACCCCACTAGTATTGCTGGGAAGACTGTGAGATAGGGACCACGAAGACCAGCCTGTCCAGGCCTATGCTAGGTGAGAAGAGCCCAGTCAGCATGGGAAAGGGATCATCTTAGAATGAGGTCACCCTTGCCTGGCAAAGAGAAGGACCCTGGTCCCCTGTCTCTGGGTTTCCTCACCAAACTCAGAGGATAAATTCTTTGGGAAATTTCTCAAGTTAAGGGGATCTGAAGTGGTAAGATGAAGGCACAGCAAACCCAAACAGATTTCTTTTCTGAAAAGAGTTCAGCAAACTGCCCCTCAATCTCTGACAGAACCCATTTTAATTCTCAATTCTGAGTATTGAGTAACAAGTTTGATTTATGAAATGCTATGTAACTTTTGTTTTAAATATCACATTCTCAACTAACATTTGAGGATGTAAGAGATCCTTTTATTATATGTGTTATATTAAGTGAAAAATGTGTAAACAAGTAGGTGATTTAGGATTACAACCTGAAAATATTTTATACAACTAAACACACAAAAATTGATACAAAAGTATGGCACAGATATACAGTTGGCACTCAGTATCCAGGGGGGATTGGTCCCAGAACCCTTTGTGATACCAATATCTGTGGATGCTCAAGTCCCTTAATAGTGTAATAGTGTAGTATTAGCATATAACCTATGCACATCTTCCCATATATGTGAAATCATCTCTAGATTACTTATAATGTCTCATACAATGTAAATGCTATGTAAATAGTTGGAATACTGTATTGTTTAGAGAATCATTACAAGAAAAAAAAGTGTTTGTACCTTTATAGCACAGACGCAGCCATCCATTTTTTTCTCCCAAATATTTTCAATCCATGATTGGTTGAATCCACAAATGTGGAGTCCACTGATGTGGAGGGCCAACTGCACTCCATTATGGCAACTGTATCAAAATCGCAAAGTTATTTTTATTCTTACTTTTCATATGTTAGGTGAGAAGAAACTTAATTGGCCTTTTATTCAGGATATATCCAGAATCCAAACACTATCTACAATTGCTGCCACTCTGGCCTGAACCACCATCATTTTTTTTTTCTCAAATTGCTGCATTAGCCTCCTAATAGTTCTACTGGCTTCCCTTCTTGCCCACTGTGTGCCCCATGGTGTAGTTTCTACACAGCAGACAGAGTGGCCTTTCAAAGACGTAAGTCAGATTTCTCTGCTCAGAACTTCCCAGTGACTGCACATCACTGTCATTTCATAAGCCTCTCTATTAACTAGTCAGACATTATGTTCTGCTACTGTTCTTGTACTGACTCTTGTCCAACCACACTGACCTCCTTGTGGGTCCTTAGATTTGACAATCATGTTCTTTCCTTTGCACGGGCTGTTCTTGCTGCCTGGAATTCTTCCTTTAGTTAGCACTCTCTTCAAGCCTTTAATGTAACCTTCTCAAGAAATCCAGCTACCCCCTCAACACACCCCCTCCTCCTTCTAGTCTTGCCAAATATCTCCAAACTTCCTTCCCAGAGTCATGTTGCACAGTTCCAGGGGATGGGTGTCTCATAAAATAGAATGTGAATGATACTTACTGAAATTGTGTGGAATGTGAAGACCTCACTTTATTTTTCTCGATAGTTCTTATCACCTTTTAATACATTATATCATTTACTTTTTAAAAATTGTCTATCTCCTCCTCTAGGATCATCAGCTCCATGAGGGTGGGAATGTCTGTTGTACTTACTGCTATAACCTCAGTTCCTAGAACAATGTCTGGCACATAGTACACGCTAAAAAATAAATGAATCACAGGGTAGTATAAATAAATGTGATTTTAATTTTCTTCTATAAACTATCTGTATTTTCCTTATTAATATTAAAACTAGAAAATGAATAAAAGGAAAAAAAAAACTTATCACATGTGCTCAAGTCATTGCTTTTATTCTTAGCCTGGAAAATAAACTAAATTTCTTCTGTATTCATACGAAAGAACAACTAAAGAAAATCTGTTTAAACTATCCTTGAATCAAACACCAATAAAACATATCTAAACTCTGCAGTTATTTCCATGGGTTTTTCCCACTCCCACTGATTTTGGTGTAGTTTCTGATCAATCATGATGGTGGGAGATGACCCAGTTTCATAACATCTGAAGCTATTCAATTTTTCTATGATACAATTTCATCATGGGCCAAGTCAAATGGTCCAGCAGAGAGATGCTGTCACATTCTCTTAAAAGGTTATCCTTTTGCCTTTCTTTTGAGATATTGTTTCTTAGACAGGAGAAAAATTGAAGCTTATATCTAAGGGCAAAACTACATGATGAAAATTTTTTCTGTGTTGCCAATCCTCCTATGCCCACACAAGGGAGGACCAATTCTGAAGACTTAGACTTTCAGTTCTAAAAATGTTAGTGATTATAAATGAATTTGAACCCTATCTTTAAACCTGCTTTCAAGGATTTTTTTAGATCAACGAGGCATTAAGCAATTTAAAATGTTGATTATTTGTAAAATATGTCGAAGCTGACTCTGACGATGCTACATAAAACCAAAGCAACAAATACAAACAATAAGTGAGACATGTTTTCTTTGCAACTCTTAGCTTTATTTAACGATGCAGCAATTTCCTCTATAATAACTCCAAACAGAGCAAAGACAAACCAACCACACAGAAGAAAATGAATCTGGTCAACAGAGATTTGGGACCCACCTTTAATCCTTTAATAATGGCCCAGAAAATAATTTATCTCTTGCTGTTACTTCATATCTGGCAATTCAAACAAAGACATCATTTTGTCCTCAGCAGGGGCGGTAATTTTTTTGCTAGCCTCTGTGGATAGCTTTGTATAATTTATGTAGCTTTTAATATTGGTAATAGCAACTAGCTGGCTAAGGCAATAAGCACTTTTTAACATAGAATAAAGAAAGAAATCTCTCACATTTCAATTAACTCACTTCAGCATAACCAGTATGGCTGTTTCATTTGACTGTTGCTCAAAGAACATTCATTAAAAATGTTTCATTGTTAATATTTACAGTGTTCACACTAATATTATAATGAATATTATAATGTTCACATTAATATTGAAAAATTAGGAAAACACCAATCTGCAATAGAATAACCCATTACACTAACCCAAAAATATTGTTTTTATCAAATTGGTGGCCTTATTCTTCGGTTTTTACTTTTTGAAATGTGACAAGACACTATTTCCAATATATTATATGCCATTCTAATAAATCATAATACTAATTGACAAACTATTGATAAATAGAGTTAATAACCTCTTCTCAGATACGGCACATAATAATTGTGTGTGAGAACACCATACAGTTGTCTTGGACTAAATATGTTTCAGAAAATATATCAGAATCTATCAAAAGTCTATCCCTGTGATTGACTTAGTAGCACATCAAATTATCACAAGCACTTGTATATATTCCATTATTTTTAAAATAATAATCACTTTAACCCTTTTTAGAATTAATTTCAAAGATATTAATCAATGATCTAAAAATGTATAAATCTAAACATAAACTTCCTACTTGTTATTTGGTCATCAATATTTATAAATTTCCAAATTTCATGCACATTTTTTCCCTATGTTTCAATTTATCTGAAAGCAGGTTTGTCACACAGCGGACAACATAAAAGCACTACACTACGGTTTGGTAGGAAGCTTTTTGTTTTCCTTCCTAGTAGAACATAAACTAATGATGTATCTTGCAATCAGCATTCCCCGAATTCAACAAAATGCAGGAATAGGCATTGTTTCCCTGGGTGAAGGCCTGGATTTGTTTTATAATGTTACACTGAAGCACCTGACGTTGTACTGAAACATCCAAAAGTGGTTAAACACACTCCGGGACAGACTACTGAAGGGCCCAAGCTCATGCATGTAAGGCACTTAGTACAGTGCTTGGTAAAAAGTGAGTGCTCAATAAATGACACCTGTTGCCTTTTTTTTACATTAGGTTGGTTCAAAAGTCATTGAGCTTTTTTTCTATTAAAAGTAACAGCAAAGACTGCAATGACTTTGGCACCACCCTAACGTATATAGAGAATATTTGGGTATGTGTAGCAAATTCTGTCTCTGCCCCTGCCAGAACTCCTTTAACAAGCCCATGTTCTCTTCCTTCCATCTTTTCTGGAGACTTGCTTCTAGCTCACCGGAACCACCCCACTGAGAGTTGCCTGGGAGGTTATAACACCCCACCGCATCCTATATCCTCCACTGCAGGACCACTTTCCTAACCAGGAAGTATAAAAGCCCAACTACTTTGCCTAAAGGCAGGCAATGCTTATGTTCCAGAGCTCCCCCAGGGACCAGGCTGAAGCTAGAATTCTGAAACCACTTCTTTGGCGAACTCTTTCCCCTATTATACTTGGCTTCCCTCACTTCCTCACAGGTTTCTCCTGAGAACATTCCCTCAATAAATCAATTATACAAGAACCACCATCTCTGACTCTGCTTATAGGCAATCCCACCTCACATGTTTCCTCAGATTTCCGCTGGGCATGGTATTTATGTTTTCACTGGTTTCCACAATGTGTTTGGCTAGCACAATCATGTGAAAACAACAACCAGATGAACCTTGGGGAACCATATCTATGGAGTTATACGCTGCCCTTAGGGGCTCAGAGGAGAAACAGACATGCAAAGAGACAATTACAAATTATTAAAATGCACATATGAAAAAGTGCGATAGAAGTACAGGGAAAAGTGAATAACTAACACTTTCTGAGAATTCAGCAAAAGCTTCATTGAAGAGGTAAGATTTGAGTTAATCATGGGGACATGAAGCTGCCTGAGATTTGCTCAAGTAGACAAGGCAGGGAAAGCTTAATGAAAAAAAAAATGCCATGTGTTAACACTCAGATTTGAGAAAGCATGGTGTGTTCAGAAATCTGCAAGTAGTTTGGTGTGCCGGGTATAAGACGTAAATTGGCACAAGATGAGGAGATACACACACCATACATACATTTACATATATATAATTCATGATCATTACATGATGGAGACCTAGAAAACACAAGCAGAAAAATGACATAATTCAATTTGTTTCATTTAATTTTAATTAGTTGTTTAACTTTGTGTAAAGCATACACAATGAAAAACTCAAAACATAGAGATATAGAAAAATTGGATCTAGTAAACAGGATTCTAGTGAAAGTGTGGAGAATGTGCAGGAATGGAGTAGAACCTGCAGGGAGGGAGAGCAGTTAAAAGACGCCAGAATGGGGTGGAAGGGCCAAAAACTCAGGGTGTTAAGGAGATACAGGATCCTGAAGAATTAATCTAAAATTAACTCTTATCATAAGCAGATGCATATCGGACTTGTTTCATTTCTTGCACTTAGTAGGTAAGCAGTAGTAGGTAAGACTCTCTAAGTAAGTAAGTTAGTAAGTAAGCACTTAGTAGGTAAGACTCTTTAAGACATTCAAGAGAGGCTAGAGGGTGGAAAACATGTGAGAAAGGTAAGAATACATTCTTGAGAAAGTGAAGGGCTCATGCATCCATCAGACCCAATTACCGATGACAGGGTCCCTCTGTGAAGTCAAGAGACATTTGTCTCTCCAGTGGGGTGAATGTTTCTGAATCTCCAGCTTTGTAAAGCCATCTCTATGCAGTTGATATCTTGCCTGTTTTACTTACATTAAAGGGATTCACACCCTCTGATTTCTCAGTAAATCACCATTACACTTTTGACAAGCACATAGCAATCTATTCTAATATCCCAGGGAAGAAGTGAAAAGGTTGTGAACTAAGATAGTGGTCTGGGGAAAGAAAAAGGTGGGTAGGGGAGGAAAGACTGAAAAATATGGTTGGTAAAAAGAAAATAAATGCAAATAGTTATCATTTGGATGCAAGGGAGAAGAAAATAGAAAATACCTATTTACACCACTTTAAAAATCCCCATGCATAAAAACACCTCAGTGTTAGCACACTCAAATAATATTAAATAGCCTGATGCTGGTTAAACCACAAAAGTGTATCAGTTCACAAAATTCAAGATAAGCAGATAAGGAAAAGGAGAATAGGGACATAAACAAAAGCTATCTACTCAAACCACAAAAGTAAGATATGAACATTTAGGCTAGCTCTGCAAGCTAAGAAAACAAACAAAAAAGGTACTATTTTCCCTTATAAGATTTCATCCTTAGACCACAGGTGCATGAACTACAGTGGTGAATCATGGTTATATGGCATCGATTCTACTTTATTGTCTTTTAGGATGAGCCCTCTGTATCATTACAGCTATGGAAGCAGGCTTAAATCCAGCCAATGACTAAGCCTTGCCTTAGGTATTCAAGGTCACATGTCCCCACTGCCAGGAATTAGCAGGCTCAGTTGTGAGGTGAATCTTCCTATTAATAAGTAGGTTTCCTGAGGAGTAGAAACTTTACTTGGCACCGGGTGTGGTGGCTCACGCCTGTAATCTCAGCACTTTGGGAGGCCAAGGCAGGTGGATCACTTGAGGTCAACAGTTCGAGACCAGCCTGAACAACATGGTGAAACCTCATCTCTACTAAAAATACAAAAATTAGCCAGGCATGGTGACTCACTCCTGTAATTCCAGCTACTCTGGAGTCTGAGGCACAAGAATTGTTTGAACTTGGGAGGGGGAGGTTGCAGTGAGCAGAGATCACACCACTGCACTCCAGCCTGCGTGACAGAGGGAGATTCTTTTTTTTTTTTTTTTTTTAAAAAAAGAAAAGAAACTTTTCTTTAAGTGAGATCTAACCTTTGTTTGACCAGAGGGGATATGCCAAGCAAAGATTCAGCTCCTGAACGTAAAATGAGAATAGACTGTGTTCATGACTGGCCTGGCTTCGTTTTATGGATCTGGTATGCCCGTCTGCCAATTTCTGTGAATACCCTCCAATAAAAGGCTAACAGTTGCCCTACTCAGGATAATTACCCTCATCCAATATATGGCCTGGTTCCCCCCCTTTCAAGGGAGAAATATCTTATAGGATGGTGTACTTTAGAATGCCTTGTGTGGATCAGGACCAGGCCCCTTGTTTTTACCTGAGCGCACATCCTTACTTGACTCTTCTCCCTTCTCTTGCTTCCTTTAAAGTATTTTGTTCGCTTTTTTTCCTGAAAAGCACTCTGTGATAAATCACATACACCTGAATCCCAGTATCAACCTCTGCTTCTAGGAAACCTGACCTTAGACAAACGGATTAAAAACAGCATGGCTGGTTGTAAATAAAAACTGACAACTGAGATTTTCAGCAGGAAAAGAGAATATACCATTTAGTGATAATATTCACAATCATAAAGATATTGGCAGGAAAAGAGATGCTTACAGTTGATTAGGTCTCAAGATAACATTATGATCCAACAGAGGGGAGTTATGTAGTAACTATCCATGACAACTGCAACATCATAGCAGCAAGACAAACAATTCTGTGTTTTCCTTCAAATTTGTATTCCAGTAATTCAAGACTTGTACTGCATCACTATATTTGTATGTCATTAAGTATGTGACCTTGAAAAAGTTGCTTAATCGCTCTGATCCTCAGTTTCCCTATCAGTGAGATGAGTTTAAGAATGTCTTCCCCCATCATCATCACGAATATTAAATGAGAGGCTCCTGTAAAGCAATTTGCATAGTACTTCGCTCTCTCCAAATATTAATTTACTTCCACTTTACTACCTTGTCACCATCAATTAATATTTCTTTTTAAAGTACTGGCTGCATTGTACTTTAATCAACACTAAGATTTAATCTAAGTTTATTCTTTTATCATTGCTCAAGGTGATGTGATTAGTATGAGTGACTATTTCTCATGCTTCTGAAGACAAAATATGAAAAACTGATGGGATTAGTTTAGTTACTATAATGGACATTTGTATTTTGCCTGCCCTGTGTCTCTTTTACTTTTTTGTTTGCATACTAATTCTCCCCCGAGAAACTATCTTTCTATAATTCTGAACGTGTATTAAAGATAGTCTCCTACCCACACAAGTATTGGGCACCTGACCCTGATTTAGCTGAACCAAACAGATTCATTTCCTGAAAATGTATGTTTTACATGAGCTCAAAACAAAAAATAACTGGCATGTCTTCATCAGCACTCTGATGCCTTGAAGATAGTCTTCACTGATTCCTGTTCCTTGGTCTCTCAAATTCACCTTGTCTTTTGACAGCCACATATTACTTCAAAAATCTGCTGTTATTGCTATTAGCTAGGAATAGTGTCTGTTGCCTGCCACCGCAGGGCTGGAAACACAGTGACTCTTAAATTTAAAAACCAATAATTAAAAAAATTTTAAATGATGGATTTTGACTTCCTATTCTAAAGTAGAATGGCCTAAACAAAAGGCAACCAAAGAGAGCAGTCTCTATTTTATTTGAAGAGATAAATGTTATGATTATTCATAAACATATATGTTTGATGTTTAGGATCACTTGCCAGTTCAGATGGCAATTGATTACATATCTTAATTTAACAATTTTATGGAAATATATTACACTTGTCAGAAAATTTCAGCTACCCCTTTATGCCACTTTGATATTTTTTTATGTGTTTTGTAACATAAGCTCCTCCCTCTAACTAAAAACAAACATATTAACAGTTATTATCTTTACCCTTCAGGTTAGAAACATAAGTATTAAGATGACTGTCAAGTTGTTAATTAAGTTAGGGTAGGATTTTAAAATACTGTCCCAGAGCTTCTGAGTACAGATGAATGCCTACAAAACTAACAAAGATTATTCCACAGGGTATGTCCTGGTATCTGTTGTTAATCTGCCTGATACCATATTAAGGGAATTAATATGGTGGCAGCAGACACTGAATAGTATCAGGATGATTCTCACAGGTAACAGGAGCATCTCTTACAGACATGCCCTCCACCCATCTTAACCCATGTCATCCCACCCCTGAACTGCATGCAAATCTGCTTAGACTAGATAGGCAAAAAGGAGACCAAGGTTTCTGAGAAATTCTTGGCAGGCTAGCTCCTAACCCAGGGAAATCTAGAAGGTCCATAGTATTCTGTAGACCAAGTACAGGTCCCTAAAGTGCTGTGATATTTTCAACATATCTCAATTAGATTTTAAGCCACTGAGAGCTCCAAGTTCTCCCCTGCAATCCCTCACATCAAATCTGTCTCTCTCAGAGAAGCTCCTTCATGATACCTAAGCTTAAAAAAAAAAAGTCCAAATCTCCTTGAACGGCACACATTTCATCTGGGTTGTAGTGTGCTTTGTAAACACGAAAGATAAAATGACTTGGCTACCTGAATGCTTTGTTCCTTGAGAAGAAATCATTCTCTTTCCCCTCTTTTGGCATATTGATTACTCATTAATCCATCAAAACAAAGGATTAATTAATCTCCATGGTTCAATGAAGAATAAATTAGCACAGTTTAAAATGGGCCTGATCCAATATTACAAATTGGAGGAAATGTTCTACACTCTCCCTCTCCATTCAGTTCTCCAAATTTCATCTCCAGAGAATGGCATCAGAAGGCTAAATTTAGTTTGTGTGATATTTGGTATTCAGGCTCCTTCTTCAGAATTCAGTCCCTTGAAGCTACTCATTGCTTTTCCCAAAACCCACTTTAACTATTTTGAAACACAGTAAGAGCAGCATTTTTTAAAGTGCTTTAGATATATCACTTATCTGAAACAATCTTTTTTTAATGTAGAAAACAATTTTAATAGCCAGTTTTTCAAAAATGAAAATAATACAATAGCCACATACATTCGGGCAAGTACATACTTGTCCTATTATTTCTCCTGGGACATGAAAAGGGCTCTTACATACCATCATACTCAGTCAGCAGGATTTTATTTCATAAAACACGTGTAAGGTATAGTCTCTCTAAGCATTCCCAGAGAAAAAAGAACAGCGTGTGTATGTGTGTATATGTGTGTGTGTGTGTGTGTGTGTGTGTGTGTGTGTGTGTGTGTATATGTACATTTTTTTTTTTTTGTGATGGAGTCTAGCTCTGTTGCCCAGGCTGGAGTGCAGTGGAGTGTTCTTAGCTCACTGCAATCTCCTGTCTCAGCCTCCCAGGTAGCTAGGACTACAGGCATGCACTAACACACCCGGCTAATTTTCTTTCTTTTTTTTTTTTTTCTTTAGTAGAGATGGGGTTTTACCATGGTGGCCAAGCTGGTTTCAAACTCCTGACCTCAGGTGATCTGCCCACCTGGCCTCCCAAAGTGCTGGGATTACAAGTGTGAGCCACTTCGCCGGGCCCAGCATAGTATGTTTTCTAATGCAATTTTTGTTGTTGTTCTAAATTGAATACTTTGAGAGCTATAAAACAAATCCATGTCAAATTCTCAGAATGCATTAAAGGTTAGGAATCTACACTTGTAAAGAAAGTATCTCCATTTGAAATGTCAATATCTAGGATGTGATGTCCCCACTGCCCTCTCTCCAGTTTTTGGTGCAGTTATATCAGTTTTTTAAAACCATGTATACAGATTTAGCCTCTAGATTCTTGGCCAAAATTCCTACAAAACATATAACATGTGAAAGAGTAGAGAAAGAAAACCTCATGACCAGTCTTGGTTTTCTGTAAGCTAATCTTTATTGTAAGATATTCTAAGACAACAATTTCATTTTCTGTTTGTCTCTTTGAAGGGAGATAATAAAGAATTTTCAGCCAGGTATGGGGGTTCACGCCTGTAATCCCAGCACTTTGGGAGGCCAAGGTGGGCAGATGACCTGAGGTAAGGAGTTTGAGATCAGCCTGGCTAACATGGAAAAACCCTGTCTCTACTAATTTTTGCACTCTAAAAGTGCAAAAATTAGCCAGGTGTGGTGGCGGGTGCCTGTAATCCCAGCTATTCGAGAGGCTGAGGCAGAAGAATCACTTGAACCTGGGAGGTGGAGGTTGCAGTGAGCCAAGATTGCGCCACTGCACTCCAGCCTGGGCAACAGAGTGAGATTCTGCCTCAAAAAAAAAGAAAAAAGTGAATTTTCAAGTATAAAGTTTAAAATGATAAATGAAAAGCCAGCTCTTTTCTGTAAAGATTAATAAATTAAAACTTATTATGTATATATATTTATTGTTTCCATAATATAGTATCAACATAGTAAAATATAGTATCAAGAAGAAACTCTTATCTATTGCAGAGCGAAATTTCATGGTGTGTTCTGGCAATACAGTATAAGGAAAAGTTCAGAACTGGGAGTGAATATATGTTGTTTCTTATTCCAGACTACCCTCCCCACTTATATGGCTTAGTAAAATCCCCCCAACTCCTTGAAGGCCAGCCTCCTCAGCTGAAGATGGAGGGGTGCAGACCACATGAAATTTAAGGTCATACCAACTCTAAAATTGTATGACTCAATAATTCAGCTGACCACTCCCGATGACATAGTTAAAATGTTGTTGGTACTGGATCCTATATTTAGAGACTAGGTAACTTTGGCAACATCAGGCTTTTTTTTTTTTCTTTTTATAGACAGAGTTTCACTCTTGTTGCCCAGGCTGGAGTGCAATGGCACGATCTTGGCTCACCACAACCTCCGCCTCCTGGGTTCAAGCGATTCTCCTGCCTCAGCCTCCCGAGTAGCTGGGATTACAGGCGTGTGCCACCATGCCTGGCTAATTTTGTATATTTTTTAGTAGAGACGGGGTTTCTCCATATTGGTCAGGCTGGTCTCGAACTCCCGACCTCAGGTGATCTGCCCGACTTGGCCTCCCAAAGCTCTGGGATTATAGGCATGAGCCACCGTACCCAGCTCATAAGGCTTTCAAGGAGCCAAGTTGGCAACTAAACGAGAAAGGCAAGTGGAAGTGTTGCTGTTGCTGGCAAAGTGCCACTCAAGTTTCCCATCGATGAAGCCCCAAAGCATCCCAGGTTGTGCCCATAGTCACAGGGGCCTAGAGGCCAGTATTCACTTAGGAGAATTCTTTTCGAAGGAGGATAGGGCTTCACTAAAAGGCTCCCCTATCTATATGACTTTGTGCTTAGAGGGACCTGGGATCAGAATACGGTGAAGGACAGACTCGGCTGGTAGGGAGGAGGGATTCTGTAAGTGGAGAATGAAAATCATACTCCCTCCTTGCCTTTTAATTTTGAAGATTAAATGAAATAATTGTTGAAAAGCAGTTAGCATAATATCTCATATTACTGTTAGCAGTTGTTACAAACCTTTCTGACCTTCAGACAAAAACGAATCTGCATTTAGGCTCACCTACAGCACATGTTTTAGAAACACTAAATCATTCCAACAACAAGTCAAAAGATTTCTCCATAGGTAACAATTTATTTCCTTAAACTCAAGTGTTTTGTTTTATTAAAACAAACAAAACAAAAGTAATAAGCCTTCGTTACTGCTTTCAACTGAGCATTTCTGTGAATGTAATTACAGCCATGCTCCATAAATCTGACAGCCATTTCCAAATGTGATTGGTAGATTTTATGCAAGTCTATGCACTGCACATTTTGCTGCACTGTTTGGGACACAGATGATGTACAAACGCAGCAGCACTGAAATTTAAAGAACCACTTCGAAGGCCCATGCACACCAAAACAACTTCAAAATACATGCTCCAGGCTTGAAACAGCGACAAACTTTATGTTTTTCATTGGTCATGCTGGGCAGGCAGGCCTCTGCTTTCTGATCTAATCAACTTCAGAATGACTGTGAAGCCAACAGCTGTGTCAGAGCAATTGGAAAATAGATTCAGAACAAAGGGGAAGACCCATCTCTCTGGGACTTCTCCCTCTAGAATATACACGAAGCTTCAATGGAACGTATAAATATTTCATTCACTATTTTGTACTACATTCCTCCCATGATTTATAGGTCAGACCCATTACTTTTAAGAGTACATTAATGTCCACTTTTGAAGGCATCTCTTCTAATGTCCATCTGCCCTACTTAATGGGCCTAAGGGAATTGGAATCCTAAGTAGAATCTCTGTCTATTCTGTATAACATCACAGGCTACCAAAATATAAACTCATTGATTTTTATTTTGTAGAAGTGTACCTTCCCTCAGGAGCTGCTATCTAGGATGTTTTCTACCTTGTGTATTGTTTTGTTTTCCATCATGTATGATATTTAAGTGGAACGGGGGTGGCTTCTGAAACAGTGGCATGAGTAGGTAAGATGTCTATTAGTCTATTTTTGCATTACTATAAAGAAATACCTAAGGTGGAGTAATTTATAAAGAAAGGAGGCTTAATTGGCTCATAGTGCTGTGGGCTGTACACCAAGAATAGTGCTGCATCTCCTTCTGGTGAAGGCCTCAGGAAGCTTCCAATTATGGAGCACGGGGAAGGAGGAGTAAACACATTACATGGTAAAAACAGGAGAAAGAGAGAAAGAAGGGGGATGTCCTAGACTCTTAAACAACCAGATCTCTTGTGAATTAACTGATGAATTCACTCATCACCAAGGGAATAGCACTAAGCCATTCATAATGGATCCACCCTCATCATCCAATACCTCCCACCAGGCCAACCTCAAAACACTGGAGGTCACATTTCATTATGAGGTTTGGAGAGGACAAACATCCAATCCATATCATAAGGTGACACTGCACTCAATTTTCTTTGTGGTCTGAAAGCAGCAGAGAGAAAAATAGAGGGACAGGTGGGCAGATGAAGGGCAGGAAGAAGAGAGCAGGTGAGAAATGGCCAGAAGGAGCTGGGGGTCTGCGATCTAGTTCACTGATCCCTTTGCAATCTCACAGTTGAGCCAGCAGTGTAAAGGTTATGGCATAGATGGGATCAGCATGGCCTCCTCCAGATGTTGACTTTGTCTTTGCAAATTATAAGGAAAGAAAGTTCAGTGTTCAAGTAGGTTAAAATAAATGAAACATATGAATAAGCCTAATCCCCATTTGGTAATGTTCATGTTCTAATGGTGATCACACTTAAAAATTAGAAAGATATGGGTGGGCTAGAACACTACAGGGTATCCTCTAACTCTGGAAACACAAAATAAAAAATAAGTTACATTTTTAATATTATGATCAGTATAATTTTTCTTAATCTCCAGATACCTTTTCAGCTAAAGTAATGCTAAGTTGTAAATAATGGGTTCAACTGTTCACTGGGTAAAAAGCACACCAAATAATATATTAAATTTCCTCTATTACCAGATATTTTAGATACCCTCAAATGTTTCTATTCCCCTAAATATAAGTAGAGCTTCACTGATAGAGAAGAAATGTTTCTGAATGGATTTACATTTTTCTCATCCAGAGAAAAGTTCCTACACGTGTAGATCCCTCGTCAGTTCTCCCTTGTGTCCATTCCTTGCCATCCCATCTTCCATTAGAGGATGACTCAATGTGCAGCCTGTTTCCCAGGTTTCTGTGTCTGCTGGCATCTGCCTAGGTTCCACCAGTGGGCTTCTGCCTTGGCTCCATCTGGCTGAAAACTAGAAGCAGGAAGATGGAAAATGTAGGTTATTTCCTCCTTCTCTGCTTTTGGAGACTTCTCCATTAGAAGGAAGCTTCTCTGTAGTTTGTGCTTCTACCAGTGGACTCTGGTTTGAGACTCCAGCAGCACAACCTTTTCCATTTGCCATCAGCCCTATGCTGATATTCCTGCTGTTGATAATTTTTCAGTGGCTTCCCAGTGCCCTGTTTGGCTTCTCAGTTCTTAACACCACCTGGGTAGCAAATTCCCTGCAATAAGTTTTTTCTTTAAATAATTGGCATAGATTCTATATTCTTGGCTGGTTCCTGACTAACTCCACTATTTATTTGTCTTCATTCATTTAATATTTATTGAGTACCTATAGTGGCAGGTATCATTTTAGTTGCTAGAGACAGAGCATTGAACAAAGCAAGCAATATCTCTGTTCTCTTAAAACTTTATAAGTTTCAGGAAGATAAAGAATCAAAAAATGCAAAATAATGGTAATAACTGTAATGCAGAAAATTTTAAAGCTAGGTGATATGAGGGTGAAAAAGTGAGCACTACTTTAAATTCAAGCATCAGGGAATGTCTCATTGAGCTGAGATGTGAAAGACTAGAAGGAATCAGCTATGTGACGGAAGAGGAAAGAATATTTCAGGCAGAGACAGAGAAACTTGAACCGGAAGAAGCTTAAAATAGTTGAGCAACAGAGAGGTGAGGAAGGTACAGCTCAGAAGAGTAGGCAGAGGTCAGAAATCAAGGTAGAAGACTGATCATAGAGGTTGGAGTTTGAATTATATTTTTAAAAGTGAGATAAAAAGCCATTGGAGAGTTTTTAGCAGGAGTGGGGAGCACAGTTTAACTTAAAGTTTTAGAGGATTACTAGGACTGCTTTTGGGAAGAGAGGAATCTAGGAAACTGGGGTGCAAGCTAGGACATGAGTCACCTCTGCTGCTGGGTGACTGTGATGGTGGTGATTGGACTCAGGTGGCAGCTGTGGAGAGGGAGGCAGTTTATTAGATTTCAGATATGTTTTCAAGGGAGAGGAGACAGGATTGTTGATGAATAGAATGTCAGGGTAAGAATAAGAAAAAAAAAAAAAAAAAAAGAACGACAATTGTGGTTTTTGGTTGAGCAACTAGGTGGATCCTTAAACCAAAACCATTCTCAACCATACTTCTGTCATGTCTTCTTACTTGAGTTAACTTTCTTTCTTATCTTGAAAAGTATTAATATGTGAAAATAAAAATGATACTTGTTTCATTGACTAACATTTATTTTGAAAACTTGAAACCTGTTGAAAATGTTGCAAGGTTATACTATAAACGTCCCTATTTTCCTTTACCTAGATTCACCAATTTTAACATTTTGTTGCATCTATATGTACATACACATATTTCTCCTGAAACTTTTTAAAGCAAGGAGCAGACATGACACTTCCCTTCTTGATTATATAGTATATCTCTTGGAACAAGGGTATTCTCCTGTAAAACCATTATATTATTTTTTTTCTTTTTCTTTTCTTTTTTTTTTTTTTTGAGATGGAGTCTCACTCTGTCACCCAGGCTGGAGTGCAGTGGCACAATCTCAGCTCACTGCAAGCTCCGCCTCCCGGGTTCATGCCATTCTTCTGCCTCAGCCTGCCAAGTAGCTGGGACTACAGGCGCCTGCCACGATGCCCGGCTAATTTTTTATATTTTTTAGTAGAGACGGGGTTTCACCATATTAGCCAGGATGGTCTTGATCCCCTGACCTTATGATCCTCCCTCCAAGGCCTCCCAAAGTGCTGGGATTACAGGTGTGAGCCACCACGCCCGGCCCCCTGTAAAACCATTATATTATTTTCATTCCCCAAAATATTGATATTAATGTAGCATTATCTACAATACAGTCCCTATGGAAATTTCCTCAATTGTCCCCAAAAGTGTTTCTTATGGTCCTTTTACAGCTTTAAAAAAATCCAGCCTCTAATGAAGGATCATTTAGTTTTCATGTCTCTTTAATCTCCCTTAATCTAAAATAAACCCAGTCATTTTTATTTTTATTTTTATTTTTTTCAGTTTCATGATCTTGACATTCTTGAACAGTTCAAGCCAGCTAAGCTCTTCCTCAATGGGGGTTTGTCTAATTTTTTTGTGCATGTGATTAGATTTAAGATAAGCTTCATTTGGCAGAATTACTACACAGGTTATATTGTGCCCTTTCTGATATATCATGTCAGCAGGCACATGCTATTATTTGGGTCCAATTATAGGTGACATTAAGTTTTATCACTTGGTTAAAATATGGCATTTGTCTTAAAACAAAACAAAACAAAACAAAAACAGCACTTAACAACTCTTGCCAACTGCTACCATTTTTAACCAAGTCGTTACATGAGAGAAATCTGTATTTTCTGTTTAAAATATGAGAGTAGCCACTGTACAGAATGTATATAAAAATGTCCACTGCCTTTAAGAACTCTGTATTCAAGGTGGCTAGCTCTCTGGAAATATAGGGAAACTAGTAGCAGGGATAGTGAAAATAAAATGGGTGTGTCATTCATCTTAAACAGGCTGGTTTCCGTTGCCAATAACTCTTGGGTAAAGCGTTGCAACATAGTATGAGTAGAAAATGATATGCAGCTCTATATTTAAATGATCACAGAAAGTGAACTCTTCCATGTGTAATATCACTCATTTCCTTGAAATGAGTACCATCAGCTAACTCTGAGAAAGGACACTCATATGTAGCAAGCAAAACTTTATGCCAGAAAATATGATTGATATTCTTGTACTTGTTTTATCATTCATCCTCAAAAAACCTTTATTTTTTTCATGTGGAGTAACAGAGACTCAGAAAGTTTCTATAGGCCTCAAAGTTAATATGTGCCAATTTATTAAATGAATCAATATGTATATTACTGTAAGATCCAGGTACTCCCCAGCCATCCCTTGCAGCTCCACTCAGTAACAAGACTCATCACACTTTTCCAAGATTATTGTCATGGAAGGGAATGGGAATAAACTAAGAAGTGAATTGGAATACGCGAACACTGTTTTTGTTTTACCCTTTAAAAAGAGGTGGAGAAAGAAGTAGATATTTATTCCCCTTTCCTTTTAATTGTAATAATTTCTGGAATAAATAATCAGTGAAAATTTGAAATATAACACTGTGGTTAAAACCTCAATATAAGTTAAAAAGAATTATGTAATAAATTCAAGTTTTAGTTTCTAAAAACATTTTGATAATCATCTTTGTAAAATTCTTTCCCATAACTTTAAATTCATGGGAGTAATTCTTGATGGCTCTTTGGCATTGTTAAGCTTATTTAATGGCTTAGTACTATGTATTTGAATCCGAAGACATTGACTGGTTTGCTGGTGAATACAGTCTATGGGAAATTGGTCTATACTATTAAAGGCAAGTGAAACATTGGCAGGAACAGTAGATACATGTTCTTTGCAATTATTACAGCTGAACTATAGGCCAGTAACAGTTTAAGAAAACAATAACTGTTGAGAAATCTATGTAAAATTCCTGAGAGGAAACAAAATCAAATAAAACAGGGGACCGATCCTTAAGCAGCTTATAATCTATTTAGCTCTTAACTTTTTGATCAGGGAATCATAGCAACAAATAATCCAACAAAGTTTTTTTCAGCACATTACAGTGGGACTAAAAATTCCCTTAGTTTTTCTTGTAATTTTTCAGTCATTTCTTCAGTCATTCTCAACTTTCTCAGGAACTATGTCTTTAAAAAAATTTTTTTTAGCAACTAGTGAAAGTTGAAGGCTTGGAATAAAAAAAAACAAGATGCATAAATATTTTCTTAGTGCAATCAGTTTGGGTTTTTCTTTTGTTTTTATCACTTCCTAACCTGTCAGGAATATTACAACCTTATGATTAATGCAACAACAAGCTTTAAGGAAAGAAAAAAATTGACCCTCACACTTCAAGTTTCCTCACCTTTCAGTTTTAGGCAGTTGTCTGCTTTTTAGTCGTTCGCTTTTGCTTTTTTTTTTTTTTTGCGGTGTATCTTACTCAAAGCATTATAATTAAGTAATAGATGAAATATAAAATATTATTTAATTTTAAAAGACAAGACTTTTCCCTCAAGTATCTTCAATTCTTTAAAAAATTGGCTCTCCAGTTTTCATAATTTCTTCACATGATAAGCAAAAGGCCAAGGGTTTTGATATTCAGGAGGAGGAAAACTTAGATATGCAGAATATTTGAATAAAACTACCCAGCCCATGGCATAATGGTCAGAATGGCAGGGGGTAGAGGGAAGAGAGAGAAAAAGAAAGATTATAAGACAAAGACAAGGAGAACAACAGAGGTATTTCTGAATTCTCCTTCATTCTGGACTTTACATTACTGAAGTATGACTTTTCATATTTTCTTATAAACATAAAGCACCAGTTGAAAAATGAATAAATATAAGAACACTGAATAGATACCCTTCAAAACAAGATATTTGGGTTTTAGTCTAGCTCAGAAATTATCCAGCTCTATGAAATTAAAAAATTATTGGATACTCTCTATGCCTCTCTTTTTGTTTTTTTCTCCTGAGATGGATTCTCACTCTGTCACCAGGCTGGAGTACAGTGGTTCCATCTCGGCTCACTGCAACCTCCATCTCCTGAGTTGCTGGGACTACAGGAATGCACCACGACGCCCAGCTAATTTTTGCATTTTAGTAGAGACGAGGTTTCACCATGTTGGCCAGGATGATCTCAATCTCTTGACTTCGTGATCCACTGGCCTTGTCCTCCCAAAGTCTATGACTCTTTTGATGAGGAGATTGAACAATCCCCTTTCCAGCTCTAAGATTTCACGATTGAAAGTTTGTGGAATTGTCTTTCTAGTAGCCCACTGCACAAGGTGCTGGATATATAGAGTATACCTGACCTACGGAAAATGTGGAATTATCTGATATGGTTTCACAATTTTCAAAATAAAAGCTAGGTTTCTTTTCCATATATTTATTTCTTAACTGTGTATGTGTGTGTATGAGTTTGTATACCTTTATATGGAAAATAGTAAAACCCTACCAACCTTACATCCTGCAATAAAGTTAATTTGGTTATAACACTGTTGGTGACTGACTCTTGGACCCTAAAACTCCCAGTCAGCTGGTTAAGCTAGTTAAACCCCAAACATCTCATTAAGCTCTCAATAATATAAACAAACATTTTATGCATTTGAATTGTTGGTTCTTATTTATACTTCTATGTTGGGATTTTGCTGATATCTCTGAGTCTGTGTTTGTGTATTTATCTCAGCAAATATAAATGCAAGGGTGGTTGCTTCCTTTCTTGCTGTGATGTACAATGACTGTTCTATGTTAAATGTGAAAAAAAAAACTGTCAATAGAGGGGTCAGGAGACAGGCTGCTATTTTAAAGATGCCACTGGACTTTCTGGATGCCACCAAGTCCTTTCTGTTGCAGGAGAATTTCCTGATCAATGGTTTCATACATGCAGGACAGTGATCAGACAGTCTCAAAAGAGCTATCATTGAAAATCCATTTAAGGATGAAACATATTCAGATGAAATGAATAAATTCTAACAACTAACTACAAGAAATTCTCACAGATGCAGTACAAATGGGCCTTCTAAAACAATTCTTCATCCTAGTTTCTTTCTCAGCATTTTTATAGACAGAATTTTTCCCCTCTCCTCAGTTGAACAAGAAAGAACAAAAGTAGATTCCCCAAAGGAGGAATCATTTGTACTAAGTTTCTTTATGTAGGTCACCTCTGATGTGTTCTTGGTTGCATTTCAACGGCTAAATTTCCCATGTCAAGCTTTCCGTTCTGATGGCTCTGCACATAAAGCCTATTGCTTTCAAATAGAATAATTGTCTAAATTCCCTGTTTGAATGTTGAAGTATACTACATGTTCTACAGATGCTCAATACATTATTGGTAATGTTAGTAATGTGATAGAAAATGGCAGAATGTTTTAATTTGAGGTGTCTCTGTGTGTGTACCTTTTAATATGTTAACAGGAAAAAAAGTTTCTCATTAAGCTAGTCTAAATTAAAGAGAAGTGACTATCACCTACACTCAAATGATTATAAATGTATGACTTTGTTTTCAGCCTCTGATTTACCACACCAGTTTTCCTAGCCTTTTTTCATCTCAGTTATCAGTATTATAAATATCTCTTGGGTCTATTTCCTACTCTGTATTCCAACTGTCATTGTCATGGTTCAAGCCTTTGGCAAGCCATTCTTCACCTCTAAATCCATTCTCTACTCTATCAACTGTTTCTAAAAATAGATTTCATCAATTTACTTCTGCATAAGAACAATCCCCAGTTCCTCACTGCCTGTAAAATAAAATTTAAACACCTTAATGAGGCATTCAAAATCTCTGATATTCTTTCACCAACTTATTTATTTAGCCTCATTCATTCATGTGCTCATGTAATCATTCAGCAATAGAATGAAAGTACCCCCCTAAGATATTAAGTGTCCCACTAGAATATGAGCTCCAGGAGAGTAGGTACATATATAGTTGATTTTATTCACTAGTGTTTACCAAATATCTAGAACAGTATTGGCATTAATAGATGCTTTAAAAATACTTCTGATACGGACAGGAGGCAGGAAAATACTGGGTAGAAGAGGGCAGTTCCTGGGCAAAGGCCCCACCTTCAAGCCTGAAAACAACAGCCCTAAATGAGAACAAGTTACTCCTGTTTTCTCACTGAAATGTTGCTTTGTCTAAAACCACCCTGGCCCACCACACCCCCCCATTTTATACCCATCAAAACCCCAAACTCCACTGGCAGAAGAGCAGAGCAGTACAGCAGAAAAGGAAAGAAGAGAAGAAGCATCTGAACGTCGAGAGGGGTTCGGCTGGGGACGGTGGGAGAGGAGTTCAGCTGGGGACAGCCAAACTCCAGCAGAAGATTCTATTCCCACTCCATCCCCTTTCCAGCTCCCCATCCCACTGAGAGCCACCTCCATCACTCAATAAAATCTCTGCACCCTTCAAATCCATGACATGATTCTTCCTGGATGCTGGAGAAAAACCTGGGTACCAAGAGGGTATAAAAGGCTGTCACCCTGACTCTCCACTGAGCTGGTTAACACTTAGTCATCTGCAGATGGCAATTGCTAAAAGAGCATTAATTTTAACACACCCCTAGACGCTGCCATGGGACCAGAGCCCAAAACCGCTTGCCCCGGCCCCAGCACCTGCTGACCTGCATGCTGCCCCTCCTTCAGGGGGTTTGAGCATGGCAGCTAAGTGAGCCACACCCTTGTTGCAAATCCCGTGAAGGAAGCAAGGGAATTCTCCCATCTGACTTTGAGAATTAATGAATTCAGCAATACTTGCTGAATACTTGTTATTTTATTTCACACAGCTTGACATTGGGAACTCAGTGATTGAAGCCATTGTCTTTATTTTTAAGGAGGTAGCCAGGTAAATTGACATTATAGGAAGTTCAGTGTGCATATGTAAACATCAGTCTGGTTTCTGTAGTGATAAACACCTAGAAGTAGGGTCATATTTTATTCATCTCTATATTCTTTGTTGTTAACTGAAGATTTATTAAATGTTGACTAAATAAATCGATCTAAGAATGCAATTAAGGCAGAATGTCTGAAAGCTGTGATAAACAAAAATAATTCCCCCCCAAACATGTTTAGATCCTAATTCTAGGAATCTGTGAATATGTTATATTATATGACAAAGGGGATTTTGCTGATGTTATTTAAGATTAAGGACCTTGATATGGGGAAATTATACTAGATTATCCAGGCAGGCCCAATCTAATTACATAAATCCTTAAAAGTAAAGGAGGAAGGAAGATGAGTGAGTCAGTGAAATGTAATTTGAGAAAAGAGGAAGGGAGGCATGAGCTAAGGAATGTGGAGGCCTACAGAAGCTAGAACAATTCTCAGCTGACAGCTAACAAGAAAATAGGGACTTCAGTCCTGTAACTGCAAGGAACTGAATTCTGCCAACAACTCAAATGAGCAGGAAATGGAACCTCTGAAAGAAACATAGTGTTGCCTATACTTTGAGTGTAGCCTGGTGAGAACATTACCAAACTTCTGACCTACATAACTGTATGAGATCAATCTGTGTTCTTTTAAGGTGTTAAGTTTGTGACAATTTGTTTGGCAATAGTAGCAAGCAAGTACAGTGTTCATTCTTGGAAGGCTGGCCAAAGTGAGCCTCTGTCATGGGTTCTCATGACCAAAAATAAAGTGATTATCCTTGAAAGTTCAACAATACAACTTACCTAGCAAAGAACATGCACAGATGGAAAATCAATTACACAAAAGAAAACTGCTCTTCACAAATGGAATTTAGATAAAGCCATTTCCCAAAATAATGACTGCTGATTGGATCATTAGATTTGATATTTGATTTCAGATTTCATATTTGATATTCATGTGCTATGAAAAATCTGCACATATGTAGCCTTTGGAGTATGTATTCAAATTGTTATGCCCTTGAAGTCTAACTTTGACATCAGGAAAGTTCTGAGTTACAGTCTTCATCTCAGTCCAATGACCATAGTGGTACAAGAACAGTACTTTATAGGTAAAGAAGCACAAGGATATAAATTAAACAGAAAATCTTCTTAGCCATGAAAGAGCAAGTTGACCCAAGACTGACATTTATATCTGTGTGAATCATTCACTGCACAATGGGCAAGCTGTGCTAAAACCCAGGCCACGCTCTGCTCACAAAGCCATGTGCTCCGTCATAGAGCAGTGATCTCTTGGAGGAAGAGGCCCCTTGAAGGCAACACCATAAAGATAAACAGGTTCTGCCTGACATAACTCCAGAAGCTGTCCTTTACAAAGACCACTATGAGAATGGTATTCCCTAGAGGTGTGCTATGCAGTGGCTCTAGACATCTTTTTGTAGTTTGCTTGCCAAGAATTCTCCATGCAAGCTATTTTATCAAGGAGGGTGGCATTTTCCAATTCTTGCAATGGTGTCACATATGCTAATGGTGATCCTGGTTGAGCCTGATACTGGGAATGAATACGTCTTGACTTTTTATGCCATTGATACACAAAGCAGCCAGTAGCCAGGTACAGAAAAATGAACAGGGAAGCTAAGGTCTGGATTTGTCAGTGATTTAGGGCAAATGAAAGTGATCTCTGTGTCCTATTTGCAGGAAACCACATGGAGATTATAAGTCTCTGTCCCAAACAAAGGTGGAAGATGAATTCAGAAGTTTTAGCCACCCAGCAAAGGTACACACTATAGCCTATTCTTGGGCTAGAAGCCATGAAAATGAAAAATCCAACCAAACCCATTTTCTATTCTCCTCCAGAATCTGCCTGCCTTGAGTCTCTGTCCAGTGTTTTTAGTTACTTGTTCTTTGCGTTTTGTCCAGGGTTTTTACTTTTTATCTTCAGAAAGGCTGGTCTAATAGGAGCTATTCTGCCACACTAGGAGCAGACTTTTCACTAGCTTTACTTTTGTCAAATGTGTCCAGGTGTTACTGGTTTGTGCAAGAAATGTTAATTATAAATAGCACAAGCATGACCACATACCTTAGTGTGCATACGTAAGGCTTTGTCCTGGCATACCATGCAGTTTAGCATTTGTACTGGACTAAAGTATTCTGGCTTCAACAATAGAAAATATATATAGTCACCCTAGACATAAGATGTTTTAGCAAAAGAAAAACTGTATCTTCCAGAAGACAAATGAAGAAAAAAAAAAAAAAAGGACTCATGAGATAGCAAGGAAAGTTTGCTTCGATACTTATCTACCTTTTACCCAAGGAGAGAGCATTATATGTTTGAAGACACCCTTGGGACAGTAACCTATTTCTATGTTAATTATGATAATAGTCCGCCTAAGCACTCCTTTGTTGAAATTTAATCCCATTTTCTCTCATCTTGTACTTTGTATAAATTGATAGTGTGTTCCTTTCTTCCTTAAAATTACCCTTCATATACTTCAAGAGAATTAGAATATCACCTCTTAGCTGTATCCTTCAGACTGAGTAACCCCAATTTCTCTTTCTCTATCATAAGTACGCTTTTACTTCTTTTTAATAATTTGACATGCTGTCCTCCACTCTGAACAGCATTCCAAATAGCTTTTGGAAAATATAAGACTGACCCTATGACCCAATGATTCTACTCACAGGTACATCTTCAACAGAAATGGAGGCCTGTGTCCACGCAAAGACTTGTCACAAAAACGCAGACAGCAGCTTTAACCCAAGTATCTATTTAGGTGTATGTGGAGGAGTAGGGATTTAGGGTCATGTTTTGCTTTGGAATAGAAAAGGGATGAGAGAACTCCCTGGGGAAGATAGAAATGTTCTATACCTTGATGTGGATGGTAGTAACATGAACATACATGTAAAAATAACTTATTTATAAATAGTTTATTTAGTAAATATAATTAATTATATTAATTAATACATAATTAAATATAATATAATTAATTATATTAATTAATATATAATTAAATATAATATAATTAATTATATATAACATATAATATATTATAAATTATTTAGTAACTATATATAGTACATATATTTACTAAATTGCTAATTTAAATTTATACAGTACATATATTTACTAAATTACTAATTTAATTAGTAAATAGATGCTGTTTCTACATGTCTAAATATTATATAATGAAATACATACATACATATATGTGTGCATATATAACTAGAAATACATGTATATAGATGCCTACATGTGTGCCTATGTGTGTATGCATATATATGAAAGCCAAACGTTGCTTCACAAAGTTATCAATGATGAAAGATCTTAAAACTTAAATCTGTAGCCTTCCTAACTGTTCTTTGCATGACAGAACAGATTGACTTTCTAACAAGATGGACAAAGAAAAAAAGCCTCAAGGACTCTTGTGGAAATAGGGACTGTTTAACAGCAGATAGATGAACACACCAGCAAGACACCTCCAGGTGGGAAAGTACATCTGATTGGAGAATGCTGTCCACAGATGCTTCACAGCACGTCTGCAGGTGACAGAAAAGTCATCAAAAAACTCAGCAATTAATTATGCCAACTTGTCTAAGTTCAATATCTCTGGGTCTCCAACCTCTAAAATTTCTGGTTATAGGAGTTGCTGTAAGCATAGAAAAAAGATCAGGGGATTGAGATAGGATAACCCTGGAAGTATGTCAATCCCATAGTGTTCTCTGCCTAGCTATGTGACCCTCTGAAATTCTGTTCACCTCTGAGGTGTTCAGTTGCCTCATTAGGTAAATGGGATAATGTCTAGCCTTTTCTGAAAATTAAGTGAAATAATATCTAGGAAGTGCTTAGTAAAATGGTGGCAGAGAAAAGAAAAATTAATAATACCTTAAAATTTTCATCTGTATTAAATCCATGAAAAGATCATAGAGTTAATTATCTTACCAATTTGGTAAGTGCTCTTATGGAAAATCCTGGATTTCATAAAAAGTCAGTATTATACTAAGCACTGAATGCTACTAGATTGAACATAGTTCTAACAAGAATATTGAGCCTCATAGGAGTCAGTCAATTTCAATTTGGTTCATGGTCAATGGCCAAACCCTTAGCCAGAGCCAACCCTCTGTTAATTCTAGTATCTGGCCACAAGTGAGAACAGATGTGAGCCCATGAAAGGACCACTGCAAATCAATCTACCAAGACCAGAGAATGATTCAAGCTATGACCTGCTTACCATGGATCAGTTATATCACCATAAATAAAGAATAGGATTTCTTATGCCCCGGGAAAACTCAGGAGACTCTAGAAATGGCTGGTGAAAAAGATTCGACAAGGAAAGAAACAGCTCAGAACACCATCAAGACGGCATAAAGGAGCTGCTACTTTTCATTCTCTCCCACTCCCACCCAAAAATTTAAGCATCTGGCCAGTGACCAATAAGAGAACTGCTTGTAATTGTTGATAATCCAAAACTCATTAGCATAGTTTCCCATCTGTTGGAGACAGTATAACTGTGGCTTTGTATCCTGCCTGCATCTGTGACAGACAGGAATAACTAGAGAGAACTGGCATTTCTACAGTGCAGCTACCCTCCAATATGAGTCCACTGATTTCTATCCACTGACTTTGCCTCCTGATATATAGACCTCTGGTCCTTTTCCCAAGAGACACTTAACTAGTTTCCTAAGGAAGATTATATTTCTTCCTAACTTTTTGATGTGTCATTTTCTAATCAAAAATTTTTCACTGAGCATCCACTGAGGACCTTTTATAAGATACTTTCATAAAACACTAGAAGAATGGGGCTGGGCGCAGTGGCTCATGCCTGTAATCCCAGCACTTTGGGAGCCCGAGGTAGGCGGATCACAAGGTCAGGAGATCAACACCATACTGGCTAATATGATGAAACCTGTCTCTAGTAAAAATACAAAAAATTAGCTGGGTGTGGTGGCAGCCACCTGTAGTCCCAGCTACTCGGGAGGCTGAGGCAGGAGAATGGAGTGAACCCAGGAGGCGGAGCTTGCAGTGAGCTGAGATAGGGCCACTGCACTCCAGCCTGGATGACAGAGCCAGACTCTTCTCCAAAAACAAAACAAAACAAAACAAAAAAAACTTTCGAACACAAAACAAACAAACAAAAAAAACCACTAGAAACCGGTGCTTTAAAAGAAAAAAAATACTGGGACCAAGAAAGCTGGGAAAATGAAGCATACACTGTTTATAAAATCTATATCCATTGGTGTCCATGGTGAAATAATTCAGCATCATGGCTTTAAATAATAATTATAGTCTGGACATGGTGGGTCACGCCTGTAATCCCAGCACTTTGGGAGGCTAAGGCAGGCGGATCACAAGGTCAGGAGTTCAAGACCAGCCTGGCCAACATAGTGAAACCCTGTCTTTACTACAAATACAGAAAATTAGATGGGCTTGGTAGTGGGTGCCTGTAATCCCAGCTACTTGGGAGGCTGAGGCAGGTGAATCACTTGAACCTGGGAGGCGGAGGTTGCAGTGAGCGGAGATCCAGCCTGGGCGAGAGTGCGAGACTCTGTCTCAAAAAAAAAAAAAAAAAACAAAACTATAAACTGATGACTTCTAAATTTTTAATCTCTAGTCTAGCCCTCTCTCCCAGATTCCAAATTGAATTGGTGATGACAATAATGATAATAGCTAAAACTATCCAGTGATCAACATATTTGTTGTACCATACATTTATCTATAGGCATATAGGCCTATAGATGTGTAGATAGCTATAGATATATATAAATTAATCTCTATATATCAATTAATTAAACAATTTAAGACACTTGTTAGCAAGATGGTGTTATTGACAACAAATTGATCAAATGATAATGTAATTTGAAAAATTAGAACTGGAAGCACAAAGAAGCCAAATGGCACTTTCAAAGTAACATAGCTGGCCAGGAAGTTGCAAAGGTAAGAGTCGAACCAAGACAGATTGGTTCTCATATCCACCTGTGTTCTTAGTAACTCTACTTGGATGTCTAACAGACATCCATCTTAGCATGTCTAAAACCAAACTCCTGGTCTTTTTCCAAAAGCTTGTTCCACCCACAGTATCCCCATTATTGTAAATGGCAACTCGAACTCTCTAGTTTCTCAGGTCATAGAATTTGGAATCATCATGACGCTTTTCATGGTTTCACACACCACATCCAAGCTATCAAGAAATCAATTCACCTCTATCATTAAAAATATCCAATATCTGACCACTTGTTACTGCCTTTACTGCTACCACTTTGGACCGAACCACCTTCTTCACTACCTGGAATGCTGTATTACGCTTAAATAGTCTTCCTGTTTCCACCCTTGCTCCCCTAGTCTATTCTCCAAAGAGCAGCCTCACTGACCTTTCTAAAATAGAGTTAGACTATATTACTCTTTTGTTTAAAGTCTCTTTTTTTTTTTTCCCCCATCTCACTCAGAGTAAAGCCAAAGTCCTTGCAATGGCAAGTAATATCAAATCCCATTAGCTCTCAAACCCCAACTACTTCTCCTATCTTATTAACCTCCTCACCTGGCCTTCACACTCACTTCAGCCACATAACCTTCTTGTTATTTTTCAGATACTCCAGGCACAATCCTACCTCAGAGCCTTTGCATGGGCTATTTGCTTTGCCTGGAATGTTCTTTCATTCTAATTTCCCTACTTCCCCCAAGTCCTGATGAATGGTTACATTATCCATGAGGCTTGCTCTCACTAACAGTATGTAAGCTTACATCCTGCTCTCCTCCATCCTTGCCCAGTCCTTTTTCCCTACTCTATGTGTTCCTTTTTCTGTAGCATTTATCACCTTTGAATTCAACATATATTTCACTTCTCATATTTATTTTTTAATTTTAATTTTTGAGACATGGTCTCACTCTGTCACCCAGGCTGGCGGACACTGGTGCTATCATGGCTTACTCACTGCAACCTCAACCTATGAGGCTCAAGGGAACCTCTCACCTCAGCCTCCCAAGTAGCTGGGACTGCATGAGTGTGCACCACACTGAGCTAGTTTTTGTATATTGTGTAGAGATGGAGTCCATTATGTTGCCCAGGCTGGAATCAAACTCCTGGGCTCAAGTAATCTTTCTGACTTGGCCTTCCAAAGTGCTATGATTACATGTGTAAGCCACCACACCCGGCCGATGTTTTTATTTATTTATTTATTTATTTATTTATTATTTATTTTGAGATGGAGTCTCACTCTGTTGCCGCGGCTGGAGGGCAGTGGCACGGTCTCGGCTCACTGCAACCTCCGCCTCCCAGGTTCAAGTGATTCTCCTGCCTCAGCCTCCTGAGTAGCTGGGATTACAGGTGCCTGCCACCATGTCCAGCTATTTTTTGTATTTTTAGTAGAGACAGGGTTTCACCATGTTGGCCAGGCTGGTCTCCAACTCCTGACCTCATGATCCACCCACTTTGGCCTCCCAAAGTGCTGGGATTATACGCATGAGCCACTGTGCCCAGCCCACATGTTTATTTTTCATGTCTGTCTCCTCTTACTAGAGTGTAAATGCCATGAAGTCTTGGAATTTTTGTATTGTTACTGCCATAGCTCAAGACTCTAGAATGGTATGCAGCCTGCAAGACTATTAGACTGTTAAAGGCTCAGAGAAGTCCTTTACATAGATTTTGTGTATTTTTTCTTTAAAATAAAATCTCTTAAACTTATTGATAACAAGTCCATTTTCCCCCCATAAAATAACCATTAAAATCTCATCATATTAGTGCTTCAAGGGAAGGAGTTTGGTGATGGCTATTGTGGAAGATACAGGAAAAGCATATGTAAGATTGTAGTCAGCTTTCCAGAAACAGCTCAGGATATAATTAAATAAATTGTAATATAATTTGATAAAACCACCTTTGATATAATTTGATAGAATATAAATTGTTGCAAATATAAACAGCAAATTACTATCTCTGGTGTTATACTATAGTTTGCAGTAGGCCACAGAATGGGAATACACCAAATCGGATTCTGAACACATATTTACTATCATGTCCAATTTAACCTTCATAGACTTTTCTAAATGATCCTAATAGTGCACCTATGTCAGCTATGTTTTATATCAAGGTTTTACAGTAAGTCCCAAAGGAATCAATTAAACTAAGGAATTATCAAAAAGAAGTAATAGAGTTCTAAAAAGAAAGGAAAGAAGGAAAGAAAAAAAGACTTTGGGATATATGTAGATTATACAATCTACTTAATTCACTCTTAAATAGAAAATTAGGTTTAGGTTTCCCATATATATCAGTACTCAAGGAATATTTAAGGAAAAGAACTTTGGATTGAGACATAAGTTTTAGTTATGGTTCTACTAACCAGCTGGGGGGATTTGGCGATGTCATTTCAGTCAGGCTTTAATTTCCTCATCTGTGAAACAGGGGGACTGTGGTAAGTCTCAGATTATTTTCAAGTATAAAGCTCTTTAAGATGTTTTAAATTGAAATCTGATGAAAAGTGATAGCCATCAATATTTCTGTAGGTTTTAATAACAAGAAGATTACAATTATTGAAATGTCTACTTACATATTCTTTTGATAATTATTTGTCATAATTACTATTACAATTTAAGTAGTTATGGTATAACAATATTAGAAAGCATGATTTTGAATTTCTGAGAAGGATGTTGGTATTTGAAAAATTTAATGTAGAAACAAGAAGCCATAATGAGATAAATAAAAACGATTAGTCATAAAATACTGTTGAAAACAATCAAAGAAGACCTAATAAATGGAAAGGCATACCATGTTCCTTTATAAAACATTATCAAACCCAATGCTAAAAAGATGCCATTTTATTCCAAACTGACCCATAATTCAATACAAATTTAACTAAAATCCCAGTGTGATTTTTAAAAACTGAAATTGACAAATTGATTCTAAAATGTATGCAGTAATGCAAAGTAACTAGAAAAGACAAAACAATTGTGAATATGAAGATCAAAGTTGGATGAATTGTGTTATCTGATTTGAAGACTTACTATAAAGTTACAACAATCAAGACAATATGATATGGAAGAAATGAAAAACACGGATTAATGGTGCATGTTGAAAGTCCAGAAATAGACACACACAACTATAGTCAATTAATTTTCCACTAAGGTACGAAGGCAAATGAATGGAGAAATGATAGTGTTTTCAACAAATGGTACTGGGATAGTTGGGAACACAAATGCAGAAAATTAACCTTGATCCTTATTTTGCACCCTGTATAAAAATTAACGCCAAATGTAAACTGTAAATCTATAAAGTTCCTATGAGAAAACATAGAAGAAAATCTTTTAAGAAATTTCCTAGACACAAAATCAGAAGCATAATACATTTTTAAAAAGATGATAATTAGGCTTCACCAAAATTAAGAACCTTTAGGCCAGGCACGGTGGCTCATGCCTGTGATCCCAGCACTTTGGGAGGCTGAGGCAGGTGGATCACCTGAGGTCAGGAGTTCCAGACCAGCCTGGCCAACATGGCAAAAGTCCATCTCTACTAAAAATACAAAAATTAGCCAGGTGTGGGGGCACACACCTGTAGTTCCAGCTACTTGGGAGGCTGAGGCAGGAGAATCATTTGAACCTGGGAGGCAGCGGTTGCAGTGGGCCAAGATTGCACCACTGCTCTCCAGCCTGGGTGACATAGTGAGACTCTGTCTCAAGGGGAAAAAAAAAAGACAAAAAGTTAAGAAGTTTTACCTTTTGAAAGACATTGTTAAAAGAATGAAAAGACAAGTCAGAGATTGGAAGAAAATATTCACAAATCACAAATTTGTTAAACTACTTATCAAAATGTATAAGGAATTATGAAAATGTAATAATATTTAACAAGTAAGGGACAAACTATTTGAACAGACATTTCACTAAGGAAAACATATATAAATGCAAATAAACATGTGAATAGCTGCTTAATATCATCAGTCATTAGGGAAACACTAATTTTTTAAAAAATCCACAGTATAATACACTTACATATCTATTAGAGAGAGAGAAAGACAGGAATACAAGAAGACAGAAAGAGAGAAGGATGGATGGAAGGAAGGAGGGAGGGAAGGATGTAAGGAGAGGGAGGGAAGGAGGGAGGGAGGGAAAAAGAGAAGGAGGGAGTGGGGGAGGGAAGGAAGGAAAAGGAGAGGAAAGGGAAGGAAAAAGGAAAAGAAAGGAAATAAAAGAAGCCTGGCATGGTGGCTCATATCTGTAATCCCAACATTTTGGGAGGCTGAGGCAGGAGGATTGTTTGAGCCCAAGAGTTTAAGACTGGCCTGGACAGCATAATGAGACTTCTTCTCTCCAAAAAAAAAAAAATTTAGCATGCACTTGTAGTCCCAGCTACTCAGGGGGCTGAGGCAGGAAGATTGCTTGAGAGTGTGGGAGGTTGGAAAAAAATTACAAATGAGAGAGAGAGAGAGAGAGAGAGAGAGAGAAAGACAGAGACAGGAAGCAATACCAGTTGTTGGTGAGAAGTCAGAGCACCAGAAACTTTCATACATTGCTGGTGAAAATGCAAAATTGTCCAGCTACTCTGGAAAACAATTTGGTACTTTTTTCTTGTAAAGTAAAACATACTCAACCATGCTTTCTAGCAATCCCACTCCTGGGCATTTACACAAGGGAAATAAAAAATTATATTTATATAAAAGCCTATACAAACATGTTTTAAACAGCCTTATTTGCAATTCTAAAAAGGTAGTAACAATTCAGATATTCCTCAACTCAAAAATTAATTAAAAAAAAAACAACTGTGGTACACCCATGCAATAGAATATTACCCAGCACTAAAAAGGAATGAACTACTGATACATACAATAACATAGATAAATTTCAAATATATCACAAATGAAAGAATCCAGATTCAAAATGCTACTTATTTTATACTTTCATTTACATGACATTCTAGAAAAAAATAATTAGCTATTAACAAGACTTGGAGGTGGGAATAGAGGTTGACTAAAAAATGGTATGGAAAATTTGGAGGTGGTGATGCTTACATAATCATTTGTTGAACCTCATAGAACTGTACCTTAAAAATCGTGATTTTTAATTGTATACAAATTATACTTCAATAAAAAATGAAAAATATGATTAGTCATTTTTCAAATCTCAGCTTTTCCATGAATTTTTTCAAACCTAGAAATATACCAAATCTACTGGGAAAATTATTTTCCTAAAAACAGATGCAGTGTGATTAAATTTACTCTTTGGGCAATTCTAGGAGTACCATGAAGGAAGCTAATATTAGATAATTTAGAACAATAAAAAGAATATACATGTAAACTATGGTATGAGCTAGACCTTGAAAGTTGTCTGAAATGAGATAATGAAGGCAAGTGCCCCTACAAATCAATTTTTTTTTATAATTTAGAAATGTATATAGATAATTCAATAAAAAATGTTTTGCTCTTTAATCCATGGAATTACATGAACGGATAAAAGAGTCACATCTGTGAGTCCTGCTGTTAAAATGTATTATTATTGTATAAGAGCTGCATACTTAACGTATTCATTTTAAACTGCAAAAGGTATAGTAATCAAAGTACAGTGTAGAAGATAAGGGTAATGGAGAGAAATACTGTGTGTTAGACAAGCACTATGTGATTATGCTCTTTCTCTTATCTGGCCCCTTCTCTGACACTGTGCATTCCACACCTCATTATACACAGGATCATTGCAAACAGAAGGTGAGGAACAAGGATAAAGGACAAAATATTCTTAAATAGAGAAAGGAAACTATCAAAAGCTTCATCTCTGCTTGGAAGGTAACCATTATCCTGCAATCCTCTCTCATTTTTATTGAATTTTTCAAGTCAGTATGGATCATTCAAAGTCTTTCAAAGGAATAATACAGAAAGGACCACACTCGGTGTGTAACAGAAATGCTACTCATAAACAAATAAAAAACAAAATCTAGGAATATATTTGCTTATTATGTTAGGAATTCAGGATGCAGTGTTTTACACAGTCAAGAACTCACTGGAGAAAGAAACTATGAGAGAAAAAATAATAATCAAAAGGCCCTTCTTTCTAAGCCACACTATTTGTAATGCTCTTAAAGAGTCTTGAATATTATATAATCATGGTGACTGAAATCACAATTTGCCATCAGTTCTATATTTAAAGAAAAACCCTGGGTGGTTTCCCAGCTCACGTTCAACTAATAAAAGAATTGTCTATATAGTTGGAGTATTTTTCTTATAAATACTTTTACTTGAAGACATTTTCAACAAAATGTCACCCTATGTTCTGATCAAGCAAAGCATAAATTCCCCATGACATATCACTGTGTTAGTTGGCACCAGCTCAGATAACAGGCACTTTAAATCACTGACAGCGGTTCAAGTCCTTTGCCCCACACATTTTGGATTTGCCCACTAAATCTCCTTAAATTGCTGTTCTATGAAAGCAATTCAAAAATATTACATTTTTATACATAGTTTCAATCAAATGTTTTCTTGAAAAAAATAAAATTTATTGAGTGATAGCACTATTTAGACATCTATTTATTATTCACTAATTTATTTATTCAGCTAACATTTAGTGAATATGTAATATGTTCCAGGCATTGTTTTAGGAACTGGAGCAAAGCCAACGTAGGCCATGCTGTCTAATAGGGGAGAGACAATAAAGAGCATAAAACAAACCAAATTAAAAGAATAAACAGGTAAGATAAATACATCCACTAGAAAACAGAGCATCTAACAGCGGCCCAATTTAAGATCTATGTACAGCAAGCGGTTTATTTTTTACATTGCCAGTACAAAACATGCACAGCTAACTGAAGATATTCTGCTTACACCTCTTCTCATGAACATTATTGAATTCAAATGAGATTCAAATGTGCTGACCTGTCGCATAGCTTGCAACAAATCACTCTGAATTATTTTAATCTTTCCTCCAGGACTACTAAAAATTCTGCTCTCTTCTATGTTTTCACATTCATATAGATAATAAATTACACGATTTCCATTGTGTTGCCTATTTTGGTTGTTTGGATTCAGCTTTGTATATTTGTTCTCTCACTTCTTATAGCTCTTCAGTAAACAAGAGAACCCCAAGCAAAACAGCTTGCTGTTACAGTCTCATACTCTAATTGTATTGAAATAACAGCCATTACAATAGGATTGAATAACCAAAGCTGATCAATATATGCTCTGGTACTGGCAACATCAAATGATCTAGATGTGTTCACCCTCTTCCACCTTTCCTATGTCAAAATTCACAACCCAATCTCATCAAAGATGAGGAGGTAAAAGGAAAGGAATCATGCCTCTTTAAATCAGATATCCAATTTGTGGCAGTTTCTGAAGGCTATCACTGAGATGCTCAATTTGACCAGGTCAAATTTCATTTGTCTTGTACTTTTATTACTCTCAAAGCTAGTAAAACGTGTTTGCAATAGAAAAAAGGAAAACAAAAATGACCCTCCCCATTGGCTTGCCAGATTTTTAAAAGTAGGTTGATTTTGTCCCTTTGAAATACACAGCTAGCTTGAAGGCTCTCTCTTCTACTTTCTCTATTTAAAGATTATTGTACTTTTTGGACTCAAAGAGAAGTGTTAGACTGGATAAACATAGAATACAATTCTATTCATGGTGATGACACCATTTAACATTTATTGAACGCTAACTATGTGCTGGAGTAGTTTTATATGTTTTTGTTTCAATGTCTTATTTAATATTGAAAACAACTGTTATTACAAACTTCTGCTTCTGTTTGCTTGTTAGACTGCTCTGCCCCTAATTTACCTTCTACTTTCTTTCAATCTATTGCTTTCTTCAGCTAATTTTTTATTTAGCTTACATCCTGTGGTTTGTTATTTTAAAAATGCACTTGGAGAGCCATAACCTCTCTTACTGCTCATCTGGAAACTCAAACAAATCATAGAGATTCTACAAGTAACTGAGCTTGGCTGAAGTCCCTCAGAAGGACAGCTGGGTTTCCGCTGTAAATTTATGATCACTAATCTCAAATGGAAACATAGCACGGGCTGGCAATCATGGTACATTTCCTTGGCCAACTCACTTTCACATTGTCTGCAACAACATCAACCTTTTCTACTTTTTTCAAAGATCTAATTTCTAACCCTTCCACTCTATCTTGCCTCCTTAATCTCAGAAGATCCTGCCTTCTACTTTAGTGAAAAAAGTAGAAGCAGCTGGATGGAGATGCTCTCAGCTCCCTTGTATAAAAACTACTCATTCACTGAATGGGAGCTACAGCTCCCATTTCTTTGACCTTCATGATCCCTTAAGTTACTGCAGAGGGGTGCCCTTTCTACCATCCCAGCCAAATAAGCCTTTTTATTTCTTCTTCAGTTCCTTTTATCTTCTTGCTTCTTAGTAACTTTTATGTTTCTCATCTTTCATATATCCAACCAGTTCTTCTCAACTGATGATCACGTTCATCAGAATTTAAACATGCTCAAGCCTCTCCTACTTTCAACTATCCCTTCACCTATCACCCTAAGTTCTTTACATTCCTTCTTTCATTTCATAGACACATTTTTTTGAAACAGGGTATTCCACATTTAATATTTATTTATACCCTCAATCTACTTGATATTTGATTAAAAGCCCATCTGCATGGAAACAGCTCTAGCTGGGCACTGAGAGGTAGAAAAAACCTGCTCATTTTACAAAGACAGCAGTGGCAGAGCTGAGATTTAAACTCATGCCAGTTTGATTCTAGAACCCAAGATATTAATTCTAATAAGTTAGACAGCATTTAAAAAATTAACCTGGCTGGGCATGGTGGCTCACGCCTATAATCCCAGCATTTTGGGAGGCCAAGGCGGGTGGATCACCTGAGGTCAGGAGTTTGAGACCAGCCTGGTCAACATGGTGAAATCCCATCTCTACTAAAAATACAGAAAATTAGCCGGGCATTGTGGTGGGCACCTGTAATCTGAGCTACACAGGAGGCTGAGGCAGGAGAATCACTTGAACCTGGGAAGAGGAGGGTGCAGTGAGCTGAGATCGTGCCATTGCACTCCAGCCTGGGCAACAAGAGCAAAACTCCATCTCAAAAAAAAAAAAAAAAAAAAAAAAAATTAACCAACATTCATCCAAATTACAAAAACATTAATCTTTTGATCTAACTATTTCAGTCTTAGATATTTACTTTAAAGCTATGTTTTCACAACTGCAGATTGACATATGTACAGGATTATTCATTCTTTACAGCAAATATTTAGAAACAAATTAAATGCCTCTAAATAGAGGACTGGAAAAATAGATTATGTTATATGGATAAAGCTGAATACTATATAATTGTGTAAAACAATGAAGAAGCTGTCTAATTACTGATCTAGAAATATACTAAGATATGTTAAGTTTTTAGAAGTAGATGAATTTGTATGTATGATTTGTATAAAAATGAGGGAAAATGAGAATACTTGTATTTTCTGACTTTTACATAAAGAGACATATGCAAGCATTTATAACAAAAGTGTTTACCTCATGTTGGCGGATGTTTGGAACCGGGAAAATAGGAGAAAGTGAGCAGGCGTGTGACTTATCACAGTACACCATTATATGCCTTTTGATTTTTGAACCATGATATTGTGATAGATATTTAAACATTGAATTTTAATTGTTGCCATATGGATTTCTCATGATGAGTAGAAAAATACTCAAGCATGATGTAAAACATTAATAGTATCATAGTTTGATTTATGTATTTGCTGTATCACATCACCCTCTATAACTTTTCCAATAGCTTCCTCCTGCAACCAAAGTAAAATCCACCTTTTTATCAAGGCCTACAAGGCTCTATCTGCAATAAATTTATCAAAATATATGCAAAAGTATTCCCAGAATGACAACATGATTTTCCCAATTAAGAAAGTACTGACTTCTTAGAAAAATGGATGAAAATTACTCATACCAATCCACATCATTGTGGATTTCAGATCACATACACAGCATTGGGAATTAAATGTCATCTGATTTCTGAACATCAACATTCAAAACTGGGAGACAATGCAGAACTGCATTCCACATTCTAAGAAGAAAAATGATTTATAACTTAGAATTCTATATCCAAACTATCAATCAAATATGAATGAAGAATAAAGCAAAATTAACCTCTCACATAACCCTTTTTGGGAAGCTATTGGAAGATAGAGGCCCCCAAAACAAAGGAGTAAGCAAAGGGAAAGGAAGACATCAGTGCCAGAAGATAGAGGATTCAATGAAGGAAAGAAGGAAGAAGAAAATCTCCAGAACTGTAGAAGGAGATCCCAGGACATCAGCTCTGCAGCAGGTTAGGTGAGCAACTGTCCAGATTAGAATGGGAAAACTAAGCAAACAACAACAAAAGTGAGATTATTAATTTCAGGGTATATAAGAAACTACAAAAAAAAATGTATAACACTAGTATAAGACATGGCACAGCTGTTTGTTAAGCTTTATGGTTTATGAACCCTAAATCATCATCTAACAAAACATTAAGATATAGCTATGTTTAAAGAAGATAGAGAAGTATGTCTATGAATGTGTGAGAGTTAAAGCTTAAACTTCTATAACAGAAAAAACCAGTAGATAATATCAAAATTGAAATATTAAGACATAGAAGGGAAGGTATATCACTGAGAATGACACAGAGAATTCTCCAGGAAATTACTGGATCATTTCCAAGTAGTTGCCCCTAGAAGCAGAAAGCAAAGGGAGAATTGAGAACTGCCATTTTTTCTCATTTTGACCAAGATATATTGGATTAACTAAAGATACGAATAGCGATAAAACATTGAAAATTAAAGAAGGAAAGAAAGGGAAAATATCCTCAACATCTGAACTTGAAGTAAAAAATATTAGTCAATAGTTACATCTCCATCATTGTTAAAGAGACAGAAAGGAGAAATTCAACAACCTTATTTCTTTGGCATTCTTAGAATGATACAAAATTAATAAAAGATCTGTTAAGAAGTGCAATTAATATTCTTCTGGGGAAAAGATTGAGAGTTTATTCATTCTTCATAGCTGTTTTCTAATTCATCTTCCATTCTTAGACTAGAAACTCTTACTAAAATTAATGGTAGCTATTTGAGTGTAAGAAAAAGGACAGTATATTCTTCTACAAGCTGGGAAGTACTTAATGAAAACAATGAGGGAAGGGATTGTTTCTGAATTAAAAATAATTTCTAATGGCCACATCGCATTCTTAAAAATAAAATAACACTAAATACCTCATTATTTACCAGCATTATTACTGCTTTAGAGGAGTAAAATAACAACTTTCAAAAATTTCCTAAATTCACAAGCATTTATGAGTTACTAAACTTGAATATTACCGGTAGCACACACTAAAATTATTTCATCTATTCATATATTATTTGTGTTGGGAAAATTTTTATCACCACTACATTTTATTTAAATTTGCAATAAACTCAAGATTTTAGCTGCAATATTATAGTACTGTATGATTTTTAAATTATTACTAAATTTCTTGAATTTTGTGCTCAATGATGAAACAAAAGGACTATAGTCATTATAGTTATTGTAAAGAAGAAAAACATTTCTTCTAAATTAAAATATCATTAAATAATTCCCTTTCTCCTTTAGATATTATGAGGTTTCCTGTTTGGGGTTTTCTTTGGTTTGAGTCAGTTTACTGTAATTGAGGCCAATTTATTTTTAAAATAAGACTTTTTTTCATTTCTAAACATTTAAAAAAGTTTAATCTTGAAAATACAGAAAAATTAAAAGAAGAAAATAAATCACCAGTGTTTTCTCCGTGGCTCCTCTGAACACTGATGCCACATGATGAGATGGTAGAATTTCTAATGGTCTAATTGCCTGAGATACTATTTGGAGTAGAGTTCTCCAGGAAAGTAGGAGAGCAGAGCAATAAATAAATCTTCTTAAAATTAAACCACTAAAATGTCAGGAATATTTTGTTTCTATAGTAATATCTAGCTGATTCTGACAAATACCATCCCCAACTCTCACTCTATCAGCCTCTACAGAAGAGGGAAGAAGAGAGAGAAGGAGAAATGAGAGGGAAAGCCAGCCAGCCTGGATCCATTTGCTCTGTATAGGAAGATTTTGATGCTAACCTGTGCCACACATACTAAAGCATGAGAAGGCTTAGGTAAAGATGGTCGTAGTTCTAGGGTAAACTATAACCAGTTCTAGTACTACAAAATGAAACAAAAACCCAGGCCAAAAATTTCTGAGAGAATGTGTCAGACAATACAAAAGGTATCAATAATTGTAGTGATAATCACCAACAATGGCTGAGGGGACTATTTAACGCCAGATCCAGTTCTAACCATTTTGCAAATGTAAACATATTTATTTGCAAAACTCTATGAGGCAGATACTAATGCTATCTCCCATTATCAAATGAATAAACTGCGACACAGGGTGGTATGTAATTTTGCAATGTCACGTGAGTAGTGAATAACAGAGCTGAGATTTAAGTCCAAGAAGGCCGACTCAGGAAAATGTGCTCTCATCTACCAGGCTATGTTGCATTATGAGAAATTAGAATAATGCAGTTCTTCATATGAGAAAATGACACATTAATGGAGTTACCTATAAAACAGATGTAGATATATTTTGTATAGTAACTTATGGAGTATCCAATCCCATTGATTATATTTGCTTTAACCCTTGTTGACTTCCTTATATTTCTGACATGTTCCCCCACTAGAAAATAGATGCATTTCTAGCGGCAAAGCAGTAAGTGACAGAGGCTGAACAAGATGGAAGGAAAAACAAGGACCTTTGTTGTTGCTAACATGTCCCCTTCCATTTTGGGGGAGAGGGGGAAGCATAAAGGCTAGGAGTTTTGAAGGCAGAAAGACCTAAATTTGAATCCTGGATGTTATTGAGCAACTCATTTTATAAATGAAGAGACTGAGGTTCTATGATAATATTAAGCCTTGGTTTCTTCATTTGTAAAATAGTAATTAAAAAGTCTACCTCAGAGATTTACTGTGACATTAAATCAATATATTATGGGAGATGCTCATCACAATGACCAACAGATACAGTAGTGAACAGATTGCTAGTAAGAAGCCATCTGATTGAAACTTGTTTGGCAAAAGGGGAATCTATTAGCTCCTATGATTGCTGCTTTAAGAAGAGGCTGAAACTATTTACAATAGCAAAGACTTGGAACCAACCGAAATGTCCATCAATGATTGACTGGATAAAGAAAATGTGGTACATATACACCATGGAATACTATGCAGCCATAAAAAGAATGAGTTCATGTCCTTTGCAGGGACATGTATGAAGTTGGAAACCATCATTCTCAACAAACTAACACAAGAACAGAAAACCGAACACCGCACGTTCTCACTCATAAGTGGGAGTTGAACAATGAGAACACATGGACACAGGGAGGGGAACATCACACACTGGTGCCTGTCGGGTGTTGGGGGAAAGGGGAGGGAGAGCATTAGGACAAATACCTAATGCATGCGGGGCTTAAAACCTAGATGACGGGTTGATGGGTGCAGCAAACCATCATGGCACGTGTATACCTATGAAACAAACCTGCAGGTTCTGCACATGTAACCCAGAACTTAAAGTTTAAAAAAAAAAGAAATAAAAATGCTTCATCTGAGGGGACCTCTGTGCCAGCTTCCAGGAGCCTTGAGGTTCTGGGCATGGAGGGAGCTTCCGCGGAAGGACTGCCACAACAGGGACAGGTGTAGAGGGAAGATGGCGTTCTTCTTCCCTGACTGCTTCCTGTGCCCCTTGGATGGAGCCCCTAGGCTGTGTCCAGGGCTGTGTAAAATGCTGATTGGAATAGAAGTAAAGGGTAGAATGAGAAAGGGGCAGGGCGCAAGTCGCACTGCATCCAGGGGAAGGGGCAGAGCTGAGCTGAGCAGCGCTGTGAGTGGCTGAAAGTAGGAAATGGGAGGAAGTGAGGGGGACTTTAAAGGCAGAAAGATTTCATTTTAATTTATCCACTGCATGATACTGCAATAAAACTCTCCTCATATTAATAAATCCCCGAAGAAAAAAAAAAAAGGAAGAGGCTGAATCAGTCATCTTGGTCTGGTCTCTTACTATCTTTCAGCTCTGCTTCCTTCAGAAGCATCTCCATGCTCAGGCAAGCGTAACTCTCAAAGAGGCAAAATGTCTCCCAAAGTCTCCAGGACAATATTCTACTTCATAATTGTCCACAAGGAAAATGAAATGCCTCCTTGCCAGGTGGTCAAAGGAAAATCCTAAAAACGCTTCTGATTGAAATTGATTGATTTGGTTTCATGATGTGCCTATGTATAGTGCTCTATTGGCCAGACCTGGATGATATGACCACCTTGAGAACAAAAACTGGGATTAATTCTACCCCAAATCACATATTGAAATAGAAGAAGAATGAGTGTCCAAAAAAGGAAAAGAGGAATGAATGATGCATGAAAAGAACAACTAATATCAACTAAAACCAAACATTTATATTATAATTCATAAATAGATAAGGGGGACATTATGGAATTAGTAAAGTTCTTCTTGTCAAGATGAACTGATATTAATTGGTTAGACCTTAGAATACTGTTAAGGCAATGGCAAGAGTTACTTCTCAAAGCACTAAAATGCATGAATAGTAATAGTAATGAAGTGTTTTACAGAATGTAATTTTATAATATGAAAATACTTAATTTTGACCAGGTTAAAGCAAGCTAAGCATTGTAGAAATTAATGTATTTATTTATATTAAAAAATTTAAATAATGTATATACAGCATGAAACATTTTGTCTTAGCTAAATGCCATGGCCCTCAGTTAATCTGGGAGTAATACCCTTCCTGTTTTATTATAAGCTTTTTTTTTTTTTTCTGAGACAGAGTTTGCCATGTCGCTCAGGTTGGAGTGTAGTGGCACCATCTCGGCTCACTGCAACCACCACCTCATGGGTTCAAGCGATTCCCCTGCCTCAGCCTCTCAAGTGGCTGGGAATACAGCCATGGGCCACCACGCCTGGCTAATTTTTGTATTTTTGGTAGAGACGGGGTTTTACCATGTTGGCCAGGCTGGTCTCAAATTCCTGGCCTCAAGTGATCTGCCCGCCTCGGCCTCCCAAAGTGCTGGGATTACAGGCGTGAGCCACTGCACCAAGCCCCAAGTTTTCTTTTTAAAAAACTACATTCTTTCCAACAATATTCCAATGAGCCAAGCAGCTTACGAATGTAGGGAAAAGCCCACAACTCACAAGGGTACTTAGGGTTCTTTGGGTGGTTAAATACAACATGACAAAACATTTTAACAAGCTATATTGTTTTTTGTTGCATATTGGAAATAACTACTTATAATTTAAGAACTACTAATGAATGTTTTCATTTTCCAATTTTATGTTAAACAATGATTAGCAAACAACTATATACCCTGCAGACCAAATCTGGCCTGCCACCTGTTTTTGCAAATAAAGTTTTATTGGAATACACACCTATCTATTTACGTATTGTCCATGTTTTTTGCACTACAATTGCAAAATGGAGTGGTTGTGGCAGAGACTATATGACCCACAAGTCTAAAATATTTATTATTTAGACCTTTATAAAAAAAAAAGTTTGCTGACTCCTTATATGGACAAAATAGGCAAACTACATCAATGACTCTAGGTCAAAAAATTTTCAACTCTATAATATAGAAAAGCAAAATGTTCTTTTTCATGGTTCAATAATATTATGGCAGCTGTTTGTACAAGCCATCAATAGCATCTGTGTTTTTAAACGATTTTGTATTTGTTTTGCTAAATCATGGAATGTACCTTGTAATTTTAAAACTGCATAGAGATTTCTCTGCGTCCTCAGATAATTTGTAATCTAACAGCAAAAATACTTGGTTCTGAAACATTGCAATGATATTTGAGGACAGAATACCAGGAAACACCAATATGATATTCTGATGAATATTTATGAGCACCTCCACCTGGCCTTCAAGTTTTCCATGCTTCAGTGCTAATGTATTTGTGTCTGCATAGAGAAGTGTGTGTGTGTGTGTGTGTGTGTGTGTGTGTGTGTGTGTGTGTGCGTGTAGGCTGGGGAAAGGGAGAACTATTCTGATCCAACTTTTCATAAAATAACCACGTAGGTTAAGTTCAAATTATTGCCCTCCTTCCCCACTTTTATATTCTAATTGAAGATCATCATGGATTCATCAAACTCTTATGAGCATCTTTAGATCCTAAGTGTAGAATCCTCTTCTGATTCTTGTTTACTCACTGTCTCCATTTATGTAATTTTCTCTCCTTTTTTGAAACATTTTTTTCTATTTCTCTTACATCATTTCCATTAGCACACAAGCATGCTATATTAACTCCCTCCAGTTTACACTAATTTCTTTCATTATCTTTACAATTACACATTGAAAGACCTTTCTATATTTGCTCTAGTCACTTGTTTTCTTCCATTCTCTCTTGAATTCACTCCAATCTGATTTTTGGCCCCCTGCTTCATACTCCATTGAAACTATCCTCAAGTTGTTAACGACTCCCACATTGCTCAAATCTACATTCAATTCTCAATGCTTATTTTACTCAGGCTTTCAGCAAAACATGAATGTCTACCAATACCTTCTCCTTAAAACAGCTTCTTTGCCTGGCTTCTGAGATACCACACTCTTCTTATTTTCTTAGTAGTTCTCTGGATGTTTCTCAGTCACTCTGATTGGCCTAGTCCTATTTATCTGACTTCTAAACATTAGAGTTGCTCTAGATTTATTCATCAGATATCTTCTCATTTTCTACATTCCCTTTCTAGGTGAATTTATCCAGTCTCATGATTTCAAATAATTTTGTTATACTGATTAACTTCTATACTGGTTTTTAGTTTTCAATTGGCATGAACAAGAGGATGCCTTTGCTGTCTTTCTCAGGGATATGTCATCTGTCCTTCTCTCTGCTGTAACCCCATAATCTAGTCCACAGGGACCTTGTTCTTCTGGACGTTCTGTAGATCACCACATTGGTGTACCACACTGATGGCATAGTGCTGTTTAGACCTGGTGAACATGAAAAACAATAAACCTTAGGTGCCTTACTTGGACACATAAATGCCAGAGGATAGTCAAAAACCACAAAAATTCTGAGGCCCACTATCTGTGAAGTTTCTAAGACTCCAATGGTCTGGAGCAAGTTGAACTGCTTCTTCCATAGTGAAAGACAAATTGTAGCAACTTGCACTACCTGGAATTAGGAAAGAGGCAGAATGCTAATTTGGTATCTTTGGGTTTTGAAGGCAAAATATAGCACATTTGAGTATGCTGTTCCAAATAATGTAAAGGGTAATTTTAAGGCTTCTAATTTTGGGTGGGGCCTAGAGAAAGAGAAGATTCTGCTATAGATTCAGAGTGCAATGAAAGCTGCTGTATCATTTGGGCCTTATGACCCATCAGATCCCATGGGTTCACAGGATTTGTGGCACATATGGGTGTTTCATAACCTGCTATTATCCATTAATAGAACAGCCACAGTGTATACTTTTCAGGTTTAGGACAAAGGCTTATCCTATTTACAGAGTATTCTCTTTTTGAGAAACAGCTCCTAGATTACTACCGGGATCTCATGGATACTGTACACTTGACCGTGGTACACCAAGTGACCATGCATCTTGAGCTGCCTACGTTTCATTTAGCCTATCAAACCAGAAGTTTGGGCATATGCACCTGTGATCCACTAAGTGCAAATGAGATATTAGAGATGGATTTGGAGCAGGTCCTGAAGGAAGAAGTAGGTTTTGTGAGTAAGTGATTCCTCTAGCACCTACTCCTGCTACTTTGTCTCCTCTCTCTCACTCTCTACTTAAGGCTTCATGGGAAGTTCCTATGAAAAGTTTGGCCAAGGTTAAAAACTTGGGCTTGGTTTACAGCATGATATCCTGAAAGCAACTGGACATAGATTGCTTCAGTATCACTGCCTCAATCTGGCTAGTTCTTAAAGACAAAAGTGAGTGGAGAACATCCTGCTGGAGAGAATTTGAACAGTATATTCTGTGCTCCTTTCTCTAGATTCAAAGATGGCCAAAGGAAAGGATCTATACTGATTAATAGGCAGTGGCTAATAATGTGGTTGAATGGTCAGGGACTTGAAAAGAAACAAACTTGGAAGACTGGTGGCAAGAAAGTTTTTGGAGAAGTTATGTGATAGATCTCCCCGAATAGATACATGTAAAGATATTTTTGTCCTATATGAGTTATAACATAAGTGACATCCACTACAGAAAAGGCTCTCAATAATCAGGTGGTCAAAAGATACACAGTGGATATCAGCCTCTTTCTCTAGTCATTCTAGTGCTTGCTAAATGTGTTAATTGAAAACATAACCCAAGCTGAAATGATAGAGGGTACCCATGTGTTCAAAGTATGGACATCCCCCACCAAAGCTGATATGACTCTCACCATTCTTGAGTAATTGCAAGCATCAGAAAGAAAGGCAGAACTTCCTACGTGATATCAATCCCAAGGAGACCAAATAGCCACCTAATAAGTAGCAAGTGAATTACACTTGGACCCTTCTATCACAATGGGAGTAGTGATTTGTTCTCATAGGTGTACACACTTATTCTAGCTACTGATTTGTATTTTTATTTGCAATGCTTCTGACAGCATTATCATCTCACAACACATTTCTTCTAATGAAGCAACTAAATTTTATAGCAAAAATCTGAGCAAATGGACTCATGCACAAAGAATTTACTGGCTTTACTACATACACCATCATCCAGAGGAGCTGACCTGATAGGTCAGCAGAATGGCCTATTGAAGACTCAGATGTGGCCTTCACTGGAAACAACACCATAAAACTTTTGAGTATTAACCTACAGCTTCCAGTATAGCATTTGAAACAGAGAGCAATATGCAATGCTGTTTCTCCCCCCTTGCCAGAATACTGTGGTAGAAGAAAGACTAGTTTCTCTCACTATTACAACAAACTTGCCGCTCATAAAATTATTGTTTTCTTCTCCTCCAAATTTGGGTTCTGCTAATTTAGCTATCTTAGTTCCCAAGGGAAGAGTGGTTTGGCCAGGTAACACAACAAGAGTTCCACATGACTGGAAGCTGACACCACCACTTGGTCGTTTGGGGCTCTTTGTACTACTGAAGTAATAGGCAAAGGTGATTAAATATTGCTTGGGTACTCAATGTAATTTACCAAGAGGGAATCAGGTTGATGTCATCCAATGGTGGCAAGGAGTAATATGTCTGGCACCCAGGAGATTGTTCAAGATACCTATTCATATTTTTATGTCCAATAGTATAACTTACTGGAAAGCTACCAGAAAACAAAATCATCGACACTGACAATTTAAGCCTTTCAGACCTTTCTGAACTGAAGGTTTCATTTAACCCACCAATTTAAAAACTGTTCAGATGAAGGACTGGCTGATGGAATGAGGAATATGTGATGGGTAACGGAAGGAGGGAGTTATAAATATCAACAACATCCTCATGTTCAGTTATGCAAATGGGGACTGTAATAGAAATTTATATATTATTTTCTCCTTATTGTCTGTTCATTAATAATATATTAATTGTATCACCCTCCTCGTTTCTTTTATCATATAAGGACCTTTAAGTTACAGAATATTCAGGTGGGATGTAAATGAATTAGAAGAAGAATAAACAAGAGATAGAAATACTGACTGTTGAGTTTGTCTCTTCCCTGTATGGGAGATCAGAGAGGGTCACGGTTACATAAAGAAAAGCAAAAAACACACTAAAAACCCTCCAATAGATTCCTATCTTGTTCTGAATTAGATGCAAAGCACATAACTGGGCTAGAAGGTGACTAAAAGATCTGCTTCCCAGAAAAATTTCAGGCCTCAACTCTTACCAGTCCCCTTTATATACCCTCTGCTCCAGTCACACTAATCTCCTTAGTATTCCTCGAATACCCAAGCACTATCCCAACTCAGGGCCATTGCACTTGCTGTGACCTCTGCTTGACCTATTCCCCATTTCAATGGGGTCTCTACATAAATGCCCCTTATAAGAGGCCCTTTCCTGACCACTCTCTCTAAAGCACCCCTTGTCATTTCTCTCTAACCTTTACCCTACTCTACTTTTCTTCTTAGCATACCACCATATTACAGATTAAATCCTTATTACGTATCCATTATTTTTGAAAATATTTTAATATTTAATAATATTTATTATTAGATTTTTTCTCCTCCTCTATCCAAAATATAAAATCCACGAAGACAAGGATGCTATTTTTGTTCATTACATAATATAATGTCTGGGATACAGTACCAGAATCAGGATATCTTTTTACCTTGCACCACCCATCTACCCTCTATTTACTGTTGAGGTAATCAAGGGATTCACTGATGTCATATGTTATGCTCCTCAACAAATTTAACCTTGTCAAATGAGCACAGTAGCAAACACAGCACTGGATTCGTCATTTAATAAGTGACACACAACTCTATAAAGGCAATGCCGCTTCCTCGGTGCCAAATTTGACGCTTGACTACTTGTTTGCCTTTTTCAGAGTATTTACTTACTTACCAACTCTTGCATCAGGATCCAATGAAAAGAAGTGAAAAATTAGTGTCCCATTAAGAGTGAAAGGCCAAAGGTTTCCTCTAAATATTATCAGCTTGTCAAGCCTCTGGTCTCTGTTTTTACCTCCCTAAGAAAACATATGCCTGCCTATGCTTCTGTTCCTGACTTGAGCAAAATCACAGGCTAACTCATTGTCACAGAAGTAGGTTGTGCTTGTAGGCATTATGGGAACATCTGTTCTCTTGTGATGTTGTTTTAAGCTGGAAAAAAAAAACCCATACATCATTAAATATTCCACCCAAATGATTCCACATGTCCATGTTCTGCAGAGATGGAGGTATGAAAATACAGAAAGACAAAATGAGGATGCATCTGTTGTATCTGATTACTCTCAGGGTTCTTTTGTAACTCAAACCTGGTGTAAAACTATTTAGAGAAGAAATGGCTCTTGAAAGAATTTGAGGAAAAATATGAAGCATGAACACTTCATGACAGGTTACTGGTTGCCCCAATATCTGCTCACTTTTTACATAGGGTTACAATTTTAGTTGGCACATGATCATCAAGAGAAAAACACGATTTATCATTTCCTCTTTGTGATTAAATATCACCATGTGACTATATTCTAGCCAATGGACATGAGATGTCATGTGTCAACTTTACAGCCAATGGATGTGAAAGGTGATGGGTTCTTCTTACACTTTTAAATGTGAGGGAATCTCTTCATAACTTGCTTAAATGGTTATTATTTTGGATGTCTCTTACAACTTCCAGACTGATACCCAATACATTTAGAGTACTTTGACAGACTCAATGTGTCATTCAAAGCCCACTTCTTGTGAAATAAAGTATAGTTTGTAAGAGCACAGATTTAAGCCAATCTTTGGGTTTGAATCTTGGTTCACCATTTATTAGCTGTGAAACCTTGGTGATGTGATTTTACATCTCTGTGCTTTCAGCAAAGTCAGAAAATTAGTAGTGTTACCACACAAGTTTGCCGCTAAATGCAATGAGCTACAATCCTTTACATGCTTACAATAGAACGTGGCACTTAGTAAGCACTCAATAAGCATTATCTAATATTATTTATTTAGAAATGACCCAAGGCAAGTCATTTATTCAGCCAAGTTTGCATCATCACAATGAAGCTTTCTTTGTGTCATAAAAGTTTCATTCCCTTAGCAGCTTGTCTGACAATCCCTGCTTGAGGGAGAACTGCCTTTTCTGAGAAAACTTTCTTATAGCCCAATTAAGGTAGGTGAGTATGTTGGGGCATGAGTGGAAACTGCTGCCAAAATTTTAAAAATGTGGTTTGATAACTCTGAAGAGAGCCAGAAGAGATATTTCCTTTAACCCAGGGGTGTGTAAAGAAGGAAGTGACAAGTCAAGGAAATGGTAGCAGGCTGTGTGACATCTGTCATCCCCTCTCTGGGGCAATGAACTACTCAGTGAATTTACTCAAGCCTAGTATGGTGTATTAGTCTGTTTTCATGCTGCTGAAAAAGACATACCCCAGACTGGGCAATTTACAAAAGAAAGAGGTTTAATGGGGTTACAGTTCCATATGGCTGGGGAGGTCTCACAATCATGATGGAAGGCAAGGAGGAAAAAGTCACATCTTAAATGGATGGTGGCAGGCAAAAAAAGAGAGCTTGTGCAGGGAAACTCCAATTTTTAAAACCATAAGATCTTGTGAGACGTATTCACTATCACAAGAAGAGCATGGGAAAGACCCATCCCCATGATTCAATTATCTCCCACTGGTCCCTCCCACAACAAGTGGGAATTATGGGAGCTACAAGGTGAGATTTGGCTGGAGACACAGAGCCAAACCATATCATTCCACCCCTGGCCCTTCCCAAACCTCATGTCTGCACATTTCAAACCAATCATGCCTGGGTAGATGTTCAGGTCACCTCAGTGCTTGGACCTGGGCAATCAAGTTAAGTTCAGGTAGACATCCGCTTGCAGATGCCCTTCCCATCTCCCCATCGCCATTCCAGGGAAATTGACCACATTTTACCTGGTGTTTCCCTTGTACTATGTACATACCTCTTTTCTCTCAGCTATTATGTTGTACTGTGTTGCTTTTTGTTTCTTAAATACCTTTTCTCCTATTAGAATGTGGATCCTAGTGGTAGGGATTATGTTTTATTTCTCTCTGTACTCCAACTTCTTGCAGAGAATGCAACTGCTTGTTGAAAGAATTATATCAAATAATGCCCAGGTTTCTACTTTTCCACTCATATTCACAAACAAAGAGAAGAGGGTAGTTGGCACAGCCATCTATGATGATAAGCAAAGACAGTGAGAGACAGAAGAACTACAGCTGTTCCATTATGTGCCAGTTGTGATGATCACAATAACTTGTCTAACATGTTATATTTTGTCAGTCAAAACTCCCAATGCCTAATCATTTTTTCAAAGGTAGGCTTAGTTTAGTAAGAGCATTACATTTATTCAAAATACCTGTTTAAATACTTTTAGTAGTATCTTTTGTTGCACTGCTCAGTAGAAGCAGATGAAATATCTTAGAATCCCAATTGGGAGGAAATCTTTAATTCCCACACTAGATTGTCTGCTACATAGATCATCACCTTTCTTCTACTTCCATAAGCTTTTCAGGATCTCTTGACTTATTCAGTTTTTTAGGATCAGTGGAAATCTTGCTTAAAAAAAATACAGAAAACATATGTTAGTCATTTGGGACCAAGGAGAGTGAGACATTCATGGGAAACATTTAAATGATGTGTAGATGATGAGAACAACTATCCCTCGGCACTACTGACACTGTACCCTTCAAGGACTCAGGGCATTTGGAGAGATTAGAGAGACTGGTTAATGCTTTCATATGTGTAATTATGTGCAGATCAATTCTTTAGTTTACATGTGGGTGCTGGTAATGCTCACAAGAAAGAAAGTAATGGGAAGTACAAAACAAAATTCTTGGGCTGTGAGCTCTCCTGGGAAGGAAGATGGATTTATGATTTGCTGTGCCCCTGTCCCTGTTAACACCAAATGGAAACAATAGAGATTGTTAATTCAATAATTATCAAATGCATTAAACGTGACTTTTTATTACTCTCATTTTGGAGTATTGCATTTTATTTTTTAGGTTTAATACACTTTTATACAGGGAGTCCATTTGGGGATTTCAACCTTAAAATCTGACAGAGTTCATCTGTAGCAGAGTAAATGCAAATAATATTCAACCCAACTTGTAAAGGACAGTATGTGTGGCTTAAGAGCAACTTATGATAGAAAAAGAAAGCCCTAGTGTATTATGCACAGAAAAATCTCATTACTTTCTATTGATGGATGATGTTTCTTTGCAAAGCTGTTCTGCTCCTTACTAAAATGAGCAAAGGTACTACAAATTCAAAATTTTAAGGTGGGAGAGAAAGGGACTTAGATTTATGCACAGCAAATGCGTGGATGATTTAGGCAAACCCAAAGGACAAAGAAAGTTGACAAAGCCACATGAAGGATATAGACATCCAATCATTTAGCATTTATTGATTTAGTTTCCATCTGCAGCACAGCTTATCATTTATAATACCTCACCCTCCACTGCTACTGAATCACAGTACTTCTAAAGTTGGCTCTAAAATTCTTATTGACTCCATAGACCCTGCCTCAATCACATATCATTTGCATTTAGAAACTTTAAAGATTTGCAAGGTCTCTCAGGGACAGCAAGCAGATGTAAAAAAGCATGAAAAGGAGCTGAAGTGGTGACAAGTGAGGCATGAAGGATTGGAAGAACAGGACTAAAAGGAAACAAGTGTGAAAATATGGAGGAAAGCTAGACCCGGCCACAGTAGGAGGACATCTGAAAACCCAATTGCAGCAGAAACAAATGAGTTTGGCCAATATCCATATACTAAAGGCAGATTCTTTGTTTGCTTAACTTACTTTAGTGAATGTACCATTAACAAATTAGAACTGCTAATCATTTGATTTGTGAAGCCCCACAGTTTGATTTAACAGCTCTGTGCTTGTGGTAATACCCAAACCCAAAAGGATTAAATTATAATGTAGGATCTTAATCTGATGAGTTACTTTGAAAGTTTAATTATATTTGTGCAACAGTAATTTAAAGAATTATAACAGGGCTTTTACAATATCCTTATTAATGATAGGGTTTGTTCTGGTTTTCCTCTTCAGCCAAATTTTTCTCAGGGCACAGTATATTGGTAACAAGCTTAATAACTGGTTTTAGAATATAGTATCTATCATTTTATGACACTGGGTCAATTTCCAGTCTTTAAATCTACATTTCCTTGTCTCTAAAATGGTGACAACAGCAGCCTCTATCTCATAGGTAACTAATAGAATTAAATGAAATAACAGTTTAAAATTTTTATTCATTGCCAAACATAATTAGCACTCAATAAATGTTAGCTGTTCCTGCTACTGTTATCATAAGGCTCATCTCAGGCACAATATGTTTAAGGAATGTTCCCATTTGGGAATACATTGTATAAGAATGAGGAGATCTGTTTAAATGCTGCACCTTCGAAGATAGAATTGTTCCCACAAAAAAAACTATGAACTAATATTTACTTAATTCCCTTCCCCCAAGTCCTGGGTTATCTAAGGTAAGGCACTTAAGCCCCTGTTTCTTTATATCTATTCACATTAGAAAACATAACACTGTGTGCTTCAAAGAATTCCTTTGATAAATATGAAATAATGACTTTAAATGGTTTAGAAAATATCAAGTACTTATGCCAGACTAAATGATATTGACCTAGAAACATATTTAGCAATTATGCATAGCTTAGATAAGATAGAGAAATTATTTAAATCTTCTTCACCATACTGCTAAAGATTTTCAGGTTATAGCTTATTTATTTTGATTAGTTTTATCTCTATCTAAACATGATAAACAGATAAAATAGCATGCCTTTGAATCTTATGCTGACACTAACAAAATATGTGAAATAAACAGTATAATAAATGCCAAATGTCTATTTAAATATAATAAATTTTCATGTGATTTTTCTTAAAATCATCTGGCTTTCTTCTGAGGCTTTGGGAATTGTTCTTATCATGAGAACATAAATTCTAATACGTGCTAACAACGGATACTAAGATAATACAATTCTTTTTGAAATATACACAAATAAAAAACATTTTAAAGGCATACAAATGGTTTTCCGTTAAGTGTGATTTTCAAGAAACACTAATACCTATTCTCTAACCATCAAAGAAAAAGAACTCCAGGGGAGCAAAAAGAAAATCCATTTTTCAGCCTCAAACAAGGGAGAAACCATCTGTGCTAAATCATAAAACAAATGCACTGAAGTTTATATCAATATACACATGGGAAGGAGGTTATTTACTCTGTGGAGGAAAAATCCTCGTTATATTTAATCATGTGAATTTCATAGGCAAGTAGATTCTAGACTATTTTTATGTTTTTAAAAAATGCTTAAAGTTTTCATCTTAAAGAAATATAGTCAATCCAATGTCAGTTAAACCCCTCAAATAGAGCTAAGTTCAGGAACCTCCTTATCTCTATCCATAATGTTCTGAATTTAAATTCTGCAGGGGGATGTTAGAGAATGTGTTATTCACATCTTTTCAAGTTAATTCCTTCTCTCTAGCAATCTTTCACATCATCCTTTTTGCACATTAACTGATTCTGCTTATAAACTCCCAAAGGCCTAACCCAGATTAACTAAGAAAGAATGCAAAAAACACTGCAGTAAGAAAGTGCTCTAGAAGGCATCATTGCTTTTAATTAGGTTACTTATAAATAGTTCCTAATAGATAGGTTTGGATATCTGAGATATACTCAAATAACAAGACATTTCTATATTGGAGCTCAGAATAAAGCTGGTCCATCTTTGGCCCATTCAAAGGTGTTTATGCCTGAAGTAATAAAGGGCCCTTGTTATAACTCTATCCTATGGTAAAAGGTTCAAGGATAGCTTTCTTACAAAGTCACAAACTGTCTCTCTGTGAAATACTAAATTTGTAGAAAAGTAGAATAAGGAAAAACTTACTGAAAAGCCATTGCAATAAAATTCAAAATAATTTGCTAATGTTTGAAGATGAAGAGGCCGACTTAATAATTAATAAGCATTTAAGTTGAAGTTTTCACATTCATAGAAATTTTTCTAATCAAAATTTTAATTTATAATGTTAGCCTAAATAGGAGTTTTGCTGCCTTGGTGAGGGAAGAAATGGTTCTCTAACTTTCCAAGATTATGAAGTTTAACTGGAAGGAAAGCACTTCCTAGAATTGAAGAATTTCTCTCAACAATTTAATGAATAACAAAATGTCTCTGAAAGTTACACCCAACAGTAAGAGTAGCCTGTATAACTAAGTTAAGGGAAAAATTGAAAGACAGAGGCACAAAAAAAAATTATAAATGTTTTGGAGTTTTTATTAAACATGGACTAAAGGTATTTCTAGAATTCTAATGGGCTATGCCCTAAGAATCTGCATAAATGAATTTTATACCCATGGTCTGCACTGTGTTCATCAACATTTGTTACATGCTGAGATAAATCTATAAAATATATTCATTCTTTGCATTTAAAACTTCACTCCACCAGAATAACTTTTTATTTCTCCACTAGTCTTTATGAATACTTTAACATTCATTTCCATTGTGTAAATGAAAAGCCAGCTTGTTATTTGGTTATATGCAAGATTCATAAAGTTTTATTTCTGAAATAACATCACTTCTAAACTCTCCTTCCTTATGCATTGTTGACTTCAGTTGAATATCTGACATTCCCTCACGTCTTGTTTATGATCTACAGATGTGAACTTTCTGCAGGACCTTGATGAGCCAAAAAGTTACACAAACTATCTCAGAGAACTTTCATTTTTTCACCCAACATTCAGGAAGCAGGTACCTACTGAATACCTCCCATGTAATGGTCCTTTGCTAGATGCCAGGGATACAGGAGTCAATATACTGATCTGGTGGTTCCCGCCCTCCAGTAGAACATACTTCAGTGAAGGAGACACATCTAAGGGCTGTTGTAACGGAAGATAGGCTCTTTGAACAGAATATGAAATTTAATTTGTCCAAGGCAGTTTAAACTGCCTTTATTCTTTGCATCCCTAAAATACATAATCAGCTTTATTGGCTCAGGATATTGGGCTACGTGCTAAAAGAACAAGCCATTGAGTTGAGGATTTTTTGTTTACAGATAGGAATACCCATAAAATAATACTCTGGTTTTGGGGGTAAGAGTCTTATTTTTTAATTCATTTCTTCAAATTTCTATTTTAATATGATTTTGAGTAACTTACTAAATTTAACATCTAAAACTAGAACAGAGGTGGTAAATAGGTGATGCACATACTTCCACTTCTTTCTCCCCATCAGAACAAACATCAGTAATTGATAACAGCTTTTGTTATGATGAACAGAGATATGATCTTATCATCCTTCTCAAGGCAGCACTTCAAGTACTGCTATTAATTAACCAGTTGAAGAAATGAACCGTCTTTTACCATATCTTACTGGAGGATAAGTTATTCAAGGGCAGCACTAACATTTTCACCACTGAAGTCAGTACATGTTTTACCCGTAGTGGGTATTCAAAACTGTACAAATCCTAGGAGAACCGAACTTAGAGAGAGACATGAACTTATCCAATTCAACTCTCTCATGTTACAGAGGAATTTGGGACCTGGGTGACTAGTGATATATGTGGAAATAGGTCTTTCCCTTGCTGTGGTGTCTGTTTTTAACGGCTTCACCAACACATGGCTAACTCTTGACTTTCCGAGATTCCACTGATGTATCCTTTCTTCCTACAGTCACCCCTGGTTAGAAAGCAAAGGTTGTCAGCTGGGCGTGGTGGCTCACGCCTGTAATCCCAGCACTTTGGGAGGCTGAGGCGGGCGGATCACCAGGTCAGGAGATCGAGACCATCCTGGCTGACATGGTGAAACCCCATCTCTACTAAAAATACAAAAAATTAGCCAGGCGTGGTGGTGGGCGCCTGTAGTCCCAGCTACTCCGGAGGCTGAGGCAGAAGAATGGCATGAACCTGGGAGGCGGAGCTTGCAGTGAGCCGAGATCGCGCCACTGCACTCCAGCCTGGGCGAGAGAGCGAGACTCCCGTCTCAAAGAAAAAAAAAGAAAGAAAGAAAGAAAGCAAGCAAAGGTTATCATCTCATATTTGGTACTTCTATGACACTATCTATAGACTTCGATTTCCCCCTGTCTTGCAATTCTCATAATCTGTAGGTGTCTCCTACTCCCTTAAGCTACAGTCTCCTTGAGTGATTACATCTTATTCATTTCTGCATACCATGTATCTGGAACTACATGTGGCATGTAGCAGAGGCTCAATAAATATTTTTCAAAAGGATGAATAAATGGAGGCATGAATACAAAGCCATTCTCAATTTAGAAATAACCTATGTTTTAAAAAATATTGCTAAGTACTTTGTAAATTTAAACTACACTTACCCCAGAAACAAATTTACAGAGGGCTATGCAATCACGTAACATGGATCTATAAGCCTGTGGCAATGTTTCAATACAGAAGAGGGTGGAGTCAGGAAGGACTTGCTGCAAGAAGTGGTACCTCCACTAAGTTCAAAATTATGGGATTTTAAAGAACTTCCTTCATTCTTACAAGGAGAACACCATTTGATTCAAAGAGTTGGGAAGTATATCAAGTCCTTGGAAATAATAAAAATGCATTTGCCTTGAAGAAGAAAATGGTGGGACAAATGGGACCAGGAGAAGTAAGGATAGTGGAGAAGGAGGGAAAGATGACAGTTGTTATTGATTCAGGGATGCATGAAAGAAAAAATAATTCAGGAATTTTAATCAAGCAAAATAAAACACACCTTACAAGTTAGAATGGTCCAGGCCTGATGGAGAGCTCAGAATAGACAGAGATTGTGCAAAGAATAGGAGGAACTGAACAGTCAAGATGCTAGATTCAATCAGAAAAGTTTGATTCTAATGACGCTAACATGTTCTCATTAATATAACACTAAATATTTATTAAGTGTTTTCACTTATGTTACCTACCATACTTTGCAGAGAACAAAAGCAAGTCAAGATTTACTAATGGTTTGCCCAGAGTCATCAAACAAATAAATGACAGAGTCAGGACCCACATTTAGATCTTCTGATACTACATTTTCTGCTCATTGCACATGTCAACCATACAAAATACCATAGAAGAGGAGAATAGTAAAGAGGAGATAGGTAGTATATCAGTACAGATTATCTGGTTTAAATCTCTTTGCTTTTCGTCTACAAAATACTAGTCAAATTTTGCTTTCAGCTATTTTAGAGTGTTTATATCTGTTTATTTTCCTCCAAAAAACAACCACAGAGTCCTCTCTGTCTTTAAAGAAAAAAAAAATTAAATCCCTTGAGTCTTTTGTGCATTAATAGAATAAGGAAGAACAAAAGGGAGACTTTTTATTCTGAAGTGTACATATCATATAACAATTTTAAGGTTTTACCAACTAGGCTCCCAATTAGGTATTTTCCATGTATAGCAACACTTTGCAGAGTTTCTTGTTCTCTGGTAATTCCATATCATTTATTAAAGATGAGGCAACCAACTACTCTTCCACATAAACATCTCATATTGAATTACTTTTGTATCCCAAGTTTCAAGAGTGATCTTGTACCTGTCCTCCTTAGACTGATAAAAGATGCCAGGAGTAATTTATACAAGAAAAGAAAAAAAGAAATGGCATTGCAAGAAAAAACAAATAATAGGGTTAAAATAGGACTCCATGCAATCTTTCATCCTTAACTGGTTGAAGATTTCCAGATTTTCTAGATTTTGAAAGAAATATAAACTAATCATGATTTAACTTATTAACCTGTGCTTAAGTTCCAAATCAAACAGCTAAATTTAAGGAAAGTTAGATGCCAGGAAAGTGGAAATAGGAATGATGGTAAGGGCACTTTGAACAAATATAAACTCTGAAAATAATGACTAGATGGTAGTAAAAATGGAATAGGTTACCAAAAGGTGCATTAGATATTCCTTAGTTAAATTTGGAATGAGGTTGCTATACATTTTTGGGGAGGAAAGTACATAAGAGTAGTATTCTTGTATGAATTGACTGAATTGAGGTAACAAGTTCCATTAGATAAGAATTCATACTTGACAATGATAATTGTGACTAGAATTGTTTGTATAAGAGCAAAGCATGTTTATTATAGAGAAATTTTAAAGTGAAAATATTTAAAATGTCTTTGCTAAATATACATTGGCTTTGGAACAGTCTTAGTGGTTTCAAGTTGTCAGAAAGTTTAAGATGACAGAGTACATTCTTTTGCATTGTTTCATGAATGGAAGAGAAAACAGGTTTTCAGTGTTGACTAAAAACTTGGTTAAAACCATGGTTGTATCACGGTCAGAAGCATGAGTTTTGGAGTCAGACAGACTTGGGTAAATCTGACTCTGCTTCATCAGCTGTATGATCTTGCAGAAGTTATTTAAACTCCCTAAACCTCCATTTACTTGTCTGCAAAAGAAGGGGTAATAATATCCAGATTTGTTGAAAAGATTAAATGAGATAAAGCATTCCACAAACTTAGCAAAAATCCCTGTATATGAAATTACAGTAAAGACCTCCAAGAACTGCATAACGTGCTCCCTGCTTCTCCTCTGCTCATCCAACCCAATCCCAACCTCAGTAAGTTTTGCCAGACTTACCTTCTTTCTGTCATCTAAACATACTAAGCCTGTTCAGATTCTGCCCTTTGTCCTGTCTGGAAAGCTTTTCTCTAAGTCTTTGCATGGCCAACTCCTTCCCTTCATTCAAGCCTCAGATGGGATTCCATCGCAACAGACATTTGCCCTCTCATCATGCTAGGTAGAAGAGCTCCTTTCCATCTGCTGTTCTTCCTAAATCCCACCACCCTTTGTTGTTTACTTCCCAGCACTCATCACTACCTGCAATTCTTACTTATATATTTGTTTTCATGTTTATTGTCTATCTCACTATACCAGAATGGTTGCTCCATACAAGTAGGAACCTCATCTGTCTTACCAAATATAATAGCACATTTGGCAGAGATTAGCTTAATACTCACCAAGTTTGTTTCCTCTCTTCCAAGAAATATGGCTATGCCACATTTCCCACTTTCTTTGAAATCAGCATGACCATATAGCTGAGTCCTAGAATACAGAATGTGGAGGCAGTGATGTGTGCCCCTTCAAGGCCAGATTCACAAAGACCTCTTAATTGCAATTCTCTATTCTCTCATCCATTCTTTGCTAATTGAAATGAAGAGGTTCCTGGGGATTGCCCCGAGGCCCAAGGGGGTTGCAAGTTTGGGATATATAATGAAACTAGTACCCTAATTCCTGAGTGGAAAACTTCTGACCCCCAAATGGACTTCACATGAATAATAAATAGATTTCTATTTTTGTTTAGCCTCTGAGATTTTTTAATTTATAACAGCAATCGGCCATGTGAATAGCAGAACAAATACACTATAGGACCTAGAAAACTGCCTGGCACATAGTAGGTCCTCAATAAATGTGCAACAGATATTAGTTAAATAAGCAAAATAATTAAATTAATGGTATTATGTGTCATATTATATCAAATATTTAGCCCTAAACTATATTCTTTCAAAGTGGGTCAAAGACGACAATATCAGTGTGCAGTGAGAAATTCCATTCAGATGACTCTTAGAGACCTCCAAGATATATATATAATACTTAAGATTCAGAAAACTACACATCCTGGGTTTAGAAATGTAGTGACTATTAACATAAAAATGAAAATCAAAGAGATTTTGGTGTATAGTGTTACTCATTTCCCACATGGACATTTCCTGTTTGGGATCATAAAGGGAATATGAAGGACTCGTAAAAACCTAAATGAATTGTGCCATAAATGTTAACGACCACTGATAGCAATGTTGAACATCATACCAAAGCAATGCTGCTACAGGGTAAATTTCTGCTGTGGTACCTGAGAGTGAATGCAAAGCCAACATCGGGTCCAAATGTGTATCTGTTAAATATGCACTACCTCTTCCCTCACAAAATGAGGCTACATCTTTATTCAAGTCCATCAATAAAAATATTTGCCAACATAAGTTTCATTTGTTTAAACAAGACAGACCTCCCACCCTGAAGAGTCAGATTCACTAAATATTCCTATGTGTTTTAATTATTAAATCCCAAAGTGACAAGTACCCTTTCAGTGTGATCTAGATGACCACAAGAAGTCCATGACACTTATCCTTAGGTTTCAATAACATACACATCTTGGGAAAATTAAGAAATTTACACTCTCAATTTAGGAAGCTGTGGAAGGTTAGGAGCATCAGGTCTATAGTATAATATATGCAAACTATCAATCAAGGAGAACAGTTGGCTAAATTAAATATGTGTATATATTTTCACACAGGTGGTTTGGCATAGATTTGTTGAGTCATGTACCATGTCTATTTTCATTCTTTTCAGCAAACTCTTTTAAGAACTTTTATTACTTGTGGGGCCATATGAACTCAACAAACTGAGAATTGAAGTAATTGCTATCATCGGAGTGTTCCCTCTGCCAGATTAGGTTGAGGCATTGAGGCTACTCAGAACTGGAGAATTGGCTCAGCAAACCCTGCACTGAATTGCTGCCAAATGCATTGGCATTTGAACCCCTTGGATGTGATCATTAAGCTTTAGAGTGGTAATCCTTTTTTATGTGCCACTGTAGAAATGAAAAAAAAAAAAAAAGCACTGAGGTTTTAATTTTTAAAAAGTATTTTACAAATATGAGAAATTATAAAGCATATATGTAAATACTTGTGTTGATATCATCCAGCTTCAGAAACAGAACATTACCAGGAAAGTTAAGATACCTTTATACTTTCCTTAGTGTTTCCTCTTAATTTGAATTTTATAATTTTCCTGGATTTTATTTATGCCTTTGTTACATTTGGTCATAACACTTACAAATATTTTCACTAAAAGCTTGCTCTCTGGAACAGCGATTAGAATCTTGAATATATGACACCTGTTTAAGTACTTTTGCAGCAATAAATAGATAAGCATTTTGTTGTGCTTCATTTTGTTTAATTTGACATCTGTTGATTTAACGATTTGTTAGAAGGATGTAATGGATCAGATGAGATAACACTGGTGAAAGTGTTTTGAATATTTGCTATTTTATTTTATTTTAAAACACCCAACTAAAGGTTTCAGGCAGCAAACCCAAATTTGTTTGTTTTTAGCATGGTTAGGTTTGTGATTTTGTAGATGAAGTACAAATAGCCACAAAAATGCCATTTTGCAGGTGATACAAATTTAATTCTATTGCTCTTATGATGAAAATACAACTGCAGTGAAATGGCAAGCATCTCTTCAGTTACACTGCTTTACATTATCACTCTACGTTTATTCATGGAAGGAACTCAAATGTTAAAAAGTTATAAATAGCTGAGAAACATTCAAAAATGAGGTTGGCTAATGCAGTGAGAAAAGAAATACAAATTAGAACAAAAGAATACTATTTCCCCTAAAACTGACAAAAGTCTACTTAAGCGACAGTATCTAATGTGAGCTAGAGTGTGATGAAGCATACCCTTGTCAACTTTGGTGATAAGGCAATTTAGCATTTCCAAAAAAATTTTAAGTGAAAATACCATTAGTCATAGCAATTCTACTTCTCTAATACAATTATAAGGAAGCCATATCACAAACATATGGAGATATATACATACTGACATGTACATATACACATACACATATATACACTATGTTACATACACCTGCATTCATTATATCATTATGAAATTAAAGAACAACTGGAAAACACCTTTTGGTTCCTAATAAGGGAAGATTTAAATACTTTACTGTAAAGCTATATTATTATACTTTATGCAAAAATCAAAAGGAAGATATATTCTATATTTCTAGCAAGAAAAGAAGGTTCACATATGTTGTTGATTGAAGAAAAGGAAGTTCCAGACTAATAAAGGTGACGGGCTTCCCTCTTTGATAAGTCCTATGTGTCCTATCTATCTCGACAGAATTCTATCAGGAATAACACTGTACTTGTTCCACAGAAATTGTTTGATAAGCTTGTCTGGAATAGAATCTGAGTTAAATGTGCCATTGTTCTTCCCCAGATAACTTTTTGGAGTCTCCATAGATCATACAAAGAGAGAACAGAGAAACAAGGCAACAAATTGGGATACGCTGCAACACTCTGCACTGAACATCTGACTTCAATTAGCCAACCCTCAATTTCCAATACAAAAATCACAAAAGGATTACCAAGGGAGAATTTATAATGGAAAAGAGGTGAAAAATGGCTTCTTTGCTTTGATTATCCTGTAAGGGAGACAGACGAAAGAAGAGACAATCACCATCTGCCTTGTGGTAAAAAAATAATTTCTCAAACAACACAGAAAATGTATTACTCATTTTAAAGAGAATTTTACTGCATTCAGATTAAGAACGCTGTTTATCAAAAGGCACCATAAAAATGAAATATAATGAAGAAATTGATAGGAGATATTTGCTACATACAGAGCTGACAAAAGATTATTATCCAGCTCTATAGAGAAACCCTACAAATCATAAGGAAAAAGACAAATATTGCAATATAAAAATGAAGAGAAGGTAGCACAGCATTTCACAGAAGAGGAAAAAAGGCTCATGTTCAACCACAAGTTATAATATAGCCACAATCTGCCTAGACAATTTGATTATGCTACACCCTACAACCCAGCAATACCAATGCTTGGTATAGACAACATGTGGATAAGAAAACAGGGATTCAGCAGCACTGCTCATTATATAGTAAAAACAAGAAACAGCCTGCATTCCCTTCAACATTAAAATGGATAAATCAATCACAATGTATTCAGAAAATGAATTATATACAATCAAATGAACTATAGCTAATCACATCATAATGAATGGATCTCAAAAAGCATAATGTTGACCAAAACCAAAAAGATTATGAAAATACCTGTAGTACCTTTTGCATTGATACAAAGTTCAAAATGAGTCAACAATATATTTAGGTATCTGTAAGTGGCAAAACTATGAATAAAGGCAAGGAAATGCTTAGTAGAAAATTCTGGATTAGGGTTACCCCTGGGAGATGGAAAGGGGATGCTTTAAAGGGGAATAAGAGAGCTTCAAAAGTGTTGACAATATTCTGCCTCTGCAGCTGGCTGTTGGGTTTAGAGGTGTACAGTTTACTACATTTTTGTTTTTATTAGTAGTATCTAAATACACGTCAGTTTAAAGAGCTACTGAAGAATAACCATCGACAACTAAAAGGTATTTAGGAGGAAGTTTGAATTTTCACTTTAACTTTAAAATATATTTTAAAAGTTTGAGTGTTTGTCCCAAAAGAATCTGTACCAATTTTTGTAATTGAAAGAAAAAAAAAAAGGTCGATTCAGCCTTATTGGGTCTTCATACACGAGTGATTACAGAGATGCTCCAATGAACTCAGCTGATAAGTTGATGTAATTTAAGTTCATTGCCTGTGACTACCACAAAGCTTGGTCTTAACAGATTGCATTGAAAGCCTCTTCATCAACGTGATTGATAGAATTTGCCTTCCCTGAAAGGGTGAAGGGAGCTAATCAGAAGCACTTTTGTTTTTAAGCTTAAAATTATTTTACTTTTCAAAAGGGACTCCTTATAATGTAAATACATTTTGTCATTGTTTCTATCAAAGACTCAGCTTTATAAGATTGTGTTTAGGAGGCCTCACTCATAGATAAAAAAATAACAGATAAAACTAGTAATGTATGTCAGCCACAGCATTTAGAGCACCACTGGTCATAAAACCTTTCCATCTCATGTGCCTTTTGTAAGAATGGTGCCATGTTTGGAAAAAAAAAATCTTGAAATTCTTCTCATGTGTCAGATTCCCTATTATAAAGAGAGTTTAATCTTGCCCCAGTGATCATAACCAAACTGTATAAGACACCATGCTAGCAACTAAAATATTTGAATCTAGCTTATTTCTATAAGTTAATATTTTATTGATAATTTTAAAATTTACTATTTAATGTGACATTTATTGCATTTAATCAACTTCAATGTTAATTTTTAATAATTATCACGGCAGGAGATTTTTTTAAAAATCAAACATACGAAACTGGGTAGAACAGCATAAAATACCACAGCCTGGATTTCCAACAATGTCTTATGAAATTTAACCATCTGCCATGGGAGGTATAGACCCAGCCCAGATGGATGGCTGAATCCTTTCCCCAGAACATCTGTTTGGAACACTCAGAATTAAGTAGTATCAAGCCATGCATTATGGAAATGGTGTAAGGGACTATTAGGAGAGAGGAAAGGTCATGGGAAGGGATACTCCATCATGGCTAGGAACTAAATGAAGGGAACGAAGTATACCAGATGAAATCTTAGTCTTTCATACCATGTGTGAAAAATAAAAGTCATAAGGGAGAGAAGCAGAACAGGAATCTCAATTTTATCTGGAAAACACTGCTACTTGGAAAAAAGCATATGAAAAAAATAGCGTTTAAATCTTAGACCTTACTATAATTGACTAAATCTTGGCACAGTTTTAATGCTTTCCTTGTCTTGGTCTACTAAAGCATGAATGTTAAACAGCAGATAAAGGAGAAAGGTAGAAATTTCCAGGCAGACACAAATAAGTCTTTTTGTACCTGAGGGGTTCTCAACAGTTTAAAGCCTGAGTCTCAGGGTCTTAAAAACAGATGCCACCCTAAGAGTATAAACTGGGAGTCTGTAAGCCTTCTTTGAAGACCCAAATTGAAATTGATTTCTTTCCTATTTTAATATAATTTGTATTTATTAAGTGATTTATAAATAGTAATTCTGTGTTCAACAGCTTTACACATATTATCTCATTAAATTCTCACAATGACATTAAAAACCAATGTATAATTGTCTTATTACATAAAGAAGGAAGTTGATTCTGAGACATTCGATAACTTTGCTCCAGGTCAAACAGCTAGAGCATTGATAGTTTGGATATGCAGCCAACTCAGACTGGTTCCAGGGTCCCAATGTTTAACTATAACATGCCTGCAATTTCCTCAAATTATAGTGTTTAAAGGGCCCACATTTAATATTTGGGCATCATTGGTTTAGAACCTTGCTACCATCATCTAATATCTGTCTGTTTCCTCAGTTCTCTTCTCCACTAGATTTTAAGCAACTTGAATATATGGACACTTTATAACATTCATCATTCCCTTCATCTTCTACTCTACCCCCTGTTGTTGTGCCCACCCAACACAATGCCCAACAGATAGCATGAACTCAAGTAATGTTTGCTGCATTGATGACATGACCTCATTCAAAGTTCAAGAGCATTGAAGGGGTCATTGCTAGGACTCAGCTTCTCCAAAAATATATGAATCTAGACAACTGAAAAAGTATCATCAGGATGCAAATACATTTTCATGAATCAAGTCCTGGCCTCTGAAGAATTATATAAAAGAAGGGACAAAGTTTACGACAGGAAAACCTGTGTGTTCTCCCAGAGCCATGTGCAAATGAGCACTGACAAACCATACATATGACCAAGAATCACAGATTCTTTTAAAATATTAAGAATATTTTAATATTATAATCACAGAAAAGAATACAAATTCTTTTAAAATATTATATAAATAGGAGTTGACTTTTAGTCTATAATTTTAAAAATTTTGTTTCAAGAAAACTGTATCTTGTAGGAAATACCGCAGGGCATGTTGGGGGAGGCAAAATAGCATAGGTTTGGGCACCTATAGCAAACACTGTTGGTTATTTTCCAATAGTCATTCCCCCTTCTCAGCACTTATGGAATCCTGAACCTATTTAGTTAACAATGTACTAAGGCTGAACCCTGCAGCACCTCACACACTACTGTAGACCCAGGGTCCAGACCAGCTCCAGCATATCCAGAATCTACATCTGTCCCAATAGACCTTAGTATTGGAGTAGGCCCACAGACCCTGGATTTAGGACTATCTCTGTATACCCAGGTCCCAGGCCAGCCTCCCAATACCTTAGGACCCAGGCCATCCTTCAGAGACCTAGCCTCTAGGCCAGCACCGTATAAACCCAACATCCAGGCAGGTTATCAGTGGCAAAGGCTCCAGGCTAGGCCCCATAGTCCCAGCCTCAGTCTCAGGTAAGCCACAGTGGCTCCAGGTACTAGGCAAGCACTGGGAATCCTAGGCTCCAGACTAATCCCCTCAGACCCAGGCTTCATGCCAGTTCCAGCATCAGGCCAGCCCCAGGCCCCTGTCCAGTCCATGCAGTCCCAGGTTCCAGAAAACTCAGGGTTCAGGCTTCCTTCAGCAGACCCTGGGTCCAGGCCACTCCCTCAAGAACTCAGGTTCCAGGCCTATCCTATTCAGCCCAGGTGCCAGGCTCACCCCAGTGCCAGGCAAGCCCTTAAAGACTCAGACTGAAGGCACATGCTAGTGGACTTAGGCTCTATTCCTATCCCTGCTGGGATGGTTAATATTAGGTGTCAACTTGACTGAATTGAAGGATGTCTGGATGGCTAGTAAAGTATTACTTCTGGGGTGTCTGTGAGGGAGCTGCCAGAAGAGATTGGTATTTGAGTCAGTTGCCTGGGAAAGAAAGACCCACCTTCAATGTGGTTGGGCATCATCCAATTGGCTGCCAAAGCAGCTAGAACAAAGCAGAGGGAAGAAGGTGGATAACTTTGCTTGTTGAGTCTTCTTTTTTCTTCTTCCCATGCTGGACACTTGCTTCCACTCCTCCTACCCTTGGATATCAGACTGTAGGTTATTTGGCCTTTGGACTCTGGGACTTGCACCAGTAGCTTCCTGGGAGCTCTCAGGCCTTTGGCCATGACTGAAGGCTACACTGTTGGCTTCCCTAATTTTGAGGCTTTCAGACTTGGACTGGCACACTATTGGCTTCTCTCTTCCCCAGCTTGCAGATGGCCTATCGTGGGACTTAGTCTTTTCATCGGGTGAGCCAATTCTCCTTAATAAACTCTCCTTTATATATACCTATATCCTTTTGGCTCTGTCCCTCTGGAGAACTCTGACTAATATACCTGCGGACCAGATCAGTAAGTCTACCCCAGTGGCTCCAGGATTCAGGCTCAACTGCATGTAACCAGGCATCAAGCCAACATACCTGCTGATTCAGGCACCAAGCTGGGTTACTACAGGAAATCCAAGCCTGGAGCCACTGGGGTAGACTTACTACCTAAGGACTCAAGGAGGAAACTCACTCTCAGACTATACCAGAGACATGCCTAGAATCTCTAAATAAGCTGACTACTACTAAAGAGCTTACCCAGAAAAAGTGAGTCTGTAAAAACTGGAACAAGTCCCTAATTCTTTAATGCATAGACATAAATGTAAGGCAACAAGAAACACACAAAAATAAGAAGACGTAACACCACCAAAGAACACAATCTGCTAGAAGCAGACCCCAAAGAAATAGCAATATACAAATTGCATAACAAAGAATTCAAAATAGTTATTTTTTTAAGAAAGCTAAGCAAACTTCAAGAAAATAAAGAGAAATAATCCAAAAAAAATCAGAAAAACCACAAACGACCAGAACAAGAAATTTAACAGAGAGATTAAAGACATTTTTAAAGAGAAATTCTAGACCTTAATAATACAATGAGTGAAATGTAAACTGTGGTAGAGAGCATCAACAGCAAAATTAATCAAGCAGAAAAAAATAATCTGTGAAGTGAAAGACAGATGATTTGAAAATATATAGTCAGAGAAGAACAAAAAAGAATAAAAAACAATTAAAGCTTATAGAATTTATGGGATAGCATCTAAAGAGAAAATTATAAGAGTTCAAGAAGAAGACAAAATGGTAGAAAGCTTATTTAAAGAAATAATAGCAGAAAACTTTTAAAATGAGGAGAAAGATATGAATATTAAAGTAGAAGAAATGTCTCCATTCAGATTCAATCCAAATAAGACTACACCAAAATATATTACAATCAAACTGTAAAAAAGCAAGGACAAAGAGAGATCTTAAAAGAAGCAAATGAAGAGAAACAAATAACATATAAGGGAGTTCCCATAAGGCTAGCAGTGGATTTCTCAGCAGAGAATTTACAGGGCAGGAGAGGGTGAGATGATACATTTAAAGTGCTGAAGTACCTGGCAAAACTGTCCTTTAGAAATAAAGGACACATAAAGACTTTTCCAGATGAATAAAAGCTGAAGGATTTCACGGCCACAAGACCTGCCTTATAATAAATGTTTAAGGGAGTTCTTCAAGCTGAAAGAAAATGAAGCTAATTAGTAACAAAAAACATATGAAATTATGAAGCTCACTGGTAATTACACAGTCAAATCAAGAACACTCAATACTGTAAGAATGGTGTGTAAATCATTTATATCTTTAATATGAAGGTTAAAGTAATAACCATTACTATAAATTTTAAGGGATACATAATGTAAAAAGATATAAATTGTGACAGCAAATATTTAAAATGGGACCAGTCACAGTAGCTCACACCTATAATCTCTACACTTTGGGCAGCCAAGGTGGAAGAATCACTTGAGCTCAGGAGTTCAAGACCAGCCTGGGCAACAGAGTAAGACCTTATCTCCACAAAAACAACAAAATTTTAAATGAGAGAGTGAAGTAAAATCATAGTTTTTTAATGTAATAAAAGTTATTATCAGCTCAAAATAGCCTGTCATAACTATATGATACTCTTTGTAAACCTCCTGGTAAGCAAAAATCTATAGTAAATACACAAAAGATACATAGTAAAAAATCAAAGCATACCAGTAGAGAAAAATCACGTAATCATAAAGGAAGACAGCAAGAGAGGAAGAAAGGAATAAAGAACCTATGCGATAACCAGAAAACAATTAACAAATGGCAACAGGGAGTCATTACATATCAATAATTACCTTGAATGTAGATTATAAGAAAAGAGACCCAACTGTATGCTACTTAGAAGATACTCACTTTAGCTGTAAGAACACACAGACTGAAAGTGAAGGGATGCAAAAACATATTCCGTGCAAATGGAAACCAAAAGACATCAGGAATAGTAATTATACTAATATCAGATAAAGTAAACTCTAAGTCAAAAACTGTAAAAAGAAGCAAAGAATTTCATTGTATGATAAAATGGTCAGTCCATCAAGAGACTATAACAAAAATATTAATTTATATGTACTTCACATTAGACCACATAAATATATAAAGCAAATGTTAATAGATCTAAAGGGAGAGAGAGACTGTAATTAAAATGATAGTAATGAACTTAAATACCCTATTTTCAGCTACTGAGAGATAATTCTGACAGAAAATTAGTAAGGAAATACGAGACAAACTACCCTTTAGACCTAGTCGACCTAACAAACATACAGAACATTCCAACCCACAACAGAATATAGTCTTCTCAAGGGCACATGAAACATTCTTCAGGATAGATTCAGATAGACAGTCACAAAACATGCCTTAACAAATTTAAGAAGACTGAAATTATAACAAGTATCTTTTCCTACCACAATATATGGAATATATATATATATATATATATATATATATATATATATTTATATATGGAAACCAGAAATAACAGGAGGAATTCCAGAAAATTCACAAATACATATGAAGTAAACAACATGCTTTTGAAAACCAGTAAGTCAGTGAAGAAATTTAATGCCCCACCTTAAAAGAAAGCATACCAATAGAGAAAATCTCTTAATCATAAAGGAAGACAGCAAGAGAGAAAGAAAATGGAACAACCAGAAAACAATGAACAAAATGGCAGTCGTAAGTCATTACATATTAATAATTACCTTGAATTTAAATGGATTAAATTATCTAATCAAAGAATTAAAAGGGAAGAAATTAAAAGCGGTATTTAAAAACATCTTGAGATGAAAATGGAAACGAAACATACCCAAACTGGTGGGATGCCACAAAAGCAGTTCTAAGAGTAAAGTTTATAGCAATAAACACTTACATACATCAACAAAGGAGAACGATCCCAAATAAACAACCTAGCACTACACTTCATGGAACTAGAAAAACAGGAACAAACTAATCCCAAAGTTAGCAAAAAGCAGAAAATAATAAAGACCAGAGCAGAAATAAATGAAGTAAGACTAGAAAAACAGTAGAAAAGATAAACAAAATTAAGAGTTGATTTTTGAAAAAGATAAGCAAAATCAACAAATCTTTAGCTAGACTAAAAAAAAAAAAGAGATATGACTCAAATAAAATCAGAAAGGAAAAGAGGAGACATTATAACTTATACCATAGAAATATAAAAGATCATGAGACTACTAGGAAAAATTATATGCCAATAAATTGGATAGTCTGGAAGAAATTGATACATTTCCAGACACATGCAACCTACCAAGACTGAATCACAAAGAAATGGACTATCTGAACAGACTAATAATGAGTAAGGAGACGGAACTAATGAAAAGTCTTCCATCAAAGAGAAGCCAAGACCTAATGGTTTCACTGCTAAATTCTATCAAACTTTAAAAGATCTATTTCCAATCCTTCTCAAACTCTTTCAAAAAATTGAAGAAAAGGGAATGCTTTCCTACTCCTTTGTACAAGGCCAGCTAGCTTATCCTGATACCAAACCAGACAAGGACACTATAAGAAAAGAGAATTACAGGCCAATATCCCTGATGAACATGGATGCAAATATCCTCAACAAAATACTACCAAACCAAATTTCACAGCATACTAAAAGAAAAATGCTCAAAATCACTAATCACGAGAGACATACAAATTAAAACCACAATGAGATATTGTCTCATAGCTACAAGAATGGCTATTATCAAGAAGATCAGTGATAACAAGTGTTAAAGAGAATGTAGAGAAAGGGGAACCGTTGTCCACTGTTGGTGTACAGTCATTACAAAAAACCGCATGTATGTACACACATTTGTATACATACATATACACATACACAAAATGGAATACTATTCAGCCTTTAAAAAGAAGGAAATTCTAGCCTTTATGACAACATGGATGAACCTGGAATACATTATCCTAAGTGTAATTAGCCAGGCACCAGACAAATACATGATCTCACTTATTTTGTAGAACCTAAAAACATTGAACTCATAGACATAGAATAGAATGGTGGTTACCAAAGGCTGGAGTGGGTTAGAGGAATTGGGGAGATGGTGATCAGAGGATAGAAAATTTCAGTCATATGGTAAGAATAAGTTCCAGAGATCTATTGTACAACATTGGGGCTACAGTTAATAACAGTGTATTATACTCTTAAAAATTGCTGAGGGAGTAGATTTTAAGTGTTTTCACCATAAAAAATAAGTATATGAGGTAATACATTTATTAATTAGCTTGATTTAGCCATTTCACAACTTATACATATTTTAAAACATGACGATATACACCATAAATGTATATAATTTTTATTTGGAAATTAAAAATTTTATTTAAAATGTTTCTAAAAATTGTAGCACAAGGTAAAATCCCCTGCTTTCTTCCTACCTTCTTGGAGCACTGTACTATATAAATGAAAGGTTTAGAGTTGTAGGTTTCATCTCGTTTCAAAGAGACGTGACATCACCAACACACAGAGGATGGCAAAGAGGAAAGGCAGAACGAGCCTGTCTCTTAGATGATGTTGATCAACTGCTGCACCAAATGTAGACATAGTTATTGTTCCAGTTACTATTGCTGAAAAATAAACTATCCCAGGTTTAGCAGCTTAAAACTACCGCCATTTTGTTATGATCACTGTTTCTGTGGGAGAGAAACTTAGGTAGGACACAATGGGAAGGATTTATCTCTGCTCTCTCATTCCTAGGACTTTAGATGGGAAGACACCGATACCTGAAAGTGGCTCAGACAGTTAGATAATGTAATCATCTGGAGAGTCATTCATACTCATGTCTGGTACCTCAAGAAGTAGGCCCAAGAAACTATTGCCCAGAGAACCTACATGTGGTCTCTCCATGTGGCTTGGGGCTTCCTCATTGCATGGTGATTGGAAGAGTGTGGTGACAGTGTCCAGAGAGAATGCATTCAGAAGCTAAGCTTTTCAAGAAAACCACATAGAAGCTGCATAGCTTTTTCAAAGCTAAAATCACACTGCATCACTTCTACCACATTCTATCAATTAGAAGTGAGATACAAAGGCCAGCCAGTTTCAAGAACAGGGCTATGAGACCCCATTTCTTGGTTGGGAAATGGCAATATCGTATTGCAGACAGAAATGTGGAATGCGTGGTGTTATTGCAGCCATCTTTGACAAATATAAATGTGCACCCCTACATCCAGGCTTTTTATTAAGGCAGTTAATATAAACCTTACCATTAGAAGCCACTGTCAGTTGGATGTTCTGTTATGAGTAGCAAAATAATTTTAATTGATAAAGTTTGTTAACCCACCTTAAATGAAGTCAACCATGTTATTATCTGCCTTGTCTATTTAGTCTTGGAGATTTATGTTAGGGGAAAAAATTATAGGCTTAGATGTGCTATACAATGAAAGAGATACAGGTGTGCAGAGTATTTATTCTCTTGGCCTTTGGGAAAATTGAGCAGAGTTGGGGGCAGCAAGAGTTGTGAATTCTGAGCAGCTCCTTTCACTAAAAGTGGCCTCCATGATGTAAAAAAGGAAGCTTAGGAAAACTACCATTGAGCCAAGGTCTTCAAACTGTTCACATATGCCTAGAAGAATTTTGAAAAATTACATGCCCTGTATCCCATTTCTCAGTTATCTAAAAATCTCATTAAAAGTTTAAATAATTGCAAAAGATGTAAGTTAAAGACTTTCCTTCTCCCTTAGTACAGAGATACATACATGGCTGGAAAAGACTAGAAGCCCCATTGGTTTATGGTACCTGATTAATCATTACATGAGGCATCTCCTTTGTTGGTGCTCCCTGGAGAGATTTTAAACCCTGAAGCAGTGAAGCACAGTAAGATTTATGTGCAAGGAATATGCCTTTTTTTTGTAAAGGAGTGTGGTAGGGAGACCATATAATATAACTTCTAAACCTAAACACTTTTTAGAGTTAAAGGGGATATCATTAATAACTATACTAGGAAATAAGCATAAACTAGGAAAACTGGGGAATATGTTGACCTTAGCTATTGTAATACTGGTGAGTTTTCAGGCAAATCAGTTTACAAAAGAGAATTCACAGTATCTGGAGATCTGTTCATTATCTTTTGAAAACTGTCTATTGTCAGTACTTTTTGAAAAGTTTTCCATAGCTCCAAGAGTCTAGGTAGACCTATTATTAAGCTAGTATAGAGAAATACTAATTGTTAAAGTGTTGACACACTTCCACACATTAGTAAATAGAATAAAAGTAATTGGAATAACCAATGAAAATTAATAATCTAAATCCCAGCATTTGTGTATCATTTCAGAAACTATGAACAAGTAAGCTGTGATTCCAAGATATCTTTCTGGCTCAGGCATTGGAGCGCAGAGATAGAGGACCTGTGACAGAGGATTTGCTATTTATTTGCAAAGTTGGTAGGTCTTTGATGCATAAAGGTCCTCATATAGAAGAAAGGAGACTTCAACCTCTTCCTATCTTTTCTATACACTTCAAAAACAAAAAATCAAAAACAAAAAACGCATGTCCCTATCCATGGGGAAAAGCATGGTCTGGGCTGAGGAAGCAGCTATTCAGGCTATTAGGTGCCAGGGATATAGGCAGTTGCCATAGACATACACAGAAAATGCCTTTACTGTGGGCTAATGTCCCTTCTGGTAGGTTTGGGAACCCTTGTTTCATTTGACAACCTAATTCTTGGTGAAAGGCAGTTGTCTCTGAGGCTTGTAAACAAGTTTCTAGGGAGGGAATCTCCTGGAAACCTATTTAATGACTAAAGGAGAGACTCTTTCAGCAAGACAGTACTAGGTCTGCACCCTTCCCCTTTCAGATCTTTTTTTTTTTTTTTTTTTTGAAAGAGAAAATTAGTACAGCCCTCCCACTTTTCCTCTCCTTTGTGCCTGCTATTTTCTGAAGGGATAGACAAAGGCTTAGAAGAAGCCTCTACTACCTGCAGGCAGCATGAACCTCTGAGCACCTGCTCAGAGGTTTTCTTTACCTCTTTCTATTTTCTTTACCTCTTTCTGCTTTGTCTCCCTTATTAAGTGGGCTACACTTGGGCACTGTCTCCTCATTAGCCTCAGTGGGGTGAAAAGTCATATTGTACTTCCTCACTGGAAAAGGAAAAAAAAAAAAAAAAAAGAAGGTACACAGGCTCCTGGCCTCAGCACCTAGGATCAGATCGTTACTATCTACTTTCCATCTCTTTCTAATTCCCTTCTTTTTCTCCACGTCCCTAGGATCATTTAAATTATAAATTTCAAATGTGAGAAAAGAAAGGAGCAAGAGAGGAGTAGATGCAGGGAGACCAGAGAGCTAGTATGAAGGCAGAAAATGAATCCTCTTCCTTTTAATTAACATTATCCTCATATAATGGTTCTCAATTAATAGAAAGTTGTTGGAAATTCGATGTTATTCCATGTTAAGTGATGTTAAGTCATGAAGCAGATAGAGTTATCATTTAGCTAGTAACAGAAGTGTCAAATGACAGATCACACCAACACACTAGTCCATATACTATTTGGAAACTTGTGGAATGATTTTTGGAATAAAATGTACTACAAATAATATCACTATATAAATTCACTTATATATTAGTAGTTTCCTTGGATAATAAAAGGTATTTCCGTATTTAATATGTGGCTAAAAAGTTGTAATATTTCATTACTTGAATATTTTGAATATTACTTTTTGCCACTTCTTGAATATTATCCAAGCTGGTGAGGGCATTCTAGATGCCTGGAAATTCTAGTGCAGTGAATAAAACATTAGTAGAGCTTTAGTAATCCTGTCTTTTTATTTTCTTTTAAGATATGTATTGGAGTAGTTACCAAGGGGATAGTTAACACTGACGTCATTTTAGAAGTGGAAATACAGTGGATTTCTGGAAAATCAAACTTATATTTGTGAGTTTCAATAATTTTGAATTGCCACAGGGATTTCATCCTCTATCACTCAAAGAATCCCTCTCATATTATCTCCCTCAGTAAGATAAGCCTCATTAATTTCAAGAAGCCCCAAATACTTACCTAATGACTCAGAAATTAGTCATTGAGTCACGGAATATTATGATCAGTGTAAGGTGAATAATGGTTCACCAGGATGTCTATGACCTAATCCCCAGAACCTGTGAGTATGACTTTATATGGCAAAATAAAATTTGCAGATGTGACTAACTTAAAAATATTTAGACAGGGAGATTATCCTGGATTAGCCAGGTGGCCCCTTAAATGAAATAACAAGTGAGCTTGTAAAAGGGAAGCAGAGAGAGATTTGACTATAGATAGGGAAGGTGATCTGAAGATGGAGCAGAGATAGATGTGAAGATGCTATGCTGCTGGCCTTGAAGATGAAGAAGGGCCTATGAGCCAAGATATGCAATAAATATAGCTCTGGAAGCTGGAAAAGGCCAAGAAATAGATTCTCCTCTGGAGCCTCGTGAGGGAGCACAGCCTTACCAACACCTTGATTTCAGCTCAGTGAAACTCATTTCAGCCTTCCAACCTCCAGAACTATAAAAGATAGACATGTTGTTTTTAGCTCAATGTCAGCGGTAATTTGTTACAGCAGTCATAGGAAACTAATACAGTGATGTACAAAAGAGCTCTGAGAAAATCCTTACTTGGTCAGGGAGAGGCCTAACTGCATTCTGAGATAAAATCTAGATTAAATCCTAGAATAAAATCTCAAGGTTACCAATTTCAAGTTAACTAACCACACATTCATGGGATATCAGGATTCCTCAGAAGCAGGGGAATAGAGGCAAAGGGGAAGCCTTTGAGTCACATATACTTACTACACAAATACCACATTGGCTGACACCCTTGTAACTCCAGGATATCCAGTTAAAAAACTGGAAATCTTCAATCAAACTAGTGACTTGGAGAAAAGGACATGAGTTTCACAAGGCAGGCAGAGGATTTATAGCTCCATTAAAGGCTACTAAATTATGTGACTCAAGAAAATCACTGGGAATCTATTCAGACAAGAATTCCATTTCTGTGGTTTTAACCACGAAACCACTGTGGATCTTAGACTGCATAGCAACTATGGAATCCACTCTCACATTTTGAAGCCCCAAATATTTCTCTTGAAAAATGGACTCAAGTAAAAACTATGAAATAGTCAACATTTTTGCATGTTGTCTTCCAAACCCAGCCCTCAAAGTCTCCCTATATTGAACCTCTGATGTATTTTTAGATTATATAATTCCTTTCACAAAGCAGTAGCAGAGTTAAATGAGCACTGATCTGTGAGTCAAGAGTTTAATGCCATCTGTTCAGGCATGGAAAGAAAATTTGAAAGAAAGTTATAATGTTGGGATAATGAAAGAATTCCAAGTAGGCTTTAAAGTTGATCCTCAGAGTGTCCTTGAAATCAGAAGTGTGAAGCCCATGACTATTTCTTAAGGATTTTCTAATCTTTTACTTCTACTTTTCTTACTTGACTCACTTGACTCACAGCAGCGAGACAAAAGAAAGTATCAGCTGCTGGGCCTTAAAGCACAAAAAGTAGCTAGATAACCTGTAATTTTCCTAGTGGTTTCTAAGACATGATAGCACCTATTGTTTCCTCCTACCCCCAGACCTAAAATCAAGTATCCTATAAATGCAAATATTTCTCTAAAGAGTAACATGAACATCTAAACTAAATTATTAGCAAGGGTTCTTTCTGAGATATAATCATGTAACTGTCCTTGGCATGTAAATAAAGACACAGTGATTCAATGTCAAGGGGCAATATAATACAATGGATAAGAATACTAGTGGGAGGCTAGACAGCCAATGTTTGAATCTCAGGCCCCACTTCTGGTCGTGTAACTTAAGAAAAGATACTTAATTTTTCTGAACTTCATTTCACTAACCCTTAAAATGATAATAATAGTACCTACCTCCTAGGACTGTTCTGAAAAAAGTGTGTGTGTGTGTGTGTGTGTGTGTGTGTGTGTGTGAAATTCATGTAAAAGTACTTAGTACAGAGCTTGGAAAACATTAAGTGCTCAATTAATGTCAGCTACTTTTAGATGACCTTGAAGCCAATAAGAATATGAATTGAAATACTTTATTAAATTACAATTTGTCATCTTCTGGCTTGACAAATAACTACTCAAGAAGAAACTAATGAGACATACTAGATATGAAACTGGTTACTAAAGAAAAATTTATGCAAAATAAATGCAACTTGGTTTTTCATTATAAATACAGGTTCCATATATTTTGAACACCAAATAGGTCAAAGGATATTACAAGAAAATGTATTTTTTTGCAGTCACACATATGTGTGTGTAATACTCTCCTAATTTGACTCTGTGCTTTACTTCCTATTACTCCACCAGAAATTTTCCACTTAGCAGTCAGACTGAGTCCTAAAAAAATTATGTCATGTTATTTCCTTGCTTAAAACACTCTGATAGTTTTCCATCGCAGTTAAATAAAATATAAACTCCTTACTTGGTATGACAAAGTGCTACTTTTCAATCTGAATAAAGTGGTCCCTGTCTCTCTCTCTCTGACTTTATCTCTCTATTCTCTCCTAAGTTCCAATGACTTTCTCCCTGTGTAGGGAACCAGGCTCACTGCTGCCTCAGATCCTTCACACTAGCTGTTTCCTCTGCTTATAATGCTCATCCTCCCAAACTCTGACTAGTTACATCTCTTTTTCATTCAGATCTCAGATAAAACCCGGCCTCCTGAATGAGGACTTGGTGGACCACACAATCACAAGTAGCCACCCAGTTATTCTCTGTTACTTCTATTTATTTTAAGTCTCTGTGTAGAATTTATTTTGCTTAGCATATAACACTGTGGTATAATTTTCTCTCTTGTTTGCTTCTTTGTATTTATATTTTTTTTATATAATAACCAACTTCCCCATTCCCTAGAATAGAAGTTCCATAAGAGCAAGACTTGGTCTTGTTCACTCTTGGATTTCTTTCACCTAGAAAAATACCGAACATATTAAATGGTTAATAATGCTTAATAAGTATTTGTTAAAAGATAAATGAAAAGAAAATATGGTTATTGAGGTCCAAGTAATTTCAAAACTGTTGTCAACACTATCCTTGTGCATATATCCTGTACATGTCCGATTAAATGCCAAAAGTTTAATTATTGAGTCAAAAGTATGTGCAATTTTGATAGTTATTTCCAAATTGCCTATGAAAAAAGTCATACTAATTTACATTTTAAGTGAATTCCTCGAGTCTTCTTTTAAGTGAAATTATGACATGATATTTGAGACACATTCTCTCAACTTAGAAGCACTGTGTACTTTATAGTTCCATAACCTTAAAATGCCAGCAGGATAGCTGAAGTACAGAAGTCTACAATAGGTCTTCTGAATGAAATGGCTGCAGAATCCATGTCTACTGTGACTCACCAATTAGACGATTTGCTACGAGAGGCATATGTGATTCACTTTCAAAGGTCTTTCATTTTCTAGGAATCCTGTGCGTGGGTTCTTAGCAGTAAAGAGAGATCTTACTAATCAACATTAATCATGACGTTTTTCAAGTATACAAAAGGTAATTTGCAATCAAAGAAAAATTTTACTCCATAAGAATTGAATCAAAACAGAAAAACATATTGGTGAAATACGTACCCTACTCTAAAAGGTCTTCAAATTCCATGAGTTCATTTTTCCCTTATTAGAGGTTTATTTCCCTTGCCCTTTGAGTCATCTATGCCAACAACCTCAGATATCTGTGTAATAGTAACTGAAAAACACCCTACTGATGAATCGATTTCTACATATTTATGTCTGTATAAATATGTCAACGAGGCCACTGATGAAAGTGGGGGCATCCATGATCCCCCCCCGCCACTGGCTTCTTATGTCATTTTGAAAGACATCCTGTCTCAGCACAAAAGCAACCAACTAAATTCATAAGCAACAGTCAAAAGGAAACCAGAAGAATAAAACCAGAGATACATGTGCATCCAGTCTCCACACCAACACTACATCACTTAGAAATAACTTTTAGTGCAATATCAGTTTTCAGCAAAAATCATCCAAACATGTTACTTAAACACTTAAAAGACTTTTTAAATTCTTATCTCTTTTACTCAAGAGCAGCAAATTCTTACCTTAGAAGCATTATATCATTAGAAAAAAAGCCCAATTAATAGATACCCACGCTAGATTGAAAATGTAACTGCATAAATCATCCAATTTTCAAAATACAGAAAAATAAGGTACTTACAGCAGGGTGTCCAGTACAGTAGGTATAGCTGGCATGGGACTGGTAGTGCAGGCTGGCTCTTGGAAAGGAGTATGTATTCCAGGCTGGTTGGCTGCTGTTCCACTGGGAGCTGAAGCCAGGGCTCATGGTCACTCGTGACTTACTAGTTTGATAGGCTCTCACTGTGGAGCTAGACTATCAAAAAGAAAGAAATGCAATGTGAAGACAGCTCTTTATTAAACCTGAGCCAGCAATATATCGCAGCATGTATTCTCATGTATGACCAAGGCACAGGACTCAGCTGATTAAGAGAAATGGCTGATGGCTTAAGAGGATGCATCAAATACTGTTCAAATACTGCATCAAATACCGTTCTGAATGGGATAAAAGTATTTTCTCACTATTCGAATTTTGACCGGATCACAAAGCACAAAGGCTCTTTGAAATTGATCTTATTGAAAACAGTTTTTTTTCTAGTTGCAAGATGCAACTCCAGCCTTTAGAAATAAGATATATTTTAGTGGTGACAGCAACAGTGATATTTTCAATTATATAAATGTCCTTTTATCATAGTGTTCACCTTAGAAATTTACCATTAGTCTCATCTGAAGGCAGTAAACAAAAATCTTAGTTTACAAGGATTGGATTAAGGCACAGGCTGCTTCTCAACTCTAACTAGTCTTTAAACTCCGTAAGTCTATTGCTGTCCTGGGAGACATCAGCAGGAATCTGGATACATTTATACAGGTCACCATTCTACTTTCTAAAGAGCAAAATGGTGAAGGATTCGAAATCATCATTCACCCCTAACCTGCTCTACCTACATAACTGAAAATAGAGGGGTAGGAAAATATGCATTTTTTAAATGTTAAATATATCTGGTTGTTCATAACTGTGCATAGGGTAGAATTCACTGAAAACAAAACTCACTTGTATCTTCTGTCCTTCTTTGTCCTCAGATGGCCATGGCATATAAGGCATATAATAGTTTCTTTTCAGAGAACACTTTCTATCCTCAAATTGCAATAGCCACTTACCCCAGTAGCACAGTGACTTTCACAATAAATTCTATTTATAAATCTATGGGCACATGCCAACTCAATCACTGGGAAAATGTGCTAATCGCATTGCCATTATATTCAGGAAACCCAGTGGGGAAGAAACTTTTATCTATGATTGTGTTTCCCATTGGGGTAGATTCTGATACCATTAAATACTTAAAAGAAGAATTTTCTGAAGAAAATATCCCAGGTTTGAGCATCTTGGGATAACCAAAAGAAAGCAAAAACCTCAGTGATTTAAACGCTCTAAGTGGGCCATTTCTCTCACAATGACCTTAAAAATATTAGGAAAGTGAAAAGAAAATTTAAATCTGTGATTTAATGGTAGTTAACGATTTAAAATATGTAAACCAAAAACTGGAGAATACAGCCTTCTTAAGGTAGCCAAACTTATTTGGTGGTCTATCTTTCCCCATTAACATTCTCCATCACCACCCTACCATGTACGCTGTCCACATGATTCAATAGTTCAATAGTTCAATGAGATCTGCAGATACAGCATTACAAAGGTATGCATACTGCATACCTCCCCAGGACAAACCTGTGTTGGAGAAGTAACAGTGGACTTTTGTAAAAATAGACATTTGTGCTTGGTTCGAAGTACGTAAGCCCTGTATTTATGTAAAAAATCCTGTTATTTGTATGCCATACACAGTCACTTCAAAGAATAAATGAGCCCACCACAAAACTTACCTTTGGCCTTGAAAGTGTCTCGGTTTCTGCTCTGCAACTACGGTCACTAAAATCAAACACTTTCACTTTGGTTGTTTCTGTAAGTAGTTATTTCAGGACTAGCCCTTGTAGTTACATGGTTGTCTCTTATCTGTTTTCACAGTTAGATTAGGAGAGAGGATTTAAATTTATGCATAAACAAGTTTGTAAATACCCTCACCTCTTAGTTTACTTACGTTCCCAAGGGGCATTAGTCTTTCCTCAATGATTTTAATCATGGTGGTCCCTTGCAAACTTTCCTTCCCCTCTTTTGTAAAGCTCATGCTGAAGTTATACCTTATACTTGTCCCTACTTCTAAGACCTCCAGATTATGTCCTTCACCTTCCTGCTCTCACAGAGCCTATATAGTGTTGCTCAAATACTTCAGCATATGATTATGTTGTTGTAGATTATTCCCTGTGTGTATAAAACTCAGCGTCCCAACCAGGCTTCAGAGAGCCCACTTAATTCTAGATAATATATTGTCTCTTCTATGGCTCTAAGGAGTTTCTTCCTCCTTGGCTTTTGAAGCCTCTAATGGTGTTTACCCCCTCCTCATTACAATCATCTTTCCCTTAGATTCCTTGTCCCTTCTGATTGTACCTTGTCTCTTGTCTCACTTCCTGCATCCTTTTTTCTGTATTCTCCCTAAATTAGGTTATTTTTCAGGCCTTACTTCTTGGTTCTGTGTTCTTAACTCTTCTAACTTTTCTCCTTTGTGAACTTATTCACGGTCAAAGCTTTACGTATTACCTCTAAGAAGATGACTCCCAGGTATAAATTAACAGTCCAAACCGTCTCCTGAGTTCCAGTGCCAAATCTTAAAATATCTGCTGAATATGGATGTGTAACTATTAATCATCACAAGAAGAATCAAAGTTTAAATTACCATGCATGAAATTAAATGGGCTGGGCGTGGTGGCTCACGCCTGTAATCCCAGCACTCTGGGAAGCCAAGGCGGGCAGATCACAAGGTCAGGAGATCAAGACCATCCTGACTAACACAGTGAAACCCTGCCTCTACTAAAAATATAAAAAATTAGCCGGGCGTGGTGGTGGGCGCCTATAGTCCCTGCTATTCAAGAGGCTGAGGTAGGAGAATGGCGTGAACCTGGGAGGTGGAGGTTGCAGTGAGCCGGGACGGTGCCACTGTACTCCAGCCTGGGCAACAGAGCGAGATTCTACCTCAAAAAAAAAGTTTTCTTTTAAATTAAATGAATTAATTGTTTTACTCTAAGATTTCACCTCCCCCACAGTTCATTTTCATTTACTTTTGTTAATGTTATGATCACCTTTAAAATCAGTTTCCTCAAAGACAGAACAACTTTGACCCATTTATCTCTTTCAACTCCCATTATCAGTGTCACCAGATTCTATTGTATTTATCTAAGAGTACTTGAATTCATGTTGTCTTTTTCATTCCCATTATCACGAACCATTTTTTAGGATTTAGTTAATTTATGTCAGAGCCACTAAAACTAAATCAAGAAGCTTCTACTTTAAGCCTCGATTGACTCTCCACAATGACACTAGATTTGTCTTTCTAAAAGCATGCTTTTACTATATGACTTCTCCTTGCTGAAAAATATTCAATGCCTCTCTACCATCTACTAGACAAAGTTAAAACTTCTTAGTCTCTCATTTGAGAGTCTAATGTCATTCCAACTGTCATTGCAAGGTTTATTTTTTGTTCCTTTCCATATAATTTCAACATCCAGATAGAGTGTTGCTCCAGATAGTTTGTTACTCCAAACATGACTTACATGTTCATGCCACTGTCACAGTCATCACTTTCTAAAATGTCTTCACCTCCTCTCAGTTCACACTTCAATGAACCTGCCAGGCTCAACCTTCTATAAAACCTATTCCAACAGCCTCGGCCACCAGCCCACCGGGAATTTTGTTTCTACAAAGCACTGATGTTACTGATTTTCTGCCAGGTTCATCTGATCTTTTCCTCTCTGTGGCTACCCAGGAAATTAACATCATAATGTCATAGCATAACTCACCAAATTCCTTAATTAGCCTTTCATACTACAACTCTTAAGTCCCAACACACATCTTTTAGAATAGGTGCCTATTTGTCTTTCTTAAGAAGCATATCACAACGCAAGAACTTGTGTACAAGTAGTTCATTTTGGAATTGATCCCAGAGAAAATCAGTAGAATAAATCAGTAGGGATAAAGAGTGAGCCAGTAAGTTTGCATCACTGAATAAGTTATTCCTGTGGAGAACTGAGGCTCAGTTCCACTGAGGACTCTGGGACACAGTGTAGAACATGCCGTGGAGTTATTCCACTCAACATGTCAGGAAGCTAAACTATCTAACCTCCAGTTCTTATTTGTATTGGCTAAGGGCTGTTCCTTGAAACATTGATTTCTTGGCACTTCTGGTCTGTTCCACTACAGGCCAAAAGGAAGTTCTCAAGTAGAGTGTCCCAGGACACTGTTGACATGCTCTAGAAAAGTAAGTGCCAAGAAGGTACAAGCAGAGTATTGGTAGTATCTGCTACTAAATAGATGATTCCATGAACTTTTTTGCATCTATCATAGAACTCCAGACACTCACATTTTTATTCTGGGTGACTGAGAGCAAGGGCTCAAAAACAATGGTCAAACTGGCCTGACCACACTGCCATTACAGACTTGCAAAAGCAATACACAGAGGAAGATAACGGATTGGCCAGTAAATACAGTAAACAATGTTCAAAATCATTAGTCATCCAGGAAATGCAAAATAGAGCTACAATAATATACCAGTTCATACCCACAAGGATGGCTGAAACCAGAAAGACTGATAACACTAAATGTTGGTTAGTTATTATAGACCTAAACTTCCCAAATACTGTTCATGGATGGGTAAAATGATACAGCTACTTTGAAGAACTGTTGGCTTACATTTTCTTTTGTTTTGTTTTGAGATGGAGTGTCGCTCTTGTTGCCCAGGCTGGAGTGCAATGGCGCGATCTCAGCTCACCACAACCTCCACCTCCTGGGTTCAAGTTATTCTCCCCCTCAGCCTCCAAAGTAGCTGGGATTACAGGCATGTGCCACCACACCCGGCTAATTTTTATTTTTAGTAGAGACAGGGTTTCTCCATGTTGGTCAGGCTGGTCTCGAACTCCCGACCTCAGGTGATCCGCCCACTTCAGCCTCCCAGAGTGCTGGGATTATAGGCGTGAGCCACTGGGCCCGGCCTGGGTAGCATTTTATAAAATTAAACAGGCAGAGCATGGTGGCTCACACCTGTAATACTAGCATATTAGGAGGCCAAGGTGGGTGGATCACTTGAAGTCAGGAGTTTGAAACCAGCCTGGCCAACATGGTGAAACCCCGTCTCTACTAAAAATGCAAAAAAATTAGCCAGGCATAGTGGTGGGCACCTATAATACCAGCTATCCGGGAGGCTGAGGCAGGAGAATCGCTTGAACCTGGGAGGCAGAGGTTGCAGTAGCCAAGATCGTGCCACTGCACTCCAGCCTGGGCAACAGAGAGAAACTCCGTCTTAAAACAAATAAATAGGCCGGGTGTGGTGGCTCATGCCTGTAATCCCAGAACTTTGGGAGGCCAAGGCAGGTGGATCACAAGGTCAGGAGTTCGAGACCAGCCTCACCAACATGGTGAAACCCTACCTCTACTAAAAATAAAAAATTAGCCGGGTGTGGTGGCGCAGGCCTGTAATCCCAGCTACTCAGGAGGCTGAGGTAGGAGAATCACTTGAACCTGGGAGGCGGAGGTTGCAGTGAGCCAAGATCACGCCACTGCACTCCAGCCTAGACAACAGAGCGAGACTTGGTCTCAAATAAAATAAAATAAAATAAAATATTTAAAAAAGAAAAAGATAAAAATAAAATTAAACATGCTTCTACCTATGACCCAACAATTATACCCCTAGTTATTTACCCAAAAGAAAAAAATATATACACAAAAATATTTTATAAGAATATGAATAGCAGCTTTATTCACAGCAGCCCCAAACTGGAAATGGCCCACTGTCTATCAACAAGAGAATGGATTTTTAAAAATGGAGTACATTTATAAAATAAAATAATCTTCAGATATCAAAAATAAACTTTTGATACATACACAGACATGGATAAATCTTAAAATCATGCCAAATAAAAGAAGACAGGAACAGAAGAATAGATGTGTGTTATTTATTTATATGAAGTCCAAGATGAGGAGAAAATACACAGTCATAGAAATCAGAAAGTGGTTGCTGGGCAGTTGAGGAGTCAAGCAAGGAGAACAAGATAATATTCTAGAGTGATAGAAATGTTTGCTATCTTATTTTTTATGTACTCACATTAGGAATGCATATACTTACCAGACCTCATCAAATTGAACACTTGAGATCTTTGCATTTTATTATGTCTTATTTATATTTCAATTAAAAAGTATATACTGCTATTGCAAAAGACACTGAATTTTCCATGATAAGAAAGGTTAGAGATGGCTCTGAAACTGAAGCCCAGTGATCCCCAAATTCTAATTGTCTAGACTCCATAAAATCTGAGTTCCACTATCTTTCCCCTCCTTGGCACGACCTCTGAGAGCAATGCCAGGGAGCATCTAACAGCCAAAAGGCAGGCAGCCAGAAAGAAGAGCAAAGAGTCTGGATAAAGAGCCTCTGAATAACCAAGAGCTGGCAGCATTATCCGGTGTCTGCCAACAGATCAGGGGTCAGGGCTGCTGGAGCAAGAAAAAATGGAGCACAGCACAAAAGAAGAGGCCTCTTACATGCTTCCAGAAATTACAGAGCTCCAGGGAACACCTGCTGTTCTATCTACTCAGTCAGCACTAGCAAACAAAAGAAAGAAAGGGAGGGGCAGAAGGAAGGTGCTCTAAGGAAAAAAAATGCAATGAGGAAGCAGAAAATAACCAATACTATAAGATTCATAGGCACAATTTAATAAGTGCTAGGGGGAAATAATAACAGCTAACACTTACATGCAACCTACTATCTATCAAATACTATTTCAGTATATTTATACTGTAGTGACTCAATTAGTCCTCATAACAATGTTAAGAAGTAGTTATTATTATAATCTGCATTTTGTAGGTGAGGAAACTGAGGAAGAAAGAAATAAAATAACTTTAAAAGATAAGGTCATATAACTACTAAACTGTTGAATTGGGATTCAAATCCAGGCAGAGACTTCTTTCTTGGATTGGAATTCATGCTCTCAAATATTCTGCTATAATGCTGCTTAGCTTGGGTTCTTCCAAAGCAGATTTTAAGACAAAGACTGGGTTGGGTTTGTTTGTTTGTTTGTTTTGGGGGTGGGGGGAGGTAATCCCAAAAAGCAAACAGGAAGGAAGAAACAGAGAGAAAATGAAGAATCAATATAAATGTGTGTTATTGAGATCTATGTTATAAGGTATAATCCAAAAATATGATTCTAAACCTTCCAACCAACTAAATGGACCCCCTCCTCTCAGCCAAGGGCATTCCAAAACTAACCTGAAACACTAGTTCAGGCCATGATGGGAACATGGGGTCAGACGTACCTCATCGTACCCTCCTCCCTTTGGAATTCAGGTACAACTGACCAGCATTAACATTGAAACAGAGACCTTAAGGCTGACAAAGCAGACCCTTTGTAGCAATAAGATATTAACATGACAGATATCAGGCCCTGAAAGGAATTGAGTATTTTACCCCCAAGTATATTTAATATTGGGTTGTAACAAATATTAGTAACCAATTACTTTTGCACCAACATATTATGCCTAATATTTCTTTGATATATTTTGAAATGGGCCTGCAAATCCATTTCTTGTGGGAAAAATCTATATTCTGTGGAGAATCCCCTTCCCTTTCGAGGTCTTTTCTTATCCAGGAGATAAGTTAACTAAGAGTGTAGCAACTTTTTAAGTTTGATAAAATCATTTACAATCTATTCTCTCAGAAGCTTGCTACCTGGGGCTTCATCTGAATAATAAGAACCTTGGTCTCCATAACGTTTAATCTTAAACCCAGACACTCCCTTCTATTGATTCTATGCTTTTAGGTAAACTCAACCAATTGGCAATCAGAAAATCTTTGAATCCACCTATGGCCTGGAAGCCCCACCCACCCACTTCGAGTTGTTCCACCTTTCCTGACTGAAGCAATGTACATCTTATATGTATTGATTGATGTCTTATATGTCCCTAAAATATATAAAACCAAGCAGTAGTGTGACCATCTTGGGTACATATTAGGACTTTCTGAGGCTGTGTCATGAGCATGTCCTTAACCTTGGAAAAATACACTTCTGAATTGAAGCCTGTCTCAGATACTTTTCGGTTTACAAAGGTAAAGGCCCTGGATCCTGCTGAGGCCTCTGAGAAGTGTTCAAAATGTCACCTAGAATTGTCTACTGAAAGATGAGAGCTAGAGATTTTGCCACTGGGTAAGGGTTGCCCTCAAGGGAATCATCCTGCCAGTACTTCCAAGCTGTGTCTGGGCATGAGAAAACAAGCTCCCTTGGCATCAGAGAAAGCCCATGGGCAGAAAGTGGAAAGGTACACAAGTAAAATCGGGCAGGATGCTGTCAAGTGCTAGGTGAGGTAGAACTGTCCATCATAGTTGCAGCTGAAACCAGAGATGAGCCAGGGATGAGGATGGGGCAATGTGAATCAGTTACTACTATCAACTAAGTAAGAATAATACTTACTTAGAATAAGTATACTAAGAATACTTACTCTAAGAATAATAAGTGCAATGGTTATAATCATAATATCAATATTAATTGAACACCTGCTTCTACAGATCTTTCATGCATTGTCTCTCTGAATCATCAGAACAATCTAATGTTGTAGGTGTTATTATTCACATTTTACTGATGAAGAAATTGGAATGTACAGAGTTCGGGCAACTTGCTTAAGGACACACCAACTAGTAAGGATACAGAGCTAAGGATTAAAGGTTCAAAGGAAACAGAATTATGGTTAATTATCTTATTAACAATCTGTTGTGTCGAAAGAATAAAGCTCAGAAATGTCCTTAACATTTCTGTATTTCTGCACCACATATCCCACTGTGAAAGGGAGATTAAAAGAGAAACCATTATAGGTATATGGTAATATAAATATGTAGAGAAAGTCAATGATCCAAAAGAGCAGAAGATTGTTATAAGATGCAGGAATGGGAACTGCTTGCTGTTATAGAATAATACCATCTTTTCCTGTTGCTAATATGAATATCATGTGATAATGTACTAAAGTTACCTCAGGTTCAGCTATCAGTGATGATGCCATATTTGTCTCCTTTAAAAGTTACTCAGGGCCGGGTATGGTGGCTCACACCTGTAATTCCAATACTTTGGGAGGCCGAGGAGGGCAGATCACCTGAGGTCAGGAGTTTGAGACCAGCCTGGCCAACATGGTGAAACCCTGTCTCTAGTAAAAATACAAAAAATTAGCCAGGCTTGGGGACACATGCCTGTAATCCCAGGTACTCAGGAGGCTGAGGCATGAGAACCGCTTGAACCTGGGAGTTAGAGGTTGCAGTGAGCTGAGATCGGGCCACTGCACTCCAGCCTGGGTGACAAGAGTGAAACATCATCTCAAGAAAAAAAAAAAAAAAGTCACTAAGTCACTATTGGTGAAGGTCCTCAGCAAGAAGAAATTGCAAGATAATTCTAGAACTAGCCAATAAATTTACACTGAAACCACTTTATGTATATTCTAATTAAAAATATTGCTTTAGTCTTAAGGAGAATTTATGCCCTTTCTGGTAAGTACTATTAAAATATTTGGAGTATACTACATATACTAGTAGACCAGAGTATCCTATAATAATTATTGTAGCAGACATGTTTCTGCAGCCTTTGCAGTCCAGCTAGTCCTCTTACAGCTCCCGCTGAAGCACATTTTAATACAAACATGGTTATTCCAGGTGACTTCCCCAACTTGAGTCTGAGTGAACCAGGTAGTGGCCTGAACAAGACTGAACCAATCAGATGTCTTTTCTGGAAATACAGAAATATCATGTGATGAATTATAAATCTCTATAGGGAATTCGAATTAAGAAGTGATGTCAAGGAAAAACTGGGATTTAGTTGTGTGAATGAAGCCACAGACAAAAAAAGTCTGTCTGGGAAGGGATAACAGAGAGCAGGAGTGAGAGAGGCAGGGGTCTGAGACGGGGAGAGGGAGAAAGAAAAAGTATAGACCATAATAGAGATAAGAGAAGATTTTATTCAAAGGTAGTGAAAGAAATGTTTCAGTTCTGGATGGCTTCTTAGTTTTTGGCTCCAGTTTCTTGCAATACCTGGATCCACTACTGATTCTGAGCTCCATAAGGCATTCCTTTATCCAAATATTAAGTTATTCTTTTCTGCCTAGAAGATCTTGAGTAGAAATTGCAATTAAATGACCACTGACTAGGCAAAATGGAAGGAGCAGATGCACAGAAAGAAGCAGAGCTGAAGGACCATGTGGCTCAGAGAGAGAAACCAAGGACTTTCTGGTTCTGATAAGATGTGTCACATGTTTCATAGGAATCCTGTGTATCATTCCAGTGACTCCCGCTTTGTCTTCGCTAGCTTGAATAATTTATATTCCTAACAACCAAATGGTTACTTTTTTTTTTTTTTTTTTTGAGATGGAGTCTTGCTCTGCTGCCCAGGCTGGAGTCCAGCGGCGCTATCTCGACTCAATGCAAGCTCTGCCTCCCAGGTTCATGCCATTCTCCTGCCTCAGCCTCCCAAGTAGCTGGGACTACAGGTGCCTGCCACCACGCCCGGCTAATTTTTTGTACTTTTAGTAGAGACAGGGTTTCACCGTGTTAACCAGGATGGTCTCGATCTCCTGACCTGGTGATCCGCCCACCTCGGCCTCCCAAAGTGCACCGCGCCCCGCCAGTGGTTACTTTTTAGACACTGGTAATCTTCCCTTTTGTTTATGTCTTTTCATTTTCCACTGTAAAATGCATTTATTGTCCTTCATCTTTGGCTTTCAAATCAGCATTTCCACTTCACATTAAGGATTCAGTGACCCTCCATTGAAGATTTTAACGTCGTTTCAGTTCTAAAGCCATAATCACATAAGTAAAGATAAAAAGCCTGAACCAAACATTATACATAAATAATGACATTGTAAGTCAAGAAGTTATTATAAAACACTGCAAAGAATATGTGAGAAAGGCCATGCAGCAGATTCTTAAATATTTGTTTAGAAATATATCATGTATATGTAGCTTCTACTCCAAAAACATAGTGTTATAGGTTTCTACACCTATATTTTTTGTGTTTTTTTTTCCCCATTGTTGGTTTTATTTTAGCAGTATTCATTATGAACATCATGATTTGGGAGAATTAAAAAATGTTTACATACGTGTGTGTATATGTGTGTGTTGTGTGTTGTGTGTGTGTGTGTACTGATACACACACATGTGCATGCATTTTTTTTTAAGTACCCACAATGGACTTTTTGGTAAGCAAATGTCAACATAAAGTTCACGGAGAGGCTAAACGACTTCCTGTGTGTGTTTATTTCCCGTACTGCCTGTGAGGAAGTCTAAAAAGAACAGTTTCTACCCAACAGCTCTCAGAGTTTCAATAGGTTTTTCAAAGTTACCTCCCCACCCCGTGCCCCAAGCAAAGGATTCCCACTATGTGGTTTCTAAAGATTTCACTTACAACTTGCTGAATACAGAGCCTGAATGGACAGTAAAACCCATACCAAACCTCTCTTTGCACCCTGTGTGGGACAAGTGGTTACTTTGTTCATTTACAAAGGCCTAAAAAAGAGAGAGACAAACTGCCCTTATGGTATAAGAAGCTTCTTTCAAATAAATCCTTATAAAGGGATCTAAATCATGGCATTCAAAAGGAAGGAGGCTGCACAAGGAAATGGGTAGAAACTTTTAAGTTCTTCTCATACCCTGTCACCCCGGAGGAAGAGAAAATATATCTTCTCTTCTTTGACATTATCTTTTGTAACATTCCTCAAAGATGAGTCTCTAGCTTGGTCTCCGTAGATTTGCTTCTCTGAGGAAAGTCAGGCTTTTTTGTTATTGTTATTGTTACTCCCTTGACATGGGGATTGTCTTTATTTTTCCAACATCACTTGTTTTATGACTTGTAAACATAAAGTATCTGAGTGAGCTTTGCTTATCAGAGGCCCTTTTTATCAAATAATCATAAAACATGGTGCTTTCTGGCACTTAATTTTATTGTTATTGTCAAGCTTCAAAACTTCAAAGGGTGGAATGTGATAGAACATTTTTTGTGCTCTAGAAGACATGTTTTAGGGCTCTTGCCAGCCATGCTGTGCTTCCAGAGCTCCCACTGAAGACTGTCCCTAGACCAGCAAGGTTATACCAGGTGACCCCTCCTACTTACATCTGCTAGGACCAGGGAATCTCCTGATCTGCTTTGACTCCTCATATACTGTCTCCTAAAAATTGGGAATTGCCACTCAGTGACTAGGAAACCTCTATTAGGACACAATAAGAAGAAGCTCTGTCTACTATTAAATACTAATTATTACAACGACTCAGAGTTCTTCAGAGATTAGAACAAGGGTTTCTGGCATGAATGTGAATGGAGAGGCAATTTCAAATTCTGCCAGTTGCTTTAGCTGGGAAAGGATAGGTAGGTGTTAGACTTAAAGCCTAGACACGAATTTTAACCATGCCCATTTCTACTTAATGATCCTGAGTAAGTCACTCCAAAACTCTGCACCCTCCCCTCATCTGAAAATCCCTGGCTCATTGGGTTACTGTGGAAGTTAAAATAAAATGAGGTATGTGAAAGTATCTGGTACATAGATAATATTCCATAAAAGCATGTTGAAAAAGAGAACAGTAGAGAAAAGTTGTTCAGAGCGCAGGTTCTGGGGGCTGACTGCTGTGATCAGCATAATGCTGCTTACCCCCAGCTCTCTAATTTTGATAAACTCCTGTACCCTTCCTGTGCCTCCCTTTCTTTATCTGTAGAATTGGACTAATAATAGAACCCACCTTCTAAGATTGTCATTGGGATTAAATAAGTTAATAAAGCATATAATAGAGTTTCTTGTACTCATTACATGATGTTAATAACTATTATTGAATTTAAAAGCTACTATTATTTTTTATTCTTAAAACAATATAAACATATAACCTTGTTTACGGACAGAAATTTGTGAAAGCCTTGTCTCCTCTCCTTTTCTACTTCCTTCCCTTCCCCCCCTTCCTCTCTCTCAATTTTCCTCCCTCCCTCCTTCCTTCCATCACTCTCTTCCATCCTCCATTTCTTTCTTTGTTCCTTCCTTCCTCTCTTTCTAAATGAAAAAAAAAGTAGCATAGGCTAATTTCTTTACATTTGAGTAATTGATTCTAATACTCATTTTCCTTTTCCCTCCTAAAAGTTACTCTACAGCTCATTTCTGGCTCAGTGCACATTCAATGAACCCAAGCACACTAGTGCTCCTGCGTGAGTGTGTGGAAGATAAAGTCATACAGAACATCCCTGGAGGACAGTCCCACAGCCCCAGAGTAACTGCGACTGAAATGGGCTGATTCCCCAAAATGAAATTAGCCTATAAAAATGACGATACATTGAAAACGATTCTTACAAGTCTTTTAATAGTTTAACATCAAGAGGTAAGCTAGTTTATCTGTTTTAAGAGAAATGTCAATGCTAGACCATAAGTGATGCTAGGGCAGGAGTTAATAATCTTATCTCTGCACCTAATACCATGTCTGGTACACGATGGTCCACAAAAAAACCTATTCATTCATTAAACATTTAATGGGGCTGGCAGCGGGCCAGATACTGTGTAGAAGCTGGGAGTACAACCATGAGAAAGAAAGACACAGACTCTGCTTTTATAGATATTAATAATTAGCAAGAAAGGCAGACATTTTAATAAACAGAAAAATAGTGATATATTTGATATTTCTGTGGATCTTGAGTTCAGTAGAAAGCTCTGTCCTGGAGATTTAGAAGTCATCAGTGACTAAGACCATGCAAATGGACTGAGTTGAGAAGGCAGGGAGCTTAAGGCTATCACCAAATTTATTAGTATAAGCTTAAGGTGATGAGCTAATTCAATTAGGCCCCGTATCCAAAAAATTAATTCCCATCGGCCAAAGACATAAGGAGTGGCTTATTAGTGGAAAATTCTATAAAATTACTGTTTCCATGCTGCAAAGTATGGCAAAGTACCATGAGTAGTTTGCCCTTGGCAAGTTCATTCTAATATTAGTACCACTTATTGAATCTCTACTTCAAAGGGCACAGATTATTGGGAGTTTTCATTCTCAAGCACAGAATATACTCTCTACCAGTCATGAAAATCATTACAGACTAAAAAACTGTTTTGAGTATCAGAGAACTAAGGATAGAGTAACCACTAAATCGTAGTAACAAATGATAATCATCACCCAAGAACTATCCTATCCATCACAAAACTTTAGTTGCAATAACCCCCTCCTGCATCCTCTCTAAGGAATCTTGCCAGAAGTTATGTGTCTTCAGCATTGTATGATTTATGCTGTGGAATGTTATCATGCCTTTGTTACAAACTACTTCATCAGCAATTGAATAACAGGCATTTATTGTCAACTTACCATGTGAGCAGTACTGCACTAGATCTTGCAGAAGGCACAAGAAGGTGAGGGATACTCACTCTAAGTAAATTCTCCATCTATTGGAATATGTCAATAGACACTCACTAAATATTTATTGAAAGAACTTGCTGTGCTCACCTGTTGTTACCAAATTTTACTAATTTCAGATGTTCTACTGACATGTGAGCTAGTCTGTGAACTATTACCCAATTTGTAGTCCTTCAGCAGATTTTATTGTTCCTTTGTCTTTATCATCACATAATTTGGAATTTACATATTTTTGTGGGTTTTTTTGTGGCAGATATATCTAAGTTCAAAAGCATTAAAATGTGTTTATGCATGCACTTGTATCTTACCCTATCTCTTACATACACAGACAATTCAGAATCTTTTAGACTGGGGCTTGGCAATTTGTTTTACTACAAAGGGTCAGATGGTAAATATTTTAGGTTATATGAGCTACACAATCTCAGTAGCAACTATTCAACTCTGCCATTGTAGCATAAAAGCAGCCATAGACAATCTGAAAAAAAAAAAAAGGGGAGTGGCTGGGTGCCAATAAAACTTTATTTACAAAAGCAGGCAGTGGGCTGGATGGATTTGACTTGCTGGAGTTTGCCAAATTCCGTTCTAAACTGTCAACTTTTTAAATTTATCATTGTACTTTCTCCACCAACAAGCATAATGTTATGGAAAGAGAAGTTGGGGAAAGAAAACGCTTTGAATCAATTCATAAATTTCTTTATGCCTACTGCAGAAGGTAATTGAAGTTGAAATTTACAGGAAAGGATCATGAAAATAGAAGGTGTTTAAAACAGTATGAATAGTGATACTGATGAGAGTAATGGGGAAAAGGGAAATTGCTTTCTTCCTTCTATATCTACCAGTAGTTTGCTCCATGTAACTACAGAATATCCCAGTTAGAAATATCTTACAGAGGCCAAGCGCGGTGGCTCACGCCTGTAATCCCAGCACTTTGGGAAGCCAAGGTGGGTGGATCATGAGGTCAGGAGATCGAGACCATCCTGGCTAACATGGTGAAACCCCGTCTTTACTAAAAATACAAAAAATTAGCCAGGCGTGGTGGCGGGCACCTGTAGTCCCAGCTGCTCGGGAGGCTGAGGCAGGAGAATGGCGTGAACCCGGGAGGTGGAGCTTGCAGTGAGCCGAAATCGTGCCACTGCACTCCAGCCTGGGCCACAGAGCGAGACTCCATCTCAAAACAAAAAAAAAAAAAAAAAAAGAAATATCTTACAGAAACAAAGAGGAATAGGTATAAAGTTAGAGAACTATAGGTTGAAGAAGTTTATTTTTGACAATACAGATACAAAATTCATTGTATATATCTCACAGTTGTATTGCGTTACACAGTCATGAGCCACATAATATAGTTTCAGTTAACCACAGATCATATATATACAGTGGTCCCACAGAATGTTGTAGCCATCATAACTTCATAGAGCAATGCATTACTCATGTGTTTGTGGTGATGCTGGTATAAGCAAACCTACTGCACTGCCAGTTGTATAAAAATATTTCACATGCAATTGTGTATAGTACATAATACTTGGTAATGATAGTAAGCAACTATGTTACTGATTTATGTATTTACTATGCAACAAAAAGTAATGACTTTTTGTCATTACTTAAGAGTGTACTTCTTCTACTTATAAAAATAGCCGTAAAACAGCTTGAAGCAGGTCTTTCAGGATGTATTCCAAAAGAAATCATAGTTGCTATAGGAGATAACAGCTCCATGCACATTATTGCCCCTGAAGACCTTCCAGTCGGGAGATGTGGAGGTGGAAGACCTCCACGTTGATCATCCTGACCCTGTGTTAGCCTAGGCTAATTCGTGCGTTTGTGCCTTTGTTTCTAACGAAAAGCTTTTAAGTAAAAAAAAATAATAAAAAAATTTTAAAAATAGGCAGGGTGCGGTGGCTCATGCCTGTAATCCCAGCACTTTCAGAGGCCGAGGCGGGTCAATCACTTGATGTCAGGAGTTCGAGACTAGCCTAACCAACATGGTGAAACCATATCTCTACTAAAAATACAAAAATTAACTGGGCATGGTGGCCTGCACCTGTAGTCCTAGCTACTTGGGGGTGGCTGAGGCAGGAGAATCTCTTGAACCCGGGAGACAGAGGTTGCAGTGAGCTGAGATTGTGCTACTGCACTCTAGCCTGGAGGACAGAGTGAGACTCTGTCTCAAAAAAAAAAAAAAAAAAAATTAAATTTGAAAAAAGTATGTAGAATAAGGATATAAAGAAAGAAAATATTTTTTCTACAGCTATACAATGTTTTTAAGCGTTATTACAAAAAAGTTAAAAAAATTAAAAGTTTATAAAGTAAAAATATCCAAGCTAAAGGTACTGTATTATTGAATAAAAATATTTTTAAATAAATTTAGTGAAGCCTAAGTGTCCAGTGTTTATAAAGTATACAGTAGTATACAGTAATGTCCCAGGCCTTGATATTCACTAATCACTCACTCGCTGACTCACTAAGAACAACTGCCAGTCTTGCAAGCTGCATTCATGGTACATGCCCTGTACAGATGTGCCATTTTTTTGCCTTTTATATCATATTTTTACCGCACTTTGCCTATATTTAAATATGTTTAGATACACAAATACCATTGCACCATTGTGTTACAACTGACAATGTTCAATACAGTAACATACTGTACAGGTTTACAACCTAAAAGCAATAGGCTATTCCATACATCCTAGGCATGTAGTAGACTATACCATCTAGGTTTGTGTAAGTGCCCTCTACGATGTTCATGGACGAAATAGCCTAGCAACCCATTTCTAAAAATGTATCCTTGTTGTTCAGGGATGTATGACTCTCTCTAGCTATCTCTTTGTGTGTGTGTGTGTATGTGTGTGTTTGTGTGTGTATGATAGATCATTGTATGACACATATACATATACATACATATATGGAAACATACAGAGTGAACAAGAGAAAGAGCAAGAGTGAAAATGTGTGAGAGAGAAACAGAGCGCTTATCATCCCTCAGCACTTTGCAAACATTATATAATTCATTTTCACAACAATGTGCATAAAGTCTATATTAAGGACTCTGGGGCTTGGACCAGCAAATAGGGAAACTCAGTTTCAAAAGTAAGTATCTCTAACCTCAGTGCACATGCTCTTCAGCCCCTTTGCCAAATTGCCTTCTACTCAGTGGATAAATGTCAGAAGCAGAAGTAGTTAGAAGAGTCCAGAAAGACACTTGGAACAAATGAGACAGTGAGAAAGATGAGGTTTTTTTAGTTATGGGAAAGGGCCCTCAAGAGCCCTGCTTCCACTTGGGGATTTATCATATGGGGGAACAAGACATTATCTGTGATTGTACAGTGACATTCTGAGAAGCCCTTTGCAGTGGCTTTTCTGGTGGCGTTCTGTGCTAACTGGTTGAATAGCCACAGTTTTCTAATTCTTGACCCCCACACCACCAATCCAGACTCACTCCCAACCTCTATAGTTTCTACTGACATAATGAGGAAAGTATCCGGCATGAAGGGCATCCACCTTCCACAAACACACTAATGGCTGATGGAAGGCAAGTCAATGAAAGGCTGCTTCTAGAACATCTGCCTTGAGGTTGCAAATAGCAACATGACTGATAACTGTTATGGGATGACTGAAGCTTAAATGAGGAGCTTTAGAGTGGAAATCTGCTTCAAAAATAAACTAGCAATTGTTTGAATGTTGGAATAAAACTGACAGCAGAATTTCAGTGATGCCTCAGTCACTGCACATGCAGCAGATGGTGTCTCCGTCAGCAAGGAGGGAACTTGGCAGAAAAGAAACTAAGAGAAAGAGGAATTGTCGGTTCTTGGAGCAGCATTGAGCCATCCAAGTAAAGTGGCTGAGAAATGCCTAGACATTCAGCACATTACTTTTAAAGTTACTGTGTGAGTACAAAAAGTGGATAGGGATTATCTCTATCTCCATAGTCAGAAAACTGCCAATTTTGCAAGATGTTTTGCGGCCTACACATCAGTTACCCTTTCAGGAAGAAGCTTTGATTTGTTAAATTGATTCTAAAGATTTTTATTTTTTCTCTTTTGGGATGCCTAAGTAGATACCACAAAATGGATTTCACAGTCATAAGAGAAAATGTATGTGGCCCAATTAAAGAAGCTAATCTCACATTTCCTGTCAAATCAGAAGTCCCAACTTTGTAGGATATAACCCACAAAATTTAAAAAAAAAAATCAAAGAATCCTCAGTAACTCATGGTTCAGATTAGGCAGGGAATACAAGTTTATTTGTGTAAGTTGAAATTTAGCCTTTAAATTAAAAAGTGGTATATATTTAGTCTGACAGAAAACTTAACTAAGATAAATATTATGTGTGTGTATGTGTATGCATGTCTTGACATCTTTATTTCCTCCAGAAGCTTCACAGTAGGAAGAGATACAATTTGGGTAAATTACATTAAAGCATTGAGCTGGTAAACTTCCTAATTCCCCATCCCCATATCATGACTATTTCCACCATCAACTGGGAATCCCAGCCATTGTAAGGTATCAGCAAGAACTATCGGTTTTTTAAATGCTGCACATTCTCATAAACGAGAACTAAACATTGGGTACACATGGACATAAAGATGGGAACGACAGACACTGGGACCACAAGAGAAAAAAGGGAGGTGCAAGGGCAAGGGTTGAAAAACTACCTGTTGGGTATAATGCTCGCTACCTGGGTGAGGGGTTCAATCATACCCCAAACCTCAGCACCATGCAAAACATTGTTGTAACAATCCTGCACATGTACTGTCTAAATCTAAAATAAAGATTTAATTTTTAAAAAATGTATAAAAAAGATAAATGAGCCAACAAGTCATGGAAAGACATGAAGAAACATTAAATGCACATTGGTAAGTGAATGAAGCCAATTTGAAAAGGCTGTGTTCTATATCAACCTATATAACATTCTGGAAAAGGCACAACTATAGAGACAGTAAAGGATAAATGGTTGCCTTGAGCTCAGGGGAGAGGAAGAGAAGACAGATGAATAGTTAAACTCAACAGATTTTTAGCGCAGTGAAACTATTCTGTATGATACTTTAAGGGTGGATACATAACATTGTGCATTTCTCAAGACCCATAGAATTGTATAGCACGAAGTATGAACCCTAATGTAAGCTATGAACTTTAGTTAATAATGCATTGATATTGTCTCATCAACTATAACAAATATACCGCACTAACACAAGATGTTAATAACAGGGGAAAGCACTGGAAGAAGGAGCGAGTTAAATGGCAACTCTCAGTTCTACTTGCTCAAGTCTTCTATAAGCCTACAACTGTTCTAAAATTTTTAGAAAGAACTATAGGTTTTGTGTCCATGTATGTTTTTGTAAATGCATCCCAACTCAACTTTATAAAGCTTTTTTTTTTTTTAGAATATGGATTTTTTAAAGTCAGCATTTAAAATTGTGATTATATACACAAAAAAGCAACAGATATGAGTAAAAACCAAAGTTGTTATGATGGCTTTCAAGGTCCAACCTTATCTGAGTCTCTTGCATGAATCTCCCTCTGTTCTCCCTGTTAATCACTCTACCTCAGCCACACAGTACCGCTTGGTGTCTCAAACACATATTCATCCCGCTCTTGCTTCAGACATGGCACTTACTATTCTTTAATCCTGGAAAAAACTCTCCCTCCAAAAATCTCACAGCTGTATTTAAAGGTCACATGCCAGAGAGCTGCCCCATATCACCCCACATAAAGGGCAACAGGCTTATCTCACTTCTTTACTATCTATCCCCTCATCCTATGGGGAAGACAGAATTCTAACATGGCGTCTGTGATCCCCACCCCTTTGTGTCCATGTCCTGCATAACTCACAGGAATGTGAATATGATGGATTTTACTTCCCTGATTAGATTATGCTAAAAGGCATAGTTGAGTTTAAGAAAGGGAGATTTCCTGTGAACTAATCATTTGAATCCTTTGACTCTCCATTTATAGGTCAGAGATAGGCGAAGTCAGAACTTCAAAGCAGCAGGGAGATTTTTCTGCTGGTCTTAGAGAAGCAATTGCCATGTTGTGGAGAGGACCACATGGCAGAAAATGGGGGGCAGATTCTAAGAGCTGACAACAGCCCCCTGGTAGATAGTCAGTAAAGAAACAGGGATCTTATTCCTACAAACATGAGAAACTGAATTCAGCCAATAAGCTCAATAAGCTTGGAGGAGGTCCTCAAGCCTCTGATGAGATAGCAGTCTTGAATGACACCCTGATTTTGGCCATGTGAGATCCTAAATAGAGAATCCAGCTATACCAGGTAGGATTCCTGACCACAAGAAACTCTGAGATAGAAAATTTGTGTTATTTTTGAGCTTCTAAGTGGCAATTTCTAGATAGGTGACAATTTATTACACCAAAATAGAAAATAAATAAAACCTTTTTTTTTTCCAAAGCACTTATCTCTACTAGGCATATCTTCGACCTGCTTCTTTATTTATTATCTGTCTCCCCTTACTGAAATGCATGCTCCATGAAGGCATAGTCTATATTAGTTTTGTTCACTCTGGTATTCTTACCTCCTAAAACAGAGTCTACAACATAATAGGCTCTTACTGAGTATTTAGTAAATAAATGAAGGAAACTTTGCACTTGGGGACAGTGGATGCTTTCTTCAAAAAAAAAAAAAAAAAAAAGGAGGCAGAATCCCTAGCGCTTAGTGACACTCAGTAAAAATGGGAGGGCCCCTTCCCAGAAGATTGGCTATTGTCTTGTTACACGTTTCAGCGTCCCTGCTCTCTTCTCTTGCTGTCCATAGATATTAAGTTGAAACATATCTTTCCCAGAAATAAGACTCACCTATATCTCTAGAGCAGGTGTTGGGAAACAAATATGGCATCTACTGAAGGGCTCATAGGAGATCTCATGAACAAAATTGAACCCCTAACCACAATGTAAGTAAAAGCTACAATGAGATGCCACTTCACAAGCTTTGGGATGGCAACTGTTAAAAAAATAAAAACAAAAAACCCACAAGTGTTGGTGAGGATGTGGAGACGTTGGAACACTTGCACACTGTTGGTAAAAATATTGTATGGTCATAATGTAAAACAGTATGGCAGTTCCTCACAAATATTAAAAATAGAATTATTTGATTTTGCAATCTCACTTGTAGATTTAAATCCAAAATAATCAAAAGTAGAGTCTTAAAGAGATATTTGCACACCCACGTTTATAGCAGCATTATTCACAATAGCTAAAATGTGGAAGCAACCTAACGGTCTATCAATGGGTGAATGGAGAAGTAAAATAATATTCCATTATTCATAAATGAAATACATTTCAGCCTTAAAGAAGAAGAAAGTTCAGATATACGCTACAATATAGATGAAGCTAGAGGATATCATATGATGAGAAAAAAGCCAATCATGAAAGGACAAACACTATCTGATTCCACTTATATGAGGTACTCAGAGTAGTCAAAAACATAGAGAAAAAAAGTAGAATAATAGTTACCAGGAACACAGGGGAGAGGAATGGGAGATTATTGTTTAATGGGTATAGAGTTTCAGGTTTGCAAGAGAAGAGTTCTGGACATGGATGGTGGTGATGGTTGCACAATATAAATGTATTTTATACTACCAAACTGTTTGTTTCAAGTTGGTTAAAATGATACATTTTATATGTATTTTACCACAATAAAAAATTGGAAAAAATTAACCCAACCATAAATTGTTAAATTTTTTTTTAAACCAGTAGCAAGAATGACACTTACAACCAAAACCAAAACCAAAAACAAACAAACAAAAAACATACTCAGAGAACCAATATACTGATAGGAAATTCAAAGATAAAACCATTACAATTGGCAAATGGATATCTCATACAGATTAGGGAATTATCTACTCAAAAGATGAAACCTTAGAAACCTCAAGCACACAATATAATTGAAATGAATTTTTAAAATCAAAAAGAAGAACAATGTTAGAGTAGAGAGATGCATACCTATATAACTATAAAATTTTATTTTATCTCTAAGAAACTCACAGATTACACAGTCCCCCAAAATGTGCTGCTATAGAGGATTTGAATATAAGAAGAAACAAGACACAGATATACATAATCTATAATACTTTGTTCCCTAAATATAGGATACACATTCTCTCTTAGGAAATAACTTATTGACTAAAAATATGTCTTAGGTTACCAACAGGAAGAATTCCTACAAGTCATTCTCAGGGGTCACAATGGAAAGAATATGGAAATACATAGAAGATCTCTTCCCTTCCCCTAAAAAATCTGATTTTCAACTAAATAAAATATAAAGAAGGAATTAATGAAAACAAAATTATGGAACACATACTTGAAAAAAGTACAATTTAATGAAGTTGAAAGTTAGTTTTCTTAAAAGTCCACTAAAATAGAGAAAAAAATATTTGAAATTACAGTCTTTGAAAGAAAAAAGAAGGCTGAAAGAAATCAACTTTAGGAAAAAAGAAAAAAGGCACCAAGAAGCCAACTTTAGGGGGAAATAACTATAGATAAAAGGGATGATTTAAAGGAAAATAAAAAGAAGGCAAGAAAGAAAAAAGGAAAATAATGTTTAACGTTAAGCTAGTATATTAGACAATATTACTTGGAAAAAATATTCTTACCATCATTGACTCATAAAGGAAAATGAAAAGGAAGTCAAGCTTTACCTTTAAAAGTATCACTAAATCCAAATAGACTCAGGGTTGGCTTTCATTAAAGCTTTAATGAACATAATATCTACCTCACAGATACATACATATACTCATGCATACATACATATGTATTCCACAGTACGTCAATTCCTTGTCATTGTATTTCCATAAGAGAAATATACCACACGTGAACCAGGAAGTACATACAATAATTTTTATTGAAGTTTTTTTTTGTTTTTGTTTTCTTTGAGACGGAGTCTCCCTCTATTGCCAGTCTAGAGTGCAGTGGTGCGATCTGGGCTCACTGCAACCCCTGTCTCCTGGGTTCAAGCGATTCTCCTGCCTCAGCCTCCTGAGTAGCTGGAACTACAGGCATGCACCACCATGCCCAGCTAAATTTTGTACTCTTAGAGAGAGATGGGGGTTCACCATGTTGGCCAGAATGGTCTCGATCTCTTGACCTCATGATCCGCCTGCCTCAGCCTCCCAAAGTGCTGGGATTACAGGCGTGAGCCACAGCGCCTGGCCTGAAGTATTATTTTTAATAGCACAGAGTATACATAATCTAAATGTCAATGAGTTTGGAAAATTAAATAACTGCCTTCTATGGCAGAATATGTTAGCAATCAATTTGTCATCCCTTTCTTCTTCCTTATAAGCTGAACAGTTTTGTTTCAGCAGTATGTGAAGTCTCAATGATAAGTCATTATGGGTCTAATCCAATTAAAACTATTTGTTTCCCCTTTGCTGGATGTTCATGTCCTCACCCTCCCTTGCAACTAGTGTGGAATTGACCCAATTTTGGTGAGTAAGATGCAATGGGAAGTTTGTGGAAAGGTACTGAACTTTCTAATAAAATAAAAGCTATTTTGCCCTGGCCTCCTTGCTCTTGCTTGTAAATGCAGTATGAACAGAGCCTAGAGCCGAAGTAGTCAAAAAGCCTGAAGGAAAGTGCCAACATGTGAGGATGGTTAGGAAAGATAAAAAGAATATTGCTCCCTGAATAACATTGCCAAGCCACTGACCCAGCCCTGAACGTATTATCTTCAGTTATTGTGTTAGTGATATAACAAATGTCTATATTGTTTGAGCCATAGGTAGAGGACGTTTGGCTGCTTTCAGATAGATGACTCCATTATACATTCTGTGGAGTATAATGTGGTTGTCAAAGGGAATCAGATAATCTGTATTTTCTGATATTTTGCTAATTGTATATATATTTATGCTAAAGGTATAAAATTACATATATATAAATGTACATGTTATGAAAACATTTATGAGGATGTATATATCTCTATATATCGATATTTATATAAATGCTTAGAAAAATGTCTGAAAGTTTATACACCAAACTGATATTTGATAACAACTGTGTCTAAAGAGATGGAACAAATTGGAGATGAAGGTGCAGATGGGGATATATTCAATGTAATTATAATTTCTTGTATGACTAAAGGTAGATAAATCAAAAGTTAAGTGAAATAAAATAATTTCAAATAAAAACAGTGAAGAGTTGAAATATGCATTTTGTTGACTTCAAAGTCTTACCAAACTGCATGAAATGGTCAGAAACTCTGAATAAGTCATCATTGCAAAGTATTTTCAGGATCTATTCATATTTTAAATGTGTGGAGGGAGCCAGGCATGGTGGTTTATGCCTATAATCACAGCACTTTGGGAGGCCCAAACTGGAGAACTGCTTGGAAGCCAGGAGCCTGAGAGCAGCCTAGGCAGCAAAGCAAGACCCTATCTCTACAACAAAATTTTTAAAATTGTCAGTCATGATAGTGTGTGCCTGTTTTCTGAGCAACTTGGGAGGCTGAGGCAGGAGGATCTCTTGAGCTCAAGAGTTTGAGGCTGCAGTGAGCCATGATCATGCTACTGCACTCCAGCCTGAGTGACAGAGCAAGACTCCATCTTAAGAAACAAATAAATTTTAAAAATAAAATATTAAAAATATAAAATGTGTGGAGGGTATTGCGTGTGTGTATATATATCTATATCTATATACATGGAATATTTATACATTTCCAACTATCCTGTGGAAAATAAATTTATTTATGCTAAATAAACAAAGGCATGGACAAATACATCTCCTAACCATATAGAGGTATAAGGGAAACAGATGCTTTCATACACAGAAGGATTTATTTCTCCACAGATGTTGTCACAGAAGGTCTTATGTTGTCCTGTTGTTGTGGTAAGTACATTGTGAAAGAGAAGTACAGTGTTGCCTTAATTCATATACACTCTCCACAAAGCACAACACACAGTATTTTCCTGATTCCACCACAAGATAGCAGATGGTGATGCCACAAATTACAGAAAACTGTTAAGACATTACATGTTGAATACATTAGAACATTTATTCACAAGATTAATAATGGAGCTAGAAAGACATTAGCAGATAGACAAGAGAAAAAGATATGTTTAAAAATGAGATTCAAATGAGATAGAAAAACAATATGATAAATCAGCAAAGTCTAACAATAACTTCGTGAAAACACAGGAAACTTTAATTTATACAGGACAGAATATAAGTTCTTTCTCTAGCTTTGTACCTCAGCACTGAGGACTAGATGTTTATTCAACATTTGCTGTACATCTCTATGTGCCAAAGATTGTGCTGGGTGCTTGGAACTCCAAAATGAAAAGGCACATACCTTCTTCTTATGAAATTACATCTAGTTGTTACAATCAAGTAATATTAGAGTACAGTGAAAAGAATTTTACTAAAAACAAGTAAGGTAGAGAAAGTGGCCCAATTTGGGAAAAAATAACATTTTCAAAGGAATAAATAAGTAAAGAGGTGATATAGGACAAATATGGTGGTATGGGGAACAATTAGCCATGTTTAGGGAACTGAGATAAATCAGGTTTGTCTGATGCACAAGCGAGAAGGAGGCATGATGAGTTCTGCATGTTGCTAGAGCCAAACTCAGAAAAGGCTGAAAATGCAAATCAAAGTGTTGTCCTGTGTCCTCAGATGTTAGGATGTAATTGCACTGACATGGTGAGACTTACATTTTGAAAAGTTTAGACTTGCATGTTACTCCAGCATGGCTGGAGAAGAGGAACTGAAGAAGGACTAACTGGAGACATGGAGACAATTTAAAAAGCTGTTGCAATAATCTGTGCAAGCAATGATGACAGCTTGATTTCATGCATATGTCAAGTGCTTAAAAAACATTTGGTGAATAAAATAATTTGAATGACACTGCTACCATATTCACTTTAAGGTAAGGAAAGGGGAGAAGAAAATAAAGAAGAAAGGAGAGAAGAGAGAAAGGAGGAAAGACACATAAAAAGAGAAAGAGAGCCTGTCCATGGCATAGCCATTATAATGTTTATTTCATTGGAAGGGTAAGCAAATAAATTTTGTAGCAGAGGCTGCTAGCCATTAGGCAAATCTAAGTATTTAAGTTCCACTGAGATCCTAACGGAAGATATAAGAGGGAAGATTGCTAAATGAAAATGTAAGAGATATTGTACCTGAAAACTCCATCTCTTTACTAATGAGTAGGAGAAGATATGTGCTAGATGTACCAAAAAAGGAATGGATTTTGAACATTGTAAAAAAGTGATCATGATCCAGCTCATGGAAAGCTCTGAAGTGAGGAAAACAAAGAGTGTACTGTAAACCCTACAACACTCAAAGGAAATACTCTCTCTCCTGAAAGCAACAGTTAAACTAATTGCAAAGAACTTCGGGTCTTGCACTCGAATTAAATATTCATAGAACTCCATTTATGTGCTGCATTTAGAAGTTAAGAGACTTTAAAAACCCTTCTGCATTCCCAATAGTCAGCTAATCCATTAGAAATGTGATACCCACTCTAACCCACAGAAACAGAGTGCCAGCCCAGGCAGCCAGCTGAGCTTCGGAGCTTTTTCAAGAGCTGCAGGCAGGGGCTTGAAGATGCTAAGTCATTCTGGCAGCAAATCCCTGGCCGTTCTCACAAGTGAGGTTTATCACCAGCAGTTAAGTAAAAGAGAGGGATATACTAAGAGGAATTATGTTAAGGGGGAGGGCAATGTTTCATGGTGACAAACGCATTATTTTCTTATTTGGTAATGGCAACTGATTCATATGCAGTCTAGGGGAAAAAAAGATCTAATATGCAAGAAATTTAAATATTTAGGTCGAACTTGATTATAAATGTGGTTACACAAGATGATCGGATGTTATATAGACAGGTGCTTCTTTCCCATATTACCCATTTCGCATTTTGTTAAAGATCATTAAACTACAGGCCCGTGGGCCATGTTCAGACTGCCACCTGTTATTGTAAATAAAGGTTTATTGAAACACAGCATATCCATTCATTTTGTATTATTGAGTAGTTTCAACAGAGATGGCATGGCCCACACAACCAAAAATATTTACAATTTGACACTTCCAAGAGAAGTCGCTGATGCTTGCTTTAAAAGATATCAATGATATATACAAAGTTCAAATCTTTGCTTGCACTAAGACACATGTGGCTTCACTGTACTTAAATGTATTAATGAAAACATCTACACACATATATTAGGAAGGTAAAATTGATGACTAAACCATTCAAGAGAATTCAAAATTCAGTGAAGTTTCTTGCAACCTGCTTTGTCGGAAAGGGCACAAATGGAACAAGGTTTTTCATCATTACAACGTAACCGTTACTGAGTAACAGTGTTTTCTATCCTGTCTCCTTGAATATCCTACCACTTGTCAGCATTTTCACAACTTACTGGTAGAAACCACATTTTACTCTCATGATTCCTTCTACCCAAAGGGGGTGGGGTAAAATAATTCATGGGTACAAAAGAAATTGCTTAGGTTAAATCTGTTTGTTATATACCAGATGGATTGGAGAGCTTGATGGAAACAATCCTTCGGAACCTGTCTCGCTATCCTCTCAATGCTTTATTATTTATTCAGAGTAAATCTTCCATGGCACATAAGAAATACATATGTTGCTTCATTTATTATTTACCTGACATGTTGTTAGCAACTAGAGTTGGAAACCAGTCAGAGCACAATTTCTTAAGGAAAGACCAAGCAAAGGGAGCAGAAGAATCAGGCCAACATGGTCACTAGGTACACAATTCGTACTGGAGTTTTCCAACTCAGATCCCTTTGGGAATAAGATGAGGTGGAAATCAATAAATAGAAACACTGGGGTTCACTGTACATATGGATCTTTCCTGGCATGGCAGAATGAAAGGGAACAGGACTGAATAGGGAAGCCAACCACATTCTCCCTAGGAAAGGAAGAAGTGCTCAAAGAAATATGTGTGCCTTTGCACCTCTGCAGAGCCAACTTTTTAGATAATCTGACAAGAGCTAGCTCAGTCATCTCTTAGGCAGTGGGAATGTAACTTTTTATAAAAAGTAAACTTATTTAACCTAAACTTACTTTTCTTTAATTACAAACAGATCACATATCACATTTCCAAGCTTGGTTCAGTGTGGCATTTATTGAGCTCTACTGTATGCTAGGCTCTGTGGTTCCAAAGATGAATAAAGCATGGAGCCTGCTCTTGATAAGTTCATCTTTTAGTAGAAAAGGAAGATATTACAAAATATGTAATATATATTCAATAGCTCAATATATTAAATACATACATACACACACATATATTTCTCAGGTTATTTCAAAATAATATAGTAAGAGCTAAGAAAAGGTATATAAACCATAATCCTGTCTTAATAATTTTGCTAAGCAGGTAATACAAAATAAATGAGTTAAAGATATACATTAAAATAATGCTTTTAACCATTTTTTGTTTTCAGCCTGAATATTAACAAGACCAAAAATAAAAATTCACTGGTGCCTCATGAACAGTTTTCAAGAAAAGATGACTCTCTCTTGACTATTCTTCCTAGAAGGCCTAATGTATTAAAAGCTCCTAAAAGATAAGGAATGTGTGTTGAGCATCCTTGTAATTCCTATAACACCCTTGCAGCACATTAAGTGAGGAAAAGGAGACACTCAAGGTTCCACAGTGAAAGAAGGACAAAACACTGGTCCATTTCTCAAGACTTTCAGCTTTTCATTATATCATCTTCAGGGCCAACCTCGATGGTTTGGGAGACTAATCAAATTTCAAGTGATGGTTTCCACATGCCAGCACTTCTGACAGCTCATACTCATAGAGCATCTATGCTTGGTTTTGCTCAACTTCCCCTGCAAGAGGAAGAAGTGGTTTCCACGCTGCGGTTACCTAAGCCTGCAAAGAACCAATAGCTCCTCACCACAGGTTATTCCAGTGTCTAACCCAAACAAATGCCCTGGATTTTTGTTACAACTTCTCTCATTAAAGTTTAGTGTTGTCTTTTCCTTTTTAGTTTTATTTTAATAAAACAGGGACAAGGGATTGTGCTGTAAGGCACATTTCCAGTTGTAAATATTTTTAGCAACTCCCTAACATTTTTCTCTCCCTTCTTTTCCCTTTCCTTCCCTTCCTGCCCTCCCTTTTTTCTTTATCTTATTGTGTGTGCACACACACATGTGGGCTTGAAAAAAAATCAATGTTCTCCCAGTGGATTTATTTCTGAGCAGACAGTTTCATTCTTTTAGTCTTTGGGTCTACACAATAAGAACTAAAATGGAAAGGTGAAGATAATCAGGAGAGGAAAAAAGTGAAATGTAAAAATATGAGCAAAGCTAATTTAAAAATTACATAGAGTGTTATCAATATGACATGAATTTGTCAAGTTTTAAACATGATGCTAACACAGTGCCTTTCAAGCAGTTCAGGCACACAAAATGATCTCTCCAAGTTTATGGATGCACAGCATTAATTTTATAACTTGTTCCTGCTAGTCACTTCTACAGTTTTTAAAAATCATCTGAATCTTCTTCAATAGAAAATAAAAATGTGGACCCAAGAACCTGGGGTGAAAAGTTCAATATGGAAAATATCTTATTTGTCACTGCTCTTAGCATGCTTACGGGGTGATTTTCTTTAACCTGACAAATAATTAACTTTATTAAGAGTGAATCATATTTATATTTTTCTCACCTAGGTAAATACTTGCTTTTGAAAATCACATATGTAAACAAACTATTCAGACACCTTCCAAAAATGTTTTTCAAATTTCATTCCATTGGTCTATACATAGAATATTCTAGAATATATTCTTCTGTAATTTAATAACTATATTAGAAGTTATGACCTAAACTCTTGCTACAAGCTCTGCTCTAGGAAGAGTAGAAACTGGGAACTTCGGCACGATTTGGATTTTATAATAATGAATTAGACTGCTACGAAATGTGAATTTGTTTCAAAATAGTATGGTAATAATATGAGCAGAAAGCTCATAATGAAAAAGCCATATTTTGCAGGTCATTTCCCGATGAATGAATCAGGTACTAGGTAAGTGGTTAAAGCTCAATTCATAAATTTTGAAGGAATGAAGAAGCATCCAGGCAACAAAGGAGCCCCACAGCAGAGCTGTTGGTCCAGTGATTCTCAACTGGGGATGATTTTGACCTCCAGGGCACATTTGGCAATGTCTGGAGACATTTGTGATTGTCACAACTCGAGGGGGGATGCTACTGGCATCTAGTGGAAACCAGGGATCCTGCTTTACTCAGGACAGCGCCCTGCAACAAAGAATCCTCTCTCTTAAAATGTCAATTATGCTGAGGTTGAGAAACCTTGTGCTAGCCTCATGATCCATAATCTTTGCAAGTTGCTACACTCTGATTTCAAAACACACTTCTAAACATGCTCTATGGCATGTATTCATCTTATAAATGGAAATAAACAAAAATTTATTTTCTTTTTAGTATTTCAGCAACACCCCTTAACATCACCAGACCACCATTGGCTGTTGTACACCAGGACTGTGGATTAATGATCTTAACTCAGAGCTAACCCAGTTAAATAGACATACTTCGGCATATCTTAAAGAATTTAGAAGGATAGTATTTTATTTCTCATTCATCTGCCAACTCCACAGAAGTCTTTAGAAAAAAACAAACTGAAAGTTTAGAATATAAGGTCATAATCGCTGTATATATATATATAAAATAATCATATATAGTTTTTCACCTTTAAATAGAGAAAGAACATTTTATAGAGGAAAAACAGTCTTTGACTTTTGATCTTATATTCTTGTGAAATTTCCCATGTTCAAGTCAGGAGTTGAAATAACATATTAGGTTTACTAAGTGCTACTTAATTTTAGCTCTGTAAAGTCAAGAGGACAGCAATGGGCCAGGAAATATATTCCCAATGTCAGCTATCTATTGCAGGACTGCTCAGAGCCCTTAATATATTAATGTGTCCTATGTATCTCCAGTGGCAGACCATACCCCATAGGGTCTTCTGAACTAATTTCACTACAGAGCCCTTTATTTGGTTGCATTTTATAAAATTGGAGTTCCACAGGGCATATTTGGAAAGCACTGGAATGGTAAACCTGGCCTCTTCCCAATGAACTCTGCCTCCATGCGGAATAAAAGCAATGGCCGTAGCCAGCTTACCTGATGGATCTATTAGCTAGCTTGTCTCTCATTTAACTGGACCCAAGGCAAGCCCATGGAAATGCAGTTCATCAACTTGTTCTAATGGATTTGGATTGTTCTCATTCTTTAAGAGCCTAAACCCTTCCAGAGCTAAGTACTCACATTCTATAGAATATAAAGCACTGTAGATACCTGTGAAGTGGTGGATTTTCTATTTCCTTTCTTATTAAAAAAACATTTCCAGTGTATTGCTTAATATATACTTAAAGCACTGATGCCACAGAAAACACAAGGATACATGTTCTAGCTTTCAAAACAGCATTGTTTTCCCAACGCCAAAAGACCAGGGAAGTTTATGTAAAAACCCCCATGCACAGACAAGTATAAATATGAGTGCAATAATGATATTTTCAGTGTTCAGAAGAGATTGTCATTAACTAGGATGGATTCTGTATCCCTGAATTAATCATAAATATTTTTCTGAATATGTTATCCTTCACTTATATAATACCATTTATCCACTGTACAAAGGATATATGCTGTCAGGCACATTTTCAGTTACAGGGAAGGTTATATTTTGATTCACCAATATTCTCTTCCCTAGATCTTCTTATCAAGAGTAAGCATTTACTGGGCTGCTGTTCACATTTTGAAGTTAGGTCTGTTGCTGTGAAGAATTGGTGTACAGTAGATTTGAACCAATAACCTCAAGATTATTATTGGTTGAATGAACCATCCACATATAGGGATGTAATTTCTTTGTACTGTATGGCATCTTTTAAAAAATGGCAAAATTGTTTTTTATTCTGATTTGGACACAGAAAAATAAAACACACTAAAAATATGAGGCAACACCAAAGGACAAGTAGGAGGAGCAATGGAATTATATCCAATTCAAAATTTTTTCTGTTTGGACACAATACAAAACTACTGAAATTGGAACACATAGATGATCTCTTCTTTCAAATAACTTATTCGTATTTATTTTTCCATTTCACCAATTATGAAATTGTCTCCATTTTAGGTGCTGTCTTTCTTCCTTCTTTTCTCCACATCCTCTTTTCCCATTCATGCATTCATTCAGTCAACATTGTTTGAATACCGTCATTCATTCTACTAGAAGTGTAGTGTAGTGGCACTAAAATATCACTAGAAAGGATATTAGAGGACAGTGGAAATGGGTCTGATCTGTAAAAGACGACAGCAGAAAATATGAATGAGGGGGAGACCAAACTAAGCACTTCAGGATGACAAGATATGCTGAGGCTTAATAAATATTTTCAGTGTTTAAAACCCCCCATTTCATATAATTCAGGTGTCAGCAAACTACAGCCCAAGGGCCAAATCCAGTCCACTGCCTGTTATTGTACTGTCTGCAAGCTAAGAATGGTTTTTACATTTTTAAATAGTAAGAAAAAGATCAAAATAATAATATTTTGTGACATAAAAATTTTATGAATTCAAATTGCATATAATACCTACAAATAAAGTTTTATTGGGACACAGTCATTGTCATTCACTTATATATTGTCTGGGGCTACTTTCATGCTATAAAAGCAGAGTCAAGTAATTGTAACAAGACTTTATGATCTACAAACCTAAATTATTTACTATCTGCTCCTTTAAAGAAAAAGCTTACCAACCTCTGATATAATTGTATAATTGGTCTGAGTAAAGCATTGTGTGTACACACTATAGCTTCAAATTCTGTACTTTTAAAAGCAATCAATAAGAACGTTTTCTATTTGTCTACCAACATATAAAACAGGCTGGAAAAAGATAAAATATCTAAATCCACACGTAAGTATCTGAAGAATGGATAAAGGAATCACAGTAATCTATGATTTTTGTAGTGTGACTCTGGGATATAAGAATAAAAATATATCCAAGAATCATTAGGTAATCCATCTACCCACTCAGGTTAGCACTGTCTTGATCCTACAAAATAATAAATCTGTTTTATATGAAGAGTTTAGAAAGAATTAAGAGAAATGTAGAAAGCCAGAAACAGATAGATGGAAAATGATGAAAGAAAATCAGGATAATTGCATCAAAGGACAAAAAAGCTAAAGGATGACTTACTGCTGGACTTTTAGGCATGAAGAAGGCAAGGCAGAGGCAATGATCTTGAGATACAGTGGAAGGTACTGAGTTTACCCATTAGGGAAACTTTCTTGACAAAGTGTGTTATTAATCATGGAACTGTGTTATCTGTAAAGACAATGGTTTTTCAAGGCTGGAAGTCCTTACAAGCAAACGAACAAACAAAAGGCATTCATCCACACTACCCTTTAGAGGAAAATTGATTTAAGCCAATAGGCTGTATTAAGTGATTCTCAGGATGGTTGGCCCTCTAATTATTCTAAGACTATTTCTGCAAATAAAGTAATGTTAACAATTTCCATTAGCAGGTGGGAGAAGGAAGCCAGAGGGATGAGCACATACATGAAGATTCTCGTGTCTGCCAGTTGTCACTAATGAAATGGGAGTAGGGTGAGGTAAAAGCCTTCCTGAGTACCTTTGCTGCATGAGCTCAAAACAACTCAGAATCAAGAGTCTTCTTGCCAAAAGCAGCTTTCCAAGCAGGACTGATATTTTTGGCCTTGATTTGTACTGATCAACAAGTATATGTCTGTAGGGATTAAATTAATTAGAGGAGATTTGCTGGATAATGTTCAAAGACAATAAAATTCCTCAAGGTTTATAGGCCATACAAGTTGAAGCACAAAATGGTACACCTTGGGGGAGGATTAAGGAACTAATTTTATACCCGAAGTACTGTCATTTTCTAACCTCATGCAAAAGGGGGACTTTGCTTCAACACGTTTCCAATTGGAGACTAGGTTAATTTCTATAGAGTTACATTTGCTGGGAAATAAATCTTGAAAAGATAAACTTAGAAACAAAGGATTACATGAATAAGCATGCAGTATAAAAGGCAAGTAGCCTATTTAAAATAAAAGTTTTCCTGGCCAGGCGCGGTGGCTCAGGCCTGTGACCCCAGCACTTTGGGAAGCTAAGGCAGGCAAATCACTTGAGCCCAGGAGTTCCAGACCAGCTTGACCAACATGGTAAAACCTTGTCTCTACTAAAAACATAAAAATTAGCCAGGCACAATGACACACACCTGAAATCCCAGCTAAAAGGGAGGCTGAGGTATGAGAATCACTTGAACCTGGGAGGCGAAGGTTGCAGTGAGTCAAGATTGCACTACCACTGCACTCCAGCCTGGGTGACACAGCAAGACTCTGTATCAAAAAAATAAAATAAAAATGTTTTTCAAGTGTTCAAAGGAAAGGGAGGGGATATTAAGCAGTTTTCCATTAAATTTGTTTTAAAATAGAACAATAGAGTGGTTTGCCTTAATTAAGCCATATAATAAATTTCCAGATGAAAAGGGCTGTTAAATTTGGGGCAAATCAATTTTTGAAGCTGTGGAATCTTTTAAAAACAGTTTAAAATACATATTTTCAACTAGGCTGGCTGCATGGGAGTATAGTCCTTTCCTACAAGGTGGGAGACAGAGATACAACTTGACAAGATTTCTTCTAATCCTAAACAACCTCATGGTTGCCTGTGCTCTATGACTTAAGGGTTACCCAAAGGCCCACCTGCATGAAGACATTTTAAAGATCCTGTCTGTCAATCATTAGAATCAATCAGGGAAGGGCCCTAAAATTTACATTTCTAGGTAAGTTCTCAGATGATGTCCCTACTGCTGGTCCAGGGACCATACTGTGAGAACCACTAGTCTAAAGTCATCTCTTTTTCCTTTTTCCATAACACAGAGGGAAAGCGCCAAAGACCCAACACTTTAACTCGTAGTCTGCCACTGCTGAACATGAAAATTTTTACATTATGCTTAATTGGCACCTCCCATAAGACTTATATCAAATTAGTTACTGACTAGGCAATTGAGTTTAGTCATGGCCCATTCTATTAAAAAAAAAAACACAAAAACAGACAATTTGTTCAAGTTCTGAAAAGCCACATGACAAAAAAAGAAATATTTCTTTGGATAGTTCTAGAAGATACGAGTCCACCAGATCTTCCCTACCTACCTCCTAGTACCCCAAATTCAACGTTAAAAAAATAAACAAATAAAGCTATTTCAGATTCTAAGTGGCATTTCACATTTCAGAGCCTTCCACAGGCAATGTAAAGGAATGAAGAGATGTAATGACACAAACAACTAAGAAGCCTGACCTTAGAGACTTCCATCTTGAGAAAGTGAAATGCAAAGTAATCATTAAGGCCTTGAACATACCGAAATATGCATGTCAACATTGCCTATTTCAAACGCTATTTTCCCCAGTGTTACAATATGCCCAATAACAAATATTCTTGTTTATTCTGTTAATGATGATTTACAATATTTTTTTGTTTTTTTTTTATTTTGTTTTTGAGATGGAGTCTCACTCTGTCACCCAGGCTGGAGTGCAGTGATGCTATCTCGGCTCACTGCAACCTTTGCCTCCCAGGTGCAAGCGATTCTCCTGCCTCAGCCTCCCAGGTAGCTGGGATTACAGGCACGTGCCACCACACCCAGCTAATTTTTTTTTGTATTATTAGTAGAAACAGGGTTTTACCATGTTGGCCAGGCTGTTCTCAAACTTCTGACCTCAGGTGATCCACCCGCCTCAGCCTCCCAAAGTCCTAGGATTACAAGAGTGAGCCACCATGCCCGGCCTACAATATTGTATTTAATTGCTTGTAGAAGTACCATGTAGAAAGTACCATCTCTAAGACTGATTCCTTTATCCAGTCAATATTTTATGACTAGCTAAGAAGCATACTTTTATAGAAAATATATTTTAAGTCAATTGTATACATATAAGTTGAATTATTATACGTGTAGTATGAATCTTTGTTAAAGTAGCTTACAATGAATCTTTTGATTAGTATTGATTAGTTTTTTTTAGTTTTTATAGTATCCATGTTTTTTTAGTTTTTATAGTTTTATAGTATACATATAAGTTGAATTATTATACGTGTAGTATGAATCTTTGTTAAAGTAGCTTACAATGAATCTTTTGATTAGTATTGATTAGTGTTTTTAAGTTAAATAATTTAACTTTCTATTCAACATTGACAAGCTTTAGCTTTGATGTAACAGCTTGGCATATGAGAAACTGAAACACAACAACTTTATGTTCTTTACAGAAGGCAATTCTGCTTTTCATAAAACTTGGCCCTTTATTGTGAAAATAATTTGAATAACAAAAGAAAAGAAAGGGCTGGGCATGGTGGCTCATGCCTGTAATCCTAGCACTTTGGGAGGCCAAGGCAGGTGGATCACCTGAGGTCAGGAATTCACGACCAGCCTGGCCAACATGGTGAAACCCTGTCTTTACTAAAAATACAAAAATTAGCCAGGCGCGGTGGCATGTGCCTGTAATCTCAGCTACCCAGGAGGCTGGTCAGGAGAATCACTGGAACTTGGAAGGTGGAGGCTGCAGTGAACCGAGATAGCACCATTGCACTCCACCCTGGGCTACAGAGCAAGACTCTGTCTCAAAAAAAAGAAAGAAAAGAAAGGAAGGAATGATGGAAGGAAGGAAGGAAGGAAATTTATTCTTTTCTTTAAATGGGAGGTGATTCTAAACTCTATACTTTGAGATTGCTCTGTCAAGATTTAGCATAAATAACTTCCTAATTGAATAGTAGGAAGTTCATAAATACCAGCTAAAGTTATGAATAATGTACAACATCTCCAGTGCCCTGCATACACCACCAGTTAGGTCTTATCCAGTGGATTTTAGTCAGCTACACAGGAATGAGGGAATGAGAAATTTTATAATTTAAATGAACTATTTTATCTTGATGTTTTCAAAGCATTTGAGTTCAAGTTCTTACAGATGTATACATGTCGATACCTGTGACCAAAATGCTACAGATCCCATCTTGTGAAACACATTTAAATGGTTATCACTTTCCAAAGGTCTTAATTACCAATACCTGTTAAAAGACATAGCTGAGTCCAAAATTCTCTAATTTTACAACTGTGTAACACATCCACTTCAAAAGTTTGTATACTCACAGAAGTCTGATAACTGCTCACTAGAAAGTGGAACATCTCACATAAAGTGAAAAGACAGGCAGATAGTAACACATGTCCTTTTTGTAAGATGCGGTTGAGTTTAGAGCTCCATCTGTTCCCAGACTTGAGAAGTCTGGGGTTTTCTCAAAACCACCACAAAAGATTTGTATGTTGTACCAACAGAATGTACATATTTTATAAGCATTGTCTGGGCCAAATAATCATTTAAAAATAAATCCCTATTCTCATAACCAAGAATATTTAAAACATTCAGTAAGAATGCTCCAGCCTTTAACAAAATACCATTAGACCCTCATATATTGTCACTATTTATCATTTGGGAAGCATCACTTTTCTTATAAAAAGAGGAAAAAGGTGATAGCCAGTTTTCCCAATCTGCAGGGGTATTGTCAGGACTTCACCCTTGAGAAAAGTGGATTTCTCTGTAGTTTCCTCACCAAAATTGTTTCAAGCTCTTTCTTGCAATTTTCTGCAAGAAAACACTGCAAAGCAAACATCAGTGATCTAACATCAGGCAAGCTTTCCTCCTTGATAATAAATACGTTAGTTTGGAACAGGCTCACAAAGAATCCAGACAGCTCCGATCTGGCCCTATTCCAGGAGAGAAGCGTCTGGTGTCGGGAAGAAACACTCAGCTGTCTTTCAGATGTGTACTTCTATCTACCCCTACTGTCTGCAGCTTGAAACAGAAGTGGTGGCTATTAAAGACCTGTCTTTTGGGCACTGGTGTAAAACATCTTTGCTAAATACTGTGGACAGTCAACTGAAAACATCCTGTATTTACTGGGAATTGATCTTTTGAAATGGTATGGTATATGTCAGGTTAGATACTAGAGAGTTAACAAGAATTACAGGCCGCTGTTTGTCAGGATTAACAGTCAGAATTATAGCATTAGTGTAGGCAATCCAGAGTTCCTTTTTGAATCAAATTTACATACTTTCCCCACGGGCTTCAGGGATGCCAGTCAGGTGCTGAGCTAGCAGCTTCTTTTGTATAAGTTGCATGTGCTAGGGCTTAGCCAAAAGCCCAAGCATGGGGCATTTGGCCAACTTCTCCACATATGCAGTACACCGACTTAGGAAGGAAGTAATAGTGTTTCTACCACAACACCTCACTTAATGCTTGATAAGAGGGAATGTGCTCATAACTTACTGCAAAGCACAAAGAAGATGATAAGAACAACATTTAGCAAGAGACTCTCAGCAGCTTTGCTTGTGCAGTTCCTAAAGACTGACTCAAATGTCACAAAAGGTTAAAAGAGACCGGGTTGCAAGGCAGAAGCAGTCCTTAGGTGTTGAGAGTGCACCAGAAGCCCCTAAGTCAGCAGGGTTCAGAAGAAGAAGTGGATATGGTGGCTGCCACGTAGGGCAAGCCTGGAACAAGGCAGCGGAATGTCATAAGCACCGGACCCAAGTCAGGGACCAACAGCCAGTGAGGAACCAAGACCTAGTTATGACAGAACAACAAAGATTAGCTGGGAGTCACTCAAGAAGTGGGGAAAACCAGAGTCAGTTTGAACCCAAGACTGGATTGATGGTGAAGTCAAAACAAGGTGGAAGGCAAGTAAAAAGCAAAGTTAGAAACAAAGCAAGGGGCGTCAAGCATGATTGAAACTCAGTTACCTCTGGATATCCAGAAATCCAATGCTAAAGCATTAATCACAAACTCAAATGACTGCAGCTCCAGGCTGGTGACCTGAAGGTAGGGATCTGGTGGCTAAGGGTATGACAAAGAGAGTTGTAGTGTGTAGGGCCAACCCTAGAGAGAGGGTTTTTCATTCCATTTTAAAAACATATCTCATATTATATTCTGGCAGCTGAATATATCCACCATCGCATGTTCTAAGATAGGCACTAGGTTAAGTAACGGAGGAGGACTAGTTCAGGAGGTCTGATGGAGTAGGGTTACCTGCCTTGAAGATCATGCCGAGGGAGGTTCTATAGAAAATAAAGCCATTGATTTATCAGCCAGGCATGTGATTGTAGAAAACGAGACACTTAAAACAAAATACAAATTTGCATAGATTCAATGTGCACCACAATTTATCCTCCAGCAATTTATCGAGTTCTACTTAATAGCTCTAAAAGCAGGAAAAACAAACTTTAAAGATAAACCATACAAACTTATTAAATATGCGTTAGCCCAGGAGGGTAGAAAGTTGTTAGAGAACTGGGGAATGTAAATGTAGACAACTGGAGGTGAAAATGGGGAAGGAAACAGCTAAGAAAACAATAATGTTAACAGAGGAAGTCAACTGTTGAGGCAATAGTCACATTACAGGTGAAATAGCAATATCTATGCCACAAAACTAAAAAAAATAGCAGGAAATCATGAAAATACAATGGGGCAGCAATCGAAATGAACATGAACATACATGGAGTAACCTGTTCTATGGGGAAGGCACCACTCTGTGGTTAGGTGCGGGGCTTCAATGACTAGATGCCCAGGTTGGACATTTGTAGTGTGTAGGGCCAACCCTAGAGAGATGGTTTCTCATTCCATTTTAAAAACATATCTGATATTATATTCTGGTAGCTGTATTTATCCACCATTGCATGTTCTAAGACAGGCAGCCTGCTAGGTGGCACTAGCTGGGTGACCTTAACCAAGTTAGTTAACCCCTGTATAGGTCATTTTTCTTCTCTGAAAAATGGGAACACTTATACAAATAAGGTTATCTTACAGGGCTGTTATGAAGAATGAAATTGTATTTGCAGAGCACTCAAACCCTGCTTGGCATACAGTCTTATGTAAGTTTAAATATAAATGTACTGGGTAATTTACAAATATTATTTTACTTAATCCTATCACATCTACAAGATTATTATTCTCAAATCACATTTGATAGATAAATTAAGGTTCAAATTATATCAGTAACTTTCTAAGGATCACAGAGCTGGGAGTTGGCAGGGCTGGATTAGGTGTCTCACCTTCTTATTGTATCACACTACCACCAGCTCCAGGGCATAAAAAATGTCACATTCTAGCAGCCCGCCTGGCAACTTTCTCCACATTGAGGTTTCTGTTTCCTAACAGTTTATTTTCTAGAATAGTTCTTACCTTTAGAAATTGACCAAACTCTTTACCAGGACTGTCAGAAATGGTTAAATTACATGCAACCATATTGGGAATTAGAAGATAGGAGGAGAAATAGATTTTCTCATGAATATGCAAATGAAATTTATCTATATATTTAAAACAGGCATTAAGAGAAAATGTGAGCCTCTGTCAGAGATAGAATGATGCTGGAAGTAAGTTTGTGGAATTCACTATCTTAACTATTGTGAAATAATTATACTGTCAACACATTGAAGTTTCTTATCTAAATGTGAGCAACTCCAAGCCATACATCAGAATAAAGGTCCAAAAAAAGAAGAAGAAAGTTATAGAAATATTTTTCCCCCAATAATTACTAGAGGCTAAGGTTCAGATTTGCTTTTGTAAAGGCAAACTGACTGCCCATAGCCCTAATATCACATCTGGAAATTCCAAGTTCCGGCGTGCAAGCATTATGGACAAGGCCTCTGGAAAAATCTCATGCCAGGGAGAATTGTGGATTCTCTGCCATCCATGCTGAGCTTGGAATGTTACTGTCCTATTAAAGTTTCCAAGCTCTTTTCCCTAAGAAGCTTTGTGGGCACCCTGAGCAGGCCTTGCCCAGAGCCTTAGGACTCAGAAATAAATCAGAAAGGGAGGATACCTAAAGAGGAAAGCTAGAAGTAAACATATGGTGAGAGAGAAAAGAGGAGAAACGTGACTGTATCAAGTTGTTTGAGACTAAGCTTGAAAAGGCTACTTAAAAACAGGAAGGAGAGGGAAGCAACAGAGAGAATAGAGGCAGATGGAAAATTTAAACAGAGCCAAGAGAAAGGAAGGCAAAAGAGGAAAATTATGAACTATGGAATTAGATTTCATGCAAGGGAGTCATCAGTGTGTGGACTATGGCACGTTTTCAGAAGAAATTCCCCACAGTTCCTCCTACTTCAAGACAGAAAGTAGTATAAAGCATGAAGGAAGAATAGAAAGGAAAAAAGGAAAGGGAAAGGCCTATGATGATACATTTGTTAATCCTTCTATACCCTTCACTCTTATTCCATTTACTTTAGGATTTATTCCCATCTACCCAGTATATAGAGAATAAACAAAAATACAGGAGACTTGTATATGCATCTTTTACTCAGAGTTCAAAGCAATCCACGAATAACTCAAATGTTTATCATGCCTCACTGTCTAAAGCAGGATGTAAATGGAAAAGCAAGTCCTGAAGGGAAGAAAGCAAAAACCAGGTCATCCTGCTTTCTTCTCTGTTTCAAGTACCATTTGGCTTCTACCTTTCCCCTAACCCCCAAAGCACACTAAACGAATGTACTGCTAATACCAGCTACACCAGGCAGGACCTCCCTAAGGGGCCCAGATTTTCTCTCCCACTTTGTCTTCTGCTTCACTTCAAGATTACACATGAGCAAGGTTTCTGCTCACACTTAAGAATAAGATAAAGAAGAAAGAATCGTCTTACATATCAATTGGCAGTGATACCCCCCTACTCCCTTCAAGGCAGAGTGCCCTAACTGAATTTGATGCTGAAATTCTGGTTTTCAAAGAAGTTTCCTGGTTGCTGTACAGTTAAAAAGTTGTGCTGCTCTTGTCCCCTCCCTCTGACTTCAAAGCCTGCCTATTTGTGACATTAGCAGCTGCTGAGATGAAAGCAGTGAGGAAATCAGTCTACAGTGAGTGGACTGGGGCTGGCGGTTATATGTGTCTCTTTTATCCTGAATGAGAAGACTACAGAGAAAAATACAAATGATTTATTGTACACTGAGCCAGACAATTCTAACTTACAAAAAAAAAAACATCTAACAAATGCATGTTTCTCTACTCTCAGAAGATTCTATTGGGGTGAAATGGAGAGATTCCACTAGATTCCTCACATGCTTGTCTTATATTTATTTTAAAAGAGCAGTATTTCCATGATGAGAGAGCTTTCTGCTGAAGTTTCTATTGCATAAATGACACAAAATTATGCCCTCAAGTCCACAGAAGTGCTATGTTGGTCTCTAGCATATTCTAGTTTATTGGTTCTCAAATTCTGTTGAATAGCATGAAATTTAATTTTTAGTCTCATTACAGGAGCTGGGAAGAATTAAGATTGTAACTGTGACCTCACATTCCAGGAAAAATAAACTACTAAATCAAAGTGAATGCGTTGTTCAGCTCTATTTTAGTTGCAAATGACAGAAAACCCAAAATGAAACTAACTGAAGCTGAAAAAGAAAAATTATTGTGTCTTGTAACTGTGGCATCCAAGAGGAGATCACTTCCGATACAGTTCGATCTAAGGTATCAAGAGAGTGACAGGAGCTGGTTTATCTTTTTCCACCTCTCAGCTCAGCTCAATGCAGCCCATCTCCATATTGGCTTCTCTGTGAAGCAACCTTATGATGGCATGATAGCTACCAGCAGCTTTAGGCTTTAACTGTTACAAGCCTAAGTGCATTGGGGAAGAGAAAAAGTGGCTCTTACCAAATGCTCCTTAAAATCTCAGGTTTCACTGACGGGACTGACTGTGGTCACATCACTCCTGAAGCATCATTCGTTGAGATTAGGGAAGTTCTGTGCTCTTAATAGGTCGGCCTGAGTTATGAGTTCCCTTCTTTGAGGTCCACACAAACCTCATGAACTGAAAACTAGAGTTTCTCAGAGGGAAATTGTATTGTTACCCAAAGTAGGGTAAGTGAAATCTGAGCAGGCAAAACAAAAGACATATTAATGCATATATATATTATGCATATACTAATGCATAACAGATTATTTCGAAGATGTATTACTAATATGTGAATGTCGTTTCTCTATTAGTACTCAAAGACAAATGAGTGGTAACAGGTTGCAAAGGGATTTCAAAAATAAGAGATAAAATTTACCATGGATAAAATTCTATTTTTCTGTAGATTTCTATAAAATAAATATTTTATTTCTATTTTTTTTTTTAGCGGAACCCATCTATCCAGCATGATAAACATTAAGCATGAATGTTGTTCAACTGCTTGACACCTACAACACTGCTTGGGCAATGTGCTAATTGGGCCAATTTCCTATAAAACAGGGTCTAAGACACAGTCACCATTTATTCTCCTTAGTAATGACCAGTTATTGAGCCCCTATACGCATTAGATGCTGTACAAAGCACTCTTCAACATAAAGTCTCTAATTTTTACTCCAAGAAACTTTATGTCACTTGGATCAAAGTCACAGTTGGTTGGTGCTGGAGTCAAAATGTGAACCAAAATTTACCAAAGGGCCTGCCTAGGCCTTTTCACTTACGTTAAGGGGTCTTGAACTCACTGAATGTAATTCTACCAGGTTGTCATCTTTCGTACTTTGAGTTGAACTTGTCCCATTTTACCAACTTTAATCTTGGAGATGCTTGTACCACCCCTTGTGGCTTCCTTGTGTTTTACCCAGCTGTATAATTTGACCTTTCCATATGTTTCTTGTCAAGATCTTGATTATCACATACAAACACACTTATGCATGAAGGCAAGGAAAAGGCTTATAACAATATGCTGCAAAAAACCAACAATGATATCTCACTAGGTGGTAGGATTATGAGTAATTTGGATAGTTTTTTTCTCTTATGTTTTTCTGTACTCTCCAATATTGTATAATCAATATATAATAATTTTGGAATTTGAAATAACTACAGGAATTATGTTCTTAGAAATCTAACTTGTGACAAATGTTAGCTCTTCAGTAAATCTTTCCCTGATCACACACTCTCTAAACTTGCTTCTTTCTAAACTGAATTCTTTTACTATTTATTTTGCATGCTATTTATATGACACTTCTAACTTCCTGGTGGTAAAGCTGTGTTTTAATGCATATTTATTTATACCAGCCTTTCTAGGTGGGGATTTAAGATGGTATGAGTTGTGCACAGAACTCCTCTTTTTTGGGATAAAAGTCTTCTGGAGGGCAGGACTGTGCTTTATGCTCTCTCTATCCCCTACTGTACCTATTATGCAGTAGACAATCAATAAACATGGATGGAATAAATGAAACTTATAGAAGAGATTTAAAATCTCATTTCTGTCATTTCAACTTCCTATCAACTCTCCTCTATAAGCAATAAAAATGAATTATTTGAATTTAATTTCTCTAGAGATCCATCTTTTAGTGAAAGTGCAAATCAGGGATGAAATAGCTCAAGGCAAGTGATCTGAAGGACAGGAGAGAAAAACAGAGGGTGGCAAAAAGCCACTAGGAAAGTGCAATGATGAGTTCTTGCGTAATCAAGAGGTGGCTAAGTTTTAAGACTGGTCTTTCTCATGGATAACAAATCTTGAGGTTTTAGTTTTGTACTACTAAAATTTATCATTGGATGAAGAAATCTGAACAACAGTCTTCAGATTAATTGGGTCATCATTATTCATTGTGGGAAAGAAAGCAGGTAGACTAGGATCAGCCTTACAGAATAACCAATTGTGACCTGATTCCTTAAAGCACTAAGCTTTACTTGCTATTTCTATTTTTCCCAACCTTCTAATATAAATATTATGAAGTCTAATTAGGTATTTGAATATTCACCAAATGTAATCTTCTTTCAGCAACTGTTGATTAATGTACTACTGAGACAAATAAAATGATACTCTTGGAGTTTAGAGGGGTGGCTAGTCAAAAGTGAAAGAAAGAAACATAAAAAAAAACCTCTAGATTTTCATCATTCTTCTGGAGACATCCTTGCTGTGCTCTCCATTTCTGATTACCTTAACCCCACTGGGTGTGTCACTCCTTCCAGGATGGTTACAAGCAAGTGGGAAACAGGTTTTGACACAAGCTGCTGTGTGGCTGAAAACACAAACCCAGTATCATCAGCCAGTCCACATGAGTCACCAGAAGAAGGAGCTCCTGGTGCCTCCTGTTTCAGCAGGTGAGGCAAACGTGAGGCAAAGGGGAAGCACACTAAGTACATCTAATTTACTTGCATTGATGTGGATGAAGAAAAAAGAGACAACTTGTCTTCAACACCTCCAAGAAGTTCTGGACCATGCTGTTTCATGAAAATTAATTTTATTGCAATCCAAATTCAGACACTCCAGCTTCTTTCAATATCTGTCTATAATACAATTGCCTTTCCCAGACCACATGTTTTTTGGCCTTTTATATATGATTCTATGGGGCTTTTTAATAACTTCAATAATTTTTATTCCTTTAAAAATTATTTAAAATGGCATTATCAAAAGGAGGAAGCTCCAGGACCAGTGACAAGCGAGCATGTCCTGATGAAACCAGTATTCTGATTCATTTTCTTGAGCTCCAGTCATATTCCTGCCTTACCGCAGGTATCTATTTCCACACAGTATCTATTTTCCTGAATTCAGAGATTTAACAATCTACTTTATTCCTACTGAGTGCATAGCACAATGTATACATTTTTCTCTATAAATCATTTTTGCCATTCACATTTACTGTTTTTAGCTCTTATGACAAATTCCCTATTCTAATATAATGTCTCCTTCCTAACCACTCTTATTCATTGCTACCATTGTTCTGTAATTTTCCCAAATCAGTAATACTCCAAGATAATATAATTCTTCACTGACCCCTTCAGGATGTAGAACTCTCAAGTTTCTCATTATTAAAATCTGCACTCAGAATCTGATTAACTAATTCCCATAGAACTATATATATCAGTTAAAAAATGAATCACATCTTTCCAGATCATTCCATTTTAGAATATAAAATGTTTAAGGTAAAGTTAATGAGTCTTTTAAGGTAGAATTTCAGGCAATAGAGGCAGGTGGTGAGTTGTTGGGGTGGAGGTGGTAGTACTTTTAGGGGAATAGCTTCATGGAGTTTTGTCAACCTTAGCACGCAAGGTTCATGAAGGTTGCTGTCAACCTTGCTTTTGTGTCAGTCTGCCCTACATAATAACAGCAATCATAACATATCCATAACAACTTTGACTATTACTCATACTATTTTTAAGTCCCTTTTTTAATCAAAGAGTTGTAATATGAATTTTAATATCATTTCATGTTCAGTACAACCCTATGAAATTGCCTTATTATCAAGGGACAGTGGGGAAAGAGCTGGGTCAAAACTACTCAGCTAATAAAAGGCAGAGCTGGGATTCTAACTCATAGCTGTGGAATTCAAAAACCCATGGTCTTAACCATGATCTGCTTATGGTTATCTGAAATACATCGAACTTTTAAGATATTCATTGAAGAGGCTCATTCTTCTCTTCATAATTTCTTGGTTGTTTTTCTCAGTATTCTCTGGTCAGGCCAGGTGATTAATGTCACTTACACTTCTCAAGTTTTTCAGTAACTTCATTCCTGATCCGGTGACTTTTACATTTCATGCAAAGCATACGTGGTATAGATTTGCCATTAAAGTTTCTTTTTCCCCCAACCCACCAAACTCTTAAAAAAATATTGAAAGGGAAATTAAAGTTTAATCAGAGAAAAGAAAATGGACCAATAAAATACTATTTTGTACCTGCCTTAAGCAGATGATGCTATGGAAAAGAGTGCTTTTATTAATTTATTTTTGAAGTTATATTTTATTTTTTAAGATATTTACTATCCAGTAACTAAAACATTTCTCATTAACTAATTTACGTGTTTTTTTCAACTTTTATTTTTGTTTCAGGGAGTACATGTGCAAGTTTGTCACTTGGGTACATTGTGTGAGGCTGAGTTTTGGGGTACCAGTGATCCTATCACCCAGTACCAAGCATAGTACATGACAGTTTTTCAACCCTTGCCTTGTTCCCTCCCTCCTCCCTCTAGTAGTCCTCAGTGTCTATTGTTATCATCTTTATGACCCAAGCACCCTATGTTTAGCTCCCTCTTATGTGAGAACATGCAGTATTTGGTTTTCTGTTCCTGCATTAATTTGCTTAGGATAATGGACTCCAGCTGCATCCATGTTGCTACAAAGGACACGATTTCATTCTTTTGATGGCTGTATAGTATTCCAAGGTGTATATACACCACATTTTCCTTATTCAGTCCACCATTGATGGGCACTTATGTTTAATAGATGTCTTTGCTATTGTGAATATTGCCCCAGTGAACATGTTAGTACACGTGTCTTTTTGGTAGAAAGATTTGTTTTCTTTTGGATGTATACCCAGTGGTGGGATTGTGGATTGAATGATAGTTCTAAGTTCTTTAAGAATTCACCAAACTGCTTTCCACAGCAGCTGGTCTAATTTATACTCCCACCAACCATGTATGAGTGTTCCCCTTTCTCTGCAGCTTTACCAACATGAAGAAAAAAAAAGAATAGTAAGTGAAAAAAAGCAGATACAAAACATATGCTTCAAATATACCTACAGTTCTGAGAATAAAAGATATTACAGCAAAAGATTTATTGTAGTTATAGCTAAGCAATGTAATTATGGATAATGCATTGTTGCTTTGTGAGACAATTTTTAAATTTCTCACAAATGTTCCAGAAAACAAATAGTCTTTAAATCAGAAGAAAATGGTTAATTTCTAAAACAGCACTCGAAGTAGAGTTTTTGGTTATATATAATAGGAATGATCAGGTCTTCTTTTTATTTTCAACTATTTTCTATGTTTCACAAATTGAGATTCAATTCCTTTCAATAGGTTGCCTACATTTTAATGTGTAGTCCAAATAATTCAATTCTGACTTCCACTGATGCACGCCAGACTCACCCCCCTGTTGTTAGCTGTCAATGCCAAAGGATAGGAAAATTAATACAACATCATTAAACCATTCAAAACCAATTCTAAGAGCTTGGGATGCACAATGAGAATAAATGTTTCACTCATCCCTTTCTTATTACAAATTCCCTTTTGTAAAATGCAGCATACTGATTAAATTGTGTGGAATGATGACACAAGTGTGGCCTGTACTCTAAAATGTCGCTGGGAAAAATACTGGAAAGAGGAAACAATGGAAAAGGGGACATTTTTAATTATATGACAAAGGAATTATTTTTGTGTCTCTGCTTTGTTGCATATACAGGTAATAGTTAAGTGCCATGCATTTAGTACTTCATCAGTAAATAAGCTACTAAATATCAGAAATCCAGACCTTTATCAATCAGAAATAACCAAATATGATTTATATTCCACATGAATTCAATCATAATCTCTTAAAAACCAAAAGATTTCTACTTCTGTATCTGTAAGTACTGAAAAGTAACATTAATTAAGTCATAATCTTTTGAGTATTCACCCAGAAAAGAGAACATATATTCACTTGCTCACTGATTATTTGATTTATTCATTGAAAAATTTGTTGAGCAGCTGCTATATGTGAGTTCTGTAGGAAATCTAAATTAAGGCACTAAATGGTCCCTATGGTATAGTAACCAATATATAATGTGGTACTCCTAGGATATTTGTTAAAATTGAAATTGCTGAAACCCACTACAGACACTTGGAATCAGAAATTCTGAATGTCGGACAAAGAAAGCAGACTTGTTACCAAGATTCCTGGGTGATTCATATGATCACTATTTTTGAAAATAGTTAATTCTATTGTTTTTATACAGACAAGATTTGTACATGAAATATATCAAGTAGTAATGCATAGTAGTTTCCAAAATATCAAAGGAATAGATCCCTGGTTGTAAGCAAATGTATAGCAATTAAGGATATTAGTTCAGTGACTTTAATGCGTTCATCTGTCAATTTAACTTGATTATATTAGTGTGTTTTTGGCTAAATAGAAAATTTTACTTACAGTCAGCGAAGTCATAAATCATTAATCCTTCTTTAAATCAGCATTAGATTTGCATATATCAATGACTAAATCGGAACACAACTATACTGAAAGTGTTTAATCAAAGTAGTATAAAGGGAAGGATATATTTTGAGGCATAATTTCTAAAGCTACTATTTTTGAAGCCACAGAAAGCAGTATGTCTTTTCTAGAAAATGAAATAGGCATTGCTACATTTTATTTCTGAAGAGATAGCATCCAGGTTCCGAAAAGCAAGTAATCAATATTTAGTTTGGAAAAGAGGAGTGATAATTTATTCGGAATTTATAAGCAGAATATTCCTTGTAACATGCAGTATATGCAAAACTTTATTAATGATCTAAATTATCTACCAACACTAAAATGTAGATAATATCACTGTATTACCCCCATTAGAAAGATAAATAAACTTAGGCACATGGAGAATAAATATGGTTTAGGTCCACAAATTAATAATACACAACTTGTGCACAAGCTATTGTTTAAAGACCTAAAATAAAATATTCTGTAAAGAAGCAAAAACCAACAACAAATATCTTGCAACTTAGTAAATCAGGCAAGGACCATGAAAAGAATAAAAGTCACACTGACAGGCTGTCTTAGTCCTTTTGTGTTACGACTAAGGAACACCTGAGGCTGGGTAATTTATAGAGAAAAGAGGTTAATTTGGCTCACAGTTCTATAGGCTGTACAGGAAGCATGGTTTTGGCATGTCTCAGGCTGCTTTCACTCATAGGAAAAGGTGAAGTGGAACCAGTATGCAGAGATCTCATGGCGAGAGGGAAGAAGAGTGAAAGGAGGATATGCAAGACTCTTTTAAACAAGCTCTCATGGGAACTAATAGAGTTAGAAGTCACACATTACCTCAGGAAGGCACCAAGCCATTCAGGAGGAATCTACCTCCATGACCCAAACACCTCCCACCAGGCCCATCTCCAACATCGGGGATCAGACTTCAACATGAGGTTTGGATATATCCAAACTATATCACAGGCACAAATATTCACAGCTTTTTATTATTATTATATATTTGTAGAGACAGGGTCTCACCATCTTGCCCAGGCTAGCCTTGAACTCATAGGCTCAAGTAATCCTCCCACCTCAGCTTCCCAAAGTGCTGTGATGCAGGTGTGAGCCACTGCTCCTGGCCCTAAGGCTCTTAATTACATACCATTGATCAAGGATCATAGAACTACAGAGTACTCAAGAAGAAGGAAAGCTGAAAAGTCATCTTGTCCAATCGCCTCTGCTATCAATGAGGAAACTGAGGCACTAAGAGTGGAAGTGCTAAGTGGTATAGTTGAGCTATAAATCCAGGTATCTAAACTATTTATGAATGGAATGTCCCACTTTACAGTTCCATCTCATAGGTCCTAGAATTCTTCCTTCCAATCAATATGTCACACAAATGAGACTTACAAAGTCAGTATGATGGAAAAATACATAAAATTTTTAGTTTAATGTGTAATTTTCACACAGTAGAAAAATTGTGGGAAGCATCTGAAAGGTGAAATGTATAGGATACATTCATTTGGCTTGTCACTTTTGGAATCAAATTCCTAGCTCATGTCCTGTTGATCTCTTCTTCTCTTTTCGTAGCTCTTAAGTATGTAAGTTATCATTTCCTCATTATTAACTTAATGTTTATTGATAGTTTAGGCTTTCAAACTCTTTATGCATTCTCCAGCTCCCTTTAGCATCTTCTGTTTGAAGCTCATTGCTGCTACTTAAAAGCTATAAGCACTAAGGGGAGCTACTCAACTTTTTTTTTTTATTATTATACTTTAAGATTTAGGGTACATGTGAACAATGTGCCGGTTAGTTACATATGTATACATGTGCCATGCTGGTGTGCTGCACCCATTAACTCATCATTTAGCATAAGGTATATCTCCTAATGCTATCCCTCCCCCCTCCACCCACCCCACAACAGTCCCCAGAGTGTGATGTTCCCCTTCCTGTGTCCATGTGTTCTCATTGTTCATTCCCACCTATGAGTAAGAACATGCGGGCCGGGCGCGGTGGCTCACGCCTGTAATCCCAGCACTTTGGGAGGCCGAGGCGGGCGGATCACGAGGTCAGGAGATCGAGACCATCCCGGCTAAAACGGTGAAACCCCGTCTCTACTAAAAATACAAAAAATTAGCCGGGCGTAGTGGCAGACGCCTGTAGTCCCAGCTACTTGGGAGGCTGAGGCAGGAGAATGGCGTGAACCCGGGAGGCGGAGCTTGCAGTGAGCCGAGATCCCGCCACTGCACTCCGGCCTGGGCGACAGAGCGAGACTCCGTCTCAAAAAAAAAAAAAAAAGAACATGCGGTGTTTGGTTTTTTGTCCTTGCGATAGTTTACTGAGAATGATGATCTTCAATTTCATCCATGTCCCTACAAAGGACATGAACTCATCATTTTTTATGGCTGCATAGTATTCCATGGTGTATATGTGCCACATTTTCTTAATCCAGTCTATCATTGGTGGACATTTGGGTTGGTTCCAAGTCTTTGCTATTGTGAATAGTGTCGCAATAAACATACGTGTGCATGTGTCTTTATAGCAGCATGATTTATAGTCCTTTGGGTATATACCCAGTAATGGGATGGCTGGGTCAAATGGTATTTCGAGTTCTAGATCCCTGAAGAATTGCCACACAGACTTCCACAATGGTTGAACTAGTTTACAGTCCCACCAACAGTGTAAAAGTGTTCCTATTTCTCCACATCCTCTCCAGCACCTGTTGTTTCCTGACTTTTTAATAATTGCCATTCTAACTGGTGTGAGATGGTATCTCATTGTGGTTTTGATTTGCATTTCTCTGATGGCCAGTGATGGTGAGCATTTTTTCATGTGTCTTTTGGCTGCATAAATGTCTTCTTTTGAGAAGTGTCTGTTCATATCCTTTGCCCATTTTTTTGATGGGGTTGTTTTTTTCTCGTAAATTTGTTTGAGTTCATTGTAGATTCCGGATATTAGCCCTTTGTCACATGAGTAGGTTGCGAAAATTTTCTCCCATTTTGTAGGTTGCCTGTTCACTCTGATGGTAGTTTCTTTTGCTGTGCAGAAGGTCTTTAGTTTAATTAGATCCCATTTGTCAATTTTGGCTTTTGTTGCCATTGCTTTTGGTGTTTTAGACATGAAGTCCTTGCCTATGTCCTGAATAGTAATGCCTAGGTTTTCTTCTAGGGTTTTTATGGTTTTAGGTCTAACGTTTAAGTCTTTAAACCATCTTGAATTAATTTTTGTATAAGATGTAAGGAAGGGATCCAGTTTCAGCTTTCTACATATGGCTAGCCAGTTTTCCCAGCTAACATCATAATGACAGGATCAAATTCACACATAACAATATTAACTTTAAATGTAAATGGACTAAATGCTCCAATTAAAAGACACAGACTGGCAAATTGGATAAAGACTCAAGACCCATCAGTGTGCTGTATTCAGGAAACCCTCTCATGTGCAGAGGCACACATAGGCTCAAAATAAAAGGATGGAGGAAGATCTACCAAGCAAATGGAAAACAAAAAAAGGCAGGGGTTGCAAGACTGTTCTCTGATAAAACAGACTTTAAACCAGCAAAGATCAAAAGAGACAAAGAAGGCCATTACATAATGGTAAAGGGATCAATTCAACAAGAAGAGCTAACTATCCTAAATATATATGCACCCAATACAGGAGCACCCAGATTCATAAAGCAAGTCCTGAGTGACCTACAAAGAGACTTAGACTCCCATACAATAATAATGGGAGACTTTAACACCCCACTGTCAACATTAGACAGATCAATGAGACAGAAAGTTAACAAGGATATCCAGGAATTGAACTCAGCTCTGCACTAAGCGGACCTAATAGACATCTACAGAACTCTCCACCCCAAATCAACAGAATATACATTTTTTTCAGCACCACACCACACCTATTCCAAAATTGACCACATAGTTGGAAGTAAAGCACTCCTCAGCAAATGTAAAAGAACAGAAATTATAACAAACTGTCTCTCAGACCACAGTGAAATCAAACTAGAACTCAGGATTAAGAAATTCACTCAAAACTGCTCAACTACATGGAAACTGAACAACCTGCTCCTGAATGACTACTGGGTACATAATGAAATGAAGGCAGAAATAAAGATGTTCTTTGAAACCAACGAGAATGAAGACACAACATACCAGAATCTCTGGGACACATTCAAAGCAGTGTGTAGAGGGAAATTTATAGCACTAAATGCCCACAAGAGAAAGCAGGAAAGATCCAAAATTGACACCCTAACATCACCATTAAAGGAACTAGAAAAGAGGGAGCTACTCAACTTTCTAAGCCTAAGTTTTATGATGTATAAAAATGGACATAATGCTAGGTCATAGAGCTGTTGTGAAAACTAAAACTGGGCAAAATATCTACTTCGCTGGCTAGTACAACAGGTGTTTAAAAATATAAATGACTTTTCCTTGCCTCCTTTGCCTAAATGTTTAATTTCAATGTCTACCATCATTCTGCTATTGTCTACATTCAGCTACCATCTTTTTTGCTTGCCTTTTTTCTTGCCTCAGAAAATTTCCTCTTGCTTCTTCAGCTTTGACTTTCTAAATTTTATCTTTGAGTGTTTTTCTATAGTTGTGTGTGGCTTTCAAAAGGAAAAGGAGGTAGAGAGAGAGAAAAAGCAGGCGTGAGCAATTTAGATGTCAAGTTTTTGTTATATTTTTTCCTTTGTTTCAATCTTGTCTCATTCAATTTTTGCTTAAGAAAAATCCTGTTTATTGTTTTCCCATGATGTATGTTGCTATCTGAGGTATTCACTGAAAAATAAGAGTGCTTTTTTTTTTTTCCACTGGCAATAATCTACAGAAACATCTGCTAGATAACCGGTTCTAGTCATGTTATTGACAGGAGTTGGTTTAAGTACCACCTGGAGATAACCTCCCCCAAAAAGGGATTTTTTTAAGAAGCCTAAACTTTTGATATTTTACATAACTATGCTCCATGGAAATGGCTAAATTTTCCAAGCCCCTTCTTTTTAAAAATAATCAGCTCTTCAAACCTATGTAATATAAATCATTTTAAAATTCACACTGTTAAGCTGTAGGGATAAAAGAAAGATCTTAGAGTTGGAAGAGGGAGAAAAACATGTGCAAAAGGCAGGGGGTAGGTCATGGAAACTTCTACAAAAAAGGAAAAAGTATAGAAGTACAAGAGTACAGAGTCAAGGGCTGAGGTTTTAAAAATAAATGTTACCCTCTATAAAATAATATCCTGTTCCAAGTAAAGAGACTCAAGACCCTTTTTCAACTCTGTTTCTCTGATATCATGGAGACACAACTCATATTCAGCTCTTACAATCATAATTCTAGGTATAATTTCGGTCAATTATCTGTGGCCAGAAATATGGTTCTAAATAGCAATTGTCAGTCACTAAAGTTTGCAGTCAACCATAAAGATAAGAATAGCCAACAACAAAAAATTCTTTTTATTTACAGATCATCCATACTCTGGAATCTTAACTTCAGAGTAAAGTCAGTCAAAGAGAAAATATTAGTAAAGATTAAATTAGGGCCTTTTTAATGATATGTATATAAATATTCATTTAGACAGAATGAAGCAGATTGGCAGACCTATTGAAAACCTGCTTGTCCCGGGCCTGCAGCTGGCCTGGAGTCTGTGGGAAGCAAGGTCAGGGAGGCACGCTTTCCTTCCTGTCTGCCAGCTCTGTCTGCAGCTGAGCAAGACAGGAGGGCTTTGAAGGGAGGTCTGTGGTGGGAAGGATGACTTGGCTTCTCCTCAAAGGTCAGGTGCACAAATGCAGCTGAAATTATTCCTCTTCCATATTGTCATTTCCTTCACAAATGCTCATAATTTGGAAGAAAGTTCAATAACCTATTTTTCATCATTAATTTATTCACTGAAGATATTTGCTGGGTACCTACTGGGTGAAAGGCACAGAGAAGATTAGGTCCTTAACTTCATATAGCTTACATTCCATTCACTGTACTTTATTCAGCACTTAACAATAGGCCATGAAGTAGAAAAGGCTCTAGGTACTGTGGATTTAAAGATGTAACAAAAGATTCCTCCTGCCAAAAAGTGCATGGTTAGTTTCAGTCAGCAGACTTGTATGTACATAAAACTCCATAGTGAGATAAATGCTAAGAGTTGTTTGTTCAAAGTGCTTCCTAACGATCTAGATAATGGAAATGGTACCATTATCCCTCTGACATTTCTAATATTTTAAAGAAAAATTGCATTTGTAGGTCTCAGTCACTAGTTGAATTTATGAGGTAAGGAAACAGATACTCTAGTAACCTAAAATCAATAATTTTAAACAGAGAAATCATAAAATGACATTAGGGGCTAATATCTCCATTCTCTCTTCTCTATTCTGATGGAATACATTTTAAAAATGTATATAATAAGTGATCACACCAAGGCTGTCAATAAAAAGTGTTATTTCCCATTACAAGTGCTTATGGTGATTTAAATAAGGAATAAGGCTTATGAGAGTGAAATGCTAAGACCTAGGTAGTAGAGAGTCCCCTACAGATCTATACTAAATGGTTTTCTCAGGGCCAGTGAATTTCTTATAAATCATTAAAGGAGATCACAAGAATATTCGATCAAATGTGGTCTAGGATAATTCTTTAACATACTTTATGAAACATAAGCACTTATCCAAAGTGAAATAATACAATCTGATTAAAATGAAAGTAAAATAAATAAAGGTGTTTGGCTTGGTTGGGTCAAGTTTTCCCCTGCAATTAAATCCAAACAAACACAAACAACTGAAGAGCTGGTATTAGAGATTTAACAAAATAAAATTTCTGACTCACTTTATGTTCAGGCTATGTTCACTAATCTTTATAATTTAGTAAGCAGTATGTACAGCCAGAATTGACCTTACAGAGATTATTCCACAAAATTCCCAGTAAAAAAACAAAGTTTTATTAATATCCACTTTACTTAGCCTGAAAGAGAAGCCAATTACCATTTTTCATCAGTTTTCTAAGGTGCTATTAATTGCATTATAAACCATTATATATTTCATGAATGAATTTAAAAGCTGCCAATTAAAAAATGACACAAGGTTTTATTATTATCACTTGGAATTTTTATTTTACACTTAATAAAAGAACTCTGTTAGATTTACTTTGGCACATAATTTTAACTCTGTCACTCTTGTGTAATCATAAAAAGAAAATATAAGTAAAATAAAGATACTTTTAACACTATCACATTCTGACTTTGAATTTTCTATATCACTTTTCAAGTCAAAGTTGTCACTACATATGTTTTTTTGTACAAATAACAGTCTCCAAACAACAAAAGAGTAAGTGATGCAGCTTCTCTTAAGAGGATGTTTTACTAGTATCTTTGATCTTTGCTTCCAAGCTTTAACACCCATTCTACCAGTCTTGATATCAACAAAAAGTGTTATTGGAAGAATTTAAAACAACAAACAGATGCTGGCGAGGATGTGGAGAAATAGGAATGCTTTTACACTGTTGATCAGAGTGTAAATTAGTTCAACCATTTTGGAAGACAGTATGGTGATTCCTCAAGGATCTAGAACCAGATATACGATTTGACCCAGCAATGCCATTACTAGGTATATACCCAAAGGGTTATAAATCATTTTCCTGTAAAGACACATGCACACATATGTTTATTGCAGCACTATTCACAATAGCAAAGACTTGGTACCAACCCAAATGCCCATCAATGATAGATTGGATAAAGAAAATGTGGCACATATACACCATGGAATACTATGTAGCCATTAAAATAATGAGTTCATGTTCTCTGCAGGGACATGGATGAAGGTGGAAACAATCATCCTCAGCAACTAACACAGGAACAGAAAATCAAACACTGCATGTTCTCTCTCATAAGTGGGAGCTGAACAATGAGAACACATGGACACAGGGAGGGGAACATCACACACTGGGGCTTGTTGGGGGTGGGGTGAAAGGGGAGGGAGAACATTAGGATAAATCCCTAATGCATGCAGAGCTTAAAATGTAGATGATGGGTTGATAGGTGCAGCAAACCTCCATGGTACGTGTACACCTATGTAACAAACCTGCACGTTCAGCACATGTATCCCAGAACTTAAAAAAAAAAAAAAAAGTCATAGTTAAAAGTGAAAAATAAAATAAAATAAAAACAACAAACAGGATTTATATTCCCATTGTATTAGTTCTTTTTCAGTCTGTTGATAAAGACATACCTGAGACTGGGAAGAAAAAGAGGTTTAATTGGATTTAGAGTTCCACATGGCTGGGGAGGCCTCAGAATCTTGGCGGGAGCTGAAAGGCATTTCTTACATGGTGGCGATAAGAGAAAATGAGGAAGATGCAAAAGCGGGAACCCATGATAAACCCATCAGATCTCACGAGACTTATTCACTATCACGAGAATAGCACAGGAAAGACCTGCCACCATGACTCAGTTACCTCCCCCTGGATCCCTCCCACAACACATGGGAATTATGGGAAATACAATTCAAGTTGAGATTTGAGCGGGGACACAGGCAAACCATATCACCCTCCTAAACAGTCCTTAAATGATGTACAGAATGAAACACTGAGAGTTGAAGTTGTCCAGACATACCACTGTAGATCACAGCACGAGCAACAATCATTATGCTGAAACTATTACCTTATCAAAATGGTTTGTAAGGCATATTGCAACTTCAGAGACGTTAGAACATGAAGGTAGGCACTTTAGACTCAGTGAAATACAGCAACCTCCAAATTACTCGGAAAATCACATTTCTCTAACATTTTTATTATTTACTTATGAAAATTTATGTGTACATTAATAAAATTTATACATTAAATTATATATAACATAGAACAATAACGTATCGCCCGATACTTTATATAATGTTAGCAAAACCAGTGTTCTTTTTTGTTATTATGAACAAAAAAGAGCAACAACGGTGTCCTCTCTGAGGAATCTAACCAATAATTACTAATAATTTAAGGAATATTTGATTGAGTAAAACACAATTACATATTATTAAAGGCAAATAAAATAGAAATTGGAAAGGGAAGCCTCTCTCCCCATCATCCAACCTAGACCACATTGAAAAACCTGGATTGGAAACAGCCAATTAAAAGAGTATAAGGTTGGGTGCGGTGGCTCACGCCTGTAATCCCCAGCACTTCGGAAGGCCGAGGTGGGCAGATCATGAGGTCAGGAGATGGAGACCATCCTGGCCAATATGATGAAACCCTGTCTCTACTAAAAATACAAAACTTAGCTGGGTGTGGTGGCACGTGCCTGTAGTCCCAGCTGCTCGGGAGGCTAAGGCAGTAGAATCGCTCAAAGCAGGGAGTAGGAGGTTGCGGTGAGCCGAGATAGTGCCACTGCACTCTGACCTGGCAATAGAGTGAGACTCCGTCTCAAAAAAAAAAAAAAAAAAAAAGGATAAATGAGGGCTTTAAGATGAAGAAGTTTTGTTGTATCTTTTTTTTTTGAAAAATTCCTATGAAAGAGACATGTTCTTCCTTTTTTACTTTCTACAAGAAACCAGTCTCTGAGCAGCACCATATAGAATTTATAGAAGGGAGACTATCAATTTAGAACAACAAATGGGCATTTGAGTGATTTAAATGATACACAATATGCTACATTTTCCATAATAAGCTTATATTAAGGACTTGTTCTGTGTTTAGGTTCCAAAGCACATACTGGAGCATGGACAAAGAGCATTATGATAGGTTTCCTAGCCCAGTACCAACACTCTTCTGACATTTACTAAGCAAATCACAGAATACAAAGGTTTTCACATGTCTAAATCTTCTAAACTATCGCAAGGGCAAAAGCTCTACCACCTTTAAATTCCTACATCATTGATAATATGTGTCACATAATTAACAATGATATAGTCCATCATTAAATTTTCAGGACCATAATAGGATATGTGTAAGAATAAATGAAGGATGAGGTCAGAAAGATGAATTTCAATTGGGAAGCTCTGCTATCAGTTCCCGAATAAATGTTAGTAAATGTGTCTAATAACTCAAATCCTCATTAGAAATTCCCTGAGTGTTATCTGAATTGATAGGAATTTGTAGAACTTTAGTTTTGTTCGGGCAAAAAATGCTGTAATATTGCAAATATCTTCAATGTGTAGATACAACACCTAATAAGCAAAGGGAATTGATAAATGTAGATGTTCAGATATCATTTAATATATCGAAATAAATTAAATATTCTTAGTCAATATGTGTACCATATATAATTTTATGTGTGTGATATAAAACATATATTCAGCCAGGCATGGTGGTTCATGCCTGTAATCCCAGCACTTTGGGAGGCCGAAGTGGGCGGATCACCTGAGGTCAGGGGTTTGAGACCAGCCTGGCCAACATGGCAAAACCCCATCTCTACTAAAAATATAAAAAATTAGCTGGGTGCAGTGGCAAATGCCTGTAGTCCCAGCTACTCAGGAGGCTAAGGCGCAGGAGGCTGAGGCATGAAAATCACTTGAACCCAAGAGGCGGAGGTTGTGGTGAGCTGAAATTGCACCACTGCACTCCAGCCTGGACAACAGAGTGAGACTCTGTCTCAAAAAAAAAAAAAAAAGTCATAAATTCATATCTGTTTCTCTGTGTGCCTATACCCATCTGAATATCTCCTTCTATTACCTAGCTAGTAAATTATGAAGTGGTATAAAAGTTTCTACATGACGTTGCTCCTCTCCTGTCTACTTCTCCAGGTGCACGAATTGCTATTGCTTCTTGTACTTTAGGATCCAACCGTACATAAAGCAGCCTAGTTTTAGCCATTCAAAACTATTTGCTTTACCCGAAAGTAGCTGCTAGTTTGGACCTATGTTTGGATCAAATATAGGCTTTTCTTGTGCTTCTCTCTGTACTTGGAATGCCTCTTTGCCAGGTGCCGAGCACCTCCTCATGCTTTAAGCATTGCTGACTGGTAAAATGAAGCCACTGTAGTCAATGCTTTACACTGGGGCCATTGTGATGTATGGTCTATGACGTAGCAGTTTTCATTTATATTTGTTGCAGACATTAAAGAAGTTAATAAATTTGAAAACAAAATTGATCACGAAAAAATAAAATTTTGAACATATTTTCTAAAGATTGGAGCTGCAGATTTATCATTCTGATATACATATTGTATTTTGGCATGGGGGCCTCATGACAATAGAGTAACTAAAAATCCGTAAGTAGCTTCTCATTTTTATCATCTAGGTCAAAAATTCAAATGGTGAAAAATGCATTGTGAAAAATAAAACAGGTGTTACAGAAAAATTTAAGTCTTCCCAACATTGTTATTGATATAATTACTGCTTTAAATAAAATCACAAGAATATTTAATTTAAAAAGTATCTGTGAAATGGTTAAATAGTTATCACAAACTACTATATGAGAGGAATAAATTTCTTTCTGAAATGTGTTATTTGGTCATTTACCTCTAACTAGTCTTACGCATGTGTCCGTAGAAGAATATTTCTTCTCTGAATTGAAATTAATTTAAACTTATTTATAGAACAAATTTAGGATATAATGCTAAATACAGTTGGCCCTAATAGAAACATATATTTCAGCAGCTAAAAAGATGGAAATTGCAAAATGTACAGTGATTTGTATAATACCAAATCAAGGTGAAGAATAAACTTAAAAAATTATATCAAAGGAGTATTATCTTGCTTTAATAGATTTCCTTTTGATCTTAGATTTTAAGCTACAAATTTTTTATATAGAAGCTTTCTGCTACAGCACATTTTATTAAATAAAGATATCCATAGGTATTGCAAAAGAAATTCTATTTGTTGTATTTACATGTACGATTAGTTCATGTGAAAACCCTTTTAGTGATTTATCTATCTTTTATGAAGATTCTTGAAAATGTTAAAAGTTTAATACACGAACATATATTCCCTACAAATGTAAACAACTCAGCAGTCTATAGATTTGAAAGTAAAATTCCTTTTTCAATTCCCAGTTTCACTACTGATCTTACTCCCCTCTCTCGAAGTAATTTCTGATAACTGTTTAAATGCATTCTCACAGATTTATTTATTTACATTATGAATATATCTATGCCTGTATGTATTTATAACAAATATATTTTGAGACAAAAGCAAGTATAACATATACATTACATAAAAAATTATGCATTTTAGCATATACAGACCTAATAAGTTCTATTTTCAAAGCTGTTGAGGATCTTGTATGCCACAATATGGATGGTCCAATACTTACCTATTTATTTAGCATTCATCTATTGATGGAAATTTAGCTTATTTTCTAACTTTAATCATTATGAACTAGGTAGCATTTTATATCTCAACATGCTGTGCAAAGTACATCCCAGTAAAATCAATAAAGAATACTTGGTAGCATGGTTGTTACAATGTTCTTGAATACATCAATGGCTCAAAATTGATATACTGAAACTCTAATCTCCAATGTGATGGCATTTAGAGATGGGGTCTTTAAGAGGTAATTAGGTCATGAGAGCAGAAGTCTCAATGGGGTTAGTGTCCTTATAAGAAAAGACATAAGCTCACTCACTCTCTCTCTCTCTCTCCTCTCTTTCTCTCTCTCTCTCCTTCCCTCCCTGCCTCCCTCCCTCCTTCTCTCTCTCATTGTCTCTTTCCCCGCTCTGCCATGTGAGAATACAATAGGAAGCCATCCCTCTATAAACCAGGAAGAGAGCCCTTACCAGGCAAAAATTTGGCCAGCACTTTAATCCGGACTTTTCACCCTCCAAAACTGGGAGAAATAAATTTTTGTTGTTTAACCCACTCAGTCTATGGTATTTTTTTTTTTTACAGTAGCCAGAACTGACTAAGTCATCAAGCAAGTACATTAAGATGATTTTTCCAAACTGAGTTTGAGTACCACTTTTTACAGATTTATAAACTGAGACAGAATATTTCTCTAATGGGGCATTGTATTAGTCTATTTTCATACTGCTATGAAGAAATACCTGAGACTGGGTAATTTTTTTTAAGAGGTTTAATGGACTCACAGTTCCACATGGCTGGGGAGGCCTCATAATCATTACAGAAGGCAAAGGAGGAGCAGAGGCACGTCTTACATGGTGGCAGGCAAGAGAGCATGTGCAGGGGAACTACCCTTTATAAAACCATCAGATATCATGCGATTTATTCCCTATCATGAGAACAGCATGGAAAAAACACACCTCCGTGATTCAATTACCTCCCACTGTGTCCCTCCCATGACACATGGAGATTATGGGAGCTATAATGCAAGATAAGACTGGGGTGGGGACAGAGCCAAGTCATATCATTCTATTCCTGGCCCCTCCGAAATTTCATGTCTTCACATTTCAAAATCAACCATGTCTTCCCAACAGTCCCCCAAAGTCTTAACTCATTTCAACATTAACTCAAAAGTCCAGAGTCCAAAGTCTCATCTGAGACAAAGCAAGTCCCTTCTGCCTATGAGCCTGTAAAATCAAAAGCAAGTTAGTTAATTCCTAGATACAATGGGGGTACAGGCATTGGGTAAATATGCCAGTTCCAAATGGGAGAAATTGGCCAAAACAAACGGGCTACAGGCCTCATTCAAGTCCAAAATCCAGCAGTGCAGTAAAATCTTAAAGCTCCAAAATGAACTCCTTTGGCTCCATGTCTCACATCCAGGTCGCTCTGATGCAATAAGTGGGCTTCCCTAGCCTTGGGAAACTCTGCCTCTGTAGTTTTGCAGGGTACAGACCCCTCCTGGCTGCTTTCACAGGCTGGTGTTGTGTCTGCAGCTATTCCAAGTGCACAGCACAAGCTGATCTACCATTCTGGGGTCTGGAGGACAGTGGCCCTCTTCTCACAGCTCCACTAGTCAGTGACCCAGTAGGGACTCTGTGTGGGGGCTCCCATCCCACATTTCACTTTCGCATTGCCTTGGTGGAGGTTTGCCATGAGGGCTTCATCCCTGCAGCAAAATTTTGCCTGGACATCCAAGCATTTCCATACATCCTCTGAAATCTAGGCAGAGGTTCCCAAACCTTGATTCTTGACTTCTGCATACCTGCAGGCTCAACACTATGTGGAAGCTGCCAAGGCTTGGGGCTTGCACCCTCCCAAGCCATGGCCTGAGCTGTACCTTGGCCCCTTTTAGCCATGGCTGGAGCAGCTGGGATACAGGGCACCAAATCCCTAGGGTGCACACAGCAGGGGAGCCCTGGACCCAGCCCATGAAACCAGTTTTTCCTCCTAGGCCTCCAGGTCTGTGATGGGAGTGGTTGCTATAAACGTCTCTGACATTTCCTGGAGACATTTCCCTCATTCTCTTGGTGATTAACATTGGGCTGCTGGTTACTTAAGCAAATTTATGCTGCTGGCTTGAATTTCTCCCCAGAAAATGGGGTTTTCTTTTCTACTGCATCATCAGTCTGCAAATTTCTCAAACTTCTATGCTCTGCTTCCTCTTGAACACTTTACCACTTAGAAATTTCTTCTGCCAGATACCCTAAATCATCTCTCTCGAGTTCTAAGTTCCAAAAATCTCTAGGGCAGAGGCAAAATGCTGCCAGTCTCTTTCCTAAAACATAGCAAGAGTGACCTTTACTCCAGTTCCTACCAAGTTCCTCATCTCTATCAGAGACCACCTCAGCCTGGAGTTTATTGTCCATATCACTATCGGCATTTTAGTCAAAGCCATTCAACAAGTCTCTAGGAAGTTCCAAACTTTCCCACATTTTCCTGTCTTCTTCTGAGCCCTCCAAAGTGTTTCAACCTCTGCTTGTTACCCAGTTCCAAAGTCAATTCCACATTTTTGGGTATCCTTATAGCAGTACCCCACTCTACTGGTAGCAATTTACTCTATTAGCCAATTTTCATACTGCTATGAAGAAACACCTAAGACTAGGTAATTTGTAAATAAAAAAAGATGTTTAATGGACTCTCAGTTCCACATGGCTGGGGAGGAGTCCTCACAATCATGACAGAAGATGAAGGAGGAGCAGAGGCATGTCTTACATGGCAGTAGGCAAGAGAGCTTGTGCAGGGGAACTCCCCCTTATAAAACTATCAGATCTCATGAAACTGATTCACTATCCTAATAGAATGAGAAAAACCCACCCCCATGATTCAATTACCTTCCACCAGGTCCCTCCTACAACATGTGGGGATTATGGGTTCAAGATGAGATTTGGGTAGGGACACAGCTAAACCATATCAGACCTTCTCTAGGTGAGGAGTGTAATAGAAGGTATTATGTAAAGTTTGGAACCCAAAGAGTATACCCTTATTCATAAATCTGTCAGTGCTCCCAGGCAAATAACAAAAACACAGAATTTGTTTCTGGGAAAAAAAAATTCATCCTGGAATTTTAATAATTCCACCATAAAAATTTACAAGTAAAAACAAAACAAAACATCTCACTGTGAAAATTTTACTAAACATGCAAAGTCCCATGAGAAAGGGCAAAGGGAAATGACAGCAAAATCAGACCCATGGGAGATACAGACATTGCAATTATTAGGTAGAGAATATGAAACTATATGTTCAAGAAGATTCAAAAAAAAGAAAAGAGTTCCATGTTTTGATAAAATAATGGAAACTACAACAGTCTATATATTTCAAGAAATTCTTTAAAAATAGAGTAACAAAAACATAAATAACCATCATCTATGATCTACCTAAGAGACTACTTTAGAATTCAAATTATGCGAAAGTAATGAAATGAAAATGAAATAGATAGTTTCCTGAGAAAAAAATCTAGAGCCAACAGAAAAAAAGTAAGTGCTGGGCTGAAACTTTAAAAGAGAAAGGACAGGGGAATAGTCCTACAAGGTCAGATGAAATATATATAGATATAGTAAATATGGAAATAGATATATATGAATCTACATATCCATATCTACTTATACTGGAAGAGAAGCCGAAAATTAACAAGTATCCATTTCAAGAATTTAGGAAATAAACAGATAAATCACAAATAAAGTAGAGGTAAAGGAATACAAAAACAAGAACCAAATATAATAACAAAGGGAAAAATGATTCAGTGATATAAACAACTCAGCTTTTGGAGAAACCTTGTAAAACTGACAAATATCTGGTGCAGCTTATCAATAAGAAAGGCGAGAAAGAAAAAACAGAACATATTAGGAATAAAATGGAGACACAACCATAGATACTGAAGATATATTTCTCAGAAGATTAGAAGTGGATATTAAAAAATAGTTTTAAGCCAAGAAATTTAAAGAGCTATACAAAAAGGAAAAATACCTAGAACAACAACAAAAAAAGAAACTATCTAAAAAATGGAAGAGTTGTAATTACATTCAGGTGAAATGTTTGTATAGAAAATCGAAGGAAAACCACAGATTAATCATTAGGATGTTGAGAAAAGGTTTATCGGGTTTATCAGGTACTTATTGTTACTAATTACATTTCTTTACACAGCAATAAACAATTAGAAAATAAAATTATAACACTATTTTATCTATACATGTATATATATATGTATGTATATACTAGCAATGCACTGGTAATTGTATATATATAGACTAGCAGTACAGTGCAGAATTCTCACACAATGGAAGTATCAATGGCTTGTACATTAGCAATGATAGCTTCAGTAGATGCTCAAGCAGCCTCAACAGCAGAGCAATCATGAGTTCTGGTGACATCAGTTTTTTCTACTTCTCTTTCACACCTAAGGTTGTATAGGAGCTGCTACAGTTATTACACTGAGAAGCTTTCCCTTCTCCTCTTTGTTCCTGTTATCCTTCTCCCTCTTTTGTAATTAATTATCTGTATTAAATTTCTTGTTTGAAATATCTGAGTAGTTTCTATGAATATTGACTGATATCAGATATTTAAGGTATAAGAAAACTTAAACCTTAGAAAACCAAGAGAAATCTATTGATTTGCTAAGTTTATTATTCTTTTGGTGTACTTCAGCAAGCATCTTTAATGGTTACCTTTGGCCTTACATAGTATGAGAATAAATTGTTTTAGTGTTAAAAAAAAAAAGTTTGTCTCATGTTCAACATCAATCTGCTCTTCTTGTATTAAACAGAGAGGTTCAGATGAACAGAAACAACTTGAAGAACAGCAAGTTATTGTCTGGAGAAACACAGATTCTTCAGAGGCATTGTAGATTTGGCAAACTAAATAATGTGTAGACCTAAATGATTGGGTAATTTATAAAGAGAATACATTTTTTCTCACAGTTCTGGAGGCTGGAAAGTCTAAGATTGAGGTGCTGGCATTTGGTGTCTGGTCAGGGTATTCTGGCCTCATCTTCACATAGCAGAAGGTGAAAAGGCAAGAGAGATGAATTCCATCTATGAATCCCTTTTATGAGGGCACCTAATCCTATTCATAAGGGAGAAGCCTTTCTGGCCTGATCACCACTAAAAAGCCCTACCTCCTAATACTACATTGGAAATGGCTGAATTTTGGAGAGGACACATTAAAACCATAGTAATATGTATATATTTCAATTCATGCATTTATCCATCTTACTGGTACACATGTATATATTTAGCATTTATTTTTAAAATATATTAATGTATGTTCACATATCTTTTTTCTCGTTGAGAGGGAGTCACCCAGGCTAGAGTGCAGTGGCATGATCTTGGCTCACTGCAACCTCCGCCCCCCGGGTTCGAGCGATTCTTCTGACTCAACCTCCTGAGTAGCTGGGCTACAGGTGCGTACCACCATGCCCAGCTAATTTTTGTATTTTTAGTAGAGTCGGGGTTTCACCATATTGGCCAGGCCGGTCTCGAACTTCTCACCTCGTGATCCACCTGCCTCAGCCTCTCAAAGTGCTGGGATTCACTGGCGTGAGCCGATATTTAATCACCTTAAAAAATACTACTAAGCTCTTACAGAAAAGCTTCTATTATCTTTGCTTGTTACCTCTCTTTGTTGGATAAGTCTAAAACTCATGCATTTTTTAAGAAAACTGGAAGAGTAGATTATTTCAACATTTCTATACTGAGTCATACAAATATAGACATCAAGGCATTTTAGTTCCTATTCAAACGTCCAAGTTTTAATTCTCCGTAAGGACAGTTTCAGCTCTGAGGCCAAATACTTACAAAGTCCTTTGTAAAAATAAAAAGATGGCCTCATCAACCAAATATAAAATAACAGAACTAATTTAACTCAGATAATGGAGACAGTTTTTGTATCAAAAATAAAATATTTTTGAGTAATAGTAAGTGGAGGTAAATGGAAAGGAATGCATTGATTTTATATTTTAACTGTTTTTCATTTTTTAAATTTCATGCTAAAGACTTTACCTTCCAAAGGAGAATAATTTTCGTCAATGCAGGCACGTTTTTAACTAGGTTGATATATTCGGAAATAAGCATGAGTTTAAAGCACTTAGACAATAAATTTAACAATGTGAAATTTAATTATGAGTATTGAGCACAGAGCTCTGCTTTAAATATTTTATAACAAAGATAATGGTCTACTCTGTACTTCAAAGCTTTTTTGTTTTGTTTAGCTTCTAAAAGTTGTCAAAAATTTAAGAGCCTGGAATTTACATCATTTGAATTTGTATTTGTTATTTTAATGTGATTTCTTTAGTTTAGAAGTCCAATGAATTCACATTATTCTAATTTTATGGCAGACTTAGATAAGATTAAAATTAAATAAACTAACAGAATCATTATTTAATATAGAAAGTACAATGGGACTACACTGAATGTCTTCTATAGACCCTAGATTCCGGTACAATCCGTACTATAAGCATAACTTCAGGTCAGATAAAAAATAATTTGTTCATTCCTTTTTCAAAGATATTCATTACTTTAGCTAAACTGGACCTGCATTATCTCAGAAGTTAGGGTGGTGATAGAGTGTAGTACTGAAGGGCCAACTCTGGAGGTAGAGGGGATGGATGGCTTCAGAGAGTTATCTACCACTTACCAGCTATGTGACTTGGAATATTACTCAATTCTCTGAGTACCTCATCTTGTTATTAGTTAAGTAGAATAATAACTCTTTCAAAAGGTTGTTTTGAAGATTAAATAAATTAACATACATAGTTCTTTAAACAAAGTCTGCCACATAGCATATGTTATGTGTATTTATTATTACTAAGTGATGAAAAATACAGAAAAGTGCCTGCATAAATAATTCGGAGAAATCACCAAAACACATATTTTTTCAGATTCTACAACCTCATATAAGCATGAATATGGCCAACATAAAAATTACATCCTTTTAATGTTAATAATGATTGGTTTAAAAAGCCAACTGGGGAGTGGGAAAACATGTTTGTTAATTTAACCAGCTATTAGCTCATTACTAGCTCATTTACTTTTTCTCCTCTTGGAAGACACACAAAAAATGACTACATTGAATATTAATTGATTTGTCTTAACTTGTCACCAGCAATAAACAAACTAGACCAGGATCATTTCATTTATGTGGACAGTCTACCACCTCCCTGCAAGAAAGTTAATAAACTGTATAGGAAAGAAAAAAATAAAACAAGAGAAACATTGACCCCTGTTCCCAAAGCAAAATGTGTGATGAACATCTCTTCCCTGTTTGGTTCTATAGTGTATCTTCTTCCATGCCTAGACATTTCTTTTATGAGGTACAATAGGAGGTTAATGAATCAAATGAGCAGATGGTAATATTCTGGAAAATAATGATAATACTTAACGCCACTGCTAGGGTCTCAACCCTGCTGAGTGATATGGCAACTCAGTAGTGGGGAATTGTTCCTGGGGGTACACAGACAATTTGCAGTGCTCCTTCCATTAAGTGACTGATTAGCTGCTGTGTGCATGCACACACACACACACACACACACACACACACACACACATATACACACAGACACAGAACCCACACATGAACATATTGTGTAAAATACATTATTAAAAAATTATTCTAAGGAATGTCCAGGGACCATTAATTTTACCAGTCAATAAATATCTAAGGAGTGTCAACCTCATGCTGAGAAATATTGCATAGCACTTTTCAAAATACATCATGCTTAAAATTAAACATTCATAAAATAATCTTGGACATTATGAGGGCAGTTAAAAAACTGTGTGTTTATTTGCTGTGCATAAAACATAGCTAAACAGAAAAAAAATTTCACAAACATTGCTAGGGCTAAAGCAAAAATAGTTACTTCAGTTAAAAAATAATCAGGAGAGGATTAAGAAAGCTTATTTTGATGCATTACTTCTAAATAAAATAATGAAATATGTTTTATGTTATTATTTACTTATTTTTATTTATTTATTTTTTGAGATGGAATCTCACTGTGTCACCTAGGCTGGAGTGGAGTAGCTTGAGCTCCACTCAGTGCAATCTCTACCTCCTGGGTTTAAGTGATTTTCATGCCTCAGCCAGCCTCCCAAGTAGCTGGGATTACAGGCACCTGCCACCATGCCTGGCTAATATTTGTATTTTTAGCACAGACAATTTCATCATATTGGTCAGGCTGGTCTTGAACTCCTGGCTTCACGAAATCCATCTGCCTCGGCCTCCCGAAATAGTGGGATTACAGGTGTGAGCTACCATGCCCAGCCATGAAAAATGTTTTAAAAGAAATAAACTTACAGAAGCAAAAAGAAGTGAAAAGACAACAGCAACATAACTTTGACAGTTTGAGATCAGAAGGATTAGGGGAAGCTTGCATACTTGGTCCTGGAAAAGCTGAATCTGGTGGCTGCACTTAGAAAGCTAGGAAACTACCTACTTTTTACTGCAGACCTCCCACAGGCTTAAGAGTCAGTAGTATGGAAACTTCCAGAAGAGGGAGTGATAATGGAGAAAAGCTGGCAAATACTGTAATTTTGTTCAAAGAGAACTTTGATACCCCAATTCCTTCTTCTATGTTGTATAGCCCGGCAATTGTGGATTTGTGTCAAAAGGAGCAAATAAATCTGTGTATGAGAAGTGAGGAAAAGGTAAGAACAGTACATTAGTAAAACCAGGGAATGAGTACAAATTTACTTATAAATTTTGAGATTGCAAGAAATAATGGAAGATTCTTCCTTGGTAATTCTGATGAATCTGTCTGAAAGGTCATCATTTTGGGGGTTCTCCAGTAAAATAATACCAACAACTCACATTTAAAAATTATCATCTGCACGTAAGAATTTCCAACCAGAACTGTTACCATGTATTTAAGTTTGAGCAGATAGGGAAGAAAAGGAAGATATTTGTAAAAAATAAACAAACAAAACAGAAAACGCTCTAATGTGCAAATAGAAGCTTTAGCACATAGAAAAAATAAATTTTAGGAAAGCAGAGATGATTCATGGAGAGGAAAATGTCAAAAATATTGTTACCATCTTCCATCAGAGAATAGGAAATATTATATTCATGAATCAAGAATAAGGTGATATAAAAGGTCATTTACTGAACAAAAAGGAACTCTCTAAAATTAAAAGATGTGTTTAGAAATTACAACCTCAATAGAAACACTGAAAAAAGAAATCTCAGAAAACAGAACAAAGAAAGATAAAAATATGAAAAGAAAATATAAGACATTTACAGAATGAATCTAGAAGATTGGACATCTAAGTGACAGTATTTTCAGAAAGCAAAATTCAGTTCATCCGGGATGGGTGGACAATATCAACAGAAAGTACAAAAATACTTTCATACATGAACTTAGAATTTCTAGATTTAAAGGGCTTCCAATCTTTCCAGAATACATTCAAATAGGTTCTCATTAAGACCGCACACTTGATAACAACGTGAAATAAAGATGAAAATCTTAAAACCATTCACAGAGGAAAAAAAAGTTAGCATATAAATGATCAAGAAGCAAAATAGCATCATATTTCTTAATAGAAGCACAGAAAGGGGAGGAGCCAAGATGGCCGAATAGGAACAGCTCCGGTCTACAGCTCCCAGCGTGAGCGACGCAGAAGACGGGTGATTTCTGCATTTCCATCTGAGGTACCTGGTTTATCTCACTAGGGAGTGCCAGACAGTGGGCGCAGGCCAGTGGGTGAGCGCACCGTGTGCGAGCCGAAGCAGGGCGAGGCATTGCCTCACTTGGGAAGCCCAAGGGGTCAGGGAGTTCCCTTTCCGAGTCAAAGAAAGGGGTGACGGACGCACCTGGAAAATCGGGTCACTCCCACCCGAATATTGCGCTTTTCAGACCGGCTTAAAAAACGGTGAACCACGAGATTATATCCCACACCTGGCTCGGAGGGTCCTACGCCCACGGAATCTCGCTGACTGCTAGCACAGCAGTCTGAGATCAAACTGCAAGGCGGCAACGAGGCTGGGGGAGGGGCGCCCGCCATTGCCCAGGCTTGCTTAGGTAAACAAAGCAGCCAGGAAGCTCGAACTGGGTGGAGCCCACCACAGCTCAAGGAGGCCTGCCTGCCTCTGTAGGCTCCACCTCTGGGGGCAGGGCACAGACAAACAAAAAGACAGCAGTAACCTCTGCAGACTTAAGTGTCCCTGTCTGACAGCTTTGAAGAGAGCAGTGGTTCTCCCAGAACCGGCAGACTGCCTCCTGAAGTGGGTCCCTGACCCCTGACCCCCGAGCAGCCTAACTGGGAGGCACCCCCCAGCAGGGGCACACTGACACCTCACATGGCAGGGTATTCCAACAGACCTGCAGCTGAGGGTCCTGTCTGTAAGAAGGAAAACTAACAAACAGAAAGGACATCCACACCGAAAACCCATCTGTACATCACCATCATCAAAGACCAAAAGTAGATAAAACCACAAAGATGGGGAAAAAACAGAACAGAAAAACTGGAAACTCTAAAACGCAGAGCGCCTCTCCTCCTCCAAAGGAACGCAGTTCCTCACCAGCAACGGAACAAAGCTGGATGGAGAATGACTTTGACGAGCTGAGAGAAGAAGGCTTCAGACGATCAAATTACTCTGAGCTACGGGAGGACATTCAAACCAAAGGCAAAGAAGTTGAAAACTTTGAAAAAAATTTAGAAGAATGTATAACTAGAATAACCAATACAGAGAAGTGCTTAAAGGAGCTGATGGAGCTGAAAACCAAGGCTCGAGAACTACATGAAGAATGCAGAAGCCTCAGGAGCCGACGCGATCAACTGGAAGAAAGGGTATCAGCAATGGAAGATGAAATGAATGAAATGAAGTGAGAAGGGAAGGTTAGAGAAAAAAGAATAAAAAGAAATGAGCAAAGCCTCCAAGAAATATGGGACTATGTGAAAAGACCAAATCTACGTCTGATTGGTGTACCTGAAAGTGATGGGGAGAATGGAACCAAGTTGGAAAACACTCTGCAGGATATTATCCAGGAGAACTTCCCCAATCTAGCAAGGCAGGCCAACGTTCAGATTCAGGAAATACAGAGAACGCCACAAAGATACTCCTCGAGAAGAGCAACTCCAAGACACATAATTGTCAGATTCACCAAAGTTGAAATGAAGGAAAAAATGTTAAGGGCAGCCAGAAAGAAAGGTCGGGTTACCCTCAAAGGGAAGCCCATCAGACTAACAGCGGATCTCTCGGCAGAAACCCTACAAGCCAGAAGAGAGTGGGGGCCAATATTCAACATTCTTAAAGAAAAGAATTTTCAACCCAGAATTTCATATCCAGCCAAACTAAGCTTCATAAGTGAAGGAGAAATAAAATACTTCACAGACAAGCAAATGCTGAGAGATTTTGTCACCACCAGGCCTGCCCTAAAAGAGCTCCTGAAGGAAGCGCTAAACATGGAAAGGAACAACTGGTACCAGCCGCTGCAAAATCATGCCAAAATGTAAAGACCATCGAGACTAGGAAGAAACTGCATCAACTAACGAGCAAAATCACCAGCTAACATCATAATGACAGGATCAAATTCACACATAACAATATTAACTTTAAATGTAAATGGACTAAATGCTCCAATTAAAAGACACAGACTGGCAAATTGGATAAAGACTCAAGACCCATCAGTGTGCTGTATTCAGGAAACCCATCTCACGTGCAGAGACACACATAGGCTCAAAATAAAAGGATGGAGGAAGATCTACCAAGCAAATGGAAAACAAAAAAAGGCAGGGGTTGCAATCCTAGTCTCTGACAGAACAGACTTCAAACCAACAAAGATCAAAAGAGACAAAGAAGGCCATTACATAATGGTAAAGGGATCAATTCAACAAGAAGAGCTAACTATCCTAAATATATATGCACCCAATACAGGAGCACCCAGATTCATAAAGCAAGTCCTGAGTGACCTACAAAGAGACTTAGAGTCCCACACATTAATAATGGGAGACTTTAACACCCCACTGTCAACATTAGACAGATCAACGAGACAGAAAGTCAACAAGGATACCCAGGAATTGAACTCAGCTCTGCACCAAGTGGACCTAATGGACATCTACAGAACTCTCCACCCCAAATCAACAGAATATACATTTTTTTCAGCACCACACCACACCTATTCCAAAATTGACCACATAGTTGGAAGTAAAGCTCTCCTCAGCAAATGTAAAAGAACAGAAATTATAACAAACTATCTCTCAGACCACAGTGCAATCAAACTAGAACTCAGGATTAAGAATCTCACTCAAAACCGCTCAACTACATGGAAACTGAACAACCTGCTCCTGAATGACTACTGGGTACATAACAAAATGAAGGCAGAAATAAAGATGTTCTTTGAAACCAACGAGAACAAAGACACAACATACCAGAATCTCTGGGACGCATTCAAAGCAGTGTGTAGAGGGAAATTTATAGCACTAAATGCCCACAAGAGAAAGCAGGAAAGATCCAACATTGACACCCTAACATCACAATTAAAAGAACTAGAAAAGCAAGAGCAAACACATTCAAAAGCTAGCAGAAGGCAAGAAATAACTAAAATCAGAGCAGAACTGAAGGAAATAGAGACACAAAAAACCCTTCAAAAAATCAATGAATCCAGGAGCTGGTTTTTTGAAAGGATCAACAAAATTGATAGACCACTAGCAAGACTAATAAAGAAAAAGAGAGAGAAGAATCAAATAGACGCAATAAAAAATGATAAAGGGGATATCACCACAGATCCCACAGAAATACAAACTACCATCAGAGAATACTACAAACACCTCTACGCAAATAAACTAGAAAATCTAGAAGAAATGGATAAATTCCGCGACACATACACTCTCCCAAGACTAAACCAGGAAGAATTTGAATCTCTGAATAGACCAATAACAGGCTCTGAAATTGTGGCAATAATCAATAGCTTACCAACCAAAAAGAGTGCAGGACCAGATGGATTCACAGCCGAATTCTTCCAGAGGTACAAGGAGGAACTGGTACCATTCCTTCTGAAACTATTCCAATCAATAGAAAAAGAGGGAATCCTCCCTAACTCATTTTATGAGGCCAGCATCATCCTGATACCAAAGCCTGGCAGAGACACAACCAAAAAAGAGAATTTTAGAGCAATATCCTTGATGAACACTGATGCAAAAATCCTCAATAAAATACTGGCAAACCGAATCCAGCAGCACATCAAAAAGCTTATCCACCATGATCAAGTGGGCTTCATCCCTGGGATGCAAGGCTGGTTCAATATATGCAAATCAATAAATGTAATCTAGCATATAAACAGAACCAAAGACAGAAACCACATGATTATCTCAATAGATGCAGAAAAGGCCTTTGACAAATTCAACAACCCTTCATGCTAAAAACTCTCAATAAATTAGGTATTGATGGGACGTATCTCAAAATAATAAGAGCTATCTATGACAAACCCACAGCCAATACCATACTGAATGGGCAAAAACTGGAAGCATTCCCTTTGAAAACTGGCACAAGACAGGGATGCCCTCTCTCACCACTCCTATTCAACATAGTGTTGGAAGTTCTGGCCAGGGCAATTATTTTTAGTTTTTTGAAGAACCTCCATACTGTTCTCCATAGTGGCTGTACTGATTTTTATTACCACCCACAGTGAAAGAGGGTTCCCCTTTCTCCACCAGCATCTGTTATTGCCTTTCTTTTTTAATAAAGCCATTTTAACTGGAATGAGATAATATTGCATTGTGATTTTGATTTGCATTGCTCAAATGATTGGGGATGTTGACTATTTTTTTCATAAACCTGTTGGCCAACTGTATGTCTTCTTTGAGAAATGTCTGCTCAGATCTTTTGCCCATTTTTAAATCAGATTTTTATTTTTTGGTACTGAGTTGCTTGAGCTGCTTCTATATTCTGGTTATTAATCTCTTGTCAGATGAGTAGTTTACAAATATTTTCCCCCATTTTGTGTGTTGCCTTTTCACTTTGATGATTGTTTCCTTTGCGTGAAAATGCTTTTTAGCATTTAGTAATTCTAATTGTCTATTTTTGCTTTGGTTTTCTGTGCTTTTAGATCTTACACAAGCCCAGAACATCATCCTGGAGCATTTCCCTGATGTTTTCTTCTAGTAGTTTTATAGTTTCACATCTTAGATTCAAATCTTTAATCTATTTAAACTTTATTTTTCTGTATGGAGAGACAGAGAGAGAGAGAGAGAGAAAGAGAGAGAGAGATCTAGTTTCATTCTTCTGCATATGGTTGTCCAGTTTTCCCAGAATCGTTTACTGAAAAGATTGTCCTTTCCCTATTATAAATTCTTGGCACATTTGTTGAAGATGAGTTGGTTGTAAATGCATCAATTTATATATGTGTTCTGTATTCTACTCCATTGGTCTATAATGTTTGTTTTTATGCCAGTACCATGCCATTTTGATTACGATATCTTTGTCATAAATTTCAAAGTCAGTTAGTATGATGCCTCTAGCTTTGTCCTTTTTGCTCAGGATTGCTTTGGCTATTCAGGGTCTTTCATGGTTCCATATAAATTTTAGGATTTTTTTCTTATTTATGTGAAGAATGTCATTGGTATTTTGTTAGGCACTGCATTGAATCCTTAAATTGCTTTGGGTAGTACTGTCATTTTAACAATATTTATTCTTCCAGTCCTCGAGCATGACATAGCTTCCCATTTTTTAAATGTCCTCTTCTATTTCTTTCCTCAGTGTTTTATAGTATTCCTTGTATAGATCTTTCACTTCTTTAGTTAGGTTGATTCCCAAATATTTTATATTTTTTGTAGCTGTTGTAAATTGGATTGCTTTCTTGATTTCTCCTTGAGATTGTTCACTGTTGGCATATACACATGCTACTGATTTTTGTATGTGCAAATATCTTTGATAAAAGTGACAATAACAGATTGTACAGGGAGAAATTTATCAAAATCATAGAGGCAGCATGTGCATGACTGAAGTTGGGTAGCACTGCTACCGCCTTAACAACAATCAAATATTAATAGATGCGGGTCATGAGAGAGGTACTACCTGCAATATTATTGGTTTCAGGGTATTGAGACTACACATTAATTGGGGCATACAGGAAGATTCCTTGAGGAAGCCATCAAGAAAATTTATTGTCTTGACAGGTGAAGACTGGAGGAGGACTTTTTTTTTTTTTAGAAAAATGGTAGTAACAAAAGAAAGAAAAATGTGGGTGTAGCATGAAAAGAAACACAGAAGATAGTAACAGATTTGGAGAAAAGAGATATGGACAGACGAAAGACTAGAGCAGATACCACAACAGTTTTGTAAGGATTAAATATGAGTTGCCTGGGGGACTTTCAGATAGAGACATTTAGCAGAGTAGGTGGTGTTGGAGTGGAATTAAGGAGAGAAGACCTGTTGATAAACACTAGGAGTTATTCACATGAAATATTATCCTACTTTCCTGCCTCCTCTCCTTCCTTTTTCTTTTTCCAACAAATATTTACTAAGCATTTAGATATAACAAGACTAATAAGATTCCTGCACTCACAAAGCTTTCCTTCTTGTAGGATGATACTAAGGAAATGCATGAGATCACTAAGAGAAGAGAATGTTTCAAGGACAGAGGAGCATGATATTGACTGTGATGATTATGAGAATGACAATGATGATGATGCTAACGCTTCTGTAGTGCCCAGCTTGGTTTTAAACACTTTTCCTTATTGCTACTTGCAGTGGTCTGCACACCAGAAGCATCAGCATCACTTGGGAATAATAGAAACAGACTCCAAAGCTCCATCCCTGAACTACTGAATCAGAATTTGCATTTCATCCAGAATTCCATTTGATCTGTCTGCACGTTATAACATGGAAAACCCTGCTTTACATATTTTTATCAGTAGAACTTCATAAACTTCATATTCATGGTAAACATTATTATTGGCCCATTCTAAAGTTGAAGAAACTGAGGCATAAAGGGTTAAGGAACTTACCCATGGTCACACAGACAATGACTGGCCAAACTGGGATTTAAAGCCATGCCATCGGGCTCAGACATCTATGCTCAGAATCATTATGTAATTCTGTCCATAAGTGAGCATTAAAGTGGGCTAAACCCTTAAAGGATAGGAAGAGTATGGAAGAATTCTAGGTAATTGATTCATAGAGTAGGAAAAGAATTAGGAAGAAAACAAAAACACAAGTGTTTAGGAATCAAAGATTTAAGTTTTTAAGGGAAACTTCATATACCACATAGCGGTCAAGAAAGAAGAAGCACAGGCAGAATAAAAATGAAGCACTTTGCCCCGGTGGTGCTTGTTTGTCAGAAGTCATGGTGAGCTCAGAACACAGCGTTTTGTATGTCAACTCATTAACCCAAGAAAAACAAAATGGTGGATGAAAACTCTTATTGACCTGGGATACAAATGCCACTGACTTTGGTTCTTGACCTTTAACTCTTGGTGGATTTTGAATCACTCCATCTGTATTTCGGTATATACTATCATTCTAAAACATTGTGGTTAATGAAATAAATCTTAAACAGATGTAAACAAGAAAAAGAAAAAAAGAAGTCAAATCCCTTGGAGTTGCCAGTTGGAAAGTTATTAGTGATGTTTGAGAGAGGAATGTGAGAGAAGGCCTGGCTGCAAAGCAAAGAGGTAGCACTGCAGTGGCAGTGATGAGTGAAAACTTCTCATTTATAAGTAGCACCCAAAGAGAGTCACCTGCCTCAACAGCAATAGAAGCAACTGACAAAGCATGGAGAATCAGCCCTGCAGAACATATTTTCCTTCCCTTAGAGGCTCAATTCCTACCTCCTAAGGTTCACTGTCCTTCTAACACACCTTCAGAGCTGCATTTTTCTCTCTCCAGTTTGCATACACAAATGTCAAGCTGAACATCGAAGTTAAAGGGATTGTTTATTGGTGTTCAAGTATTGCATGAATAAAATGAAAGAGGGAAATATAATCTGCTTGTGGTCACAAATCCACCTTAGTAAATGTGTGGAGAAAGTATGTTTTCAGCATCTTTCTGATCCATTTCAACTTTAAAATATTTTATATTATAGCTACTCTACACATTTATGTCCTCTTCCTGACTCCATGTTTCAATATGCATTTCATTTAAGAAAAAATGAGATGAAAGTGATTGTGTATCACCATTCATTTTTGTGCTCTCTTCACATGCTAATTTACCATGTATGTATGACATACAATTCTGGTTTTCTAAAGTTAATTTTGGAGATTTTTACCTTTCTTCTCCTTTGCATGTAAACATGCTAATTTCTGAGGAAAATATTTCTGATATTAGGGTGTTTTACACTAGAAAATGCTGTTTAAAAGCTGCTTTCATTTTGTAAAGAGCAAAGTCACAAGAAGCCCTATAGAAATTATCATTCATTGGTACAAGAAAACAGTAAAACAAAGTATTTTGTGGGTATGATGCTATGTTTTTAAATCTACATTTTTCCAATTAAAATTTCTTTAATATCTATAGACAATGAGAGATTGAGAGTTGAAGCAAGTTACTCAATATGAGTAACTTAGATGCATCCCCAAATACTTCATTCCTTGTTTCATGCTGAAACTGTCAGCATATTCTTCTTCAGCTCCTTTCACGAAAACCAGGGGTGGGAAAGTCATGCTTTGTTGGGCAAATCTGGCCTGCCACCTGTTTTTGTAAATAAACTTTTATTGAACACAGCCACACTTGTCTCTTCATATATTGTCTACGGCTGTGTTTGCCCTACAACAGCAGATTTGAATAGTTAGGACAGAGACCTTACTATCAGTAAAGCCCAAAATATTTGCATCTGACCCTTTATAGAAAAAGTTGGCCAGCCCCCAGTGTAGGCAATATATATTAAACACGGGGCAGAGAACAGAGAGGGGCACTGGCTATAAGATTTTCTTTGCTTTTCCTTATCTAAAATATGAACTAAACATTGTAACAAAATAGTGTCTTAACAGCCACATTTACCTCAGATTCCTTTTAAAGAACCAATGAATTGATAACAAGGACATGCAAAGATAATTCATCTGTAAGAGCACAGAAAAAAGAAGTATGCAATCAGCCAAACAGAAATGTTGACTAATTTCTGGAAGATAGCAGTTAGATGGGCCTTATGGATGCATAAATCAGATCAGAGAAAATAGTTAAAAGAGGCTGCAGTGAAGGTGGACATACTGCTTTCTGGTGGACCTCCCCCTCACATCCTTGGAATCAGCAGGCACAGAGAGCACAAGTGGACCAGGGCTGAGAATTAGGATAATTAGTTAAAGGATTTCCTTTGCACAGCTGGAGCTGGTCAATGCCTTCAATTTCATATTCTGTTCAGTTGGCAGTAGCAATGAATCTCAAGCTTCAGGTAGGCTTTCTAATGAGAAAGATTTATCGGTAAGGGGACCATTCATGTGTATTTTAGGACTAGAGACAGGTATAAAGCCAGGTATAAAGTCACTGGATCAGTGCAGTTAAAAGGAAGAGCACCTGGACCAGAAGATGGAAATAGACTCAAGTATGTTTTTCCACATAGGGGATCTCTGACACTTGTGACTGCTCTGAATCTTTTGAGTACTCTCTGCTTTTGATGGTTCCCCACACTGTGAATACTGCTACCTGAAGTACAATTTTTAAAGTCTTTATTTCCTAGTCTCCATCGCAACTAGAATGAAGACAGGTAATGTTAGTTACCCCAATCAGTTGTATCCATACAAAACTTTGATCTGGAAGTGACCCACATAAGGCAGCAGGCTGGGCAGAGGGCATCTGTTCTGCGGCTGTGGGAGGCAGCAGAAGGAGAGAGGTTCTAGGGAACAAGTGACCTTTTGTGAGTTCTCTAGTTGGGTCAGTTCTTCAATGAGGTTCTGTCAACTGTTTTTGTTTTTTTATCTGACAGTTTCTTCTAGAAACTAATCCTCCAATTCTCTCAATAGCTAGGTGAATTATTTAACATCTCTTAATAAATTCCTTCCTGATTCAACTAACTGAAGTGAGTTTTTTCTTTTGCACCTAAGAATTGTGATGAATAATACCTCAAAATAAAATGTTCTTTAGCTTGGTAACAACAGTGGTGCTGGGCCTGACAATATACTTCCTGTCCACATAGTCTAAAGGGAAATCTGCACATTGACAGGTCCCTTATTTTATATAGAATCGGCCTTCTATTTCAGAGTATAAAGCTTTGGGACAACCACTCCACAGCTGTACATGAAATGCAGACCAGTTATTTACACTAACCAATGTATTCTTCATTTATAATTATGAATAGGCAACCAAGATTCATTTAGTATTTGAAGAAAATTCACAAATTCAAAGAGAAAAACAAAAGTAGGCAATAGAAACATTGTCCCAGAAGATAGTAAATGTAATGTAAAAAACAAACACAAAAAGCTTTAAAAAAAATGCTTCTTTCCTTAGAGAAATATGAGGAAATAGTCATCTACAAAAAGGCAACTATTAAAAAGGATCACTTAAAAGAATAAATGAGATCCTGAAAATGAATAAAATGATCACAAAATAACAGATCAACTAGAGACTGAATAATGGAATGGACACAGCTGAAGGACATGTTAATAATAGGTTACATAAATGCAAAGAAAAGTAGAACATAGTCTAAAAAGATAAAGAGAAGGGAAATTTTAGAGAAACATTTAGAGACATGGTAGACAGATTCAGAATATCCAAAACCTAATTTAAAAATTATTCAAAGAGAAGCGAATGAAGAAAATGAAGGGAAAGAAGAAAATTATTCAAAGAGAAGTGAATGAAAAAAATCAACAAAGAAAATTCATCTCAACTCTTCAAAATCAACAAGAAAAGTTTTGGGCATACACTTCTTGATAAGATGTTAGCACTCCACTAGAAAAATGTCCTAAATCTTCCTGGGGAAAAAAAAAAAAAAAAAAAAGAGCATGTTACCTATAAAGGAATAAGAATAAAAATGGCATCAAAATTCTTTCTCATTATAAACATTTTATGTTAGGGAAAAAAATGGAGCAATAACAACTGTTCATTGAGAGTTACATGAAAGAATTCTGAAAATTTATTTTCCATCTTTTCTTTCTCATATTAAAAACAAAAATATTAAAAATTGACTTTAGCAAACTGAGACAAATATAGGAGAGAGAAATTATGACATCTCAGAAACAATGGAATTACTTTAGAAATGAAATTAAAAATAACAACAAAGACAGAATGGCCGTCGAACCACAGGCCTAAACACTAGGCATTTTAATTTAGATTAGGAAGTTGGAGTGTTGTGTAAAAACTGTCTTTCAGAAGAACACAGATTTCATTCCATGAGATTAGACATTCTACTTTTCATTTTAATCCTAAGATTAATATAATCATACTATTATAAATTCTATTTATAAAATTTTCTAAGTTTAATATCAACTTATGGATAAATCCTTGAAGAATTATAATTATAGAACAAGATTTAAAACACAGAAATTTTGACATGTTAAGCCTAGTAGTAGGAGGTGAAAGATGATGAGAGAAGGATCAGGGAGGAACACTAAACTGCTTATATTATGTAGTAGAACTGTTCAAAGTTTAGGATCAAGAAATAGAGGTTAAGTGTTTTAAAACAAAAATAATAATATTACTAACAAAATCAGGAAGCATGGGGGGTAAAGGAGGTTGTTAGAATTATAACTGCTAAATTCTCAATTTTTCTTAACATGAAGTCAACAGATACTATATAAAGGTTAAAAACAAACATAGAAATTAGTATAACATATTAAATTTTTGGATTAACCACCAAGGAGACTCTGGACAGATTTAAACACAATTGTCTCTAAAGTGTGGCACTAGGAATGGAAAGGTGAAGAACCAAAAGGCTTTTGGGCTTTTAAATGTATAACTTTCTATGTAGTTGGAATATTTTGCACTATGTGCATACTTTATAATTTAAGTAAAGCATTAAAGTAAAATAAACATCGTATTTGTGAAGATAACCAGAATTACATTTGGATCTTCCAAAGTATAAAAATTATTTAAAAAATAGGTTTTTTTTTTTTCAAGATGGCTGATTAGAGGCATTGCTAGCATAATTCTCCCACTTAAGAGGACAAAATACTGTGCAGAGATTCACATTGTGAACTTTTTTTCCAAAAGTGACACAGGAACCTACAGGAAAACCAAAGGAATCTACAGACACTGTGAAGGAAGCAGGAGGCTGCAGCATATGCTGTGAGTCAGGCTAAAGGCTATGAGTCCCCAGAGTGTGAGAGGGGGACTCTGCCTTCAGGATACACACCTCCCACCAGAGATCCTGAAAGTCCAGGCTATGGGGGAAGGCCATAACTCCAGTCAGCACAGGAACCGACCTGGGGAGGGTCCTGGAATATAAAAGTAGGAGCAGTAGCGGGAAGACCCTTGCATGCACTCCCAGATACCGGCATCAACTGAGGACAACCATTCCTTATTCTTCACAGGGGACCCTGTGGAGGACAGCCAAAATGTTCAGGCAGTGGTTGCAGGTTGAAAGAAGCCCCCAACAGGATTTCATGATATAACCTCGAGTGAGACCAACTCCCTTGGCCAGGGCCAGGGCAAGGGAGAGTGAAAAGGGGCAAAAGTGCAGGAGTTGCAACTGCAATAGCCAGGCACCCAGCTTTGCAGCCAACAGGGAGGGGAAGGTGGGTGGCCTGAAAGCTCCATTGCTATCTTCACTGGGAAAGCTTATGACTCAAGGCAGTTGGGAGTTCTGAATACAGGCTGACTAGAACTCAGCTTGCTGCTGCCAGTGGAACACTGTGAGAGTGAATTGGCCTCACCAAGTGTGTGGGAACTGTGTGGGGCTTACCACCGCCTGCTACTCCCCACTCCTTGTGCAGATTCTTCTATGCAATAAAGGCAGCAATGCTCCCTTCTGGAACATCATCAACCCAATGACCTGAGAACCACTCCCATCCCCCAACACACACAGGGGCAGCTGTTTGCCCTCATGTGGAGACTCAGAGCACAAACCTGCCTGACCCAGACCCCATCTGGCCACTTGTCTTGGTAGCTTAACACAAAGGACAGAATCTCTTGGGAGCTATGTGGCTCTGACCATTGCCTGAGAAAACAGAGGACCCACCCCAGGCAATATAAGGCGAGCAAAAAATCCCACTGCTACCACAGCTGGGGCTCTTTTGAAACTGCCACCTCCTGGCTGGAGGCCAACGAACACAGTCCATTGTAGTATCTCCTGAAAGAATAACACTGTGCCCAGGAAGGAGAAAACAGCTGCACAATATCAGCTGTCACCACTGCTTATACCACTCTCGTTAACCAGGAGGTCCTGAGTCTGTCCATGTGACCAGTGACCAGTTTATTACTAATATAACCAGCATTCAAGAAAGCCAACATACTAAAGCTATCAATAACCAAGGAATTTCAGAGTCTACATCACTCCCCTGCCATCCCCATTAGAGCTGGTGCTGCTACTCACTGCTGGGAAGCTTGAGGACAGGTCACATCACCAGATCATTTGCAAGCTTTTCCTAGTGTGAGCCCGGAGTGTGGCAACTTCGGCTTGACCCAGAGGAGCAACAACACTCACAATAGTCTAGCTTCCAGGGATGCCCACTCCCAGGGGAAGAGGGAGTTAACTACATCAAGGGAACATCTTATGAGTCAAAGGAATCTGGATGGCAGGCCTTGAGCATCAGATCCTTCCACTGGTGGGAAGCTTCTTTCAGCAGAGGCAGTTGGGCTCAGTAAGGGAAGTCTTCAGCTCTGTCCCAACAGTCAGACATCCCTGGTGCGTGTGAAAGTCTTGGAGAAGAAGACCCGCTTGTCCCTGCTTGTCCACCACTGAAGGCACAGTTGGGATTTTTCCCACAGGAGCTCGGCAAGGATGCGACCATAGACAACCTTTCTGTAACACATCAGGGTGACTGCATTCCCACAGGAGCACCCTCCAGGGTCAAGCTTGCCTGAGAAACAGAGTCACAGTTCCTCTCTACTTGGAACATCAACATCCCTACAGAAGAAAAGAGGGGCCTGTCTGATCTGAATAGCCAGAGCTCTGGGACAGGAGTGTGTCTGTGAGGTGGATAACTTTCCTGCTTACCTGGAAGGGGAACTGAGGTGGCTCCAACCCTTCTCTCTGATACGACCTCAGTGCAACTCACTGAGAGTTCCTCTAGCCACCTCTGTCAAGGCTGGGACTTCATTTACCCACCTGCTTTAGCCACAGTTGGTTCCTACATAGGGACACCTCCCCTACTGGCCTGAAGCCTAAACCATCAAACAGTAAATACAATAGTGGGGGAAAGTAAGTAAATAAAAAAGTACATACCATCAAGGAATGAGATAAGCTTTAAGAGACCTCTACCATTCCAAACCATAGGAGATAGTGAACTTGCTCATACATTGAGTGCATTGATTGCTACTACAACCAGCATATGGGAAAGCCATCGTACAAAGACTCTTCTATAACCAAGGAACTCTACAGAGTCTTCACCCCTGAAAGCACCAAGAACCAAATTAGGCTATAATTAACTATAAGTATTAAGGTATCATCTTTAAGGGAAAAAATAAATTTAAAAACAAACAAAAAAAAAGAAGCACAGTCAAATCTAACATATATTCAAGAATAATTAGAAGAAATAGTCTATCCAAATGAGAAGGAACAAAAAAACCTTTGAATATATGAGAAAATAGGGTGCTATAACACCCCCAAAAGATCACACTAGCTCTCCAGCAATGGACCCAAACCAAGATGAAATCTTTGAAACACCAGATAAGAAATTCAGAAGATCAATTATTAAGGTACTCAAGGAGATATCAGAGACAGGCAAAAACCATCTTAAAGAAAATTTTAAAAGCAGTTCGAAATGTGAATGAAAAATTTTCTAGAGAGCTAGATATCATCAAGAAAAACCAATTAGAAGTTCTGGAAATGAAAGACACAGTGAGGAAATTACAAAATGCAGTGGAAAGTGTTAAGAGTAGACTAGAACAAGTGGAGGAGAGAATTTCAGAGCTCAAATACAGGCTTTTGAATTAATACAATCAGACAAAAGTAAATAAAAAGGAACCAAAAGAAGTGAACAAAGTCTCCAAGAAATATGCAATTATGTAAAATGGCCAAACCTAAGAATAATTGATGTTTCTGAGGGAAAAGAAAAAAATAAGTCTGGAAAACTTATTTGAGGGAGTAATTGAGGAAAACTTCCCTGCTGTGGCTAGGGATCTAGACATCAAAATCCAAGAAGCTCACAGAACTCCTGGGAAATTCACTGTAGAAAGATCTTCACCAAAGCATATACTCATGAGGCTATCTAAAGTCAACATGAAGGAAAGAATTTTAAGAGCAGTAAGACAAAAATATCAAGAAACCTACAAAGAAAAACCTATCGGACTAACAACAGACTTCTCAGAAGAAACCTTACAATCTAGAAAGGATTTGGGTCCTATCTTCATAAACAAAACAACTGTCTACCAAGAATTTTGTATCCACAAAACTAAGTTTCATAAATAAAGGAGAAATAAAGTTATTTTCAGACAAACAAATGTTGAGAGAAGTTGTCACTACCAAAACAGCATTATAAGAAATGCTTAAAGAAGTTCTAAACCTTGAAACAAAAGCCTGATATGCACCAAACTAGAACCTCTTGAAAGCTTAAATCTCACAGGGCCTATAAAACAATAACCAATAAGACAGTCACTATATAATAATGAAAGGATCAATTCAACAAGAAGATATTGCAATCCTAAATTTATGTGCTCCAAACACTGGAACTCCCAGATTAATAATTACTACTAGACCTAAAAAAATGAGATAGACAGCAAAACAATAATAGTGGAAGACTTCAGTACACCACTGACAGAACTAGATAGATCTTTGAGACACAAAGTCAGCAGAGACACATTAGACTTAAATGAGACACACCAGAACAAATGGACTTAACAGATATTTACAGAACATTCTGCCGAGATCTGCAGAATATACATTCTTCTCATCAGCACATGGAACATTCTTTAAGATAGACCATAGGATAAGCCACAAAATAAGTCTCAACAAATATTTAAAAATTGAAATTATATCAAGTATCTTCTCAGAACACAATAGAATAAAACTAGAATCAACTCCAAAAGGAACCCTTAAAACTATACAAATATACATGGAAATTAAATAATCTGCTCATGCATGATATCTGGGCTAACAATGAAATCAAGATAGAAATTAAACAATTCTTTGAACTGTATTATTATAATGACACAAGTTATCAAAACCTCAGGGGCACAGCAAAAGTGGTGCTAAGAGGAATGTTTATAGCACTAAATGCCTACATCAAAAAGTCTCAAAGAGGACAGATTGACAACCTAATGTCACACCTCAAGGAACTGGAGAAACAAGAACTAAACCGAAAGCTTGAAGAAGAAAAGAAATAACAAAATTAGAAGAGAACTAAATGAAATTGAACAAACAAACAAAAATACAGAAGATCAATGAAACAAGAAGCTGGTTCTTTGAAAAAATAAACAAAATCAATAGACCGACACTACAGAAATACAAAAGGTCATTCAAGACTGCTATGAACACCTTTATGTGCACAAACTCGAAAACCTAGAGAAAATATCCAAGTTCCTGGAAACGTACAAACTTCTTGGATTGAAACAGAAACAAATATAAGCCTGAACAGACCAATAACAAGTAGCAAGATCAAAACAGTAACTTAAAAATTGCCAACAAAAAAAGCCCAGGACCAGATAGATTCATAACTGAATTCTTCCAGACATTCAAAGAAAAATTGCTACCAATCCTACTGAAATTAGGTTGAGAAAGAAGGAATGCCCCCTAAATCATTCTAGGAAGCTAGTATCACCCTAGTACCAAAACCAGGAAACGGCACACACAAAAAAGAAAAACTACAGACCAATTTCCCTGATGAACATAGATGCAAAAATCTTCACCAAAATACTGGCTAACCAAATCCAACAGCACATAAAAAACATAATACATAATGATCAAATGGGGTTCATCCCAGGGATGCAGGGATGGTTTAAAATAAGCAAGTTAATAAATGTGATACATGACATAAACAGAATTATAAACAAAAGCCATATAATAATCTCAATTGATGTAGAAAAAGCATTCACCAAAATCCAGCATCACTTTATGATAAAACTCTTAACAAACTAGGCATAGAAGGAACCTACCTCAAAAGAATAAAAGCCATATATGACAAAACCACAGCCAACATTACACTAAATGTGGAATAGTTGAATGCATTCCCCCTGAGAACAGGAACAAGACAGTGGTGCCCACTTTCACCATTCCTATTCAATATAGTTCTGAAAGTCCTAGCCAGGGCAATTAGTCAAAAGAAGGAAAGAAAAAGCATCCAAATTGGAAAAGAGGAAGTCAGACTATCACTGTTTGCAGATAATATGATTGTATACCTAGAAAACCCTAAAAACTCCTCCAAAAAGACTCTTAGATTTGATAAACAAATTTGGTAAAATCTCAAATTACAAAGTCAATGTACACAAATCAGTAGCACTGCTATACACCAACAATGACCAAGCTGAGAATCAAACCAAGAACTCTTTTTTCAACAGCTGAAAAAAACAAAAAACAAAACAAAACACCTAGGAATATACTTAACCAAGGAGGTAAAAGTTCTCTTCAAGGAGACCTACAAAATGCTGTTGAAAGAAATAATAGATGACACAAACAATACCATGCTCATGGATTGAAAGAATCAGTATTATGAAAATGGCCATACTACCCAAAGCAATCTATAAATTCAATGCAATTCCTATCAAAATACTAACTTTATTCTTCACAGAATTAGAAAAAACACTCCTAAAATTCATATGGAAGCACAAAAGAGCCGAAATAGCCAAAGCAATCCTAAGCAAAATGAACAAATCTGGAGGTATCACATTATGAGACTTCAAGTAACACCGCAAGGCTATAGTTACCAAAACAGCATAGTACTGGCATGAAAGTAGGCAGGTAGACCAATTGAACAGAATAGAGAACCCAGAAATGAAGCCAAATACATTCAGCCAGCTGATTTTCAACAAAGCATACAAAAACATAAATTCAGGAATGGACTCGCTATTTAATAAACGGTGCTGGGAAAACTGGCAAGCCACATGTAGAAGAATGAAACTGGATTCCTATATCTCTCACTTTATACAAAAATCAACTCAAGATGGATCAAAACCTTAAACATAGGACCTGAAACTATAAAAATTTTAGTAGACAACATTGCAAAAACTCTTCTAGAAATAAGCCTAGGCAAGAATTTATGACTAAGATCCCAAAAGCAAATACGACAAACATAAAAATAAATAAATGGGACCTAATTAAACTAAAAAGCTTCTGCACTGCAAAATAAATAATCAGGAGAGTAAACAGAAAACCCACAGAATGAGAGAAAATATTTGTAAACTATACAATTGACAAAGGAATATGCAGAATATAATATATAGAATACATACATAATATACAGAATATACAAGGAACTCAAATCAGCAAGAAAAAAAATCAAATAATTTCATTAAAAAGTAGGCAAATGACATAAATGGACACTTCTCAAAAGAAGATGTATAAATGGCCAACAAAAATATGAAAAAAATGCTCAATATCACTAATCATCAGGGAAATGCAAATTAAAACCACAGCGAGATGCATACCACTCAGAATAGCCATTATTAAAAAGTCAAAAAACAATGATGTTGGCACAGATATGATGAAAAGTAAAGCTTATACACTGCTGGTAGAAATATATAAATTAGTACAACCTAATGGAAAACAGTATGGAAATTCCTTAAAGATCTAAAAGTAGATCTACTGCTGGATTCAGCAATCTTACTGCTGGGTATCAAACCCCCAAAAACGAAGTCTATATGAAAAAGACTCTGGCACACACATGTTTGTAGCATCACCATTCACAACTGCAAAGATGTGGAACCAACCTAAGTGCTCATTGACTAATGAGTGGATAAAGAAAATGTGATATATATACACCATGGAATACTATTCAGCCATGAAAAAGAACACAATAATGTCTTTTGCAGCAATTTGGATGGAGCTGGAGGCCATCATTCTAAGTGAAGTAACACAAGAGTGGAAAAACCAAAAACTGTGTTCTCACTTATAAGTGGGAGCTAAGTTATGAGTATGCAAAAGCATACAGAGTTATATAATAGACTTTAGAGACTCAGAAGTGGGAGGAGGGAAAGGTGGGTTAGGAAGAAAAAATACCTACACATTGGGTATAATGTACACTACTCAAATTACAGGTGCACTAAAAATCTCAGAATTCACCACTATATAATTCATCCACATAACAAAAAACACTTGTACCTCAAAGCTATTTAAATAGAAATTAAGAAAAAAATTACGAAGAACAGCACAAGTCTCTCTATTCCCTAAATCTGGCTATCAATCTGGATATCATATTCCACAGGAATAACACTAATAATTTGGATTTTCCATCCTTGACTTCCTCATCTCCAATGACTTTTTCTCCTGCCACCTCATTCCCACAGTAAGGTCCTAGAATTATTATTATTATTATTATTATTTTTTTTGAGACAGAGTCTCACTCTGTCACCCAGGCTGGAGTGCAGTAGCATGATCTCGGATCACTGCAACCTCTGCCTCCTGGGTTCAAGCGATTCTTCTGCCTCAGCCTCCCGAGTAGCTGGGACTACAGGCATGTGCCACCATGCCTGGCTAATTTTTGTGTTTTTAGTAGAGATGGGGTTTCACCATATCTCGGCCTCCCAAAGGGCTGAGATTACAGGTGTGAGCCACTGTGCCCAGCTGATCCTAGACTTTTCAACACCTCACCTGCTCAGTTTCCAAAGTGATTAATTCAATCATCTCACTCGCCGACAAATTTAAAAGATGGGTAGATGTACTCTATTTGTCTCTTTCCCCTTCTTGCTGATTGGAACAGAAAACCATCTTTGCCATGAAATGGAAGTCAAATGATGGAGAAAGCAGAGTGCCAAAACAGAATGGGCCTGGGCTCTTAATAACTGTAGAAACATTGGACCAGCCCTGGATATAATATCAAGATATTTGAGAGAGAAACTGTATGTAAACTACTCCCATTTCAGCTCTAGGCCCAAGGAAACTCGATTCTAATTTGCTGATCTCACTATAAATTCCTGGTTGTTAGTTCAAGTGGTTACCCAACACTGGTTGGCATACTTACCGTTTCTCTAAGTTCACTTTCCCACTCTCCACAACCATCCTTTACTGACTTCAAGGACCTGACCTCTCTTTCTCCCCAACTCCTACCCTTTCTCATTCTATATTAAATGTGCACTGCACGCTTCCTAAAAATCATAATTGATATTGTCATCAAATATACAACTGACCTAAATCTTTGCTCATCTTTTCTTTTTCCTTCTAACAACCTTGGAGTAAGTGAGGCTTCTTCTAGCAGAGGCCTTTCCCTGTATGGCTATCCAGATACTAACATTTCTACCACCTCAGTTATCTCCTCCTACTTGCATTTTCAGCCTCTCCCTCTCTGTTAGATTTCTGAAAACAGCATTTTAATTTTCTCTAATTGGTCTCAAGCAAAGGAAAGAAGAACTCCCTGAATGCACCTTCATTTCTACTGACTGTTCTCTCTTCCTTGCATATTCAACTGCTTTTAAATATTATCTACACACACCTATGATGACTTTCTCATCGGCCATTAACTAGACACTTCTTTACTCAGAACCTTGAGAACACAGTTCTTGATAGGAAAACATGCACTTGAAATTTTTTAGAAAGCCATTTAAAACAGCCCTTGTGTTAATGCTGATATCAAAAAATGAAAGGTCACAAACATCCTCCAATGGACCTCTTAAAAAATCTTAAACTTACTTGACCTTATGTGATCATACTTCTCTTGATTCTTGTGACAACAAATTCTCCTGGCTTTTTTCCTATCTCTCAGTCCAGTCATTTTTCATTTCCTTTACCAACTCAGCTCTTTATACTTTGAAACCTTCGAATTCTTAACCTCCTCAGTAACTGTGTGTGTGGTGATCCCCTCCCTGAAATGTCCTTTCCTCTTTTCTTTGCAAGGTTAACTTTTCTTCATCCTCCAGGTGTCACTGAACTATTACTCCCTCAAAAAGAACTTGGACTTTAAAACTGTTTGCCACATTGTCTTTTAATGTTTCTGTCTTTTGTAATTAGACATTCATTTCCGATATTGTCTCCGCCAAGGTTTATATTCTACCATAAACTCTATAAGGTCAGGGTTCATGTCAGTTTATTCATCATTCTTTTTGAGTAGCCTGACACATGGGAGAGGTTCTATAAGTACGTGTGGAAAGAATGAATGAATAACTTAGGATGATGGAAATTTTCACTTACTTTATTGTAATGCAAGTACAGAGAAAAGGGAGGGGATTTTCTTTAGGTATACTAGTGTTTTATTCATTTTCCATTGCTTTCTGCATCAAAAGTCAAGAAACATGATTGAGCAGTGAATGGATTCAGAATTCTTTGTAATTTCCACTCAATTTTTCCGTAAAACCAAAATTGGTCTAAAAATAAAGTTAATTAATTTTTTAAAAGAAAGGCACCACAGCTTAGTAGTGAAGAGCATAGGCTATAGAGTCACACAGTCTAGGTTTCAATTCCAGCTCTGTCATTTAGGAGCTTTGTGACTTCAGGCAAGTTCCTTAAACTCTCCCTGAGAGTAGGAACATTTTAGTTTTATTTTGCTTTGTTTTAATGTTGTTCACTGCTGTGTCCATACACTTAGAAATATACCCAGCACATAGTATCAACTAAATAAACAGATGGCTTTCATTATTTTGAGGTATGTTCCTTCAATACCTACTTTATTGAAAGTTTTTAACATGAAGGGTGTTGAATTTTATTGAAAGCCTTTTCTGTGTCTATTGAGATAATCATGTGGTTTTTGTCTTTAGTTCTGTATATGTGATGAATCACACTTATTGATTTGCATATGTTGAACCAATCTTGCATCCTGGGGATGAAGCCTATTTGATCATGGTAGATTAGCTTTTTGATGTGTTGCTGGATTCAGTTCGCAAATATTTTGTTGAGGATTTTTGTTTCGATTATTCAAAGGTATTGGCCTGAAGTTTTCATTTTTTGTTGTGTCTCTGCCAGGTTTTGGTATCAGGATGATGCTAGCCTTATAGGATGAGCTGAAAAGGAGTCCCTCTTCTCAATTTTTTGGGAATAGTCTCTGTAGGAATTATACCATCTTTTCTTTGTACATCTGATAGAATTCAGCTGTGAATCCATCAGGTCGTGGGCTTTTTTTTTTTTTTTTTTTTTGGTTGCTAGGCTATTTATTACTGATTCAATTTCAGAGCTGATTATTGGTCTATTCAGGGAGTCAATTTCTTCCTGGCTCAGTCTTGGGAGGGTGTATGTGTCTCGGAATTTATCCATCTCTTCTAAGTTTTCTAGTTTTTGTGCGTAAAGGTGTTCGTAGTAGTTTCTGATGGTTGTTTTCATTTCTGTGAGGTCAGTAGTAACATTCCCTTCAAAATTCTAATTGTGTTTATTTGGAACTTCTGTTTTTTTTTTCTTTATTAGTCTAGCTAGTGGCCTACTTTTTTTTTTTTTCAAAAAACCAGCTCCTGGGTTCGTTGAACTTTTGATTTCTGAGACAAAGTCTTGCTCTTGTCACCCCAGGCTGGAGTGCAATGATACAATCTTGGCTCACTGCAACTTCTGTCTCCCAGCTTCAAGCAATTCTCCTGCCTCAGCCTACCGAATAGCTGGAATTACAGGTGCCTGCTACCACACCCGGCTAATTTTTGTATTTTTAGTAGAGATAGGGTTTCACCATGTTGGCCAGGCTGGTCTTGAACTCCTAACATCAGGTGACCCCCCTGCCTCAGCCTCCCAAAGTACCGGACTTACAGGTGTGAGCCACCGTGCCTGGCCTGATTTTTATTTTTATTTCTCATCTTCTGCTAGCTTTGGGGCTGGTTTGTTCCTGCTTCTCTAATTCTTTCAGTTATGAAGTTAGGCTGTTAATGTGAGATCTTTCTAAGAGTTTGATGTGGGTATTTAGTGCTATGAATTTCCCTTTTAACACTGCCTTAGCTGTGTCCTAGAGATTCTAGTATGTTGTCATTTTTTTTGTCACAATTCATTTTTATTTACAGAAAATAAATACTTATTCCAGTCTCAAAGTTGCCATACTTGAAGTTGCTAATTTAAAAAATGAATTTTAAATAGTCACTTAATAATCCTGCTTTGACTAAGACAGTGAAATGTGGCTTAAAAAAAGTATTCAGCATCATTTGCTCATAGGTCTCTCAGAATTTGTTCTTAAAGTTTCTGGAACTTTTCTGTCTGTAAAGTACAGGAATTACCAAGCTACATGAGAAAGCTTCTCTGGGACAGGCAATGGGGAGTTAAGCAGTCATCATAAAGGAATCAATGTACGTTGCATATGGTGGCTTGGACAACAAAACCATCCGTTCCCCTCTATGGTAGCTCAAGAGAGACATGCTTCTAAGCACTGAGGTATGAGGAGTCTCAGACTGTTATTTGCTGTTAGAATCGGTCTTACTGGCAATAACGGTAAATCTCTGGCATAGATGCTACTGGTCCTTAATGTCCTGTGATTTTAGTAAATTCAGTAAATAGTTTGGATCTACTTAAATTTATTCAGAAATGAAACATGTTTAATTATGTTCACTGGCAGAGTAAGGGTATATTGATTTAGCATTCTTATCAAATATGTATAATATGTAGGTAAATCATAAGTCTTAAATCATACTAAGAATACTACATTATTTAAACCAATATCTATTTTAATGCTATGTTTATAATTAAAAACAGCTGGTGAAACTAAATCCCAAGGTATGACAAATAAGACTCAGCTCTGTCTTGCTTAAAGAACTTTTAAAAAGCATGTGCGCATAAAGCCATTCGAGGAGAAGGAAGGAGGCCCTTCTCATCATTCTTACCGCAGAATTCCTATTAGGGCTGGGCCAGAAATTAGCACTACTAAATACTTTAGAAAAGTCCAGAGTGTTAAACAGTCTTTTATGCAAAAGAATGTCTTTCTGCATCAGTGAATAGTAGTACTAATCAGAATTTCCTAGAAACATAAAAACAAAGGCAAGTCTGTACATTTGATCAGATGTCAAAGTAATGGGAGGTGGACTATTATGTCAACCTTAGCCAGAGCTCCTGCTGGCTTCTTCCTATATACTGTTCACCAATTTGAGTAAAGTGGACTTTGTGAGAGAACAGTGTTTGATGGCCAGGACCTCTTTTGGGCATTTCTTCTTAAGTGGAATACGCAATGGATAAGGGGGTAGGGGAGGTAATACAGTGAATCTACTCTTTCCAACTCAAAAGGACTTGATGAAGCCCAGGTATGCATTCAGGAAGCCCATGGGATCCTCTAGCTGTGGATCGTGGCTAATGTGGTCATCCAGAATTGACATCATGGACCGTGACAGCATTTTCCTGTACAGCTCGAAAAACTCTGGATAGGGATTTACAGGATCCAGTGGCTCATAGATAAAATCAATGGGGTTAGTTTCAGAGGCAAGAGCTCCCACTCGGTGTCTTCTAAACTTCTCTGATTGATGATGTACTGTAAGAGATTGACAATGACTAAGTTCCCATCATTGTTGCAGCTGTGGGATGGGACTGCCCACATGTACCATCCCACAGCTCACTCTCAGAGGGCCAAGTACATGGCCCAAAGACTGGGGTGAGACATCGAGAATACAAAGAAGTTCATCAGCCACGTGAGGATGGGTGACAGCACACCTCCATCTTTGAGTATCTTTTGGAGAAGGAGTGGACGGTGAGTCTCAGGAAAGATACCTCCATTTGACAGATGGATACTCTTTATGGTAAGCCTACCAGATTGATTCTGCTTGTACTGGTAGAGGAGCTCCTGAGCAACAATATCTCCATAGTCATGAGACAAAAGGTTGGTCCTGTGGTTCTGGAGCCCCAGATGCCACAAAAGCACTTCCATAATGCTGGCCTGCTCAAATATGGAATAGTGATGTGGTTGTGGATTGTCACTGAAGCCAAAGCCTAAGAAATCAAGCACAAGAACTTGATGAAACCTCAAGGTCAGACCTTCCCAAATCTTGTACCAATCATAGCTGGATGTTGGAAGGCTGTGTAAAAGCACAGCTATCTCCAGACTTCCAACCACACCCACAGAGTCTTGGTAGAATATATGCAGTCCCTCGTAAGTGAAAAATTTGCCTGAAGACTTCCAAGAGTGAAGGGCCAGGGAGACCTGAGGGAGTGGGATCTGCAGGTACGCAGCAAGTAGGCACATGGCCAACAGCTCCACTTGGACCCACCACACCCTCCATCCTGATTCAGGTAAGAACTGGGCTGCAGGACTCCATGTTTGGGGGAACCGGTTGTGCATGCTAGTATATTGTATTTTATATTGTATTTTTGTTCTCATTATTTTCAAAGAACTTCCTGATTTCTGCCTTAATTTCATTATTTACCCAAAAGTCACTCAGGACATATTGTATTGTTTAATTTCCATGTAATTATTTGGTTTTGAGCAATTTTCATAGTCTCAACTTTTATTTTTATTGTGCTGTGGTCCTAGAGTGTGTTTGATATGATTTTGGTTCTTTTTACACTTGTTGAGGATTGTTTTATGTCCAATTATGTGGTTAATTTTAGAGTACATGCCATGTGGTGATGAGGAGAATGTATACTGTGTTGTTTTTGGGTGAAGAGTTCTGTAAAGGTCACAGCCAACAGTACACTGAATAGGCAAAAACTAGCATCATTCTCCTTGAAAACCAGCACAAGACAAGGATGCCCTCTCTCATCACTTCTATTCAACATAGTATTGAAAGTCCTAGCCAGAGCAATCAGGCAAGAGAAAGAAATAAAGGGCATCCAAAAAGAAAGAGAGGAAGTCAAACTATCTCCGTTTGCAAATGACATGATTTTCTATCTAGAAAACCCCATAGTCTCAGCCCAAAAGCTGCTCCAGCTGAAAAACAACTTCAGCAAAGTTACAGGATGCAAAATCAATGTGCAAAAATCACTAGCATCCCTATACACCAACAACAGCCAAACTGAGAGCCAAATCAGAAACCAATCTCATTCACAATTGCCACACACCCACAAAAATACCTAGGGATACAGCTAACCAGGGAGGTAAAAAATCTCTACAATGAGAATTACAAAAGATTTCTCAAAGAAATCAGAGAAGTCACAAACAAATGGAAAAACATCCCATGCTCATGTATAGAAAGAATCAATATCATTAAAACAGCTATACTGTCCAAAGCCATTTACAGATTCAATGCTATTCCTATCAAACTACCAGTGACATTCTTCACAGAACTATAAAAATTATTTTAGAATTCATATGAAACCAAAAAAAGCCTGAATACCCAAGGCAATCCTAATCAAAAGGAACAAAGCTGGAGGCATCAAGCTACCCACCTTCAAACTATACTACAATAACCAAAAGAGCATGGAATTGGTACACAAACAGGCACATAGACCAATGGAACAGAATAGAGAGCCCAGAAACAAGGCCGCACACGTAGAATCATCCTGTCTTCAACAAAGCTGACAAAAACAAGCAATGGGGAAAAGACTCCGTGTTCAATAAATGGTGCTGGAATAACTGGCTAGCCATATGCAGAAGATTGAAGCTGGAGCCATTCCTTAAACCATATACAAAAATCAACTCAAGATGGATTAAAGGCTGGGTGCAGTGGCTCATGCCTGTAATCCCAGCACTGTGGGAGGCTGAGGAGCGTGGATCACTTATGGTCAGGAGTTCAAGACCAGTCTGGCCAACATGGTGAAACCCCGTCTACACTAAAAATACAAAAATTAGGTGGGCATGATAGCAGGTAGCTGTAATCCCAGCTACTCAGGAGGCTGAGGTATGAGAATTGTTTGAGCCTGGGAGGTGGAAGGTGTAGGGAGCTGAGATAGCGCCGCTGCACTCCAGGCCTGGGTGGCAGAGTGAAACTCTATCTCAAAAAAATTTTTTAAAAAAAGATGGATTAAAGATTTAAATGTAAAACTCCAAATTATAAAAACCCTGGAAGATAATCTAGGCAATACTATCCTGGACATAGAAACAAACAAAGATTTCATTTCAAATATAACAAAAGCAATTGCAACAAAAGCAAAAATTGAGAAGTAGGATCTGATTAAACTTAAGAGCTTCTATACTGCAAAAGGATATCAACAGAGTAAAGAGACAACATGCAGAATGGGAGAAAATATTTCTAATCTATGCATCTGACAAAGGTCTAATATCCAGCATCGATAAAAATAAATTTACAAGAGAAAAACAAACAACTCCATTAAAAAGTGGGCAAAGGACATGAACAGACACTTCTCAAAATAAGACATATATGTAGCCAACAAACATATGAAATAAAGCTCAATATCACTGATCATTAGAGAAATGCAAATCAAAACCACGATGTGATACCATCTCACTCCAGTTAGAATGGCTACTATTAAAAAGTCAAAAAATAACTGATGCTGGCAAGATTGTGGAGAAAAGGGAACATTTAAACACTGTTGGTAGGAGTGTAAATTAGTTCAATCACTGTGGAAAGCACTATAGTGATTCCTCAAAGGGCTAAAAGCAGAACTAGCATTCAACCAGCGATTCCATTACTGGGTATATACCCAGAGGAATATAAATCATTCTAAAATAAAGACACATGCCCAAGAATGTTCATTACAGCACTATTCACAATAGCAAAGAAATAGAATCAACCTAAATGCAACCAATGACAGATCCACTAAAGAAAATGTGGTACATATACACGATGGAATACTATGCAGCCATAAATAAGAATGAGGTGATGCCTTTTGCGGGAACATGGATAGAGCTGGAGGCTGTTATCCTTAGCAAACTAACACAGGAACAGAAAACCAAATACCACATGTTCTCACTTATAAGTGGGAGCTAAATGGGAAGAACTTACGAACACAAAGCACAAAACAACAGACACAAGGGTCTACTTGAGCAGGGAGAGTGGAAACAGGGAGAAGAGCAGAAAAAAGATAACTGTTGGGTACTAAGCTTAATACTTGGGTGATGAAATAATACGTACAACAAACCCTTGTGACATGTGTTTACCTATTTAACAAACCTTCACATATATCTCCAAACTCAAAAGTTAAAAAAAATAAGTAAAATAACATTTATATATACTGAATTATTAAAAAAAAAACTCAATGAATACATAAATGAATACACTTTTTAAAAAATCAACGAACAGGTCAAGTTTTGCAACACAATTTTGTGGCAAAATTGAGAGCTCCTTGTTTATACAAGTCACATCATTTCTTCATTTGTCAGATGGACAGCTAGCCTCTATGGCATCAGTACCCTTTGTTTTTATCTTAATATTTTCTCTAGTTCATGTTCTCAGTGTTTCAGTTTTTTTCTCCTTAAATCCAACAATGCAGATTTCCACATTCACCTAGAGTTTTCATCAAGAAGGTACTTCTTGTGAATAAAAATGGAAAAACATCTTTTATGTCTTTATGGACAACTTTAACAGTTCAACTTACTTATGTTTATTGTGACTGAGTGAAACAATAAACTGACAAACACCAGCTGAGAGTGAATCACTGAGACCAAGTCTCCAACTTTCAGAAATTCTCAATCCATCCCAACTTAATATTTCTCAGGGAAAATAATTTACTGGCATTGTCTAGTAATTTCATATGTTTAACTCCCAGGAGTGCAAAGGAAAATAATTAATGTCTGTCTCTGGAAATTAGAAGGAATGGGATAGCTAATATGCAGGAGTTTGCCAAGACCAAAAACATGTTCCACAAAACTTGGCAAAGGAATCAAAGTTGGCAAAGAAATCAAAACATTCTTACTATGCAGGTTGGGATCATGTTGAATTCATGTCAACAAATCATAGTTCTCTAAGGTCTAGCTCAGCAAATTTATGTTGTTTAAGAAAGAAAAGCAGTGTGCTACAGAGGTCCAGTTATATTAAATGCTTTAAGCTTCGTGCAGCACATGGTGAACATTTGTCCTGGTATTTCAAAGTTGAACAAGGTTTTTCAAGATTCTGATTCTAAAATATACATAAATCAAACAACCAGAGGAGGATACAATTCATTCTATTTTAAAATTTAACTCTTTTCTTGGAGGAAAAATAAAATCATTCAGTACAATTACTATAAGATGCTAGCCTTATTTATCATCAACATCATCATCAACAAATACTTGTTGACTATACGTTATGTGCTGGGCATTTTGCTAACCTCTGAAAACTCAGAAATATAATTTGTATTTATATTGCACCTGGTCTATACCTAAAAATGATAAAATATAGTTGAAAGAAAGGCAGCTAGTACTTGTCTATTAAGTCAGAGAGTCATGCAGTCATTCTGTCATCATTCATTCATTTTATAGTTCCTCCTATTTGCCAACCACTCTACACAGTGCTGGACACGTAGAAGTAAACAAAACAGATATGGTCTCAGCTTTCCTGGTGCTAGATATTCTACTATATATTGTGTAAATATTAACTCACTCGCTTTATTGAAGACTCAAGGTTATAACTATGAAGAAACCAGAAAACTGAGGCTTAAAGGAATGTTGCCTAAATAATGAATATATATAAATTCAGATGTATCCTATGTCTTTTATTTAGGGTTTCAAGTAATAATGAGAAAATAAAAGCAATGTGAGAAGAAAGGAAACTTATCTAACACTGTGGACCGGATAACATAGCAGCTATACATTTACTAAAGCAGCTAAAAAAGCTGAATATTCTCTTCCCCACCCAGCCACCCTAGCAGCTAGAAGTGACCAGATGACACACTCCTTTATTTATTTATTTATTTATTTTTTGAGATGGAGTCTCGCTCTGTCGCCCAGGCTGGAGTGCAGTGGCGCGATCTCGGCTCACTGCAAGCTCCGCCTCCCGGGTTCACGCCATTCTCCTGCTTCAGCCTCCCGAGTAGCTGGGACCACAGGTGCCCACCACCGCGCCTGGCTAATTTTTTTGTATTTTTAGTAGAGACGGGGTTTCACCATGTTAGCCAGGATGGTCTCGATGTCCTGACCTCATGATCCGCCCTCCTCAGCCTCCCAAAGTGCTGGGATTACAGGTGGGAGCCGCTGCACCCGGCTGACACACTCCTTCCTAATAACATACAGCAGAAGTCTGGAAAGGATCTCTGACAGTGTTCTGCGTTTACAATGAATAGAACAGGAGCAGTACATAAAGCTATTTTCCCTCCATCCTTCCCTGGACACAGATGAAGGCAGAGCAGTCCCTATGTTGTAAACAGAAAACTAAGATATTAAAGATAGAAAGCCCCTAGATGACATCATCAATCCCCTGCATCAGGCTTGTTCTACCTATCCTTCTACTTTTTTTACATGAAATTTTAAAAAAGAGGAAGAAAGAAAACTTATTTGAAATACATGTTTACTCCTCCATAATCTATTGTTGTGCAACTTATAGTCCCAAAACTTAATGATTTTAGTTGCCATTAATTAACACATGACCAGCAATTTGGGCTGAGTTCAGCTGGTGGTTCTTCTGCTTGTCTTGCCTTGGTTCGTTCATATGGCTTTCCTCAACTGGCAGTTCAACTGAGGCTTGATGGTACAAAATGACCCTACCTTTTTGTCTGGAGGTTAGTGCTAGATGTCATTTGGGATATGTGTCTTTGACATTTTAGCCTGGGCTTCTTCACGTGGTGCCAATGCTACAAGAGAGCTGGTCACAATACATCAGTCCTATTTGAGCCTTTGCTTGTGTCATATTTGTTAATGTCTTATTGACTAAAGCAAGTCATAAGGCCAAGTTTGGAGTAAACACAGGAGTGAGCTACACAAGCATGTGAAGACAGGGAGGTGTGACATATTGGGAACAATTACTCTAATAACCTACCACTTATATTAATGTTATTTACCTCCTTCTATTTAACCAATTTTTATGTCCTACATAACAAATGAGTGCAAATTCTGAAAGTACTCTATCTCAAATATGACCTATTTTCTTTATTCTGAATTATCTTTTGATATTTCAAATTTTATTTTCTCATATGTCTATGGACTAGATCATATACATATATTTTACTATTTGATAATGTGGCTAAGATATGTAAAATAAAGAGCAAATCCTATTGTCTGCAGAGTTACTGATCACTGAAGACCTCTTCACTCTGTAGGCAGTTTTGAGCTGCTTGCAGATAGCGTCTCATTATAGATAGCTGAGATAGAGTAACAATGGACAACAGCAGGTAAAACTGCCCAAGGATTTGGAGGTCAGATACAAATTGTAGTAAGTGGGTCAAGACATGTAAGCAATTGCTTAATAGCACTGTCTCTATTGCATTAATAACGGGTAAAAATTAATCCTGTTACATAAATATAAACAATTTGTATTGTAGTATCATTATTTAATTGTGTACTTTAAAGGGGATAAATGAAACATCATATGTACATTTAACTAATAGAAATTCTACATTCTGGGACACATTTAAAAAATATATCAGTGACTTGTTCAGTCATCATTCACTCATTGAGTGTGTGACTCAGAGTCAGGTAAGTCAAAAGATACAAATCTTCCATGGCTTAGCTCATGCTGGGGTGAAAGTGACATTCAGAGCATGAAGGTCTTGAAATTAAACAGGATTTTTTTAAAAGAGGAAATATGTTGGGGTGAGATTTTTTTCACTTACACACTAACTTTAGGATGCCTGTGTAAAATGTAATTCCAATGTGAAAACATGTACAGAATTATAGTTATCACCAAAGTGTTCTAAAATTCCACTGGATTTTATTTATAACAAAAGCCATTTTTCCCTAAATATTTCACATGATTCTCTGTAAACAGATATTTTAGCAGCCAGGATGTTGTTAGTGCCATTACTACCATTAACTTTACTTTCAAGCCAAACAAATTTATTTTGTGAGGAGTAAGAAGGGGTAATTAAAGATGAACATGGAGAAAGCATCTTACTGTGAACCCTTTTCCTAGCATTCAATTAAAAACACTGGAAATGCAGGAAAAAAATCCCCATACAACTCCTTAATAATATAAAAAGAGACATACTACATTTGTCTCACACAAATGCTAATTTTTAGCCCCTGTGGCAAGATCTGTGATTGGCTCCATATGTTTCTACAGTAAGAGACATCTTAAGATTCTTATGGTTCCATTTCTTTTACCCAACTTGTCTTCCTCCCAGCCTCTAGCTGTGCATCTTCTAAATTCTCTGGCCTCCAAGAAGCAAGTACAAGAGGTGGTTCACTTTCTCAGATATAATTTCCTTCTCTTTCTCTCTAAAACCAATAACATGGTCAGCTTTCCAGACATTCTAGGGTAAAAAGAGACTTTAAGTTTGTTTTTGAGAGTATTTAAATTGGCCAGGGAGTCACTTTTGAATGTGTGCTAATATTCAGACTGACTTTCTAAATAACTTCTTTTCAAAGTCTCACAAGCAGATATTAATGATTGCCTCTCAGTCCGAAAATTCCAAGTTAATAATTTTACCATTTAAGAATTTATATGGAATCACAGTAAACACAATTCAAAATGCCTGGGAAGTTAACGGAAAGTATTTTTCAAAATGGCTCTAATTTCCATCGATAGAGTATAACCACTGGTCAGATGAAAAATCACTTTCTAATACAATGTATGGGCAAATATCATTTTTCCAGGACAATCTGTTTTCTTGAAATCATTTATCGAAAAGATACTGAAATTCACACATCTGCCTATTCAACATTAGAGGAAAATTATATTTTGTTTAATGCCATATGTAAGCATGATAAAGTTTGAATAATGAAAGATAAAGCAAAAGACCCAAAGAAAAATCTCTATCACAGGGATGACTAATTTCATTACTCTTATTTCTATTTACAAAGTATTTTCAGAAGAAAGGAGAAGCTGTTGAAATTGCTGTAAACTTTTTAAAAAGAAACATTAAGGGAATATAATACGGCTGTTCCCAAAGCAAGAAAAATATCTTCCCCTGAAGAACAAGAAACAAAATTGTCTTTTTAATTTTTTATCTAGTAGAACTTGGTTGAATTAACCCAAACTTTAGGTGCCCCTGCCTGAAAACTGAGCAATTGGTAAATAAGTCTAATGGAGACTTAGGAAATCTGTGCCAGAAATAAGATGCTCAACTCATCTAAGATTGTGTAAGAGCACATTTTTTAAAAAGCTCTTGGCAAATTGAAATGACATGAAGAGATGGTGAGACTTTCTACACTACTCTGGATGAAATACAAAATTAAAGGAGAGACAAATTCTATTCAGTTACAGAGCATAGGGATATAAGGACTTTCCTTTTAACTCACATTTTTGTTTCTCATACAATGATGAAAAGTACAAATTATTGCCTAGGTTTGGCATGACATTCAAATCAATGTGAACTATTTCCCATGTTCAAACCCCACAAAAATGTTTAGCTTCTGACCATAAACTTGTGCAGGTACTGCCGGCTAATTTTTGTAAGGATACAGAAAATGGGTTTTGTGAGTGTATGATTTCATTTAATTGATTTATCTATTTTAATTGATACTTAACATCTGTACATATTTTCCCTATACATGTGATAATTTGATACATCTGTATAAGCAAATTGGGATAGTTAGGGCATCCATCACCTTAAATATTTATCTTTTCTTTATGCTAGGAACATTTGATTATTCTCTTCCAGCTATTTTTAAATGTCCAATAGATTAATGTTAACTATAGTCACCCTATTGATCTATCAAATGTTATTTATAATAAAACTTGGTAATGGAAGGATATTACAAATGCATTACTTTCTACAATGTACTAACTGAATGTATTATAGATTATGAAAACTCTATACATAGTTATTTTGATTGCCTGTATATAATCAACTAATATTCCTCTCTCTCTCCCTCAAATGCATGTTAATACACACTGAACAAACATATACATATCTACACATACACTTTTTTCTTCTCACAATATCAGATGAATTTAAGTCTTCTTGCTTAATTACACTTGATTCCCTGAAGCATGGAAAATATGACAATGGTGCATAGGACCAACAGGTTTCATCTCACCTGCTAATTCTCTGTCATCGATAGTGCTGTCTGGAGCAAGAAGATGAGAAGGATTTGTAGGTCAGCAAAAAAGAGTACAATAATCAATTGGTAATGGCTTCTATGGTAAGGCATGAGTAGCTAGATATTTACTATTCATTTTAGATGATCTCCCTCTCAATGTTCTTTGCTATAAGACACACAGAAATCCAGATTTCAGAAGAAAAACTGTCAACTAACCAAAAGTAACAGGAGTTGGGTCTCTGGGGGTGTTCAGTGTTTTATGTTAAGAAGTGGAGATATATGGGAAAGCAGGAATGTCCCATCAAGACAATTCAAACAGTAGCTGCATCATTCAGTTAAATGTTTATTAGCTCAATTCATCACAGTTAAACCTTTTAGATGGGGCACAGTTAGTTAGCACTGGCAAGTCCATTGTGATCACTGGAAGCAAGTGAGCAAGAGGGGGTCAATACCTACAAAGAGGCACACTTTTCTTTTCTACAGATAATGAATCTAAGAACCATCTCTACGCCTGACAGGCATGGTAGCATTCAAAAGAAGCAATTCTAACCAGGGGTTAGGCATGGTCATCAGAGCTCCTTACATTTCCTACAGAGCCTACGCTCTCACTAAAGAGCTTAACTTCAGGGTTAGAAGCTCTTACTCAATCCTAAAAATCGTCTTCCGTAAAAAGGAGAAATAGGGACCCTCCACTACTTTGTCTTGTTTCTCTAGTACTTTGTAGGGTTCTCCACATAGAAGGTTGACAGCCTTTTATGGCTTTCTTTGGAGGCCACCTGTGTCGAGAAACTCTTACAGAAAGTTAACTATCTGTGCTGTTCCTTGAAGGGAAAGGAATGACAGCTAGAAAATAAGGTACGTAAAATTTCAAACTCCATAAGCTGTTAACAAGTTGTAAGTTTTGTTGTTGACATTTAGGAAAGTTACAGACTGGTAATAACTTTGTTTTGAATCTCAAAGCTATTAAATATTGCCATATCAAGAAACTAAGTTGTAGCAGCAGTGAGTGGATTCTTTAGATATGAAATTCTAATCCTCATAATAAAAATAACCCGGACAGAATAAAGGGGGTTGGGAATTCAAACTCTGTTTAACATTCCTCATAGTTGCTACACAGGTTTGTACAGTGGTGGCATGCTTACTGTACTTAGCTTAAAATAGATAAAATATATTTGAAGAGGACAATGGTTATAAAGTATCCAACTTCAGTGTTTGGTCTATAGTGAGTATTCAATAAATAACAGCCACTATTATTTTACTAAATTTTGTACAAGGGCAGAAGTTAAACCGGATATTCTTAGCACTGCCTAAATGAGAGCTGCCCAATGAGCTATTTAATTCCTCAACCAGGTTCTGATGTCATACAAATTTATGCCAGAAATCAAGTTCAGTTCCTGTGACATAATCTAGCCTTTTAAGTTTTTTGTTTGTTTGTGCTTAGTTTGGTTGTATTTTTTAGATTATCTTATTCTTTTTACGTCTGTACCTAGAATAATTATCCCTTCACTTTGTGAACTCCTTGCCCACCATTAAGAACTAAAAGCTAGACCTTGCTTCCTCCAAAAAGCCTTCTCTTTATTCTTTTCTTGCCAACATGGAGGGAAGGCACCCCTGCTTTTTCATACTGTCTTGGCCACATCTTTACCCATCATAGTTAGTCAACTGTGATATAATCCTTTGTTTTACTATATCCTCCCTATATTCTGTGTTGCTTAAGGGCAAGGACCTTAAATTTATATCCATAATGTCAGACATGTCAATTTCCTTTTAAGCAATATAATCATATTTCTATTTGAGTTGGAATTTTCCTGAACATTTTCTCAACATCTTTATCAAGATAAAGAATAAAAGATGAAATTCTGAGCATTTAATACCTGGCAAGCACCATGCTAAGGATCTTATTTGCAAGATCTCATTAAACTCCATCAAAAAGCCTACAGAAAAGACTGTATCTTAATCACTATTTTAAGGAAGGAGAAATTGAGTCTTGAACAGCAAAGGTAGCTGGCTAAAGAAGCAAACTCAGTAAATGGCAGAGTCATCGTTTACACCTATGTGTTCTGACCCCAAAGTCATACATTTAACCACTAAGTCATATTGCCTTCTATAAACTGTTCTATTTGCAACTCAAATCCTGTTTAAGGTCAACCATAGTGTGTATTAAAATACAAGCCTATACACATACACCACCACACACCTCCATGCATATCACATGCTAAAAAATAAGACAATACATAATAATAACACTAAAGATTACATGCAAAAAGTCTTTCAGGCAAGCATGACTAGTTTCAGGACTTCTGAATTCTGTAGGCATCTCAAAATCTGAAGTAAGGTGAAAGATGATAATTGAGAAGGTTTCTGATGATGCTAACTTACCTTGATTTGATGGGAGGGGAAATCAACACACAGATAATCTAAAGGAACTCCAGATGGACTCCACCGGAGTGAATGAAGAGGCAGATTCATGGCAGATGAAAATTAACTCCGGAAAGAATGAAATAAAGCGCGGGTAAAACATGAGATCAGCTTTCCAGTGCAGCATTCTGGATTGTCTTTTAACCTCAGTATAAGAAGTCAGTTCATAGTATTTCACTGTCACAGGAGCCTAGTGTGAATTTAAGAGAGTAAATATTACAGAAGGATAACTTTCCCCATGTAACCTGCATCTGTCAACAGCTGGACTGTAAACTGACCAAATGTTCTATGGAGAAAATAGTTTGGAATTATTTTGGAGTTACTTTGATGATGTTCTTCACTGTGAAAAACCAATTTTCAAAAAGCAAACAGGATGCTTAGCAGAATGCGAAAAAGGACAGATCTTAACACCATGCTGAAGCATTATATTTGATTTTAATGTGTGTGCCTTAAAGCCAGAACTGAAACAGTCCTGGAGTGAAAGTAAATAATCTTTTCCTATATAAAGAGCACTATCTGGACCAGAATCCAAGGACTTGAAAGAAGTACAGTGTGATATGTAGTCATGCATTTAGATTATATGAGATGAAAAAAAGTTACTATTGTCATTTCTGCTAATGGAAGCCACTGAGAAGTACTATTTTAATATTACCATGTACCACAGGGCAGGGGTAGCAAAGTTATGTTTCTATCTTGTGTCTATACAATTTTACAAAGCAAAAATTGGAGTCACAAGGAAGTAATGACAAAATAATATACAAAAGGAAATTTTTCATCTCTGCAGGATATGATCAGCTTGGGGCAATCAATGTCAATGAAGGTCAGGATGCCAAATACTGTGGCTGGAGTTGTAAAGAAGCTGACTAATTTTCAGATCAACGATAACAATGACAATAGAATACCTAAGTGAGTAGTGCTCAAACCCAAACTCAAGATACAGGAAAATATCATATCTTAAGTGATATGTTATCATTAACATCATATTCATATTATATTCATATTATAACATATTATATGATGTTAATGATAATATCATATATTAAATAATATTATTTGTGATATGGTGCTATTTGTTCCTATCTTGAGTTTGGTTTTGATCTTAAAAATACTTGTTTTAGCCTCCATTGATTGTTCTTAAACCGGAAATCTGAGCTATGGGCATTAGAAACCAAGCACAGTCTCACCCTGCCTGTATTAACAGTTTGTTTATTTGTTTGTTTGTTTTTTGAGATGGAGTCTCGCTCTCTGGAGGGCAGTGGCATGATCTTCGTTCACTGTAACCTCTGCCTCCTGGGTTCAAGCGATTCTCCTGTCTCAACCTCCCAAGTAGCTGGGACTACAGGCATGCAGCATCATGCCCGGCTAATTTTTGTATTTTTAGTAAGGATGGGGTTTCACTGTATTGGTCAGGCTAGTCTTGAATTCCAGACCTCATGATCTGCCCGCCTCGCCCTCCCGAAGTGTCATTAACATCTTTAAAGGCAGATTATTTCAATTTAAGCATCAGAGAAATGACAGAGCATGGGACGTATCCATTTTCCTACTAATGCAAAGATGGTCTTTCCTTATTGTTGACAGACTTCTGTCAAGAATGGTCTTTCTTACTAGTAAAAATTTAATAATAGTTAAAGCCATTTAGGCTATGAATGTTTCAGAAGTAGTTAAGAATTCAAAGAGACTTATTTAAGAAAATAATATGGGGCTCATTTTATTTTTCACTACATATCAATTACTGATAAAATAATTTTATCAGTAATTATTTCTCTTTGGAATCATAATTTTAATATATACATGCAAATTTTAATACCCATGGAAAAGCGCTATTTGCTTTTTCTGCTTTTTCTAGATCTGAATTTTGATACTGAAAGAAAGCTACTGAGAAAAGTAGTTACGGTAGGCAGAATAATGTTCCCACCCACCCAAAGATATCTATGACCTAATTTGTGGGTGGATTACCTTCAATTGCAAAGGGGACTTTGTTGATATGATTACGTAAAAAGTCATGAGAGGGGAAGATCCTCTTAGATTATGTTAGTGTGTCTTATATAATCACAAGGGTCCTGATAAGAGAGAGGCAGAGGTTTCAGAGTCACAGGAGGACATATGACAAAAGCAGAGGTAAGACAAGCACACACACCCAGAGAAAGAGATTTGAAGAGGCTATGCTGCCTACTTTAAAGCTAGATTAAACAATCATGAGGTCAAGAAATGGAGGTGTCCTCTAGAACATGGAAAAATGCAAGGAAATGAATTCTCCCTTAGAGCCTCCAGAAGGAATACAGCACTGCCATCATTTTGAATTTAGGATTTCTGACCTCTAGAAAGGTAAGATAATAAATTTATGTTGTTTCAAGCCACCAAGTTTGTCGCAAATTTTACAGCAACAGTAATAAATAAATACAAACTATGGCACTGGTAGTGAGGTGCTTCTGTAAAAAACAAATAAAAACACAGAAGTGGCTTTGGAATTGGGCAATAGGAAAAAACTGAAAGAATTTTGGGGACAAAGACTGAAAAGTTTAGATTTCCTTAGACTTTTAGTGAAAATGTAGACAACTCTTCTAGTGAAGACCTAGATGATAGTGAGGAACATGGTAGAAAAATCTGTATTTTCTTACAGGATATTTAAATCATTGTAAATGAACTCTTGGTAGAAATACAAACTTTAAAAGTATCACTGATAAGGGTCCAGAAGAAAAGAAGGAACATGTCATTGGAAACCGAAAGAAAGGGGATCCTTGTTACATAGTGGCAGAAAGCTTAGTTGAATTGTGTCCTACCAATACATGGAAAGCAGAACAGGTAACAATAACTTTGGATATTTACCTGAAGAGATTTCCAAGAAAAGTGTTGAAAGTATGGCCTTGTTTCTGATTGCTGTTTATAGCAAAATATGAGGAAAGAGACACATTGAGGGAAGAACTCTTAAGCAAAACCAGCACTACATAATTTTGGAAATTCTCAGTAGATCCAGATTTCAAAGGATGCATGATTTTAGGACTTCTGAACTCCAGAACTGTAAAATAATAGAAGTGTGTTGTTTTATGCCATTAAATTGGCAGTAGTTTGTTATATCACCAAATGTAAACTAACACAGAGGTTAAAATAAGGAGCCCTGGGTAAATGTAGAATGTAGTTATTTGAAAGGAAAACCTCTGAGAATTAGGATTAAGTTGATGAATCTCTTTGAGACTAACAGTCACTTACTCCTTCACTTGTATAAGGAAAGATTAAATGTTATCTATAGTGCACATAATAGTTAACAAACCACCCTAAAATTTGGTGATTTAAACACCATGATGTATTAGTTTCTGTAAGTCTAAGCATCTCCTGGGAATTTTTGATGTGCTCACTCTTGCTTGGCAGTCAGCTGCAGACTGGTTGGATTCTTGTTGATCTAGTATGGCCTCAGCTGGGATGAGCTGTCTCTTTTCCACTTGGCATCTGCTCTTCTAGCAAGCTAGCCTGGCTTGTTCTCAAGAAAGTGGCAGTATTCCAGGAGAGAAAATAGACACATGCATGGTTTCTTGAGTCCTAGACTCTGAAGTAGCGTACTATCACTTTTACCTACCAAAGCAAGTCTCACAGCCAGTCCAGGGTCAGGAGAGACTCCATATCTTAAAGGGAAGAGCTGGAAAGCTCCATTGAAGGCATGGTTACTGAAATGAGTGGAAAGAAAAAATGGCAATATATTTGCATGAATCTACTGCTATGCTCAAGACAAAAACAATGATAATAACTCCTAAAATAGAAGTTAGGTCCAGGAACCTACAAAACATCAAAGTCCTTCAACTAATACCATAAACCCAGAGAAAAAGGGAGAGAAAGAGGTAGGAAAAAAAAAGAGTAAGAGATTGATTCAGTGATAAATTCAGTGATTTTTTTTTTTGAGATAGAGTCTAACTCTGCCACCCATACCATCTTAGTTTACTGCAACCTCCACCTCCCGTGTTCAAGTGATTCTTGTGCCTCAGCCTCCTGAGTAACTGAGATTACAGGTGTGTACCACCATGCCCAGCTACTTTTTGTATTTTTAGTACAGATGGGGTTTTGCCATATTGGCAAGGCTGGTCTCAAACTCCTGACCACAAGTGATCCTCCCACCTTGGCCATCCCAAAGTGCTGGGATCACGGATGTGATCCACTCTACCCAGACTGATTCAGTGATTGATTCATTGTAGAGCAGGAATGACAGACTACAAAGCTTGAGTGTCGGCCTCAATCACTTCTGGGAAAATAATGAAATTAAGGCAGAAATCAAGAAATTCTTTGAAACTGGTGAGAACAAAGATACAACATACCAGAATCTCTGGGACACAGCTAAAGCAGTATTAAGAGGAAAGTTTATAGCACTAAATGCCCACATCAAAAAGTTAGAAAGATCTCGAATTAACACTCTAACATCACAATTAGAGAAACAAGAGCAAACCAACCCCAAAGCTAGTAGAAGACAAGAAATAATCAAAATCACAGTTGAAGCGTAGGAAATTAAGATGCAAAAAACATAGAAAAGATCAGCAAATCCATGAGTTTGTTCTTTGAATGAAATAATAAGATAGACTGCTAGCTAGACTAATAAAGACAAAAAGAGAGAAGATATAAACACAATCAGAAATGACAAAGGGGACGTTACCACTGACTCAACACAAATATAAAAAACTTCAGAGACTACTATGAACACCTCTATGCACAGAAGTGAGAAAACCTAGAAAAAAGTGGAAACATACAACCTCCTAAGATTAAACCAGAAAGAAATTGAATTCCTGAACAGACCAGTAATGAGATCTGCAACTGAATCAGTAATAAAAAGCTGACTAAGCAGAAAAAGCCCAGGACCAGCCAGATTCACAGCCGAATTCTACCAGTTGTATAAAAAAGAGCTGGTACCATTCCTACTGAAACTAATCCAAAAATTGAGGAGGAAGTACTCCTCACTAACTCATCCTACGAGTCCAGCATAATCCTGATACCAAAACCTGGCAGAGACACAACAAAAACAAAAAACCTCAGGCCTATACCTTTGACTAATATAGTTGCAAAAATCCTCAACAAAATACCAACAAACTGAATCCAGCTGCACATCAAAAAGCTAGTCCACTATATTCAAGTAGGCTTTATTCCTGGGAGGCAAGGTTGCTTTAACATATGCAAATCAATAAATGTGATTCAACATATAAATAGAACTAAAACCAAAAACCACATGATTATCTCAATAGATGCAGAAAAGACTTCCAATAAAATTCAACATTACTTCATGTTAAATACCCTCAACAAACTAGGCATTGAAGGAACACATGTCAAAATATAATAAAAGAGCCATCTATGAAAAACCCACAGTCAACATCATACTGAATAGGCAAAAAACGGAAGAATTCCCCTTGAAAAATGGGATAAAAAAGGATGTCATCTCTCAACACTCCTTGTCGATATAGTACTGAAATCCCAGAGCAATCAGGCAAGAGAAAAAAATAAAAGGCATCAAATGGAAGAAAGAAAGTCAAACTATTCCTGTTTACAGATGATTCAATACCTAGAAAACCCCAGTCTTTGCTCCAAGCTGCTTAATCTGATACACAACTTCAGAGTTTCATGATAAAAAATCAAAATACAAAAAACAGTAGCATTCCAATATATCAATAACGTCCAAGCTGAGAGCCAAATCAAGAATGCAATTCCAATTATAATTGCCAGAAAAAATAAAATATCTAGGACAACAGCTAACCAGGGAGGTGAAAGATCTCTGCAATGAATTACAAAACACTGCTCAAAGAAATCAGAGAGGACAACAACAAATGAAAAGGCATTACATATTCAGTGCTCTTCCTATCAAAGTACCAATAACATTCTTCACATAACAAGAAAAAAATATTTTAAAATTTATTTTGAACCAAAAAAAGAGTGCAAATAGCCAAGGCAATCTTAAGCTAAAAAAACAAAGCTGGAGGCATCATGTTACCTAACTGCAAACTATATTACAGGGTTATAGTAACAAAAACGGCACGGTACTGGTACAAAAACAGACACATAGCCCATTGGAATTGAATAAAGAGTGCAGAAATAATGCCACACACCTACAACCATCTGATCTTCAACAAAATTGACTAAAGCAATGGAGAAAGGATTCCCTATTCAACAAATGGTGCTGGGATAAATGGCTAGCCATATGTAGAAGAATGAAACTGGACCCATTCTTTACACCATATACAAAAATCAACTCGAGATGCATTAAAAATGTCAGTGTAAAACCTGAAACTATAAAAACTCTGGAAGATAACCAAGGCAATACTATTCTGGACATAGGCACTGGCAACGATTTCATAACAAAGATGTCAAAAGCATTTGAAACAAAAATATAAAATTGATAAATAGAATAAGCTAAAGAGCTTCTGCACAGCAAAATAAGCTATCAACGGAGTAAAGAGACAACCTGTAGAATGGAAGAAAATATTTGCAAACTATGCATCTAACCAAGGTCTAATATCCAGAATCTATAAGGAACTTAAACAAACTTATAAGCAAAAAACAACTCCATTAAAAAGTGGGCAAAGGATATGAACAGACACTTTTCAAAAGTCATAGACAAGGCAAACAAGTATACAAAAAAAAAAGTTCCACATTGCTAATCATTAGAGAAATGCAAATCAAAACCACAATGATATATTATCTCATACCAGTCAGAATGGCCATTATTAAAAAGTCAAAAAATAACAGATGCTGACGAGGTCTTGGAGAAAAGGTAGTGCTTATACACTGCTGGTGGGAATGTAAATTAGTTCAGTCTTTCTGGAAAGCAGTTTGGCAATTTCTCAAAAAACTTAGAATTACCATTCAACCCAGCAATCCCGTTATTGAGTATATACCCAAAGGAATCTAAATCATTCTATGGTAAAGATATATGGATGCTTATGTTCACTGTAGCACTGTTCCCAATAGCAAAGACATAGAATCAATAGAATCGCCCCAAATGTCCATCAACAGTAGACTGGACCAAGAAAATGTAGCACATACACACCATGGAATACTATGCAGCCACTACAAATAATGAGATCATGTGCTTTGCAGCAACCTGGATGTAACTGGAGGCCATTACCCTAAGCAAACACGGGAACAGAAAAAATTTTAAAAACTGGAGTGTTACTCCTATACTGGCTGGGAATCAGTCACTGATACATGTTTTACTACTGCTGGGTGCCTTTTCTGTTGCCAGAAAGACAAAATTGCCTGATCATCAACAGCATCTGGTATTTCCGCAAATAATCTTCTGATATATTATTATTATTAGGTTTAGTTTGAGTATATTAAGTAATCTCTCTTTTAAAAAGAATTAACCTATATAATAAACTCTTAAACAGAAAAAATATGCAATTCGCCAGAAAATCAACTGAAATTGAACAGAAATTTCAAATAAGAGCCACATTACATTTTTGATTTCTAGAAACAATATTACGCTGTATTGCAGAACAATAAGTACCTAAGTGGCAACACAAAATGCCTTAATAGAGAAATTTCTGAAAGATTAGAAACATTTTTACCCAAAGGAGAAATTTGATAACTCATATCTTCCAACCACCATGATTTCACCAAGAATAATTCAAAATCTGTTGGCTAGATCAACACCAACAGACAAGATTCAAAAGATGCTTCAGAATCTACCATGGTTCAATAGCTGAGTTCTACCTAAATCAATACCAATATTAGTTATATTTTTCCAGACCCAAAAATACTTTTTGTAAGCTGAGCTAAAATTATTATTGCCTAACAATAAATACTTCCATCTGCCTGCACTTAATAATATGAAAGTTACTCGTTTAATGAAGGTTATCCAACTTAGTCTTCATTTAATGAAGGTTATCCAACTTAATCTTCATTACAACACATGATGTGAGCATTATTGTCTCATTTCAAAGTGATTAAAGAATTTATGTATGGTTATACCACAGCTAAGATGTAGGGTTGGGATTCAATCTAAAGTCAAAGGAAGTAGTCTGTCAGCTTCCCCATGCTGCCTCCTATGCCTGTGCAAATGTGAAAGTGATATACTAAAGAGTAAAACCCAAGGATTAAAGGCAAAAATATGCACTTAATAGTAATACCCAGAAGCTTTCTAGTGCCATAGTCATTAATGGAGTTCACCAAATCTCTATGAATCCCTACACTCTGGGCACATGTTAGATTTGCACTCTTTTCTTGCATGGTGGGATAGGGTCAAGTGGTAGATCTGGCTACTGAGGGGAGAGAAGTGACATGTGAATTAGTTACTTGGTGAAAGAATGGCCAAAATCTTTTTTCCTCCTGGCAGTAATCAGCAAAGTTAAACATGGTAGATGCTCCATCAGCCTGAGTTCTGGACTGACTAACCTGGAAACAATAGGAGAGTCCCTGCTTGCCCATGATAGATAGGTAGTGTTAGCCAGAAATAAATTGTTGATTTAAGCCTCTGATACTTAGGGTTGTTGACTACAGCAGCATGATCTATCATATCCTGATACTCATGATGTTCATTTCTCTCCAAGAGAAGACCTTTTGTAGGTTGTACCAAATCCATACATTACTCTACCTATAAGAAGTAACTAACCTCAACATTGCAACAAATCACAGGGAAGGCTAAACCATATATGTCCAAAAAGCAGAACTGACTTTTATCTGGACATAAATAGAATGAGAAGACATTTCCAGGTAATAAAAATATAGTAAATATGATTGTGTTTCTCATATCAGGGAGTTTCAGGGTTTTTTGTTGTTGTTGTTTTTGAGATGGGGTCTCGCTCTGTTGCCCAGGCTGGAGTGCAGTGGCGTGATCTCGGCTCACTGCAACCTCTACCTCCCAGGTTCAAGCAATTCTCATTCCTCAGCCTCCGGAGTAGCTGGGATTATAGGCGTGAGCCACTGCACCTGGCCGACTTTTGGTTATTGTTAAAATTAATTTCCAATCTATCACAGACCCAACATACTATCTCACTATGTGAGTTTATATGATCACACCAGTTCGTAGCTAGAGATCATGATGACTAGTTCATAGCTAGTGACTCTATGACTCACCACATGAATTTGACAACACCTCAAGCTGTTTGATGAGACATGCTTAGATGCTGTGACATTACAAAATTGTTATTAAAATTTCTAAAAGCTTATTTTTAATTTCTATACCTATTTTGTTACAGACCAGTAATCAAATGGTTGTAGTCATTCACCAGTTTAGGAAATCATACTTTGAGTAGCACTGCTGAACATAACCAAACTTCCTTGGCTTGTGTTTAAAGTAAACTTTTCATTTGGGTAACCAGAAACTCAGGATTTTCCATAACTGGTTAACATAACTGATATAAACACTGTGTTGAATATTATGGGGTAACAACAACATAAACAGCCTGAATAGTATTAGCAAAACTTTGGAGATGAAATGAGCAATCTGTATGCTGAAGATCATAAATATTTCCCTTAGCCATAATTATGAAGCATTTTACTAATTCCTAATGGGAAAGAATTAATAGTTAAGGTAAAAAACAGCTTGTATATGATGTATAGTTCATTGCATAGAAAACACTCTTAGAGACAGAGTAAACTACACATAGTTCTTACTCCCTAGCCTAGGCCTGGTCTTCTTAGGTATTCTTTTGTGGTCTTAAAAAACAATTGCTATAGAGATACTAAATACATTGTATAGATAATCCTGGACAGTGGACTCTAGATTGACAGTTGTCATCAGAGTTCTGGTACCCAGTTTGAGGAGACAGAGCAAAAACAACTTAGAAAGTTGCCTTAGCATAGTTTATTCCTATTTAAGCTCTCTACACCTTATAATCTTTATTTTTAAATTGGTATGTACATACACACATACATACATACATATATAACATCTATGTATGTATACTAGGGTTTCCCAACCTTCGTATTATTGACATTTCAGGCCAGTAATCCTTTGCTATGGGAGCTATTCTATTGATTGTAGGATATTTAAAAGCTCCCCCAGGACTCTAACCACTGGATACCAGTATCATGGCCCCAGTTGTGACAACCAATATCCACTGAGATATTGCCAAGTGTCCTATGGAAGATTGCTACCATTTGAAAATTACTGTTATATATAATATATATTATATATGTTAATATACTATGAATTTTAATAATTTTATTGATTTCTTGGAAAAACATGCATAAATCCATTAAGATTAGAAAGCAGACACTTTTTTTAAGAAAGCAGAATGGATCAAGATATTTAGTCTCACTTTTTCAATATTTTATATTTTATACAAGTATTTTAAAGGTACATACATCACATCCTGATGTGATGTACATACAACACACAATATTAGGCAAAGGTCTCTGTCAAGCAAATTTCCAAATATCACTAAAAAATAAATGCTAGATATAAAATGTTTATTCAATGTAGATGGGAAGGGAAAAATAATGTCAAGACATGTGGGTTGCATATCTACATTCTAATATATGGAAAGACTAGTCAGAAGACATTTTTAAACTTTCCTCCCAGGACTAGAGGCACTGCACCTTTAAATGGAGCTAGCTGCAGTAACCTGCAGAACTCTCATGGAATGTGGAGTGTTCCGGGATTCTGTCTAGTCAGGCCTCTGGCAGGGCTGTGGCAGCTTTGTTTGTGGGCAGGCAGCCTCCTCACATTTCTGTTACTTTATCCTTAAGGAAGTTGCCATGGAGACTGGCATGGAGATGGCAGTTGGCCAGGCAAAGAGTTTTAAGTTGAAAAAAACAACACATTCACACACACTCAAGCTCTTACTCACACATACTCCCAAAATAAACACATCCTTGTGTGTACATAATCAACTTTAAAAAAATACACTTAGCGTCATTGCCTATTTGGGTAAATGGTTAAACCTTTGTTTCTTTTCTAACTTGACCCAAAAAACACCATCAGAAAAAGAGCAGTTAATGAAGTAGGAAAATAGCACCTATTAAAAGTAATCCATCACAGCTCATGAACACCCAGCTAGTAGGCATCTGATTGCAAAATCTGTTTTCTTGGCAAAGGAGTCATGAGAAGGAAAACTAAAGTGATACAGTAAATGAAGAATTTCTTCATTTGGTGAAAACAAATGTGATTTGGTCAACTTAAATATTATCAAAAGTGGTCCAACATTTTATTTTATTTTCATAAACAAAATGTAAAAATAACACAGAGCTTTGAAGATTTGTTTTTTAATTTTGGGAGGGCAGCAGAATTGAAATCTTCTTTAGCATTCTGAAAAGCCTCAGATTTTATCCAATCTTTGTATATGGAGTACTTTCCACAGCAGCCTTCAAACTCAAGGTATTTGGTCAAAAACAATGATAAAATTCTGAAGTACATCTAGGTTGGTTAGAGAGAAATTCATGAAAGTCATAAATCCTTGAGAATTATCCCAAAACAGCATCAGAGATTTGAATGCTACTAGTGCATAAATTGCTTAGTGTTTACTTAGAAAACAAATCTCCATATGCAGTATGCACTTCATAAAACTAAAGCTTTCAATGTACTTTTATTTCAGCATGGACAATATGCAAGAAAGTATTGCTGTAATTCAGATTATTAGATTATGAACTGTACAAACAAGCATCAAACAGTAAAAGAAAATGGAAGGAAACGTTTTCAAAATGAAATGTTTCTTTCTGTTATGAAAGTAGTGTTGACAATCCAAAGATTTGTGTTTCCATATGTAACCAACTGAATAACACAACACTGACTATTGTGAATTTTATGTTTTTTTCCCCTCTCTCTTCAAAGGACAAACTGCCTTGGAGGTATTGTTGAGTGGGCTTCTGTGTGATAAGCCAACCCAAAACAGTTCACTTAAGGATTAAGTTGAAGCTTTGTTTTCAAGGTTTAGGGAACACTGCACAGCCTCACTTTATAATTACCACATGTATGACAAACCCTAGTGTTTTATAGTCCTTCTGATGACCAGCTGTGCATGGATTTTACATGGTCCTTTTGTCAGTATATAAATACAACCTGCTGAGGTTATGAGGAAACCACACAGTTATTAGTGTTGGTATGCACCATGAAAATGCTATTCAAATCAGCTTGTGGTTGACGTATTAGTTACTACATCAGAACCACTGATCTCTATTTTATTACTTCCCTGATGAATGACATAACACAACAAAAAAGTAGGAGTCTGCCTAGACAGATGTAATTTATCCAAACCGTCTGTTTCTATAACCCACAGAAGCAGATACTAAGTATTTTCCCCACATATATGACCATGGAAAATGATTGCAATAACATGAAATGTTACCACAGTGTTAATGACAATCCACTATACTGAGAGAAAAATCGATTAAAATCAGTTTTATTTTTCTTTTAAGGTGAAAGGCATACATTGCAATAAAGAGGTGTTGGGCTTTTATAGAGCACAGAGTAAAAACGAAGTTTTCACTCTATGACATGACAATTCTAATTGTTTTCTTTCATAAATTTACATGTACATGATTAGCAGCTTAATTTTCACAAAGCAGTCCTCAAAGACATCTTGGAAAACATGTCTTAGAAGTTCAGTTAAAACACCACCACCACTGCCATTACCACTCTCCCTCCTCTCATACCCATCTCTAACCTTTGGGCATTATTTTCAGCAGGAATGGATGTGAAGATGTTCAATAAGGGCTATGGCTTTTAACTTTTCACAATTGAAATGAACATTGTGCCTGAAAGTCTCCACTGACACATTAGACTTTGACATTCCTTCAATTAAAAGATTTACAAGTTAAAAGGATTATGAAGTTAGTTAACTTAAAAGGTATGCTTTCCTTCCCTGACATAAGGCAAAAAAAAAAAAAAAATGGATAGGCATTTTATCACAAATTATTTGGTTTATATAAATAGAAGCATTTTTTTCTAAAAGAGATGTTAAAACTGGAGTCATTTCAAAATGTATGTTTCCATTGAAAACCTTGGCCATCATTAGGATTAGGATGCTGGTTTGTGTTTGTTTTACTCATCCTCCTACCTACTCCATCTTTAAACATTTCTCCAGATTCTTGGGATATCCATTTCTCCTGCCACCTCTATCCTCACCCCTTGAAACCAGATTGAAGTTTTCTTTCATCAGGCCACATTCTACCATTTTGTCTTTTCTAATAAAACTTACCTGTCTTACATTTCATTCCTCTAGAGCTTTGCCCTCCATTACCTAAAATGGGGTCTAATTGTGTGGTCATGTAATCTAAACATGGCTAATAGCTGAGAATGAATTGGTTGGCTTGCTGTCCTGAGCCAACATAACTGCCAGGCACAGTAGGCGCAGTGTTGAGGGGCTACAATACTGCCAGGAACCTACAAAAAAACTTTTATCTTTTTAATTAGAAGAAAAAAATGAACTTTTAGGTCACAATAAGTGTTTTATTGCATATTATCAGTACATTTGTCTTCATAACAACAGACCCTTAAAATATAATTTTTAAGTTTTTATGGACGAAGAGCCCCATGAAGGCAAAAGTACCTGTGACCCACAAATTTATAATGCAGGACTGTTACTATCTAGTGACTTATGCCACTTGATTGGAAATCCTCATTTATTAATTCCTCTATTTTATGCCACATGTTTCTAATCATTTTCAAATAACTTTTATGGTATGCAAACTGTTTTCAGAAAGAGAAAAAATTCTGAGAGAAATATCCTGAGGAAGGCTTTTTAAAATGACTTTTTTTCAATAACTTTAGAAGTACAAGTTTTTTTTTGCTATGTGGATGAATTGTATAGTAGTGAAATCTGGGATTTTAGTGTACCCATCACCCAAGTAGTATATATTGTATTCCAACAGGTAGTTTTTCATCCCTCACCCCCTCTTTCTAAATTTCCAATGTTCATTATACCTCTCTGTCTACCTTTGCATGCCCATAGCATTCTCACTTACAAGTGAGAACATATGGTATTTGGTTTTTCATTCCTGAGTTACTTTACTTAAAATAATGACCTCCGGTTCCATGTTGCTGCAAAAGACATTATTTCATTCTTTTTATAACTGAGTAGTATTCCATGACATAAATATATACCACATTTTCCTTACCCACTCTTTGGTTGATGGGCACTTAGGTTGATTCTATATCTTTGCAATTGTGAATTGTGTTGCGAGAAGCATGCATGCAGGTGTCTTTTTTTAATATAATGATTTTTTTCTTGCCTAAAGAGATAGCCAGTAGTAGGTTGCTGGATCAAATGGGAGATTTACCTTTAGTTCTCTGAGAAGTCTCCATACTGTTCTCCATAGAGATTGTACTAAGTTACATTCCCACCAGCAGTGTTAGCACTCCCTTTTCACCATATCTGTGCTAACATCTATTGTTTTTTGACTTTTTAATAATGGCCATTGTGGCTAGGGTAAGGTAGTATCTCATTGTGGTTTTCATTTGCATTTCCCTGATGATTAGTGATATTGAGCATTTTTTCATAATTTTGTTGGCCATTTGTACATTTTCTTTTGAGAAATGTCTGTCATTTGCCAACTTTTTTATTTTTGTATTTTTTTATTTCAGTAGGTTTTTTGGGAACAGGTGCTTTGGTTACATAAAAAAGTTCTTTAGTGGTGATTTCTGAGATTTTGGTGCACCCATCACTTGAGCAGTATACACTGTACCCAATGTATAGTCTTTCATCCCTCTCCCCACTCCCACCCTCCCAAATTCCCAAGGTCCTCTGTATCATTCTTATGTCTTTGTGGCCTCATAGCTTAGCTCCCACTTATGAGTCAGAACATACAACGTTTGGTTTTCCACTCCTGAGTTACTTTACTTAGAATAATGGTCTCCAATTCCATCCAGGTTGCTGTGAATGTCATTATTTCATTCTTTTTCATGGCTGAGTAGTATTCTATTATATATATATATATATATATATATATATATATATATATATCACATTTTCTTTATCTATTCATTGATTGATGGCCATTTGAGCTGGTTCCATGTTTTTACAATTACAAATTGTGCTGCTGTAAACATGTATAAGTATCTTTTTCAAATTATGACTTCTTTTTCTCTGGGTAGATACCCAGCAGTGAGACTACTGGATCAAATGGTAGATCTACTTTTAGTTCTTTAAGGAATCACTACACTGTTTTCCATAGTGGTTATACTAGTTTACCTAAAAGTGTTCCCTTTTCATCACGACCACACCAACATCTATTCTTTTCTGATTTTTTTACTATGGCCATTCTTGCAGGAATGTGGTGGTATCGCATTGTGGTTTTGATTTGTATTTCACTGATAAGTAGTGATGTTGAGCATTTTTTCATATGTTTTTTGGCCATTTGTGTATCTACTTTTGAGAATTGTCTATACATGTCCCTAGCCCACTTTTTGATGGGATTCTTTGTTTTTTCTTGCTGATTTGTTTGAATTCCTTATAGATTCTGTATATTAGTCCTTTGTCAGATGTACAGATTGTGAAGTTTTTCTCCCACTCTGTGGGTTGTCTGTTTACTCTGCCCACTTTCACCATTTATTTTCACTGTAGTACTGGAAATTCTAACTAGAGCAATCAGACAAGAGAAAGAAATAAAGGGCACCCAGTCAAACTGTCACTGTTTGCTGATGACATGATTGTATACCTGGAAATATCCTAAAGATTCATCCAAAAAGCTCCCAGAACTGGTAAATGAATTTAGCAAAGTTTCAGGATACAAAATTAACATACACAAATCAGTAGCTCTGCTATACACCAACAGCGATCAAGCTGAGAATCAAATCAGCTTTATTTCTTTTGCTGTGCAGAAGCTTTTTAGTTTAAGTCACATCTATTTATCTTTGCTTTTGTTGCATTTGCTTTTGGGTTCTTCGTCATGAAGTCTTTGCCTAAGTCAAAGTCTAGAAGGGTTTTTCCAATGTTATATTCTAGAATTTTTATTGTTTCAGGTCTTAGATTTAAGCCTTTGATCCATCTTCAGTTAATTTCTGTGTAGGGTGAGAGATGAAGATCCAGTTTCATTATTCTACTTGTGGCTTGCCAATTATCCCAGCACTATTTGTTGAAGAGGACGCCTTTTCCCCACTTTATGCTTTTGTTTGCTTTGTTGAAGATCAGTTGACTGTAAGTACTTAGTTCGGGGTTCTCTATTCCGTTCCATTGGTCAATATGCCTATTTTTATACCGATACCATTCTGTTTTGGTGTTTATGGCCTTATCGTATAGTTTGAAGTCGGGTAATGTAATGCTTCCAGATTTGTTTTCTTTGCTTAGTCTTGCTTTGGCTGTGCAGGCTCTTTTTTGGTTCTACACGAATTTTAGGATTGCTTTTTCTAGTTCTGTGAAGAATGATGGTGGTATTTTGATGGAAATTGTATTGACTTGTAGATTGCTTTTGGCAGCATGGTCATTTTCACAATATTGATTCTACCAATCCATGAGCATGAGATGTATTTCCATTTGTTTGTGTCATCTATGATTTCCTTCAACAGTGTTTTGTAATTTTCCTCGTAGAAGTCTTTTACCTCCTTGGTTAGCTATATTCCTAAGTTTTTTTGTTTGTTTTTGCTGTTGTTGTTTTTTGTTTTTGTTTTTGTTTGCAGCTATCGTTAAAGGGGTTGAGTTCTTGATTTGATTCTCAGCTTGATCGCTGTTGGTGTATAGCAGAGCTACTGATTTGTGTACGTTAATTTTGTATCCTGAAACTTTGCTAAATTCATTTACCAGTTCTGGGAGCTTTTTGGATGAATCTTTAGGATATTTCCAGGTATACAATCATGTCATCAGCAAACAGTGACAGTTTGACTGGGTGCCCTTTATTTCTTTTTCTTGTTTGATTGCTCTAGTTAGAATTTCCAGTGCTACAGTAAAAATAAATGGTGAAAGTGGGCATCCTTGTCTTGTTCCAGTTCTCAGAGGGAAGGCTTCCAACTTTTCCCCATTCAGTACAATGTGGGCTGCGGGTTTGTCATAGATGCCTTTTATTAGTTTAAGGTATGTCTCTTCTATGCCTATTTTGCTGATGGTTTTAATCATAAAGGAATGCTGGATTTTGTCAAATGCTTTTTCTGTGTCTATTGAGATAGTCATGTGGTTTTTGTTTTCAATTCTGTTTATGTGGTGTATCACATTTATTCACTTGCATATGTTAAACCATCCCTGCATCCCTGGTATGAAACCTATTTGATCATAATGGATTATCTTTCTGATATGTTGTTGGATTTGGTTAGCAAGTATTTTGTTCAGAATTTTAGCATGTATGTTTATCAGGGATATTGGTCTAGTAGTTTTCTTTTTTTGTTATGTCCTTTCATGGTTTTGGTATTCATAGGATGGTTTAGGGAGGATTCCCTCTTTCGCTCTTTTGGAATAGTGTCAATATGATTGCTACCAATTTTTCTTTGGATGTCTGGTCAAATTCAGTTGTGAATCCTTCTGGTCCTGGATTTTTTTTTTTGTTTTTGTTGGTAACTTTTAAATTACCATTTCAATCTTGGTGCTTGTTATTGGTCTGTTCAGAATTTCTATTTGTTCCTGGTTTAATCTAGGAGAGTTGTATATTTCTAGAAATTTACCCACCTCCTCTGAGTTTTCTAGTTTATGCACGCAAAGGTGTTCATAGTAGCCTTGAATGATCTTTTGTATTTCTGTGGTATTGGTTGTAATATTTCCTGTTTCATTTCTAATTGAGCTTATTTGGATCTTCTCTCTTCTTTTCATAATTAATCTTGCTAATGGTCTATAAATTTTATTTATCTATTCAAAAAACCAGCTTTTTGTTTCATTTATCTTTTGTATTTTTTTGTTTTGTTTTGTTTCAATTTCATTTGGTTCTCCTCTGATCTTGGTTATTTCTCTTCTGCTGCTGGGTTTATTGCTTCCTTGATTGGCTTAATAATCGACGTCTGAATTCTTTTTCTGGCAATTCAGAGATTTCTTCTTAGTTTGAATCCATTGCTGGTGAGCTAGTGTGATCTTTTGGGGTTGTTAAAAAAGCTTATTTTGTCATTTAACCAGAATTGTTTTTCTGGTTCCTTCCCATTGGGGTAGACTATATCAGATTCTTTTGTCCCACGGGGGTGCTTTCTTGATGTGGTACTCTCCCCTCTCCCCTAGGGATGGGGCTTCCTGAGCTGAACTGCAGTGATTACTATTTCTCTTCTGGATCTAGCCACCCAGAGGAGCTACCAGGCTCTGAGCTAGGACTGGAGAGTGTCTGCAAAGAGTCCTGTGATGTGATCCATCTTCAGGTCTCTCAGCCATCGACACCAGCACCTACTCTGGTGGAGGTATCAAAGGAGTGAAGTAAACTCTGTCAGAGTCCTTGGTTGTATTTCTGTTATGTACACAGGTTTTGTGCTGGTTGGCTTCTAATCAGGAGGTGGAGCTTTCAAGAGCTTATTAGCTGTAGTTGTACAGGGAGGATACAAACTTGCCCTAGGGTCACATTTGGATAAGTATTCAAGTTTCTCAGGTGGTGGTCAGGGCCACAGAGCTCCTAAGAGACTATTTCCTTTGTCTTCAGCTACCCAGGCAAGTAGACAAAGACCATCAGGTGGGGGCAGGGTTAGGTGTATCTGAGCTCAGACTCTCCCTGGGTGGGGTTTGTTGTGGCTGCTCTGGGGGTTGGGGGTGTGGTTCCCAGGCCAATGGAGTTATGTTCCCAGGGGATTATGGCTGCCTCCACTGCATCACAAAGGTATCCAGGGAAGGTGGGGGGAAAGCCAGCAGCCACAGGCCTCATCTAGCTCCCAAGCAGCCTACAGCCTTTTGAAAGGCCAGTCTTACTCTCCCAACAGCACTGAGTTTATTCCCAGGCAGCCAGTGAGCAGGGCTGTGAATTTACCCCAGGCTACAAGCCTCCTAGTTGAGAAAGCAAGCTGACTCACAGTTCCTTGGCTGTCCAATGGAGCCTGCAGTGGCAATCCACCTCCTTCAAAGGGTCTGTGGCTTCTCTTGGCTTTCCTGGTATGTTCCTGTGGTAGTTCATGGAGAAAATGTTCATGATGTAAATCTCTACATGCTGCTCTGTCCACGTAAGTGGGAGCTACAAGTTAGTCCTGCAGCCTGTTAAAGCAAACTAAATATGGCCTGAGAAGGACTCCATATTTCTATATTTGAGTCCTTGTGGATAAACTGTAACCTAGCTTAATAGTCAGACAAAATTGAAAACCTAACTTACTTATATGCACCCATAACAATAGCTGAGTGTTGGCCAATCCAAGTGGCCATACTTCAACCACTCATAGACTGCTGAGTGTTCAAACTGCATTCAAAAAAGGCAAACACCAAGCTGTAACCAATCTCGCTGTTTCTGTACCTCACTTCTGATTCCTGTATGTCACTTTATCTTTTTTGTCTATAAATTTGTTCTGACCTCAAGGCACCTCTGGAGTCACTGTGAATCTGCTTGATTCTGGAGGCTGCCTAACTCACGAATCATTAATTGCTCAATTAAACTTCTTTAAATTTAATTCAGCTGAAGTTTTTCTTTTATCAGATGGTGTCAGAAGTGGGATCCCAAGCAGAGCTTCTAGGGACCCCCAGGAGTGCCAAGTGAACATGCAAGCTACCTTCAGGACCCACTTGTGTCCATGGATCTCTCAAAGCAGCTGAGGATTGTGGGTAAGCCCCTCTCAGATTTTGGAGCTCCATAGATTTGTGTTTTGAACTCTACAAGTTTCTTTGAGCAAATTTCTGATCCAAATTGGGTTTGGAGTTATCACACAAACTGGACTGGGTACAGGAACAGAGATTTGATCTGGGAATTAATTGGCTTTGATCCAGGTAGAGACCTCTTACATCTGACTGGGTCAGAAAGGAACTGGTAGTAAGCAGTAATATTGCAGGGGTTATAAAATTTGGCTTTTGAAAATTCACAGGGATTTTTGTGTTCTACCCCTTTGTTTCATTTTTCTTGTGTGCTTAGATAGGAAAAAAATTACTGGCTAAGTTAATCAAGAGAACCTGAGAGTAAAGCCAATATTTAGGTAAAAATGAGATCCTTAATTTCTGGAAAACTGATTTCTTTTTGGCTTATACTTTAGACCTGGGAGGCAATGAAGTCTTACAGAAATGGCAAAATCTTACTAAAGATAACTTACAGTGGAATATTCCAAAGGAACAACAGTGCACTGAAATACATTTAAAAATGAGCGCTCTTGGTAAAGTCCCTTTCAACTAAGAACAGGTTTGGCACTACAGGATGTTAAATGCTATTCTCTTTGGAATAATCTGCCTTGCACTCTCTGCTGACAGCTGTGGGTGACAGGATTAGGCATATACAGGATTGTGGGTTATGGAGGGCTTTTTCCTCCCTGAAAGGGGAAATGAGAGCTGATGAGACTGCTGGAAAAAATCGCTTTGCTACCGAGAAGCAGCAACCTGAAATTACCAGTGTTGCTGCCATGGGTGGACCTTTCTCTGGCCTCCCTGATCATTTCAGCTTCCCCATCCTGCCACAGATAATGTGTTTCTCTCTCTCCTTTCCCTTTCTTATCTTTTCTGTTACGCAGGGCAACCATCTTGTCCAGAGACCACGTATTGAAACTCCTAGACTGAGGTTGGATTAAAGATGATGGGGCCCCCAGTGCAAAAACATACCAAATTGTAAAGGCTATCAACACTATGAAGAAACTTCATCAACTAATGAGCAAAATAACCAGCTAGCATCATAATAACAGGATCAAATTCACACATAACAATATTAGCCTTAAATGTAAATGGGCTAAAGGGCCCAATTAAAAGACACAGACTGGCAAATTGGATAGAGTCAAGACCCATCAGTGTACTGTATTCAGGAGACCCATCTCATGTGCAAACACACACATAGGCTCAAAATAAAGGGATCGAGGAATATTTACCAAGCAAGTGGAAAGCAATAAAAAAAGCAAGGGTTACAATCCTAGTCTCTGATAAAATAGACTTTAAAACAACAAAGATCAAAAGAGACAAAAAAGGGCATTACATAATGGTAAAAGGATCAATGCAACAAGAAGAGCTAACTATCCTAAAAATATGTGTACACAATACAAGAGCACCCAAATTCATAAAGCAAGTCCTTATAGACATACAAAGAGACTTAGACTCTCACACAATCATAGTGGGAGATTTTAACACCCCACGATGAATATTAGACAGATCGGTGAGACAGATAATTAACAAGGATATTCAGGACTTGAACTCAGCTCTAGACCAAGCAGACCTAACAGACATCTACAGAACTCTCCACCACAAATCAACAGACTATACATTCTTCTCAGCACCACATCACACTTATTCTAAAATTGATCACATAATTGGAAGTAAAACACTCCTCAGCAAATGTAAAAGAATAGAAATCATAAAAAGGTCTTTCAGACCACAGTGCAATCAAATTAGAACTCAGGATTAAGAAACTCACTCAAAATCACACAACTACATGGAAACTGAAAACCTGCTCCTGAATGACTACTGGGTAAATAACGAAATTAATGTAGAAATAAAGATGTTCTTTGAAACCAATGAGAAAAAAGACACAACATACCAGAACCTCTGGGACACATTTAAAGCAGTGTGTAGAGGGAAATTTATAGCACTAAATGCCCACAAGAGAAAGCAGGAAATATCTAAAGTTTACACTCTAACATCACATTGAAAAGAACTAGAGAAGCAAGAGCAAACAAACTCAAAAGCCAGCAGAATACAAAAGACAAGAAATAGCTAACAACAGAGCCAAACTGAAGGAGATAAAGACACAAAAAACCCTTCAAAAAAATCAATGAATCCAGGAGCTGTTTTGTTTTTAAAGATCAACAAAATAGACCACTACCAAAACTAATAAGGAAGAAAAGAGAGAAGAATCAAATAGATGCAATAAAAAATGATAAAGGGGATATCACCACCGATCCCACAGAAATACAAACTACCATCAGAGAATACTATAAACACCTCTACATAAATAAACTAGAAAATCTAGAAGAAATGGATAAATTCATGGACACATACACCCTCCCAAGTCTAAACCAGAAAGAAGTTGAATCCCTGAATAGACCAATAACAAGTTCTGAAACTGAGACAGTAATTAATGGCCTACCAACCAAAAAAGTCCAGGACGAGATGGATTCACAGCCGAATTCTACCAGAGGTGCAAAGAGGAGCTGGTACCATTCCTTCTGAAACTATTCCAATCAATAGAAAAAGAGAGAATCCTCCCTAACTCATTTTATGAGGCCAGCATCATCCTGATACCAAAACCTGGCAGAGACACACACAAAAAAAGAAAATTTCAGGCCAATATCCCTGATGAACATTGATGCAAAAATCCTCAGTAAAATACTGGCAAACCAAATCCAGCAGCACATCAAAAAGCTTATCCACCACAATCAAGTTGGCTTCATCCCTGGGATGCAAGGGTGGTTCAACATACACAAATCAATAAACATATCCATCACATAAACAGAACCAAGGACAAAAACCACGTGATTATCTCAATAGATGCAGAAAAGGCCTTTGAAAAAAATTCAACACCCCTTCATGCTAAAAACTCTCAATAAACTAGGTATTGATGGAACATATCTCAAAATAATAAGAGCTATTTATGACAAACACACAGCCAACATCATACTGAATGGGCAAAAGCTGTAAACATTCCCTTTGAAAACCGGCACAAGACAAGGATGCCCTCTCTCAACACTCCTATTCAACATAGTATTGGAAGTTCTGGCCAGGGCAATCAGGCAAGAGAAGGAAATAAAGGGTATTCAAATAGGAAAAGAGGAAGTCACATTGTCTCTGTTTGCAGATGATATGATTGTATATTTGGAAAACCCCATCGTCTCACCCAAAAATCTCCTTAAGCTGATAAGCAACTTCAGCAAAGTCTCAGGATACAAAATCAATGCTCAAAAATCATAAGCATTCCTATACACCAATAACAGACAAACAGAGAGCCAAATCATGAGTTAACGTCCATTCACAATTACTACAATGAGAATAAAATACCTAGGAATACAACTTACAAGGGATGTGAAGGAACTCTTCAAGAGGAACTAAAAACCATTGCTCAAGCAAATAAGAGATGACACAAATTATGGAAAAACATTCCATACTCATGGATAGGAAGAATCAATATTGTGAAAATGGCCATACTGCCCAAAGTTATTTATAGATTCAATGCTATCCCCATGAAGCTACCATTGACTTTCTTCACAGAATTAGAAAATACTACTTTAAATTTAATATGGAACCAAAAAAGAGCCCACATAGCCAAGACAATCCTAAGTAAAAAGAACAAAGCTGGAGGCATCACGCTACCTGACTTCAAACTATACTACAAGGCTACAGTAACCAAAACAGCATGGTACTGGTACCAAAACAGATATATAGACCAATGGAACAGACAGAGGCCTCAGAACTAACACCACACATCTACAACCATCTGATCTTTGACAAACCTGACAAGAATAAGAAATGGGGAAAGAGTTCCCTATTTAATAGATGGTGTTGGGAAAACTGGCTAGCCATATGCAGAAAATTGAAACTGGACCCCTTCCTTAGATCTTATACAAAAATTAACTCAAGATGGATTAAAGACTTAAACGTAAGCCCTAAAACCATAAAAACCCTGCAAGAAAACCTAGGCAATACCATTCAGGACATAGGCATGGGCAAAGACTTCACCAAAAGCAATGGCAACGAAAGCCAAAATTGACAAATGGGATCTAATTAAACTAAAAAGCTTCTGCATAGCAAAAGAAACTACCATCAGAGTGAACAGGCAACCTACAGAATGGGAGAAAATTTTTGCAATCTATCCATCTGACAAAGGGCTAATATCCAGAATCTACAAAGAACTTCAACAAATTTACAAGAAAAAAACAACAATCCCATCAAAAAGTGGGCAAAAGATATGAACAGACACTTCTCAAAAGAAGACATTTATGCAGCCAACAAACATGAAAAAAAGCTCATCACACTGGTCATTAGAGAAATGCAAATCAAAGCCACAATGAGATACCATCTCACACCAGTTAGAATGGCAATCATTAAAAAGTCAGGAAACAACAGATGCTAGAGAGGATGTGGAGAAATAGGAATGCTTTTACACTGTTGATGGGAGTGTAAATTAGTTCAACCTTTGTGGACGACGGTGTAGCAATTCCTCAAGGATCTAGAACTGGAAATACCATTTGACCCAGCAATCCCATTACTGGGCATACACCCAAAGGATTATAAATCATCCTACTCTAAAGAAACATGCACACGTATGTTTATTATGGCACTATTCACAATAGTGAAGACTTTGAACCAACCCACATGCCCATCAATGATAGAATGAATAAAGAAAATGTGGCACATATACGCCATGGAATACTATGCAGCCATAAAGAAGATGAGTTCATGTCCTTTGCAGGGACATGGATGAAGCTGGAAATCATCATTTTCAACACACTAACACAGGAACAGAAAACCAAACACCACATGTTCACACTCATAAGTGGGAGTTGAACAATCAGAACACATGGACACGGCTGGGCAGGGGAGCATCACACACTGGGGCCTGTCGGGGGATGGGGGATTAGGGAAGGGTTAGCATTAGGAGAAATACCTAATGTAGATGATGGGTTGATGGGTACAGCAAACCACCATGGCACGTGTATACCTACGTAACAAACCTGCATGTTCTGCACATGTACCCCAGAACTTAAAATATAATTAAAAAAAAAAGATGACAGTGCCCCATTGGAGGGCAAATTTAAGCCTCGCCAGTTTGATATTGGGTGCTAAGCAGAGTGGCTAATGTCTGTTTTATCACATGTATTTTGCTCTGGCCAGAACGAAAAAAAAGAATTTTCCTTTATGATGAGGCTTGCCCGAGGTCAATTGTGCCACAAGCCAGATCACTAGGGTCGCTCAGGGAAAGGGAACCCAGAAGCCTGGCATGCTGGCAAAAGGGTAAGAATTTCTTACAAGTCAGATTTCTGGCTTCTACCTCTGTGTGAAAATGGTTGAATGAATAGTTAAAAAAAAAAAAAAGGGTTTATCTCCTCTATAAAGTTTTGATTAATGAGAGAAAAGAAAGGAGACAGTCAGTTGGCCTCATGCTACTTTCATTGGGTCTTGTTTGGAAAGCTGAGTCTCCTCTCTGTCAGAATAATGTTTTTTTCTTTTAAAAATTTTCAAGTTATCATTTTGGCTAAATGAGTGATTTATGGTAACCTAAGACTCTATTTTGTAATAGCCAATGTTTAAACCTTTGGTATTTAACAAACCTTTCAAAATCAAGCTCTACATTATTATGCTAATCAGCCAATATTGAAATTATTTACATATACAGTTTGAATGAACTCCATGGTCTAAGTCAAATTACCTATGAAACCATAAAAATTCTAGAAGAAAACCTAAGAAAAGCTCTTCTAGATGTTGGCTTAGGCAAAGAATTTATGATGAAGAGATGCTTTTTAATGACAATCTGTGAATAATCAAACTGGAAATGCTTAATCTTTACCAAATCTGAGTGATTATTGTCAGGTCTAGGATATACTCCTTAATCATGATGATATGGATAGTAATAGTCACATTTGCAATAGTATTTTCATAATCTTTGTTTATGAGAAAATGTATCCTTTTAAAATATCTCCCAAAATAGTGAGTAGTATAACTCCCTGCCCCCGCATGACCAATTTCTTAGAGTTACCCTTATAAAATCTAGCATTACTCTTATATTTTCTATTATTATTTTTGAATGGTAAGTAATGAGGCTTGTATGACGGTGATCTTATGTTTAAAGATTTTTAGAAATCATACTATATTAGAATTTTTTTAAAACTTCAAAATTCAGCTCTTTTATCTTTCATGTGACCAATGACATACAGCTCTAAAACACAAAGCAAAAAAAAAAAAAAAAAAAAAAAAAAAGACAAAACGGAAATCAGAGACAGAGGTGAACATGAATATAAACTTTCATCAGTAAGCATAATGTATATGTCAGGACTGAGTCATAAGCACCAGAAACCCAACTTGTACTATATAAAGGAAAAGAAGAGAATTTATTAGCTCACAGATTCCAAAGAGGGGGTCAATAACTGAACCCCAAGAAGGAAGATACACAAAAGGCTTTGAGGACCACTGGAATGCCTTCAGGATTTATTATCTTTGTTAATTTCCTTCGCTTTTCTCTGTGAAAGAGAAACCCAAATTTACAAAGAAAGTGGAAGAAGTGGGATTCTCAAGCAGAGCTTTTAATCACTGCTACACAGAATGTTACTAACAGTGAAAATGGTGAGTACATTCCAGGAATCACATCAAAATTGAGTATTTCAGAAAACTCATATCCCATTAATTTTCTGGGTCAAAACTGAAATTTGTAATTGAAATAGTCAACAAAACATCAGGTGTTATGAAATTTAGACAAGGGTATTTTTCCTCTTTGAAATGTGGCCCTTGGAGCTATGTCTATGTGGCCAGCTGTTAGTATTTGCCAACAGTGATCAACCTTTCATCAGAAGATGGGACCTTGGAAATGATTTACCTCAGATTTGAAAGTTATTGGGAAACCCATGCTTATATGTATAGGAAATGAAAGTACAAAGATATACAGTGTTTCATCATCAAAGTCATTACACTGGCATACTGGTTTTCTAGAAATGGTCCTTTCCTGGGTTCCTGTATTTAGGTTTGTATAGGATGAGAAAACAAAGCCTTGCAAAATGAATTGGTTAATAAGTGTGCAAACAAAGATCACCATCTGGGACTAAAATAGCATCTGCTAATAACTTAATTTGTCTTAATATTTTATTTAGCCATAAACATATATCAGTCCTATGAATGGATTTCAATCTAAATAATTTTTTCAGTTGCATTTATTATTTAAGGTGATTAACCAATCATTTTAAAAAGAGCCAATTAAAAATTTTAGTGTTTTAAAAGACAATTCTTACATTCTGTTAACATAAATTTCTGAGGAACGTCTACTTGGTTGGTTGGTCAATTTAGTTTTTACAGTGGAATAAAAAACATTTTAATGAAAGTCAGCTCAGTGGGTAATATGGGAAAAACTGGTTTCTGAGTGGCTAGCAGCAGGGACTCAAAGAATTGGACAGATAAAGCCCACTCTAGTAAATGCTGAAAACAAAACCTTATTTTAAATTTGACATCATTAATTCTACACTCTAAGTATATTTTGTATTCATCTGAATAAAATCAATGGTTGCACATCCAAACGCTTATCATTCTGAAGTATTTTTATGCAGAAGGGTGGAGATTTTTTTTAAATCAGTTTCCCATGATAGCAAGGCTTTAATTTAGATTATACAGAAAATGATTTTGCTTGACATTAAATTACTAAACACAAACCAAGACTAATTTTCTTTTCCTGAATTGATATATTTGAGCAAGTAAGCTTCCCTTTTGCTTTTTCTTTGGCTAAGATGGGGAGGAGATGCAAAGAAGGTGGGAACATAGCCCTGTTTCTACTAAATAGATGCCATTTCAAAAAAAAAGTTTTCTGTAGATCCCTCTCAAAGCCCACTCACTATATAAGCAGACCCTTGATGGCAGTTCTTTTTCATTTTGATGTGGATGGATCCAAAATGAAGAGGCAGCCTAAAGGCAGAACAATACTGGATGAACAACAACCAGAAAAACCCCATCATCGTCATAAGAGCTGCAAATCAAAGCAAGGGTAAGAGAGAAGGAGAATGGACACTGGAGGCCTTTGCTTGGGGCCAGCCCTCACTACAAAGCAGGGTAAGCTTGATTTATGTTCAGTTCAATAAAAAGTGTGTATTCACTATCTTTATTTAAAAAACAGAGAGTAAACAGAGCAGAAGGAATAGGTATCACAAAATAGAAAAACGGGAAATGGACTGGTGATCAGAAAGCAAAATGCCCAAATTCTTCAGAACACTGACTCCACTGGGGTCGGGGACTGCACAGCACCAAGCTACAGGCCTGAGGGCCAGTAGCTCCTTCACACATCTGAGGTGCTTTGGGTCACAGGGCTAACAGCAAAGCTTAAATTCTTCAGAACAGTTCAGAACTCATGCTAGAGATGTCAGACCAAAATATTATCAATTTAATGAACACTTAAAAAGGTGCTTAACCTCATGAGTCATCAGGGAAAAGCAAATCAAAACCACAGGGATGTCCGGGCATGGTGGCTCACGCCTGTAATCCCAGCACTTTGGGAGGCCGAGGTGGGCAGATCACGAGGTCAGGAGATCCTGGCTAACATGGTGAAACCCCGTTCCTACTAAAAATATAAAAAAATTAGCCAGGCGTGGTGGCGGGCGCCTATAGTCCCAGCTACTCGGGAGGCTGAGGCAGGAGAATGGCATGAACCCGGGAGGCGGAGCTTGTAGTGAGCCGAGATCGCGCCACTGCACTCCAGCCTGGGCGACAGAGCGAGACTCCGTCTCGAAAAAATAAAAAATTAAAAAATTAAAAAAAAAACCCACAGTGATATACCTAAACATATCAACTATGTTGTAAACATTTAAATAACCAACAATACCAAATGCTGTCAAAGCAGTTTACAAAATGGAACTTACATATACTACTGGTATAAAACCAATTTGAAATATTTTTGGCAATATGCATCTTAGTTGAATATATGTACACATATAACCCAGCAACTCTACTCCTAGAAGTATAGCCAACAGAACTATATAGGTATGTGTATGAAGGGACTTGTTCAAGCATATTCATAGTAGCATTATTTGTAATAAGCAAAAACTAGGAAAAGAACAAAAGTCTATCAAAAGTAAGGTGGCATGAGGGGGATGAGGGAAGCTGAAGGGGCTTCTGATGTTAATAATGCTCTAGTTCTTGATCTAGATTGTGACTTGATATGGGTATGTTCACTATGTGACGACACATCAAGATATACACTTATCTGTGTGCTTTTCTATATTTAAGTTTTTCTTCATAAAATACATTTAATTTTTTAAGTCACCAATAAACGTGCTAGGCAGATGAAGGAGAGTGGACAGTAAAAATGGAAAAGAGTAGTAGGGTAATGCCTATAAAAGAAGGGACCTGGGTAGTCAAGCAGGAGTACTATCTGTACCCATTCTGGAAATGTTGGCCAAGAGCACACTTTCCACTAGGAAATGGACAGCCCTTTCATATCAACTTTGCTCTGTCTTTTACTGGCTCTGCAATCTTGAGCTAGTAAGTTGAACTCTCTAATACCTATTTTTCTCATCTGTAGAGGTAGCTTGTAGCTTTATTGAAAAGATTAAATGAATGAAGAAAAGTTGCAAGTAAATACCTAGAACAACTCTTGGTACATAGCTGATAATCAACAAATGTAAGATCTTTGTCACTTTCTCCATTTATTCAGTTAGTTAACAGGAGAAACTATTGAAGAAAAGAAAAAATTAAAATCTCATTTTCTCAATTTATTAACATCATAGAAAATAGTTTTTTATGCATGTATGTGAACAAGGAAATCCCAGTGACAACAGCAAAAACAAATAAACAAACAAACCACATCATGGGCTTGTCCTCAATTTCATAGACTAAATTGCTTAGAGAGGAGGGCAAACATTTTAAACACAGTGTCCATAGGCAAATACAAACACAAATAATGGTATCTCAGGGTTGAAGAGGTAGGATTAGATGTAGAGAAAGATGGGCTACAGCAGTGAAGAATAGCCAATAATTTAAATTTATTTTTCCTATCAGAGTGTTCTTAACTACCACTGGATAAATCTTTTTGCATATGTGGAAAAATACCAATTTTTCTTTTCTTTTCTTTTTTTTTTTTTTTTTTTTTTTTTGAGACAGAGTCTCGCTGTGTTGCCCAGGCTGGAGTGCAGTGGCACGATCTTGGCTCACTGCAAGCTCCACCTCAAAAAAAATTAGAAAAGAAAGTTTATATTGCTAAAGTCATTTTGGAAAAACACACAGTTAATCAAAACCACACAGTTAAATAAGCAATAGAATTTATGACTTCCAAGATGGGTCTTATTTTGAAATAGCCTGCTCTAGAACATGGTGTTGAATCTTTGACTCTTCACAATTCTTTGTCTCATAGATAGCAAAAGTTTTCAAAGGAAAGAAAATGCTGAATTATAGCATTCTGCCTTACAATAAAGTGTCTAACTATAAATGGAGGGGAAGATCCATTTGTAAGACAACGTGCTGACTATCTGCATAACAGGGGGACAAGTGGTCTACCAAATCTCCTGTATCCAGGAGGACTGTCAAGAAAAAAAAGAATAAAACAAAATCATGAAATGGAAAAGATACTTGCACATAGATAGTCCCACAGTTCAACACTCTGACAGACAATTCCATAGAATAAGAAAGGATGCAGAAAAAAGTTCTTAGCTCATAAGAAGAAAATGGAAATATCCACTTGGCTCAAAATCTAATACCTGGCATAAAAGCTCCCAGCACATGAGAAAGTGTCCCAGAGTTTGGAAAAGCACAAATTAAAGTGATAGCTGCTGCAATACAGCAGTCCAAGTACAGGCCACAGGCACCTAGATTTGATGAGAGCTAGGCCAAAAAACCACCTGGGATGTAGAAGGAGCAGTGGATTATGAGTGGATTATGAAAACTCTGAGTTTTCAATACAGACTGGAACAGAGCTGGAGTTCTAGCAAATATATTGATAGGATTCAGCTATAGAGTAACATCGTATTGCCTTGCACCCTTCCAATTACACGCAGTTCTGATTCATTACTTCTTGATTCCTCCTCCACGTTCAAGGAACAGACTAATAATTTGCATTGCTGATTTGGGTTTTTTACCTCAACTTCCTCCTCCTCGGGCATAGCTGTGTGTCCCGAGCTCGGAGGCCAAATATATCTACTTCTGTCTCTTCATACACTACCTCAGTGATTCAATTGGAAAAGTGTGACCAAACCTGTCTAGCCCAATTTGTTCCTTATAAAGTATGTTGTTTATTGCTAATGTTTTGTTACTCCCTGGATATCTACAGACTTTTCCTTCTAATTTTGGTCCCATGACTTTAATTAAATTTGAAGTTAGATTTAGTGGTCACTAATTGCGAAGACCACAGGTGTGGCTTTTTGTTTTTGCCGATGTTTGTTTTCTTCTTATTCCTCTATGTAATAAGAAGGGAAAAATCTGTTATAAAACTTTTTCAGGTAGGTCTCCATTGATGATTAAAAGCTGGCAACAAATATGAGTATATTTATATTTCAATTAGTAAAGTAGGTAAAAAACATGAGTGGCACATAGCAAGTCACAAACATCTAATCTCTTAGTGAAATATACTTTCTACCTGCTTCAATTTATGTCTCTCTCCCTCCCTCCACTTTTTCCTCCCTCTCCTCTCTGTATCTTTCTTTTCCCAACACATTCAACAAGCGATTCACATCACTGTGAGGAAATCCCAGAAATCAGAGATGGTAAAAACATAATCCATAGAAAGTCTTCCCAAGTCTTTATTTTCATTAGTAAGTGCTTGCTTATAGAGTGGTCCTGGCCTTTTGGTATAATGGAAAAAATACAGAATTTAAAGTCAGAGAACCTAAGTAGTTACCCCAGGAAAATTTTACTTAACCCCTTCGAATTGTGTCCACTTGGGTGACATTAAGAGGTAGTGAAAAAAAGTGGCTGAGAGTGACAGGAGTCAGACTGCCTGAGTTCCAAGCCACTCACCACCGTGTGTTATCAGTATGACCTTGGAAAGTTTCATCCTCTGAAAAATGGGGCTGATAGTAGCCCCTACCTTCTGGAATTATTAAAATTAAATGAGTCCGATTATATAAAACACAGTGTCTCCAATAAAGGAAGAACTCAACTCATGTTATTATTACTAAAGTGCTCATAAATATAATTCATGAAATGAAAAGCACTATCAAAATTTTAATAGTTTTGAAATTGTTTTCTGAGAGACATCAACAACCAAAGCCTGAATATATAAAAAGATGAAAGACATAATCTTGTCTCTGACCTAAAAATAATGGATAAACTGATGATGAGATATATTTATATAAAAGTACATATCAAAGTCCAAGTAAAAACCATGGGTCAAATCTGCCCTTCCAACAAATCCATGTTGCAGGAAGTGATAAGAGGGTAAGATAGGAGTACACATAGCAAGTTCCAAGGCTTGTAGACTGGACTGTGTCAAAGGGAACACTATTACAGTGAAGTAGTAGAGTGGGTTTCAGGAAGTTAGAAGGGAACAGATTTTAAGGGGCCTAACTTACAAAGATTTAATATTTTTTTATACGTACCCAGGTAGCTGTGAAGGTCAGCAACTCTGGAGGGAACAAAGGAGGTGAGGAAGAAGGATGGATTTTGTGTATGTAATATGCTAGAACTATTAACTGGGCAGCAGTATATGGAGGATGGACATGTCATAGGAACCACAGAAACAAGGGAGCAGTAATGAAACAATCTCAGTGTTTTACCTTGCTGGGATTCCCTAGATTGCCCTCTACAAATATAGTGGAAGCCAACTGGCTTACACATGCACACATATCCTTACACATACTTGTCTTGTATACAGACATCTCTCCCACCAGAGAATATAAAGTTGATATTATACAATAGCTTCGTGTTCGCATGGTTGGAAAGAAATTCTGTCTTAGCAACTAACTTAAAGTGTACAAGTCAAATATTTCCATACCATATGAATTCCAGTGAAAGTGGAAATACAAAAGAGGAAAATAAATCAATGAAAGGTCTCAATTTTAGTTATTGTAATCACACTATGCATTTTAAAGAAGAATAGCTAATATTTATCAGGAGTTAAGTAGGTATTAGACGCTACTACCTTTATTTAATATTTAAAATAATTTTCAGAGGCATATCCTATTAATTGTCCCTTTTTATAGATAAGGAAACTGAGGCAACTAGACAATAAAGTTGACACAGCTTAGAAGTGGTAGAGCTTCAATGTGCGATGAGGTTCTAAAGCCCAAAGAACGCCTACTCACCTTGCCAAAGGTGCATATAAGAATCATCTGTAGATCCTGGAAATGGTTAAAAACATAGACTTTTGGGCACCATCTCCAGAAATTTTGATACATTCAGTCTAGGGTAGAGCCTCAAAATTTGCATTTGTAACAAGTTCTCTGGTGATACTGATGCTGTGGTCTACGGGCCACAATTTAAGTAGCATTGCCCTGTTATATTATTTTAATTGTTCAGTAAGAGAAAGTGAAATACCATAATATGAACAGGTGATATCTCATTTTCAATATCTTTAAAGCAAGTTTCATTTCAAAACATTTTTTCCAGGGCACTGATATGCATATCATAGGTTTAGTTTATTTAGTACAAGCTTGTTCATTGTGCATGACGATAGAACCAATTGAACTTACACCAGTATTTAGGACTCAAGCTGTGTTTTGCGTTTCTTCTCAAAATTGTCCCAGTATTTCTGATTTCTTTTCTGTATCAAATAACAACATATGGATTCAGCATACTAATTGAAACTTACCAATATTGTAAAGCACTTCTTAATTTAAATTACAGGAGATAATACAATTGGAAACATTTCGAACAGCTTATTTTTATACTTTATTACAACTATCAGATTGAACATGATAAATTTTAAAAAATGATGCAAATCAGCACCATCTTTCATGTGAGTGGAGGGAAGAAGAAAGGAGTAATAGTGAATCTGGTAAAAAATATATATATATATATATATGTTCCTTCATGAGGGAAGTTCTAAATGTTCAAGAAAAATGAATAACGTGGACTTCTGGGAAAATAGATCAATGTATGTTTTCTCTTTCTTTCTGCTATGTGCAACCCCAAACCATAATATTATATATAAAACTGACATAATAAAAATCTGAAAAATGGAAGGAAGAAGGAAAACCCAACCAGAAACCTCAGGACCTAAGAAATGACCCTGTGGTAGGTTCCCTAGGTTTACTTTGTTTCATACATCCCATACTTGGTGCCAAAGAAGCCAGCAACTCAGAAACCACAATAGACCCAGACAGCCTCCCCCAGCAGCCTACTGTCTATATCCAGAGAACTGGGATAGTCTAGCAAAAGATTTTAGGTAATAACTGCTCTACACCAAACAATCACCACAAGAAGAACTGTGGGTCTGTCCACCATTAATGTCAGCAAAGATGGAGCAGGGGACCTGAGCTTCCACCCTTGCCAAGCTGTAATGAAGCACCTCGATGCCATCCTGGGGTGGTCAGCAAAGGCTGAGTAGAAAGCTGGGACTCATTCTAGTCCATGTATCAGTGAAGACTATCTGGGGATCATGGATTTTTATCCCTACCAGCAGTAAAAAGGTGCCTCAGCTTTCTGTGGGAGAGTGTCAGAGGAGGCCAAGTAGAGTCAGCTTTTACAATCACCTAGGGTTAACAAGGTTATCCTTCCCTGACTATGGTGTCAGTGAAGGCCACAGGGAAGCAATAATGAGGGACTTCTATCCCTCACAGCCAGGGTGGTACCAGAGAAGCCTCATGAGGAGCTGGAAGTCCCATCCTCATCCAGCAATAATAGGGAGCCCCTCCTTTCTCAGGGTATAAACGGGGTCTGAATGGGGATCCTGAATTTTTAGCTCAACTGGTCAGTAATGAGGCAGTGCTTCCTTTCCCCGACCAGAGCACTATCAGAGGAAACCAGTTAAACAAAAGGTATAAATAGGATCCAGAGTCTCAAACAAAATACACAAAATACTCAAGTTTCAGTTGAAAATTATGTCATACCAAGTCTTGAAAACCACAGCTCTAATGTCAAAAGACAATCAGTAAACACCGATACTGAGATGACAGAGATGTTAGAATTACCTGACAAATATTTTATTTTATTTTTTTTATTGAGACAGCATCTTGCTCTGTCACCCAGGCTGGAGTGCAGTGACTTGATCACAGCTCCCTACAACCTCAATCTTTCCAAGCTCAAGCAATCCTACCATCTCAGCCTCCTGAGTAGCTGAGACTACAGGTACACACCACAAAATGCTGGGCTAATTTTTGTATCTGGTTATTTGGAGAAAGAGGGTGTATTAGTCTGTTCTCATGCTGCTAATAAAGACATACCCAAGACTTGGTAATTTATAAAGGAAAGAGGTTTAATTGACCTACAGTTCCACATGGCTGGGGGGCCTCACAATCATAGCTGAAGGTGAATGAGGAGCAAAGTCACATCTTACATGGCGGTAGGCAAGACAGCATGTACAAGGGAACTCCCTTGGTTCTCCTCTGATGGTTTTATCAATAAAACCGTCAGATCTCATGAAGCTTATTCACTAACACAAGAACAGCATGGGAAAGACCTGCCCTCCGTGAATTCAGTTACCTTCCACTGGGTCCCTCCCACAACACGTGGGAATTATGGGAGCATAATTCAAGATGAGATTTGGGTGGGGACAGAGCCAAACCATATAATTCCACTCCTGACCCCTCCCAAATCATATGTTCTCACATTTAAAAACCAACCATGCCTTCCCAACAGTCCCCCAAATTCTTAACTCATTTCAGCATTAACTCAGAAATCCACAGTCCAAAGTCTCATCTGATGCAAGGCAAGTCCCTTCCACCTAGGAGTCTCTGAAATCAAAAGCAAGTTAGTTACCTTCTAGATACAACAGGGGTACAGGTAAATACACCCATTTCAAATGGGAGAAATTGTTCAAAATGAAGGAGCTACAGGCTCCATGGAAGTCTAAAATCCAGTAGGGCAGTCAAATCTTAAAGCTCCAAAATGACTCCTTTGACTCCATGTCTCACATCCAGCTTATGCTGATGCAAGACGTGGGCCCCCATGGCCTTGGGTAGCTCCACCCCTGTTACTTTGAAGAGTAAAGCCTCCCTCCTGGCTGCTTTCACAGGGTGGTGTTGAGTGTTTGCTGCTTTTCCAGGTGCATAGTTCAAGCTGTTAATTGATCTACGATTCTGGGGTCTGGAGGATGGTGGCCCTCTTCTCACAGCTCCACTAGGCAGTGCCCCAGGAGGGACTCTGTGTGGACACTCCCACCCCACATTTCCCTTCTGTACTGCCCTAGCAGAGATTCTCCATAAGGAACTCTGCCCCTGCAGCACATCTGTCCCTGGACATCCAGGCATTTCCACATATCCTCTGAAATCGAGGTAGAGGTTCCCAAACCTCAATTCATGACTTCTATGTACCCACAGACCCAATGCCACATGTAAGCCACCAAGGCTTAGGGCTTGCACCCTCTGAAGTAACAGCCTGAGCTGTACATTGGCCCCTTTTAGCCACAGCTGGGATGCAGTGCACTAAGTCCCGAGACTGCACAAAGCAGCAAGGCCCTGGGCCAGGCCTACAAAACCATTTTTTCCTCCTAGGCCACCAGGACTTTGATGGGAGGGGTTGCCGTGAAAATCTCTGACATGCCCTGGAGACATTTTCTTCATTGTCTTGGTGATCAACATTTGGCTCATTGCTTATGCAGATTTCAGGAGCTGATTTTCATTTCTTTCTAGAAAATGGGTTTTTCTTTTCTATTGCATAGTCAGGCTATAAATTTTCACATTTTATGCTCTGCTTCCCCTTTAAACATAAGTTCTAATTCCAAACCATATATTTGTGACTACATAAAACTGAATGCTTTTAACTGTACCAAGTCACCTCCTGAACACTTTGCTGTTTACAAATTTCTTCTACCAGATGCCCTAAATCATCTATCTCCAGTTCAAAGTTCCACAAATCTCTAGGGCAGGGGCAAAATTCCACCAGTCTCTTTGCTAAAGCATTACAAAAGTCACCTTTGCTCCAGTTCCCAACATTTCCTCATGTGCATCTGAGGCCATCTTAGCCTGGGCTTTATTATCCATATCACTATCAGCATTTTGGTCAAAGACATTCAAGAAGTCTCTAGGAACTTCCAAACTTTCCCACATCTTCCTATCTTCTTCTTAGCCCTCCAAACTGTCCCCATCTCTGCCTGTTACCAGGTTCCAAAGTCACTTCCACATGTTTGGGTATCTTTACAGCAGCACCCTACTCCTGGTACCAATATACTGTATTAGTCTGTTCTCATGCTGCTAATAAAGATATACCCAAGACTGGGTAGTTTAAAAAAGAAAAGAGGTTTAATTGACCCACAGTTCCTCATGGCTGGGGAGGCCTCACAATCATGGCTAAAGGTGAATGAGAAGCAAAGTCACATCTTATATGATGGCAGGTGAGAGACCATGTGCAGGGGAACTCTCCTCTATAAAACCATCAGATATCTTGAAATTTATCCACTATCACAAGAACAGCATGGGAAAGACCTGCCTCCATGATTCAATTACTTCCCACTGGGTCCTTCTCATGACATGTGGGAATTAAGGGAGCTACAATTCAAGATAAGATTTGGGTGGGGACACATCCAAACCATATCACAAGTTTCACTGTGTTGCCCAGGATGGACACAAACTCGTGGACTCAAGCGATTCATCTGCCTTGGCCTCCCAAAGTGCTGGGATTGCAGATGTGACCAGCATGCTGGCCTTGAAAAAGATTTTAAAGCCATCATCATAAAACTGATTTGGTAAGCAATTATGAACACACCTGAAACATTTTTTAAATTCCCCTAAGAAATAGAGGATATAAAAAAGAACCAAAGGTAAATATTAAATTGAAAAGTGCAATAATAGAAATTAAAATCCCAATGGATGAGCTCAGCAAAAGAATCAGAGGGAAAAGTAAATTTAAAACTAGAAAAACAAAAATTATTTAATTTGAGGAGCACAGAGAAAATTAACTGAAAAAACATGAATAGAGCCTCAGGACCTGTGGAACTATAAAAAATAGGTTTAACAATCATGTCATTGAAGTATTGAAACAAAAAAGAAAGATGGTGGAGCTAAAAATTTGCTCAAAGAAATAATTGCTTAAAACTTACTAAATTTGGAAAAAACATAAACATGTAGATTCAAGAAGAAGCTGAGCTAACCCTAAGCAGAGTCGATTCAGTAAAATCCACACCAAGACACATTATAGTCAAAATTTTGAAAAATGAAAACAAAGAATAAATCTTGAAAGAAACATGTTATATGTAGCAAAATAAATAAATAAATAAAGCTAGAATGATGGTGAATTTCTTATCACCTATCATGTAAACCTACAGGATGTGGCATAATATTTTTCAAGTACTTAAAGAAAAGGACTATCAACCCAAAATTCTATACACAGTAAAAATATACTTCAGAAATTCTCAGATGAAGGTAAACTGAATTTATCAACAGCAGACTTACCCTAAGAGAACGGCTAATTGAGTTTTTGAAACAGAAAGAGAATGAAGGAAGAATAAAAGAAAAAATCTAGAACATTAGAAAGGAAAAAAGAATGGACACAGCGAAAATATGAGTAAATAAAATACACATTTCTTCTTGAGTTTTCTAAATTATGTTTGATGGTTGAAGTGAAAATTTTAACACTGTATGATGTACTTTTACAGGTATATGGGAAAAATTTAAGAAAATTATCTAAGAAACTGGGGGATGTAAAGAGACATAAAGTCAGGTAAGGTTTTTACACTTCAAGTTGGTCAAATGTTGATACCAGTAGACCAGTTATGTATGTATGTATAATGTAATACATAGAGTGAATACTAAAAAAATACAAAACAGTACACTCAAAAACACTATAGACGAATCAAAAATTCATTCTAAATGTATGTTAAAGTAGCCCACATAAAGTAAGGATACACTAATTAAAATATAGAAATTGCAAAATGGATTAAAAAACATGACTCAGCTATGTGGTATGTATAAGAATTTCATTTCAAATATAACAATAAAGAAAGGTTGAAAGTAAAAGGATAAAAAAGACCATATCATGTAAACATTAATCAAAGGAAGCAGATGTAGCTACTTTAATATCAGATGAATTAGATTTCAGAGCTAAGAAAATTACCAGAGACATAGAGGGGCACTATGTAATTATAAAAGGTCAATCCATCAAGAAGACATAGCAATCTTAAATGTTTATTCACCAAACAAAGGAGCTGCAAAATGTGTGAAGCAAAAGTGATAGAACTAAAATTGGACAACTCTACATATAGTTAGAGCCTTCAACATTGCTCTTTCAAAACATAAGAGAACTAGAAAAATCAGCAAGGATGTGGAAAAACTCAACAACACGATCAACAATCAGGATCTAATCACATTTATGTGAAGGATTTTCAAGTTTCTAGGGAACATATACCAATATCACTATATCCAGAGACATAAAATAAACCTCAACAAATTTAAAAGAATGAAGATAACATAGATTATATTTTCTGACTACCATGGAACCAAACTAGAAATCAGTAACAGAAAGATAAGAAAATCTCCAAAAACTGGAAAGCTAAATAACACACTTTTAAATAATTCATAGATCAAAGAAGTTTCAAGGTAAATTAAAAAAAATACATTGAGCTGGAAAAAATGACAATACAACATAACAATAGTTGTAGGACACAGCTGAAATACTGGGGAAAAATAAATTCATAGCATTAGGTTCACACATTAGAAAAGTGAAAATGTCTCACATGAATAATCTGGGTTCCCATCTCAAGACCTAGAAAAGGCAAAATAAATCCAAAGCAAAGAGAGGAAGAACATAATAAATTTAACAGCAGAAATGAATAAAATTGAAAACAGAATGATGACAAAGAAAAGTCAATGACACAAAATGCTGGTTCTTTGAAATTATAATATAAAATTGACAAACCTCTAACAAGACTGACAACAGAAAGAGAGAAAGGACACCAACATCCAGAATCAAACAGAGGAAAACATTACAGACCCTAGAGACATCAAAAAGAGAAAAAAGAAATGCTATAACAACTCTACTTACACGTATTCAAGACTTCAGTTGAAATGAACTAATTCCTAAAAGAAAAAAAAGTACAAACTACTACCACTAATCAATATGAAATAGACAATTTTAATACTACTATACCTATTAAGAAAACTAAACTCATAATTTAGAAAATATTCACCTCTCTCCCCCCAAAAATCTTTAGGCCCAGATAGTTTCACTGGAAGATTCTACCAAATTTTAAAAGAAGAGTTAAGAACAATTCTGCACAATCTCTTTTATAAAACAGAAGACGGAAACATTTCTCAATCGATTTTATGAGACTATATTATCCTGACATGGAAACAAGATGAAGAGAGTACCAAAACATAAAAGAAAAATAACACAATAATGACCATGGAGCAATATCCTTCATTAATATAGAAGCAAAAATCCTTAATAAAATATTAGGAAATAAAATTCAGCAATATAGAAAAAGAATTATACAAAATGACCAAGTGGGGTTTATAACAGGAATGAAAAGCTGACTTAATGTTTGAAATCCAATTAAGGTAATCCACCATATAAACAGGAAAAAACCGGGGTCGGGGGGTGGGGGGAATCACATGATCAAATCAATGCAGGAAAAGCTTTTGATAAAATTCAATACACATTTATGGTTGAAACTCTTAGAAAAAAATGAGAAAAGAAGGACTTTTTCAACTACATAACAACCATCTACAAAAAACCTATAGTTAACGTCATTCTTAATGTTGACAGTAGTTCTCTGTAAGATCAGGAATTAGGCAAGAATGTTACTCTCGTGACTCATTAAACATAGTACTAAAAGTTATCCTAGTATAATAAGGCAAAAAAATAAAGCATGTAGATCAGAAGTGAAAAAATAAAACTATCCTTATTTGTATATCACATGACTGTTTACATAGAAAATCCCAGGCTGGGCGTGGTGGCTCATGCCTGTAATCCCAACACTATGGGAGGCCGAGGCAGGCGGATCACTTGAGGTCAGGAGTTCAAAACCAGCCTGGCCAACATGGCGAAACCCTGTTTCTACTAAAACTACAAAAATTAGCTGGGAGTGGTGTTGTGCGCCTGTAGTCCCAGCTATTCTGGGGGCTGAGGCAGGCGAATCGCTTGACCCTGGGAGGCGGAGGTTGCAGTGAGCGGAGATCTCGCCGTTGTACTCCAGCCTGGGCAACAGTGTGAGACTCCATCTCAAAAGAAAAAAAAAAACCCAAGGAATCTTAAAATAAAAGCTTCTAGAATTAATATGTTTAACAAGGTTTCAGGGTATAAGACTGACATAACACAAATCAATTATATTTCTATATATTAGCAATGAAAGGATATACAGAGAACCTAAAAATGCATATCATTTACAAATACTTCAAAAAGTAAAAAAGTCAGTCTACCAAAACATGTGCAGTGCTTGCATGCTAAAACTACACCTTGCTTATTATTATTATTTTTTAATTTAACCTAAATAAATGGAGAGACATACCACATTTGTGGATAGGAAGATTCAACATAGTAAATATATCAATTATTCTCAATTTCATATGTAACATATTGAAATTCCAATCAATATCTCCACAAGACTTTTACAGACAAAGGGGAACAGTTTTCAAAAATTTATATGGACAGGCAAAAGAACTAGAATAGCTAAGACCATTTTTATAAATAAGAGTAAATTGGGAGGAATCACTCTACTTGATTTCAAAATCATACAGTTACAGTAATCAAGGCTGTACGATACTGGCAAAGGGAAAGACACATAGATGGATGGAATAGAATACTCAGAAATAATCCTATGTAAATATACCCAACTTATTTTTGACAAAGGAACTAAAGAGAGTCAATGGAGAAAAAATAGTCTTCTCAACAAACATTGATAAAACAAATGGACACTACTGACAAAAGAAAAAATAAACCCAACCTAAACCTCACACCTTATATAAAAATTAACTCTATATGGTTCACAAACGTAAATAGAAAATATTTAACTGTAAAATTTCCAAGTAAAAAGAATAAAATCCTCTGGTTGTAAACAGTTTTTAGATGATACCAAATACATGAAAAAAATTGATAAATTGGACTTTATCAAAATTTAAGATGTGATCTGCAAAATTCTTCCAATGAGATGAATAGACAAGCTACAGAGTGGGAGAAAATATTTGTAAGCCATAGATTCCACAAAAGACTATTACTATAAAAAAGACTCACAAAAACCAAAAGTATAAAAACCAAACAAGCCAATTAGAAAATGGGTAAGACAGGAACAGCCATTTTACCAAAGAGGATATCCAGAATAAGCACATGAAAAAATGTACAAGCCAGGCACAGTGGCTCATGCCTGTAATCCCAACAATTTGAGAAGCCAGTGTGGGAGGACTGCTTGAGCCCAGGAGTTTGAAATAAGCCTGGGCAACGTAGCAAGACACCATCTCTAAAAAAAATAAAAAATTAGCAGGGCATGGTGATGCATGCCTATAGTCCTAGCTGCTTGGGGTGTGGCTGATGTGGGATCATCCCTCGAGCCTGGGAGGTCCAGGCTGTACTGAGCTGTGATCATGCCACTGCACTCTAGCCTGGATCACAAAGTGAGACCCTATCTTAAAGAAAAAGGAAAAAAAAGTTCAGTGTCATTAGTCACTGGGGAAATGAAAATGATGAAAACATGATTATAGTGAGATATTACTACCTATTAGAATAGCTAAAATAAAAAATGGTGGTAACACCAAATGAAGGTGAGAATGGGGAGAAACTGGATCACTCATACATTATTGGTGAGAATGTAAAATAGTACAGATACTCTGAAAAAGTTTTTCAGTTTCTTTACAAAAAGTAAATGTGCAGCAACCACATGACCAAGTAACTGCAAACCTCGGCATTTTCTTTTTTTCCCCAGAAGAAGTGAAGACTTACGGTCACACAAAAACCTGTATATGAATGCTCCTGTCAGCTTTATTCATAATAGCCAGAAACTGGAAACAACTTAACCACTGAAGGACATACAGAGTCAATGACTATCATTTTACAGTAGGGAAAGTGATGCTTAAAGAGATCAAGATTAGAAAAAGAAAGAAAAAAGCTCACGCCAGAATCACACAGCAAGTGATCAGTAGTGTCAGGATTCACACCCATGCGGTCTGGCTCCACAGTCCATGCTCTGAATGCCCATACTACACTCCATTGTCTCATCAGTGTATGAACCTCATTCTAAATTCATGTTAGATCTGCCTCTAATGACGAATTTTTTCTTCACTCAAATTTACTTTGACCTCTGCTTGATCTCAGTCCATGTATAGCAATTACAATCATAAGACAGAAAGTGATACACAATACATCAACACATTTTTATTCCTTTCTTGGTCAATAAACAGCATTTAATCACTGTATCTCTAATCGAAAATCAGGCAAGGTAGGTCTTGGGATTGGGGCTAAATTGATTTAGATTAAACAGTTTAGATCAACCTGGCCATTACCTGTAAGTTGGTAGCAGAAGTTGGGGCCCTTAACAGAATCCCTTGAAACTTGCTAGTAATATATTTGTGCTCCAATTGTGCAACTGAATGCATATCAACATGAGGTCACTGTTCACTTTTGCAGTATTTTCATACTCATTCCCTTCATTTGTGTTGTCTTAAATGCTAATGAAATTTAGTAGGGCAGTGATAATAAAAATAATAAATGCCAACATGCTCATGGCAAAGAAGTTGCAATTCCAAATTTGCATTTTCCTGATTCTGTGAAAGAATGCATCCTGGTATTTGAAATAATTTGTTTTACTATCAGGAAAAAAAAAAGCCGCTAATCATTTTTTAGTTAAAAATAAATAATAAGATTAATCCAAGGTTGTACCAATGTTATTTTCCTTTGCTTGCTTTTATTATGTCTTCTTGAGTGGGAGGGAAAGACTGAGTTGGAGCTCCTGCATAACCAACAGCCTATCTCATCTATGCCGCAGTCCACAGGGAGCACATTGTTAATAGTCATGAAAATTGCAAACCATTGGAATGTTTGTGAGTTGTAATTTTATAGTTAGTTTTGCTTTCTTTTTAATTTTCCACATGGGTAATTTTTTAATAAGGAAGAAGGCTAGGAAAGATGAAGAAAACTAGAGAAGTGCACCTACATCCACACCTAATCATGATGGTGTGAAAATTGTTCAGTAATGACAATATGATTATCAAAGTGATGGCAAACAAAGATAATCATATAAGCCTAGCATTTTCTTGGACTGGGGAGGAGAGCTGTTTTTTTGTGGAGGAGTCATTTTATTGAATTAATCCAACTGTCCCCAGGAGATCATCAGCATTGGTGGATTGTATTAAGAACTAACAAACCTATTTTGAAAGAGAGTAACGATTTCTTACATTAATAAACCCTTGGATTGATGTCACCTAGTCTCAAGGATTTGATCATATCTAGTCAGTAAATTAGATTTAAAACATATTTTATGGGAATGCTTGACCTAGTAATTTTTTACTAATACATAATAGAGGTACATATTTGGGGGGTACATGTGATAATATATTCCTATAATTTGTAAATATCAAGTCAGTATAATTGGGATATTCATTACCTTAAAGCCTAGTTATTCCCTATCTACCTATTTTAAAGGACAAGTGCTCATTTTAGCAGAAGTGGTTATTCATTCATTGTTTATTCAAAAAGTAATTCAACAACTATGTTATGAACACCCACTCTAAGCCCCAGATATGTGATACTGGATGAGCACAGATGGGCAGGAGACAGAGAAGAGAAAGATACAGTAGAGGAGAGTAACTTTTGAAAAATAAGCTCCTGGAACTTAAAGTCTATATATGGAGAGTAAAATAACAAAATTAGGCCGGGTATGCTGAAGTATCAGAATAAAAAGTGTACAATAAATCAGATAATAATTACCATGGGAACAGGTGGATATATCATGAGGGTAATGAAGTTTAAACTTCAGGATTTCTCACTTGAACATGACCCTGTAAATAAATATTTACTCCTGTAACTAATTTGTATATGTAATCTTAAAGTATTTTTCTGAAACAAGGCCCCTCATATTGTTCAGCTTCAGTCCCCACAAAATCTTGATCCACCTCTGCATAGGAATTCTGAAGGCAGAGCAACAATTTTTTCAAGGTCGCCCCCAGCAAACATGCTTTGTGTTTCTTTACCATTTTTACAAGGGCTAGTGACTACTTTCATTCTCTACTCAGTTTACAATATTTATTATTATTATTATTATTTTGCATCCTGGTTGTACCTCAATTTCTTTTTTTTAAATTTATTTTTATTATTATTATTATTTTTTATTATTATTATACTTTAAGTTTTAGGGTACATGTGCACAATGTGCAGGTTTGTTACATATGTATACATGTGCCATGTTGGTGTGCTGCACCCATTAACTCGTCATTTAGCATTAGGTATATCTCCTAATGCTATCCCTCCCCCCTCCCCCGACCCCACAACAGTCCCCGGTGTGTGAGTTTACAATATTTAAAGAACAGCTTGTGTTTAAAAACACTTCCCTAAAAGTTTGTAGGAAACACCTGGGGCTATGCTTCATCTCTGAACATGAAGAGAGACCCTCAACATTCTCCCGGGGTTGGGGGAGCACTGAAAAAAAAAAAAAGAACAGGGGTTGATTATAAAATCCAGAACCCAACTTTTTTTGAAACCAGCAAACAAATTCAACATGGAACCAAAAGTAAGCCTTGCTTGGACAAGAGGAATAGAGGTGTGAATTATTATAGGATTAGTCCCAGAGGTGATGGCAGAACTCAGTCAGGAAGATGGCATTTCATAGCCCTCATTTCAAACATGAAAGACTTTTGGAAACAAGAAACCAAATCGTTGCAAGTTGGTAATGTCAAATACACACACACACACACACACACACACACACACACACACACACACACACACACACACTAATTCTAGTACCTTTATTCTGTTTTTGTTTCCTGGCTTCTTGACTTTGCATCTTTCTTAGAAAGACTTCACCTTTGTTATAACAATTTAATTTTTATTCTATAATTTTATAGCTTAATTTATACATAAGATGCTTTCCTTAATTTTAAAATTATTGTAACATAAGATTTTAAGAAGATATACAGCTTTATTTATCTAGATGTTTAGTAAATTTTATCAAAAAATTATTTAAAAGTATATTTACCAGTGACCTAAAAACTCATCTTAATATATATAAAATTCTCACACATATTTGGATCTACTTCTAGAAATTCTTTTCCATCCATTACATTGCATCATCTATCCATGCATGGGTATAAACTATTTTAAATATCATCATTTTAAAACATGTTTTAGTATTTGTTAAGGTTATTCTAATGCAGGTTTGGCTACATAATACCTGCCACTTGAATCTATTTCCCATAATAGAGGTTCCCTCTTACTTAATGTGGGAAGCTTAAAATGAAGGTGTCAATCTTGTCCCTCAAAACCAGTTTAATAACAGTCTCCTATTGTTGCGGAACTTGACCAGCTTATTGAAGTCAGCTGTCTCCTTGAGAGTTCCATTACCTTTGGCTGTTTTCATTATTAAACTGGAAGCAAATACAAAATGTCTAGGATTTCAAGAACCAAAGTAAACTCTAAGAAAAGAAGTGTTTTGTTTTAAAAATAAAAAGCATGGTAACTCTTTATATTTTATGAGGAATATAAGAAGTAATTGTCATAAGTTGCATCTTAAATTTGCTTAGAACAAATTATCAGTATTAGTAAATTACTGTGATATGTTTTCCTGGTCTTACAAAACAAATATTTTTGCTTATATATTAATTATGTTTATATCTATTGTTGGCTGAAAAAGGATTTGATGCAAACGTATTTTTTATTTAAAGTTACTTTTGAAAATTAAAATCAATGGAACAAATTTTGCATTATTATCTACTGAGATGCCCCCTTCTTATTTTTGGCTCAAATCTGGGTAATATACTGAAAATTAAATTTCCTGGCTCTCTTAAGCTATAGCAGAATGGAATAACAATATGTTCAGCACAAGGTTAACGTATTCTATTTGTTTATTCTTCTCATTAATTTTTTAAGTACTTCTCTGTCAAACACCAAAAATCCATCTGAAAACTGTGACATGACATATAATAAACCCAATTAAAACACTCACACAAAGATACTCACACTCATATACATTTGTGCAACTCTTTGTAGTTCTAATAAATCAAAACTATAAAAAAGCAATTAGGAACAAAGAAATTTCCTAATTTTATGTTGCTTTTTTTCTTAATATGATTCTAACATGATTATGCATGCATATCTGATTACTATGTCTGATGACCTATGGTCACAGTTTGATTTCTGTATTACAAATGGCCTGACATTTAACTAGTTTGTGTGATTAAATTATGTAAATATCTACGTGGTGACCAAATGATTAAAACTTTTTCTATATCTCTAGTTTTTCTCAGCATTGGTGCTAATTATATCTGCCCACATATACTGTGTGAATAGACACACACAGAAATCTTTACAAGTGGACAGAAAGTTGCAGTTAACCAAATTAAGATCAAAAGATACATTGTTGAATACATCTTACAGGAGGTAGAGTGGGATGGCGTGGGACTTTAATTATTGTAAAAACTCTAGTCTAAATAATAACTAGGACAGATCTGCTAAGCCTGATTTGCCATTTCTCATCCATTCTGGTTTCATTCTCTTTGGAATTGATGGCCTCTGATTCCTTTTTTGCTTTCTTATAAGAAATGATGATTTTATATAAATTTTAAATTAAACTTTGGTTATTACTGCGACCATCTTAAGCTTATTTCCAGTCAACCATGGATTCGTCACTGCCTATTATTTGAATTGCAATATCTCCATTCTCAAAGTACAAATATCAGTGAATTTAGGAGTCCTGAATTGCTGCAAAATGTGGGCTTGTTGTTAAGTCCCAAGCAGAGGTGAGAATAGCAGTAAGAAAATAATCCCTACTCTCATTCAACAACCAAATTTAATGGAACAGGGAACAAAGATAGAATGCCTTTTAAGACATATATATTAACAAAGGATATCTGTTTGACATCCTACCATCCTGAAGTATGTTACAAATGTGTCTCACGTGAAGATGGTGAGTACAAAGGCTCTTAATTGTCCAGAGAGTACTGAGACACAGAGAAACTACCCCAAATCCATAGTTAATCCTCAAATCTTATTTAGACAATGCATTTAATGATTGTTCCATCAGAAGTCTTCTGTGTAACAGATGATAAAGAGCAAAGTTTGTTCGTATGTGGATCTCATATGTACAAAACTAGTCAGTTAGAAAAAGGAAAATTTACAGATTTGACTTTGTTTCAATAGCTAGTTATTTCCTAAACAACTACTTATATACTTGTTTAATAGGATTCAATTAGTTATTTTTAAAATAGTTATTCCTAAAATAGTAAATTGCTTAATGAAATCCCCATGTCCTCCAGAAGCTATAAGCAGGTATAAAGGCATAAGCAGGCTTAACTTCTTTTCTCCTGATTTTATGGAAAAAGTACCAGAATTCTTCAAATGGCCAGTATGTGAAAACTATCAATGTAAGCAATCTAGAGATCAATTAATTAATCTTCAGTTAATGAAAGTCATGGCTTGAAAAGAGAGAACGAGGCCAAAAAAGGTGGGGTATGAGCAAAAGCAAATAGAAAGAGAGAGAGAGACAGAGAGAGAGATAGAGTGTCAATAGTTTTGGAGAATAAATACGTAAGAGGCAAATAAGATATGTTCTAAGTCAACGCTATAAAATTAAAAGGTAGAAATGATTTAAAAGAATAAACTAAAACAAGTGAACTCATTGAATTTTAAAAAGTTATTTTGAAATAATTATGGATCCACAGAGTTGCAAAAGAAATGTATAAAATTTTCACCTAACCTCCTTCAAAGTTAACATTTTGCTGGTATAATAGCAAAATCAAGAAACTGACACTGGTATAATACATACAGGTTGCTCAGATTTCACCAGTTATACATGCATTTGTGCATGTGTCTATATACGTATCTGTGTGTGTGTAGTTCTATGCAACTTTATCGCATATATAGTTTCAAAGAACTACCACCACAATCAAGATATTTAACTGCACTATTACCATATGGATCCCAAATCCCACGCCACCCCTCTCTAGCCACACACACCTCATCTCTTCTGTCCCTAATCCCTGCTAACCACTAATCTCCCTAATCATTTTATTTTATAAATGTTACATACATGGAATCACATAGTATATATTTGATTGAGATTGGCTTTTTAATACAACATTATATCCTTGAGGTTCATCCAAGTTGTTGCATATATCAACAGTTCGTTTCTTTTAACTACTGAATTACAGTCCATGGTACGTATGTAGCACACTTTAGCAATTTGTCCATTGCAGAACATTTATGTAGTTTCCAGTTCAGGGTTATTAAACTACTGAGTATTCATTTACAAGTTTCTACATGAACATCGTTTTTATTTCTGTGGGAAATATGCTGATGAGTACAATTGCTGAGTCATATGGTAAGACAGTTCTTAGTTTTAAAAGGAACTGCCAAACAATTTTCCACATGGTTGTATTATTTTACATTGCCATCAGCAATGTATAAGCAATCCAGTTCCTCCATATCTTCACCATTTGAGATTATTCCTATTTCTTATTTTAGCCATTTGATAGGTGTATAATAATATTTCATTGTAGTTTTTATTTGCATTTCATAATGGCTAATGATTTTAAATATTTTTAATGTGGTTACTATCTATATTTTGTCATAATTAAAATGTTAGTGCATGTCTTTTGCTCATTTTCTAATTGTATCTTTTCCTTTTTTAATGTTGAATTTTGGGAGCCCTTTATACATTTTAGATACTAGTCTTCCCTCTGGCATGTGATTTGTACGTATTTTCTCTCAGTCTATAACTTGTTTATATTTTTGAACTTTTATACTGTGGTAAAATACGTATAATATGAAACTTACCATCCTAACCATTTTTAAGTACATAGTTCAGTGGTATTAAATACCTCCACAATACTGTGCTACTGTTACCACCATCTGGCTCCAAAACTATTTTCATCTTGTAAAACTGAAACTCTGTATATGTTAAAAAATAACTCATCATTTCCCTTTCTACTGAGCCCCTGTCAACCACCATTCTACTTTGTGCCTTTATGATTTGGTCTACTCTTCAGTACCTCATCTGAATGGAATTGTACAGTGTTTGTCATTTTGTGACTGGCTTATTCATTTAGCATAATGTATTCAAGGTTCGTAATGTTGTAGCAAGTGTCAGAATTAGCTTCCTTTTTAATACTGAATTATATTTCATTGTATGCATATACCACAGTTTCTTATCCATTCATCTGCCAATGGATACTAGGGTTCTTTTCATGTTTTAGTTATTATGAATAATGCACCAGTGAACATGGGTGTAAAAATATCTCTTAGAGACTTCGATTTCTATTGTTTTGGGTGTATACCTGGAAGTAGAATTGCTGGATCATATGGCAATTTACATTTAATTCTTTGAGGAAGTGCCATTCTGTTTTCCACAGCAGCTGTATAATTTTATACTCTCACCAATAGTATACAGGGATTCCTATGTCTTCATGTCCTCACTAACATTTGTTATTTTATCCTTTTTTAATAGTAGCCATTCTAATGGGTGAGAGGTAATACTTCATTATAGTTTGATTTGAATTTCTTTAATAATTAGTGATGTTGAGATCTTTTCCTACACTTACTGGCTATTTGTATACCTTCTTTGGAGAAATATCCACTCAGGTCCATTGACCATTTTTGAACGGTGTTGTTTTAATGGTTTTCTATTATTCTAGATATTAATCTCTTATGATCTATAAATATGTTCTCTGACTCTATGAATTGCCTTTTTACTCTGTTACTATGGATGATTCACAAAATATTTAAATTTTTATGAAGTCAAATTTGTCTATTTTTGTTTTTCTTAGTATTTTGAATATATTAGCCTATTTTCTTGTAGCCTCCAAAGTTTCTAATGAGAAATCTGCTGATAATCTTATTGATAATCCCTTGCATGTGATTGTTTCTTGCTGTTTTTGAGATCCTTTGTCTTTAGCCTTTGAAAGTTTGATTATACGTGTCTTTGTATGGTTCTCTCTCAGTTTGTCTTAAAGTTTGTTGATCTTCTTGGATGTTTATATTCATGTTTTTCATCAAATTTGTGGAATTTTTTAGCCATTATTTCTTCAAATATTCTCTCTGCCCCTTTCTTTCTCTCTTCTTTTTCTGGACTCTCCATAATGCATATGTTGGTTCACTTGGTGATGTCCCATGGGTCTCTTATGCTTTTTTAATTTTTCCTCAATCTTTTAACTTCTATTCCACTTAATTTCCATTGTTCTACATTCAAATTTGCTGGTTGTTTCTTCTGTATGCTCAAGTTTGCTTTGAACTCCTCTAGTAATTTTTTTTACTCATTTCAGTTACTGTGGTTTTCAGTGTCAGAATTTCTTTTGGGATTTTTTAGGTTTTCTATATCTGTATTGACATTTCATTTTTGTTCATGCTTAATTTTCTTACTTTTTCCGTATCTTCCTTTGCTTTTTTGAGACAGTTTTATAAAGTCTTTGTCTAGTAGATCTGCCATCAGTCACTTGTCAGGAACAGCTTCTGTTGACTTATTTTGTAGACCTTCTCTGTACCAAGAATCAGCCTGAGGTATAAATTTAATGTCTTCTCAGGCCTTTTCTTATCCTGTGTCATCCCCTGGGCATGTGTGGTCACTTTCTAATATTCCCCATATATACAGTTTCTTTTGAATCTTCTAGTGTTTAATGCTTGGCTACCCCAAAAAGAAAAAGAATAAAGGGGAAAGGGAGAAGTATGTTAGCCCTTTAAATCCCCTGGAGTTCACTTCAGCTAGAGGCAGAGGGGCTTGCAACAACGGGGACAGGTACTATAACAATGACCACCTGCCTTCTTGTCTGTACCTCTGTGATCATAAGGTGCAATCAGCTCTCAGAGGGAAGGTTCCACTATTTGGAGGATAGGGTCCTTTTTGCCCACACCGGCTCCTGGCTCCTGCAAGCTATGTGCAACTGCTCTAAGAATATGCACAACTGCCTTCCATGGGTGTGGATAGATGGTAGCTGCTACTGTGCAAAGAGTTGAAATTGTCCAAAATTAACCACAATTTACTGTTCAAGTCCTCCCTTGGAAGTTGCAAGTCTTCAATAGACTCTAAAATTCCAAAATAGTTACATCAGGCAGACCCTGCCAGTGCAATTGTTTTCTAGGTGGAGAGGCAGCTTCCTGGCCCTTCCTATCCTGTCATCTTCCCAGAATCCTCTCTAATTTGTTGAATTTAAAATGAAAGAAAATGGACTTCTATTTCAAGTTGGCAGACTGAAATCCTACATATATCTCATGTTCCTTATGAAATACATTAAAATATGAAATTATAAATATATATGAAAAAATAAACTCATAAAGATAATAGGAATGGGGATCGTTATGAGACAAGATATGTTAGCAAATTTCAGATAGCTATAAAATAGGTAGAACAAGCAGGGGCTTGCAACCCTTTTCTGTATTGGGTCACACAGTAAATATTTTGACTTGTAGACTATATAGTATTAGTCATAAGTACTCAATTCTTTTTTTTTTTTTTTTTGTCTGTTTGTTTGTTTTCTTTTTTTGAGACAGAGTCTCACTCTGTCGTCTAGGCTGGAGTGCAGTGGCACGATCTTGGCTCACTGCAACCTCCGCCTAATGGGTTCAAGCAATTATCTGCCACAGCCTCCTGAGTAGCTGGTATTACAAGCGCCCACCATCATGACCGCCTAATTTTTGTATTTTTAGTAGAGAGGGGGTTTCTCCATCGTGGCCAGGCTGGATTTGATTCCACCGGCCTCGGCCTCCCAAAGTGCCGGGATTACAGGCATGAGCCACCACGCCCAGCCTCAATTCTGTTCTTGTAACACAAAACGGCCATAGGAAATACCGGAAGGAAAAATCGATGTGGTTGCATTCCAATAAAACTTTAAAAAACAGGCAGCTAACCCCTGGCTGTAGTTTGTGGACCACTATAATTAAGAAATAGCTCAGCAATCACTGTAGTAGCTGCTCTGCAAATATAAATTCCATAGACTCTGGGCTTTAAGTTAATAGATAAAGCAAAATAAATATAAAAAATAAAGATAGGATGATTAAATGAAATACTTAATACAGAAAAACTGTGCCAGTGACCCCTTCTATCATCTTTAGTTCACATAAAAGCAAGCAACTCAGCTCCAATCCTTAAGGAGAAGAGTTCAAAGGTTCTTCCTAGAAGAAACCATATGATTTCTAGAACGAGTGTTGCTATCTTAAATAAAGCCCTCCTCTTCTGGTGTTTGCACTATGCTTATCCTGAATCCAATTCTGATCTGTTATGTTCCCTGTCAACCAATATGGTCAGACTTGTTACATGTGAGAAAGGCCCATTGTGCAATAGAAAAAAGTTATTCTATAGTAAACAAGACTTACAATGCTTCCCCTGTCCTTTATTCTTAAATAGCAAGGATCATCAGACATGTGAGAAAATCCAATAGAACAAATAAGGAAGATCAACTTGCCCCTAAACATGTAATACAAGACAATATGGGAAATTAAAGATAACTTTTTATAAAGGATTCAGTATACTTGTAGAGATTTCAAAAGATATTATATATCAAAAAAGAAAATACGAATTGAAACAACAAGGAATATGAAATACTTCTTCAAGATTAAAACATAATTCAAAAAATTCAATGTGGTGACAGGATGATAAAATTAAACAGTTATATCAGATCACAGTTAGAGAAGAATAAGAAATAACATTGGTGAAGGGTTATATGTGTCAGGCACTATTGTAAACATGTAGACAATTAGGTTAGATAATACACATAAGATGTTTACAATAGCACCTGGCACATATTTCCAATTTACAGTTAAGAAAAGAGTTACCTATCAGTTTAAGGGGTAGAAAAAGTCACATCTTAGATTCAAATGGAGTGAGTTTGATGCCAAAACCCTTGCTCTTAACTACTATGCTCAAAAGGTAAAACACAACAAAGAAAATATGAGATAGGGAGAAGTAAATGGACGGTGCAATACTAAACCACACTAACACGTTTAAGTAGATTAAAAAAAATATTGATGGAAGGAAATTATCACAGAAATAAAGAAAATTTCCCTGAAGTGTAAAAGAAAATGTGTTTTCAGGTTTAAAGGGCATACGAAGTGCTAAGAATATCATAAAAAAGACCCTAGACTTAAAAAATTCTTATTAACTTGAAATTTCAAGAATCACAATAAAATCCTAAAAAAAATTATATAAAGAAAAAACATTGCACGTAAATGAGTTACCTATAAAAGAATCAGACATATAACATAATTTTCCATTTGTTGTTCTTGATGCTAGAAGAAAATGGAGTAATCTTTTCAAAGTTACAAGAAATATTATTTTAATCCCTGAATTCTATAGCTTGATAATGAATCAATCATATGTGACAGGAGAATAAAATCTCTTTTAAATAAATGTATAGGAATTCAGAAAATTTACCTTATGGTTTTGGGATACTCTCTAGCAAAACAAATAAGAATACAGAAAAGAGAAAATAAAGTTTCTAGAAATAGAGCTCTAACCCGGAAGGGCAGTCAAGGAAATTCTCAGTATAACAGCTATACAGCAGGCCTATACTGTATCCAGTAAAGAACTGAAGCAGGAGGACAAGTATTTTTGAAATAATGTCTTGGAGAAAAAACTTCCAGAGCAGAAAATATTACTGAGATTCCTGATTAACTGGAGTGCACTTAAAAAACATCATTTATTTTGGTCAACATCAACAAAAAACTAAAGGCAATTAGAAATTCTGAAAAAAAAAGAACAAAAAAGAAATAGATGTGATGGCTATAACACAAATATGAAGTGCCTGAAAATTTCCAAACATATGTGGATTTTCTTTTTATTTTTATGTTATTGATTTCTATACAAATGTCCTTGTCATCAGAGAATATACTCTAAATAATTATAGTCATTTGATATTTGATGAGATTTGTCTTTTGATTCCTTTATGGTCAATTTTTATGAAAGTTCTATGTATGATTAAAAAAATGTTGATTTTACACTTGTTAAATACAATATTATTTTTGTGTTCATTAGGTCAATATTGCTAATCATGTTATTTAAATATTTTCTATCAGTTACTAAAAGCAGTTAAAATCTCCCACCGTGATGGCCTATTTCTACTTTTTGTCAAATATGTTTTATATATTAAATATTTTGAAGTCATATAATAGTTTCACTGCAGTCTTATCTTTGAACTTCAAATAAAGTATGACAGATCTTACTCTCTTCCCTATTATTGTAACACCCTTGTATGTCTTTTCTATCATTTTGTCTTGCTATGGTATAATCTGTTTAATTTTTTCTGATGCATCTTTTTATTCACGGCTTCTCTTTTCAACTATATCCAATCTTATGTAAAACATACCCACCAAATTATTTCAGTTATTGTGTTGTTCAAATCTCAAATTTTTATTTCCTACCTATTCAAATAATGTAATTTATTTTCTGCAGTTCATTTCCTATTTGATTTATATCTTTGTTTCTTTGGACTAACTAAGCCAAATTGAGCTTAGTTAATTGAGCCCGATTAATTCCAGTACTAAAGAGCCCGATTAATTCCAGTACTAAAGTGCCCGATTAATTCCAATACTAAAATGTTTGTGACTCTTTTCCATTCTCTTTGGTGTCTACTAGCTATTATTCCTGATGTCTTCTTCTCTTGAGTGTCTCATTGCCTTTGACTGTGTCTTGAACATTTGAGTTTAAAAATTACTTGTAGGGACAATTTGAAGCCTGAGATTATGTTAACTTCTTTCAGATAGATTTTTGTTTGCTTTGTTTTATTTTGCTTTGGCAAAGTGTTAGGAGTTCTACCAGTCTGGGATCACTTTAATCAACAGAGATCCCCTGAGCCACCTAAATAGTGGAAAGCCAGGCTGAAAGTCTATCTCCAAAATCTTGCTTGAAGTAGAAGTGGCTTTACAGATGCCTCCATTCTTGATGGGCCATAGGCATTGATGTTTGAATCCTGCTAGCTCTATGCAGCTGCCAAAACACAGTTCAGTTCAACAGCTCATTTTCTGGGTTAAAAAAATACCCAAGGTCAAAGCAGCTTTATGTGCTGGTCTAATTGTTAGGGGTTTTTATCTTCTTCAAGACTTTGGTGTAGTATTTCCTTACTATATTCTTAGTTATTTGATGCTTTCAATAATTTTAAAATATATTTTACCTGACATTTGTTTGTCCTCAGCGAGATAAGTGACCCAAATTACCCCACCAACATTTCCCTAAAACTTAGTCTATTTATCTTTCACTACTGGTATTTCCTTTATTCGGTAACTTTCCCTCCATTCAGAGAGTTGTTATAATGTTTTATGCCCATGTCTAAGGGAAGAAATGAAAAGTATAAGGCAAAGAATAAAAAGCCTAATTGTTTACTTTTGCATTTCAGCATTGATAAGGACAAAATTTATTAGTTTTGGTAGATTGCACGTTGAAGATCAAAATTGCTTACTCATAATGTCTCAAATGGAAAAAGGAAGTCTATGGGAAAGCTAAAAAGTGAGATACTAGTCAATGTACTCTTAAAAGGAGCAAAACCTGAAACCTGCAAAATCTCCCTACTGGCTAAAACAAATACTCAAATTCCAAAACCAAAAAGGTGATATAGGGAATCCAGAAACCACATGTAGGTTTCCAACCACACAGAGCCCAGTAAAGCCCTTTTGTGCCCTTGCCAGTCAAATGAGGTCTGTGCCTCTCCATATTTCAAAGAGGTGGTCAAAGACTTTGTCCAACCCTAATCAGTGGCCTATAACCCCAAAGTGGGATGACAAACTAAATTATTTCCTGCAACTCAAAGGATAAAGAAAGTTATTGTCAGAGATTTGGGCTTGCTGAGGTCTTGTTAGAATAAGAAACAATAGGGCAGTAGTCTGCAGGTATTGATGACCAAGGACCAGATGGGATAATGTTCATCTTAACCAGGGCCAAAATGAACGGACGTTAATCTAAAACTAGATTTATTTCTTCCTTCATGCCTCCAACATACTGAGTGAGCTCTTAAAATTTAGAAACAAACTCAATGGTTTTGACAAAATGTAAAATCATGATTTTTTAAAAAATAGAGAACCATGCACTGTGCGTATCAACATATATCATTGGTTTATACATTATCTTTGACCTCTTTGTCATTCCACTCTCCTGTGCTGTATTAGTTTCTGGATGCTGCCCTAAAACAACCCACAAACTGGGTTGCTTAAGCAACAGAAATTGACTGTCTCCCAATTCTGCAGGCTAGAATTCTGAGACCAAGGTGTTGGCATGGTTGGTTTCTTCTGAGGCTTTTGAGGGAGAATCTGTTCCATGCCCCTCACGTAGCTGCTGGCAAACTTTGGCATTCTTTAGCTTATAGATGCATCACTTCAATGTGGTCTCTGTCTTCATAACATTTTCCCTATGTCTCTTTCTCTTTATGTAGTCTTCTCTCTGCACACATCTATCTCTGTGTCTAAATTTCCTCTTTCTATAAGAGCACCAGTCATATTGGATTAGGATCCACCCTAATAACCTCATTTTAATTTGATTACCTCTGCAAATACCCAAATAAGATTACACACTGTGAGGTACTGGGGATTCGAACTTCAACATATTCTTTTTGGGGACACAATTCAACCCATAATATGTACCATTCCCCATTTTCACCCCACCCCTTACTCTCACCTCCTGTCTACTATCCACATCAGAAGTGAGGTGAGGACATTAATCTGACACATTCTTTGGTAATGAAAAAAGCTCAAATTAAAGGTTTAAAGTTTTTGTTTTTTAAAGCCATGCACAATGTACCCAAGACAAATGGATGTAATCTTTCCATGATACCATGTTCTGCGTCCTGACAATTGTTGAAAAATGAAAAATAGGCAGATTTGGAGACTTTATAATGTTAACATTATTTAGATATTCAATTTGAGGAGAATCAATTGAGTACGCTACTTCCTCATTAAAAACATTTTAAAGGCTACAGAAGACAAATTTCTTTTTGTCCTAATTCAGTGGGTTTATTTCAGTGAGAAAAAAAGGAAACATGTAAAGTTAACAAGATTTCGTGTATGGTTGAACTGTAGCAGAATGGTATTAGCTATTAAAGGAAGCGCTAGGAAGATTGGGAACAGAGAAAGTTTGTGGGCCTTCGTCTGTTAATCTACAGGTTTTATTGGAATTAGGAAAGACGTTCATTAGCCAACTACTTCCTGACAAAGGAAGGTTGGTTAACTTCTTTTAGGAAAATTCCCCTGTGCTACCAGCTGAATGCCCAGAATTTACATAAAGAGAAACTAGATTCTGAAATGTTGCTTTATACCTGCCAGTTTCACCTATGAGCAGTGCAATTTCAACTGTTTCCTGTTAAACGAGATAATTTTCACATATTTTATATTCTGTGTGTCCTTTACAGTACCTATCACAAAATCTTATATACTTTAGGACTTTTGTAAATCATTTAAATAAATGTATATATACATGAAGTAAATTTTGCATAATTTAAAATTTTGAACCTTAGTTCTACATTCTAACTCTTCTGTACAGAATTTCTTAATTAGTTCTACTTTTGAGACTATTTAATTGTAATTCTTTCCCAATTGAGTTTCACTGTGCTTTTTAATCAACTTAAAAGACTTCATGAAAAAGAAAAAGAATAAAACAATTCAAATTAGAGGGGAAAAATGGGCAATAGATCAATGAGGGAGTTGTTATTTGTAATATGCTATTACTCAAAAACACATGCTCTGTACACAGCAGCAAAAATGCATACCATTTTAAAGTTTATAGAAAGTATAAGACTGGATGAAATATTTGCAGTCTTGAAGAACTGTACTTGTGTAGAGCCATGCTTATAAAACAGATCAGCCAAGATTAATTCAATCAACAACACACACTTCCCAAGCTTCTGAACCTATGTTTTTCTGAAAGCATCCTTGGTAAAATTTTTCCAGAACAACAATAATGGGCCAATATCTTTAGGCTTTAAGATATTTTAGGTCATGTGTCAGCAAACTATAGTCCATGGGTCAAATCTAGCAGCTGCTCATTTGTGTCAATTAAGTTTTGCTGAAAAGCAGTCACATGTATCTGTTTATGTATTGTCTATGGCTGCTTTTTTGCTATAAAAGCAGAGTTGGTAGTTGTGACAGAGACTGTGTGGCCTACAAAGACTAAAATATACTCTATATGGCCATTTACAGAAAAGGTTTGCTGACCTCTGCTACGGACAATAGCAGATGCACTAAGCTGATTTTTTCCCTTTGTAGACAACTCAGTAAAAAATGATTTCACTTAAACGTTTGGTTATCCCTTATCATATGTGGACATGCACGAAATCAGTCTGGATTAAATCGTGTGTGTGAAGTTACTCCTCTGATGAAATATAGCTTGTCTTAGCTGCCTTCTAGAAAAAGAAATACATTTCTACTAAGGCAAGAGTACAACTTCATTAGAGATCTCCAATTCCATTCAAAAGAAGTTTTCTTGGAAACATGCTTGCATTTGACAGTCATGTCTAGGTTCTCACTGTGAACAGAAATATTATTATTCAAGAAAACTAAATTACAATGGATTTATTTTATCCCACCCCAAGTTGAAAATCAGAGTTGTAAACTTCTGCCCATGCCCTTTTCTTTTTCCTCCACTCTTTTAGCTTGCTTTTATCACTTTCTAGCTGTTAATATTGAATGTCCTCATTTTTCTTATAAAGTGTTCTCACATGTCCACTTCAGAATTAAAATTAATTTATTTTCTCGTTCTCTTATTAATGGGTATTTTTTCTGATACCCTGTCTTTCTTCCTACACATAGAGAAATAATTTTTAAAACATTTTTTGAAACCACAAAGATGAAATCAATTCATTCAGCTGGCTTCAAATATTCCTTCATTTTAGGCTACGCATATAAATTTGTGATTTGTCTACAGATCACTCCAAAACTGGTTGTCTCCTTCATAATAGAATTGTAACCACTTGTATTAGTGCTGGGGAGAATTTCAGACAACTTCCATTATCAGTATTGTTTTTATACTTGCTTAAACTTTGGTTTGGAATATTGGTTTTGTAATTATCTTAAGGGGAAAAAAAAGGTTGCTAGAATGTCCCTTCTCCTCTCTTATTTCAGAAAAGATCAAAGCCCATTGTGTGAGGTTATGCTTGCAGGGACAGCAGACACAAGGAAGATGCAGTGAATTGTGGAGGTAGAAGCAGCTCAGCTCAGGGACAGTCTGAACATGAGTCATGGGGGACGTGGCATAAGTGTCCATTCCCTTGCACATAGGGACAGAGTAAGAAGGCATGGCTATGGACTGTGAGCTGCAGACTGTGGAAAATACAATGGTGAGAGGCATCTCTTGGGTTGTTGGAGCAGCTGGACTGAGGAGAGAGATGCCAGAGACTTTCAGGAGAGACATCTGTAATACAGGTGGTGAACCCCACTGACAAAAGTCCTAGTTACTTCCCAATTTTTCTAGAACCAAAGAGGCCAGAAAACTTGTAAAATCCTATATAGCTTAGGGAAGAATCCCTGAAATGGCAAGATTATGTTTCCTGCCAGATTGGCTGGGGGGATGCCTTGGGGCGAAGTGATTTAGAAAAGAAAAAAAAGAAAAGAAAAAGAATGTTCCGGGCTAAAACTACTGCTCTGTACATTTTGAACTCCAGGTGAGTTAAGTTGCAAGGATAAATTGTACAGACAATGCAATAATGAAATCTCATTTGGTGACGAATAAAAACTATGCAATCTAATCAATTTTTACTTTCATATTTCTTCAAATTTTCTAACTAATCTAATCCCATTATAATATGAAAAATGTTACACATCCACGGTGCTTCATATAGCTCTAGTTAAAATACTTTTTCATTCTAATTATTTCATTTTCATATGGTAAAAATGAAATAAAATTTGTTTTTAAGTTAAAGTAACTTTTACAGAACCAAAATGGTTCAATTATGTAGACTAGCTAAGCTAGGTTACAGTAACAGTATAATTTATCAAATGTATTCATTTGTGTCTATTGAAAGCATTGTTAATTTTGAAATAGTTCCAACTGAAGAAAAAACAATATACTATATACATGGATGAAAGTAACATATAACATTTTACTATTTTTATTTTAGCACCATTTTTGGAAAACACAAAAAATAGATACAACTAAGGCTTCATCATACCCATCTATTTCTATTTTCTCCCTCTTTCCTTAAACCTAGGCTTTATCCCAAAGCTGGTGTGTATTATTCTCATACATATTCCTATTCTTTCACTACTTACATCTTTATCTACAACATTGCATGAAATTGTTTAATCTAGACATAATAAATGGCATCTTTAATGTGTATAGTGCATCACAACTTACTTTTTCTAAATAAGAAACTAGAAAACTGTCAACTTATAGCATTATTATAATAACATTATTTTAAGAATTTGATTCTGCATAAAGTCTCCTCAATACTTAGGGCCACTTTTTTATATTTAAAACTTAACTTTTAATTTTGAGGTAAGTTTGAATTCACTTAATAATAGTAACAAATAATACAGAGAAAACTCTGTGTTCTTTACAGTCTTCTCCAATTATAACGTCTTGCAAAACTATAGTACAATATAATAATCAGAATATCGACGTTGATAAAAGCCATAATCTCCATCTAACCATGAGAAAAATAGTAAAAACCCAGTTAATGGAGATTCTACAAAATACCTGGAAATATCTGGCCCATTCTCCTCAAAGCTGTCAAGGAGATCAAAACCAAGGAAAGTCTGAGAAATTGTCATAGACAAGATGAGTTTAAGGTGGATGAACTTTACTTGTGGGGCATATGGGAACTCTGTACTATTTTTACAGTGTTTCTATAAATCTAAAACATTTCCAAAATATGTGCCTTTGGCTATCGTAAGGAGCCTGAATAGTTTTTTTTTTTTTTTTTTTTTTTTTTTTTGAGACGGAGTCTCGCTCTGTCGCCCAGGCCGGACTGCGGACTGCAGTGGCGCAATCTCGGCTCACTGCAAGCTCCGCTTCCCGGGTTCACGCCATTCTCCTGCCTCAGCCTCCCGAGTAGCTGGGACTACAGGCGCCCGCCACCGCGCCCGGCTAATTTTTTGTATTTTTAGTAGAGACAGGGTTTCACCTTGTTAGCCAGGATGGTCTCGATCTCCTGACCTCATGATCCACCCGCCTCGGCCTCCCAAAGTGCTGGGATTACAGGCGTGAGCCACCGCGCCCGGCCGCCTGAATAGTTTTGAGGACTAGCAATGATCTGTTCCTTTGGTCAGAGCCAAGGACTCAAGTGAATATAACATTCTTTCTGAATCAGAACTGAGAACTCAAGATTGATACTTTTTTTTCACTAAGGAAACAAAGGGAATTTGCCCTAGTTTGCATTCTTTTGAAGATGTGGGTAATGAGGGGTAAAAAATCAACTTTTTTTTAACCACTAAGGCAGAAAGAAATCATAAGAGAAACTCTAAATTTTAAAGGGCTAATTGTGACTTGAATACATTCTTGTAAGAGAGATGAAACCAGAATGTAGTCTAAAAATGTCTCCAGAAAATAATGGAAACAGAGAAATCTGCCTTAATGGAAAGGTTTGAGAAGAAAAGTCTTATCTTCTTGCTAAGCTTAAGGATAATGTAATTCCATCACCACTTCCTCAGTCATGAAAAAGTAAAAATTACAGAGAAGGTTAAAAAAAATACTTTTCTTGGTAGTCAAGTGACAAGCATTGAAAATGTACTATAAGGACTCAGTATTGGCTTTCATCTGAGGTATAAAATCAGGCCTCTGCATGTTGAGTTCATAAACTGTGCCATAACCAGTGGCACATCTACATTGATCAACAAATTCTTCTTGGTAGGCCATTCTGTAGCTCAGGATACAGGAAGAACCACTTGGCAAGTAAGACACAAGTCAACCTAGATACCTTCCCAAGAGTCAATATTCAAGCTGTACTTAACAGTCAATCCCTATCTATTGTTCTGATTTGTCTAGCAAACTTTAAGTTCCCTTTGGAACATTCTTGAACACCAACACAAAATACGTTCACTATCATCTATGTTTATATTAATAGCAATGATTTTGTTTTTTCCATTAATGTAGAAATGTTGAGTCTTGGTGCTTAAAGGTATTACAAAAGAAGCTGCTGACCTGGAATTTACCATAAGAAATACTGGAGTGATTTCATGGAATAATGATGCCCTAGCTCTATGAACAGCAATCTGGTTTAGAGCTGGATGATCCTTAGAGATTTCTTTAGAATCAATTGATTCTCCTGTTTTTCTTCATACTTTATACCACCATCTTCCTCTCTTTTTTTTTCATAACCAATCTGAACCTGAAGTAGAAGTATTTGATACTTGGGCATACTTAATATCCACCTTGCAGTGGTGGCAGATATATGGAATTGCTTACTCACTAAATCATAAAGCTGAACTTCTTAGGAAAGTATCAATAAAGTGACAATGTTTAATATAGCAACAGATCCTGAGAAAACAAACTTCACCTGATAGCTTTCAAGGTTCATTTTATGTTGTATGTAATATATTTTCCTTTTTAAATTTTTATTTTCTTCATTCTTTCCTTCCTCCCTTTCTTCTTCCCTCTTTCTACCTTCTTTTTTCTCATGTTTTCTTAAGAAATATTTTTTGTGGGTTCCTTATATTGCTTTAGAAAATGTATCTTGCTCAGAATTTTTCTGATTATACAAATAGGCCAAGAATTTCTCCTGACAAGAGTAGTATTCAAAAAATAACACAGTAAAGTGATTTTAACACATTATGATGAGAAATGGTAAGATGGTAAGCAGGAATCTTGCAACCATGAATAATTAAACAGATCACAGAGCTGGGACAGAGGTTCTTATTTCCTATAATAAAAGGATACTTGATTTGAGAACTTACCAGAACCAACCTATGCGCACTGTGAGGTCAAGTTACTTTAAAAGAAAATTATTCTTGCATTCATGATGTAGACCTATACACACACTCAGCCAGAAAGTTAAATGTTTTTATACTTAATACTGGGTAACAGGATAGCCTTAATCTGTGCAGAACACTGCAATATATGTGGGTAAAAGCAAAGAAATCCATTTCCTATTATCCCAGGGATAGGAAATAATAAATCAATAAGCATTTTCCAATGCCTGAAGGTGGTAAGTTAGCTATTTTAAATCGAAGTTCCAAACACCAGTTTGGTTGTTATGAGAACAATGCTGCATTTCAGTGCTGAAAAATCATCTGCTATTCCTCTGGGTAATATACTGTCTATCCTCAAATTTGGAAAGGAAGCTTTTTCTCTTTCCCAAACCTTCTATCAGTCACACAGTCAATTCTGAAGCAGTGGAGTTGATACAATATCCAGTATTGTTAGCACTGGATACCGTATTATGCAGAACGCGCTCACCATTTCCTTTTAATGTGCTTGAGTTTACAAGGCTCAGGGCAATGGAGAACACACAGCTTCTGTAACCTTTGTGAAAGTGTTGGATGTGCATTTGTGTGGGTACAATATGATTACATTCTTGAAGATTCAATGAGTTTCCTAACAAAGAGAGCAAAAAAGAAGAAACTGCTTGAAAGTCATCTATTACAAATGACTTCCAAAACTAAAGGTCTGGTGAAACGACGAAGCCATAACTTTGAATATTTGTACAAAGGAAAATGGGAAAAAATGTATATATATCTTCTAGAACGCCAGATTAACCTCAGAAAATGAGCAAAATATTAGATGCCCAGAGCCTGCTCTCATTCAATATGACAAATTCCAGAAATGTTCACAATTGCCACAGTTTATTAATTGCTACACAAGTGTTATCACATTAATGCAACTCAGATGCCAACGAGGGTTTAAATGAAGTTAAATGAGTAAAGCACGCAAAATGCTTTTCATTGTTCAGGCTTATGGGTAGTCAGTGAGTTGTATAATTGGGATTGCTAATGTTTCCAGCTCATTTAGTCTTTTACTGTATTGTGTGAACTCAACAAACATCTGCCAAAAAAAAAAAAAAAGAAAGAAAAGAAAAGAAAAAGTGCAATAGCCCAGATTCAAAGATCCTCAAAGCTAAGTTAAAACATACAATTTTCTTTCCAGAGATTACTTTCTTAGAAACTAGATTTTTAAAAATGCATCTGTTTGACTTTTTGTTTATTTGCTTTCCTCTAATTGTCACATATAGCGAAATCTTTGCTAGTCAAAATATGGTTCCTAGCATCACCTGGGAGCTTGTTAGAAATGCAGAATCTTAGGCCCATTCCAAACCTAGAGAAACAGAATCTGAATGTAACAACATCCCTAGATGATCTGTATGTAACAACATCCCTAGATGATCTGTATGGACATGACATCTGAAAAGGACTGAGCTAAACAAAGCCCCACATAAAGTCAGTAAGGAAAAATATACATATATTTTTACTTTTGAGTAGATAGTATGAATCATTTTAGTTCTTTGACAAACATTAATCCTAAAGAGTTTATAACTCCTAGATGGTACTCTCTTGCTTTTGGCCTCTTACAATTGCCAATTAAATGTGAATGAACTAACACCAGACATATTTAGTCTTTAAATATAAAAACCATAATACAAAAGTAGAAGATAGATAATTCATAAACCAAGTTTCTTTTGCCATTTTTTGCTGTTAAATGTCATATTTTCTTGCTAGGATGCTTGAAACTCTATCCAGAAGTGTCCCGGTATATGGTTCAGTAGATGGGGTAGCTCTGATTTGCAGCATTTGGTGGTTTTTTCTACGAATAGTCCCACTGTGGCTAATTTAAAGCCACTAATGTGAAGTCATGGAACTGGATTTGGGAACAAATGCACACAGTAGCTCTCTTTAGCTAGTGTAAGTCAACTCCGACACAACACTGGCTTACACATACAGTGTTGCTCCCTTCTCTCTCCCTAGGACCTCAAGGCTTCGAAACCCAGTTGGAAAACCACTTTAATACAACCAGGAGGAGAATGAAGGCAGCCAACTGCAAAATAGAATTTATTTCATTCTTGGAATCCCTCTCCTTGATTCCAACTCCTGTCCTGCTTGTCCTGCCTGGCTTGTCCTTGGATCCTCTGCCTTGATCCACTTTGTGACACTGGCATCCCTCTCATATCATTGATACTACACTAGTGGCTCTGAACTGTATCAATATTGCCCATTGCTCAAGATCAGAATCTAACCTGCAATGTCTCATAATTTTTAAACTAATGATAAAGTGTACAAGTTCACAAATGATTTCCTTTTCTATATAAAGTAATTCAAATTTCTATTCAAAAACCACTCTATAAATATTTAGGGAAACTTTTCTATTGCTGGCACTGTAATAATTACTTTTTTTTTTTTTTTTTTTTTTGGAGACACAGTCTTGCTCTGTCGCCCAGGGTGGAGTGCGGTGGTGTGATCTCGGCTCACTGCAACCTCTGCCTCCCAGGTTCAAGTGATTCTCCTGCCTCAGCCTCCCGAGTAGCTGGGACTACAGGCATGTGCTACCACGCCCGGCTGATTTTTTTGTATTTTTAGTAGAGACAGGGTTTCACTGTGTTAGCCAGGATGGTCTCGATCTCCTGACCTCGTGATCCGCCCACCTCGGCCTCCCAAAGTGCTGGGATTACAGGCATGAGCCACCAGGCCCGGCCCAGTAATTTCTTAAATAGGAGAAAGGTGACTTAATTACATTTGGGATGCCAAAGGCTCAGGAATGTTTTGCTGGTGAGTTTCACTGGTAAAATGAGTGAGAGAGAAGGGAAGGGAGGGCTCTCTGCACTGCTCCATTGGTGCCCTGCTCCCCATTCTCCTGAGTGCTTAGCTGGCCATTCTGGCCTTCTCCATCCCTCAGACACAGTAACTTGTTAGCATCTCAGGCAGGGAATAATGCACCTAAAGCATACTCTCAATTTTTTTATTTATGTATTTTTTAAGAATACCTCCTTTTTAATGATGAGAGCCAATCAGAGCAAAACTAGCTCTGGGCTTCATGATGATTCATTAGGGTGGCTAGTGCCAGGCAGATCTAGCATGGAAGGTCAGTCTCTGACAATGGTACTCATAAAAGGTGCCTGAACTTTATTACCCTCCCCCTCCACACACACACACACACACACACACACACACACACACACACACACATTCCCCAAAGGTGTACATTCTCACATCAAATAACCTATAGATCTCATTTTTATGCACTAAAGACATAAGAATTGAACAGATGTTGGCTATAGGAGAAAGATGAAATCAGACACAACACAGGGAACCCTGTGGCTACCAGGCTGATCATACCACCCTCAATTTTAAAATTCCATATATATATATTTATTTATTTATTTTGAGATAGGTTCTCACTCTGTTATCCAGGCTGGAGTGCAGTGGCATGATCATGACTTACTGTAATGTCACCCGCTCAGCTCACGCAATCCTCTCACCTCAGCCCCCCGAGTAGTAGCTGGGACCACAGACATCCCCAGGCTGATCTTGAACTCCAGGGCTCAAGGGATCTTTCCCTCTCGGTCTCTCAAAGTTCTGGGATTACAGGCATGAGCCACTGCACCCAGTCAGCTCCATGTATCATAACACATTTGTCTTTTAGTTGGTTTTACTTTTTTTATACCATGCAATTTCTATCTGATAATAAGTCACTTCTATACAGTAATTGCAATATTGAAATAACAACCATGACCACAACATATTTTCTTGCTTTTCTACATATTGTTACTGTCTCCTGCCTATAGATTTCATTCAGTTTATGAAAAATTAAAAAACATTAATGTTAGATTTTTAAAAATTTAATAATTTTATTTTGTAAGAATAAGAACATTCAACTAGCAGATTTGTATTTTACCTGAATAAAATATACTTTCAGCTCTTATATGCCAATCATATAATCTCATGAAGGAAATATGGTTATCTAAACACATATTAATATTCAAAAAATAATAGAGGGTATATACATTTTAAGATACTACCATAGATTTATAATTTCTGTAAAACTATAATCATAGAATTGTATGTGTGATCTATACACAGAATACAGTAATATAATCATCCTAATAACATAATCATTATCATAGAGGTAGCTCAAAAGTGCATGCTGAATAAACACAGTGACCATAGTGTTTAGAACACAGAATGCCATGGTTTTGCCAGTGATAACTAATGAACCGTAAGCACAAGCTGATGGCACAGGCCATTATTCTATTTTGTATTAGCAAGTTATTTATTTTTAAACTTTTATTTTAGATTCAGGAGGTACATGGGCTGGTATGTTACCTGGTATATTGTGTGATGGTGAGGTTTGGGGTGTGAATGTTTCTGTCATGCAGGGACCGAGCATAGTATCCAACAGTTAGTTTCTCAACCCTTGTCGCCTCCCTTCACCCAACTCTAGTAGTCCCCTGACATGCTTTGGCTGTGTCCCCACCCAAATCTCATCTTGAATTGTAATCCCCATAATCCCATGTCAAGGGAGAGACCCAGTGGGAGATGACTGGATCATGGGGCAGTTTCCCCCATACAGTTCTTGTGATAGTGAGTTCTCATAATATCTGATGGTTTTATTAGTGTTTGGCAAGTTCTTCCTTTGTTCATTCTTCTCTCTCCTGCCACCACGTGAGAAGGTACAAGCTTGCTTTCCGTTCACCTTCCCCCATGAGGGTAAGTTTCCTGAGGCCTCCCCAGACTTGTGGAACTGTGAGTCAATTAAACCTACTTCCTTTATAAATTATCCAGTAAGTTCTTTATATCAATGTGAGAATGGACTAATACATACCCAGTGTATACTGCTGCCATCTTTATGTCCATGAGTACCCAATGTTTAGCTCCCACTTATAAGTGAGAACATGCGGTATTTGATTTTCTGTTTCTGCATTAATTTGCTTAGGATAATGGCCTCCAGCTGCATCCATGTTGCTGCAATGGACATGATTGTATTCTTTTTATGGCTGTGTAGTGTTCCATGGTGTATATGTGCCATATATATACACATATATATATGTGTGTATATATATATACACATATATATATGTGTGTATATATATACACACATATATATACATATATATGTGTATATATATACACACATATATGTGTATATATATACATATATATGTGTATATATATACATATATATGTGTATATATACACATATATATGTGTATATATATACACATATATATATATATATATATACACATATATATGTATATATATACACATATATACACATATATATGTGTATATATACACATATATATACACATATATATGTGTATATATATACACACACACATATATATATGCACATATATACACACACACATATATATATATATATATATATAAAAATCTAATCCATGATTTATGGGCTCCTAGGTTGGTTCCATGTCTTTGCTATTGTGAATAGTGCTGCAATGAACATGTGAGTGCATGTGTCTTTTTCATGGGATGGTTTGTTTGCTTTTGGATATATACCCAGTAACGGGATTGCTGGGTCAAATGGTAGTTCTGTTTTAAGCCTTTTGAGAAATCTCGAAACTGTTTTCCATGATGGGTGAACTAAGTTACATTCTCATTAACAGTGTATAAGCATTCCCTTTTCTCTGCAGCCTCATCAACATCTGTTATTTTCTGATTCTTTAATAAAAGATATTCTAACTAGCGTGGTATGGTATCTCACTGAGGTTTTCATTTGCATTTCTCTGATGATTAGTGATGTGGAGCATTTCTTCACATGTTTGTTGGTCACTTGTATGTCTTCTTTTGAAAAGCATCTATTCATGTTTTTAGCCCATTTTTTTAAATGGTGGTTTTTTTTTTGTTTGTTGGTTGGTTTGTTTTTTTTTTTTTTTGTCTCGTTCAATTATTTAAGTTCCTTACAGATTTTGGAGATTAGAGCTTTGTTGGATACGTAGTTTGTGGATATTTGCTCTCATTGAGTAGGGTGTCTCTTTACTCTGTTGATAGTTTCTTTTGCTGAGCAGAAGGTCTTTAGTTTAACTAGGTCCCACTTGTAGATTTTAGTTTTTGTTGCAATTGCTTTTGAGGACTGTCATAAATTGTTTCCTAAGGCCAATGTCCAGAATGGTGTTCCTACATTGATTTCTTGGATTGTTATAGTTCGAGGTCTTATATTTAAATTTTTAATCCATCTTTAATTTTTGTATACATTGAAAGGTAGGAGTCCAGTTTCTTTCTTCTGCATATGGCTAGCCAGCTACCCCAGAACCATTTACTGAATAGGGAATACTTTCCCCATTGTGTATTAGTAATTTTAATTTATCTTAGTGAAAATAGAGGATATAAAATATGTACCAATATTTCCACCTTTAATCTTGTTTCTTAGAGTCTTAAATATTTTCTTATGCTGTGAGTGTTGCTCCTTAGGCTTATTTACTCTTGAATCTTTAATCATGTTATGATACTGTTGAAATAATTTGTAGATTTGTAAGTATCTGGTTAATTTAATCTGAAGAACACTTGGGAAAGATCCAGGTAAGCACTTAAAATTTGACTGCTTAAAATTGCCTTTAGAACTAAGGGATATATTTTCATTCTAAAATACTGAGATTTAATAAAATTATTGGACTAAAACCAAATCCCACATCTACAAGAATACACAAAACACAAAATTATATTTTTATGTATGGCTAATTTATTTTTAAAACCCTTATTCAGTTGTTTTCATTTGAATGCCTCAAGTTAACCTCAGGAGGAAAAAATATATTGTATTTACAAATATAAAGAAGAATGAACATTGCAGCTGTTGAAAGTAAAAGCAAGTTAAAGATCTGCAAAGAGTTTAAGAAACTATTAATTACATCTTAAAAAAATGGGACTTAATTTCATTTGCCTAAATGTTTTATATTTTAGATTTGTGCTCTGGGGAGATTTTTAACATTAGAAAAGAAATGTTATAAATAGCAAAAGAAACTGGTGTGGCACTTACACAAACAGTAAGTGACATTATTAAACAAAGAATTAATTACCCTGATTTGTTTTAGTAGAATTTTGCAACCATTTGTTCCTCCCATAGCTTTGTAAATCTCAGCCTTGTATGGCAAACTTAGCAACTGAGGCTATGGGAACCAAAGGGTGCCGAGGTAGAAATTAGAAGCATCACCTACTAGCCCCATGACTACTCAAGATACCAATCAAGAGGTGAAAAATACTGATTACTCATTCTGAAACCCTCTCTTCATGCAAGTGAAACCATGTACATATTAACAAATAATGAATATACCAATAGACATGAAGAAACAGAAAACATCATATTCCCTTTGACAGTCATTGCTGCTTATGTCTCTATTGACCCCTAAGATTTCCCAGGATGACAGAATCCCAGCTGCTGTCACAGCTCTCAGAGAAGCACAGCGGGCTTCAATACCAAACCCCAACTTTTCTCAGTCCCTGTGGTCATATTTTCATATTGGAAGCAAGTTAACTAGTGGCACTTCTCATAAACTTTGAAAAATGCTCCATTTGGCCAGGCACAGTGGAAAGAGGCTGTGGGTTAAATATGACCCTAGGATAAAGCAATGAGACAGCAAGTGTAGTGCTATAGAAAGCAGAATTCTGCCAACATCGGAATAAAGGCCAGGCCTCTAGGGCCAAAAACAGCATGTATAGATGTGCGTAGATTCCCTTCCCTTCACAGTTTGAAAAAGAAAATACAGTACATTTTGAAGTTTGAAGACATTCTTTTTCTTTCACATTATTTGCTTTGTCTCATTTCTATACATCTCCATATTTTATTATACAATTTTTTTCTTTAACTTTTGTTTAGATATCTGGTCTCAGAACCACTTTATATCTTTAAAAATCATTGAAGAGTCAAAGGAGGCTTTCCCTATTTAGGGTTAAGTGTATCAACATTTATCATATTCAGAATTAAAACTGAGAATTTTTAAATATACAAAAATGCACAAGCACACATTCTACCAGCTGTCAGATAAATCACATCACCACTCATTAAGCAGTCTCTGGAAAACTCAGTGCACACTTGTGAAATAATGAAATTAAAAAAAAAAAATCATCTGATGGTTAAGTTTTGACCTTGTAGATCCTCTGCAACAGGGCCTCCAGAAGCCCCCAGATAGCATATTGAGAACTATCACTCCAGATAAAATGACAGAAGGCAGAAAATTCAAATTGTTTTTATCTTTTTAAATGATAATTTCTACACTTCCTCCAAATGTTGAAAAAGAAGAACCAAGTTGGAACTTATACGATCACCTTTGTGAATTATTAGAAAGCTAAAGTATTCAAGATCATGTTGCATTATGTATCTATTAGAATTACAAAAATTAAGAGGGCTGATCATACCATCTGTTAGTGAAGATGTAGAGGAACTAGAATACACACACAAAGCTAGTAGGAATATAAAGTGATACAACCATTTTGGAAAAAACACTTGGCAGCTTCTTAAAAAAATTAAACATACACCTACCATAGGGTATAGTTTTTCCATACGTAGGTCTTTACACAAGAAAAATGAAAGCATATGTCTCCATACAGAAACTTGTCGCCAGGCATGATGGCTTACATCTGTAATCCCAGCAATTTAGGGGGTTGAGGTAGGTGGATTGCTTGAGCCCAGGAGGGCAAGACCAGCTGGGACTACATAGTTAGACCCTCATCTCTAGAAAAAAATACAAAAATTAGTCAGGTGTGGCAGCATGCACCATAGTCTCAGCTTTTCAGGAGGCTGAGGTGTGAGAACTGATTGAGCCTGGGAGGTTGAGGCTGCAGTAAGCCGTGATTGCACCACTGCACTGCAGCCTGGATGACAGAACAAGACCCAGTCTCAAAAAAAAAAAATGTACATGAATGTTATACCACCTTTACTTGTAATAGTCAAAAACTGGAAACAACCAAAATATCTACCAGCAGTTAAAGTGATAAGTAAATTATGATACAGTATGTTGGTACAATGGAATACTACTATCAGTGTTAAAAACTATATATGCAACAACATATACCATTCTCAAAATTATTTTGCTTAATAAAAGAGGTCAGTCAAGAAATAGTAAATTAAGAGAATGAAAGGGCAAGTCAAAAGCTTCGAGAAAATCTTCGCAAAAAACACATCAGAAAAAAGATTGACATAAAATATATAAGAATTCTTGAAATCCAACAATGAGAAAAAAATTAAAAATTGGCAAAAAATCTAAAAAGACTCCTTATAAAGGAAGATACACAGACAAAAAGTAACAGTATAAAAAGATGCTTCATTTTATGTGTCATGAGGGAATTGCAAATTAAAACAACAATGAGATACTACTACATATCTATTACAATGGCCAAAATCCCAAACACTCACAACCCCAAATACTGATCAGAATGTAGAGCAAAAGAAACTCTTATCATTACTGGTGGGAATGCAAAATGGTAAGGCTACTTGGGAAGACAGTTTGGCAGTTTCTTACAAAATTATACATACTACGTGATTCAGCAATCATGCTTCTTCGTATTTACCCAAATTAGTTGAAAACTTATTTCACACAAAAACCTGCATACAAATGTTTATAGCAGCTTATTTATAATCACCAAAACTTAGAGGCAAGCTAGATATCCTTCAATAGGTGAATAAACAAACTGTAGGGCATGTGTATAGTAGAATATTACTCATGGTAAAAAGAAATGAAACCAGGTGCAATGTCTCACGCCTGTAATTCTAGCACTTTGGAAGCCAAGGCATGAGGTTTATCTGAGGCCAAGAGTTTGAGACCAGCCTGGGCAACACAGCAATACCTTGTCACAAAAAAAAATAATAATTTAATTAAAATTATAAAGAAATGAGCTATCAAGCCATGAAAAGAAATGAATGGACCTTGAATGCATATAGCTGAGCCAAAGGAGCCAATCAATCTGAAATGACTACACATTATATGATTCCAATCATATTGCATTATGAAAAAGGCAAAAATCATGAAGAAGTAAAAGGCTCAGTGAGCACTATAGGTTCAGGAGAAGCAAGGGATAAATAGGTGGCGCAAAGGAGATTATTAGGGCAGTAAAACTATCATTCTGTATGATACCATAATGATAGATACATGTCACTACACATTTGTCAAAACCCATAGAATACATGACACAAACAGTGAACTGTAATGTAAACTATGGACTTTAATGAATGATAATGTCTCAACATTGGTTCATCAATTATAGAAAATTTACCACACTAATCCAAGATAATAAAAATAGGTGAAATTGATCAGGGAATGGCAAGGGGAGTGAGCACATGGAAACTCTCTATACTTTCCACTCAATTTTTTTTTTTCTGTAAACCTAATAATATTTTAAAAATCTATTAACCTTAAAAAGTACACATGATTTAATTCATATTGATTTTAGAAATATGAACAATAATCTATACAGCAGAAAGTAGATCAGTAGTTACCAGGAGATGAGGAGGAAGGAAAGGTGGAATTACCAAGTGGCGCAAGGAAACATCTGAGAGTAATGGATGTGTTCATTCTTTTGATTATGATAGTAATTTCTTGGGCCTTACATATGCCAAAAGGTATCAAATTTTATACTTTTGAATATGTATGGCTTATTTCATGTTGATTTGCACTTCCAATGATTTCCCAAATTATGCTACTGCTGCTGGTCTGGGGACTACATTTTGAGTACCACTGCTGCAGAGATAATGTACATGTACCCCCAAACCTAAAATAAAATTTTTTAAAAAAAGAGCTAACATAACTCAGCCAATAGTACACACTGAGAAATATTAGTTTTATGTTTACCACATGTAGAATTTTTGGTAAATTCTACTAAAAAAGGTTTTTAATTTAGCAAGTATTAGAAGTAATGCTGAAAATTACTCCTTTAGCTGGAAATATCTAAAGTTTAAACTGATCACTAAAATATGATTTCTAAATAAAACAACCCCATGTCCTTCCCCTCCTATAAGCTGCTAACTCATATTATAGAGAATAATACAAGGTATCAGCTGATCAATTTCACATTTAATTGTTTGAGGAATAGGGTAGGTTGTTTTATACATCATTTTTACTGAATTTCTTCCCTTTTCAGAAAACACCTTTAAAATCAATTTCTATCATATTTCATGACTCATCCACTAGTGTTTCTTGAAATAAATCTCCCTTGATAGATAAGAATCAGTACACAGAGGAAAAAAATTGTTTAGGGGAAGAATTGGTATCTGCTATGCAGAACTGGATAGCTGAATAGAAGCTGGGGACCCTAATCTCAGAAGTACCCACTCATGCTTCAATTTCCTATCCATAGCTACAAACTGAGAATGTGTGCAAAGAAAGAAAGCTGTAACATCTACACTTCACATCAGCCTTAAGAACTTCTAACATACATGCAGCCAACCAATACATGAAAAAATACTCAACATTATTATCAGAGAAGTGGAAATCAAAACCACAGTGAGATACTCTCTCACACCAGGCAGAATGGCTATATCAAAAAGACAAAAAAAAAAAAAAAAAGATATTGGCCAGCTGGAGAAGCAAAGGGAACACTTATACACTGTTGGTGGCAATGTAAACTAGTTCAACCACTGTTTGAGTTTGAAGATTTCTTAAAGAATTTAAAACAGAACTACATTGATCCAGTAGTCCCACTACTGCATATACAAAAAATATATATAAATCATTGTACAAAAAACACACATGCTATTGGATATTCATCACATCACTATTCACAATAGGAAAGACATGGAATCAACCAAAATGCCCATCAACAGTGGACTGAATAAAGAAACTGTGGTACATATACACCATGCAATACTACAAAGCCATAAACAAGAATCAAATCATGTCTTTTGCAGCAAAATGGATGCAGTTGGAGGCCATTATCCTAAGCGAATTAACACAGAAAACCATATAATACATGTTCTCACCTATAAGTGGGAGCTAAATGTTCAGTACCCATAGACATAAAGATGGGAACAATAGACAATGGGGACCACTAGAGTGGGGAGGGTGAGATGGGGACAAGGGTTGAAAAACTACCTATTGGGTCCTATGCTCACTACTTGCGTGATTGAATCAAAATTCAGTGACATGCAGTTTACTCATGTGACAAACCTACACATGTACCCATTAACCTAAAATAAAAGTTGGGAAAACAAAGAACTTCTACAGTAATCTATTTTTAGTTTCTTAAAGATACTCATAACCTGATATTCTAAAAAGTAGCTTAGGCCATAGTTTATAGAGAAGACTGACAGATCTTTTTCCAGTGGCCTTAAAATGACTTTGAGGACTTCCCTGGATAAACCCTGGGCAAACTAATAAAATTCTGTCCATTATATTAAAAGTTACATTGCCAGCCACATGAATCCTAATTATTTGTGGTTTACATTAACCAAGAGCTATTGCTGTGCCTAACTAAATTCTTCAATTTGCTTAGCCTAGGCCTTTTAAGTCAAGCTTAAAGACAAAGGTAGTTTTAAAAACCAATATGTGTGATTGATTAAACAAATATGTCACTAGCTCAACAAAAACTGGGAAGCTCAGTATCAGAGCACTTCAAGGCATTTGCTATTTGAATATAATCCTAAATTTAGGTGCAAAAAAATTAGTTACATGGAATTTATATGAGTATTTATATTCTGTATCAAGGAGCTATACAATTTTGTTAAACAAATCATTTGAGTCAATTATCAATGAAAACACAAAGTTCATTTCATGACCAGTGAATTGATATCCTTATAAAAAGTAACAAAATTTAATGATCTCAACAGCTAGCTTTGGCCATCCTAGAACTACATGCTCTAATTCCAGTGAGGCTCTAACCTAACCATTCCACTTTTTAAAGTTGTTGCAACTAAATGCAACAGTGGTGAGACAATTAATGCTTGGAAGATGGCTTCATAAACAGAAGCCAAAATTACCCAGATATATGACTATGAGCATATGCTTGATAGCCTCGAGAGTATGGCAAGTTTTTCTACCAGAGAGCTTTGTTCCTACTTCTCTCTACCTCACACAATTCAGTTTAAATCTGTACAGTGGTACGGATTACTGTAGGGTATAATCATACCCTGCTAGGGCTGCAGAGTGATTGGTTTTAAATGAGCTATGTTTTACAACTGGCTACGTAGAGCAAGAATAGTTGAGAAAAGAGAAAAGACAGTTAAAAGAATCCAGGTTCTGATCTATTCCTACCCTGTGAAACTGATTTCACTTTATTGCAAAATGAAGATGATAATGCTGGCTCAATTCACTTCCTAGGTACACTACACTGACCTTCCGAGATAAACACTTTAAAAAGCAGTTATGGACTTCCACTGCTGTTGAGGACTGGAAGCCAGCCACAAGATTCATTTGTTCCTACTTTAATGACACAAAAAGCCAGATAATACACAAAGCCAAAGTCTTTTCAAAGCCCGTGAGAGAACAGGTCATCAAGCAATTTTTAAAAAGGCAGTATTGAACTAAAATCCACAATGTGACAAGCCTCTTCCAGATGACAAGTAATATACGGCTGCTTCGTTTTTCATTTTGTTTTGTTTTTTACCTATTTTACTTTAAGTTCTAGGGTACATGTGCACAACGTGCAGGTTACGTAAGTATTATGTGCCATGTTGGTGTGCTACACCCATTAACTCGTCATTTACATTAGGTATATCTCCTAATGCTATCCCTTCTCCTTCCCCCCATCCCACAACAGGCCCCAGTGTGTGATGTTCCCCTTCCTGTGTCCAAGTGTTCTCATTGTTCAATTCCTGCCTATGAGTGAGAACATGCGGTGTTTGGTTTTTTGTCTTTGCGATAGTTTGCTGAGAATGATTGTTTCCAGCTTCATCCATGTCCCCACAAAGGACATGAACTCATCCTTTTTTATGGCTGCATAGTATTCCATGGTGTATATGTGCCACATTTTCTTAATCCAGTCTATCATTGATGGACATTTGGGTTGGTTCCAAGTCTTTGCTATGGTGAATAGTGCTGCAATAAACATATGTGTGCATGTGTCTTTATAGCACCATGATTTATAATCTTTTGGGTATATACCCAGTAATGGGATGGCTGGGTCAAATGGTATTTCTAGTTCTAGATCCTTGAGGAATCACCACACTGACTTCCACAATGGTTGAACTAGTTTACGGTCCCACCAACAGTGTAAAAGTGTTCCTATTTCTCCATATCCTCTCCAGCATCTGTTGTTTCCTGACTTTTTAATGATCGCCATTCTAACTGGTGTGAGATGGTATTTCATTGTGGTTTTGATACACATTTCTCTGATGGCCAGTGATGATGAGCATTTTTCCATGTGTCTGTTGGCTACATAAATGTCTTCTTTTGAGAAGTGTCTGTTCATATCCTTCACCCACTTTGTGATGGGGTTGTTTTTTTCCTGTAAATTTGTTTGAGTTCTTTGTAGATTCTGGATATTAGCCCTTTGTCAGATGAGTAGATTACACAAATTTTCTCCCATTCTCTAGGTTGCCTGTTCACTCTGATGGTAGTTTCTTTTGCTGTGCAGAAGGTCTTTAGTTTAATTAGATCCCATTTGTCAATTTTGGCTTTTGTTGCCATTGCTTTCAGTGTTTTAGACATGAAGCCCTTGCCCATGCCTATGTCCTGAATGGTATTGCCTAGGTTTTCTTCTAGGGTTTTTATGGTTTTAAGTCTAACATTTAAGTCTTTGATCCATCTTGAATTAATTTTTGTATAAGGTGTAAGGAAGGGATCCAGTTTCAGCTTTCTACTTATGGCTAGCCAGTTTTCCCAGCACCATTTATTAAATAGGGAATCCTTTCCCCATTTCTTGTTTTTGTCAGGTTTGTCAAACATCAGATGGTTGTAGATGTGTAGTGTTATTTCTGAGGGATCTGTTCTGTTCCCTTGGACTATATCTCTGTTTTGGTACCAGTACCATGCTGTTTTGAAGACGAAAACCACATGATTATCTCAATAGATGCAGAAAAGGCCTTTGATAAAATTCAACAGCCTTCATGCTAAAAACTCTCAATAAATTAGGTATTGATGGGACGTATCTCAAAATAGTAAGAGCTATTTATGACAAACCCACAGCCAATATCATACTGAATGGGCAAAAACTGGAAGCATTCCCTTTGAAAACTGGCACAAGACAGGGATGCCCTCTCTCTCCACTCCTATTCAATTTAGTGTTGGAAGTTCTGGCCAGGGCAATGAGGCAGGAGAAAGAAATAAAGTGTAATCAATTAGGAAAACAGGAAGTGAAATTGTCCCTGTTTGCAGATGACATGATCATATATTTAGAAAACCCCATCGTCTCAGCCCAAAATCTCCTTAAGCTGATAAGCAACTTCAGCAAAGTCTCAGGATACAAAATCAATGTGCAAAAATCACAAGCATTCTTATACACCAATAACAGACAAACAGAGAGCCAAATCATGAGTGAACTCCCATTCACTATTGCTTCAAAGAGAATAAAATACCTAGGAATCCAACTTACAAGGGATGTGAAGGACCTCTTCAAGGAGAACTACAAACCACTGCTCAACAAAATAAAAGAGGACACAAACAAATGGAAGAACATTCCATGCTCATGGATAGGAAGAGTCAATATTGTGAAAATGGCCATACTGCCCAAGGTAATTTATAGATTCAATGCCATCCCCATCTGGCTTCCAGTGACTTTCTTCACAGAATTGGAAAAAACTACTTTAAAGTTCATATGGAACCAAAAAAGGGCCCACATTGCCAAGACAATCCTAAGCCAAAAGAACAAAGCTGGAGGCATCAGGCTACCTTACTTCAAACTATACTGCAAGGCCATAGTAACCAAAACAGCAGGACTGCTTCGTTTTTTAAGCTGAGTAGCGGAAGAAAGAAGAAACTACTTACTATTTATGTTTTCAACTTTTATCTTAGATTCAGGGCTACCTGTGCAGGTTTGTTACCTGGGTATACTGTGTGATTCTGAGGTTTGGAATATGAATGATCCCATCACCCAGGAACTGAGCATAGTACCCAACAGTTAGTTTTTCAACCCTTCCTCCCTACCATCTCTATAGTCCCCAGTGTTTACTGTTGTCATATTTACGTCCATGAGTAACCAATGTTTAGCTCCTGCTCATAAGTGAGAACATGTGGTATTTGGTTTTCTGTTCCTGTGCTAATCCATTTAGGATAATGGCCTCCAGCTACATCCATGTTGCTGGAATGAACATAATTTCATTATTTTTTATGGCTGTGTAGTATTCCACAGTGTTTATGTACCACATTTTCTTTATCCAATTCAACATTGATGGCCACTCTAGGTTGATCCCATGTCTGTGCTATCGTGAATAATGCTGCAAATAACATACAGGTACATGTGTCTTTTTTATGTAGAATGATTTATTTTCCTTTGAATATATACCCAGTAGTGGGATTTCTCAGTCTAACATAGTTCTGTTTTAAGTCCTTTGAGAAATCTTCAAACACTTTTCCATAGTAGCTAAACTAATTTACATTACCACCAAAAATGGAAAAGTGTTTCCTTTTCTCCACAGCCTTGCCAACAACTGTGGATTTTTGACTTATTAACAATACCCATTCTGACTGGTATGAGATGATATCTTATTGCAGTTTTGATTTGCATTTCTCTGATGATTAGTGATGTGAAAAACTTTTTCACATGTTTGTTGGTCATTTGTAAGTCTTATTTTGAGAACTGTCTGCTTATGTCTTTTGAACGCAATCCTGTTTACAATAGCTACATATAAAAGAAAAATACCTAGGAATACATCCAACCAAGGAGGTGAAAGATCTCTACAAAGAGAACTAAAAAACTGCTGAAAGAAATAAAATAGATGATACAAACAAAGGGAAAAACATTTCATGCTCATGGACAGAAGAATCAATATTGTTAAAACGGCCATACTGCCCAAAGCAGTCTACAGATTGAACATTATTCCTATCAAATTACCAACATTATTTTCTGGAATTAGAAACAACTATTCTAAAATTCCTAGGAAACCAAAAAAGAGGCTGAACAACCAAAGTAATCCTAAGTAAAGAGAACAAAGCCAGAGTCATCACATTACCTGACTTCAAACTACATGACAGGGCTACAGTAACCAAAACAGCATGGTATTGGTACAAAAACAGATACAGAGATCAATGGAACAGAATAGAGAACCCAGAAATAAAGTTGCACACCTATAGCCATCTGAACTTTGACAATGCTGACAAAAATAAGCAAAGGAAAAAGGATTGCCTAATCAATAAATGGTGTTAGACTATATGGATAGCTATATGCAGAATGAAATTGGATGCCTTTCACCATATACAAAAATTAATGCAAGATGGATTAAATATTTAAATGTAAGATATCAAACTGCACGAATTCTAGAAAATATGGGGATCACATATCTGGATGTTGACCTTGGAAAGAGTTTGTGACTAAGACCTCAAAAGCAATTGCAATGAAATCAAAAATTGACAAATGGGCCCAATTTAACTAAAGAGCTCTGTACAGCAAAAGAAACTGTCAGCAGAGTAAACAGATAACCTACAGAATGGGAAAAAATATATATCAAGAAACCACTTTAGATGAAGGTAAGAAGAAACTTGCTAACTTTTCAGCAAATTTTAAGACCATATATGTACAGGTTTAGCCTGAGATCCCCAAATGAAAGGGGACCCACCCACTCCTCTCCCCACAACCAGTTCTTTTCCACAGGCCTTCATGAGTATTCATGAGAAAAACTAGGGACAGGGCAGGAGAACTGAGAAGCAATGATAGTGAAGACTATGGCAGACCAGGAGAAGTGAGAAAAATGTTCTAGGCCAAGTTGGGCCTCATTCTAAGTACCACAGCTGTCTACCACTAGAGCAAGAGGAGGAGAGCTAAGAGAGTGCCTCTCCAGGCACATCCCCTGGGACTGCTTAAGTCTAAGGGTGTATGTGAGAGGATTAAAAGAAACCCCACAAAGGAGCTTAAACTTAGATTGAATACCAGGCTGTGGCTGTCTGCTGCTGAAGGAAAGGCTAAAAGCGAATCCCCTGAAGTGAAGATTTGTACCTACTCAACTATGAGAATAGTGGAGAGAACTGAGAAAAAAATAACACACACACACACAACCATGCCCAGCATTAACCATATGCTACTGGGGGTGAGAGGACAAATTGCTGAGAGAGAATTCCCCTCACACCCAAGTTGAGATATATATGGCCTGCCAAAGTCCAAGGGTGGAACAGAAGAGCTAAGACACGCCTGTGGTGAACAAAGCTCAAACGTGTCTCAAACACAACCTAAGTTGACTCACCATATCTCTTCAACCTCCCACATGCACAAATACATGCTAGAGCACAATGGAAGAAGAGACACGTCTTTTTCTGGACATAAATATTATTTTCTTCGGTTTCTATTTTTCTTTTTTTATATACAATGTTCAGAATTCGATAAAAATTTGAGACTCATGAAAAGGCAGAAAAATAGGAGTCATTATCAAGAGAAAAATTTATTAAAGGAAACAGACCCCAAAGAACTCATATGTTGGAACAGTCAAATAGGAATTTTAAAATAACTACGATCACCCTCTCTGTGCAATGAACGGGCAGTGCACCAGTCTCATACAATAGTTATAATAGATATGTTGAAGTACATAAAGGAAAGGGTAGACAACATGCATGAACAGATGGAGAATTTAAGAGATAAAAACTATAAAAATGAGCCTAAAGTAAATGCTAGAAATAAAAAAGATAGTATAAAACTTGAAAAAATATTTATATGAGATTAGCAGCAGACTGGACACAGAAGAGAAAAGAATCTGTAAATTTGAAGACATTCAAAATAAATTATCCAAACTTACATACAAAGAGTAAAAGGAGTTAAAAAAGAACCATTATTCAAGATCTGAGGACACTATCAAACAGTTTAAGAAGTGTATAATTGGTATTCCAGAAGGAATAAAGGGAGAGAGGAGCAGAAGAAATATTTTAAAAGATAATCAAGAATTTTCCACAAATAATAAAAGACATCAACTCACAGATTGCAGCAGCTTGGTTAATCTCAGGAAGGATAAATATGAAGTAAATCATAGGAAGGAAAAACATACTCAGATGAAAACCAAGATTAAGGAAAATCTAGAAAGTGGTCAAAGAATGCAAAGACAACATACAGGAAACAGTGATACAATTAAATTAATGGTTGATTTTTAATCAGAAACACTAGGGGCAAGAAGCTAATGAGAAAATTTTTTTTTTCTTTTTTTTGTTTTTGAGACTGAGTCTCGCTCTTGTTTCCCAGGCTGGAGTGCAGTGGCACGATCTCGGCTCATTGCAAACTCCACCTCCTGGGTTCAAGCAATTCTCTGCCTCAGCCTCCCAGATAGCTGGAACTACAGGCGCCCGTACCATGCCCAGCTAATTTTTTGTATTTTTAATAGAGATGGGGTTTCACCATGTTTCCCAGGCTGGTCTCAAACTCCTGACCTCAGGTGATCCACCCACCTTGGCCTCCCAAAGTGCTAGGATTACAGGTGTGAGCCACTGTGCCCAGCCTGAGAAGACATTTTTAAAGTACTAAAAAACTGTCAAACTAGAATTTTATATCCAGTGAAAATATCTTTTAAAAATGAAAGAGAAATAAAGATATTTTCAGACAGACAAAAGCTGAAAGAATTTATCTCCAGCAGACCTACTTCACAAGATTAAGTCTTTTTAAAAGAGTATTTAAAGTGAAATTCAAGCTATTTAAAGTAGAAATGTTAAAAATGACTGTGGGGCCCAGTGTGATGGCTCATGCCTGTAATCCTAGTACTTTGGGAGGCTGAGGCGGGAGAGTGGGCAGGCAGATCACTTGAGGCCAAGAGTTCGAGACCAGTCGGACCAACATGGTGAAACCCTGTCTCTACTAAAAATACAAAAATTAGCTGGGTGTGGTGCTGAATGTTTGTAATCCCAGCTACTCAGAGGCTGAGGCACGAGAATCACTTGAACCTAGGAGGCAGATGTTGCAGTGAGGAGAGATCCTGCCACTTCACTCTAGTTTGGGCGACAGAGTGAGATGGTCTCAAAAAACAACAAAAACAAAAAATGTACTGTGGGGTTTATAGCATATGTAGAGGTACGGCATATGACAAAAGGACACAAAGTGCAGGAGTTTGGTAATTAGAAATATATTGTTGTAAGGTTCATATATTGTTTGTGGAGTAGTGGGATGTTTTCTGAGGTAGGCTATAGAGAGTGAAAATGCATGTATTTTTAATCTCTGGAGCAGGGCCTCGCATACTTTTTCTGTAAAGGGTTAATTAGTAAATGTTTTAGACTCTACAGGCTGTTTAGTCTTTGTTGCAGCTACTTAGCTGTACTATTGTAGTCCCAAAGCAGCCATATATAATTTGTAAATAAATAGGCATAACTGTTCCAGTGAAACTTTGTGTATAAAGAACTAGGGCTGGATATGGCCTGCAGGATGTAGTTTGCTGGCTCTTTCTCTTGAGCATGCACTAAAAAAAGACCAGAGTGCATAATTAAAAGGCCAATAGAGGAGATAAAAAAGAGAGTACTAAAATTTACTCAATTCATCTCAGAAAATACAGAACAGGTGAGACAAGTATAATCTAGATACCAAGATGGTAGCCTTAAATCCAAATATATTAATGTCTACATTGCATTGGGTTGAACTAAATATCCCAGTTAAAAAGAAGAGATTGTCAGAATAGATTGAAATGAAAGATCCACTATATATCTTGTTTATAAGAAACGCCCTTTAAAGATACAGACAAGTTTTGATATAAAAGGAAGGAAAAATATATACCATACAATCAATATAGGAAAAATCTATATGAATAGCAGACAAAATACACCTCAAGACGTGGAGTATCATTAGTACAGACATTTCTTTAAAAGTTAAATAGACATATTCTATAACCCAGGAATCTCATTTATAGGTATTTATTTAAGATAAATGAGAACCTATGTTGACAAAAGAAAGCCTCATATACAAATCTTTACAGAAGATTTATTTAAAATAGCCAAAATATGAAAAAGTTCAGATGCCCATTAACAGGAAAACAGGTAATTAGCAGTATATTCATATTATAGAACACTACTTAGTAATAACAAATAAACTACTGATATATATAACATCATGAGTCTCAACATTATTCTGAGAAAAAGGCTCCAGAAAAAAAATAGTATATAAAATCGTATTTATATAAAATTCTACACGAGACAAAACTATTATGATAGAAATAAGATTAGCATTTGTTTCCGGGTGGGGGAGACTTGATTGGGAAGGGCACAAGGAAACTCTCTGGGATGACAGAAGTAGTCTTCATCTTGCCAGAGAATGGGTAACATGGGTATATTCATTTGCCAAAATTGATCAGTTTTCATACTTAGAATCTGTGTATACACTATATTTAAGTTATGCCTCAATAAATTTAGCATTGGGTATAAAAAGTATTTTTGCATGACTATGAAAATTGGCAGGCATTTATGTAAGTTGACTATAGTAATATAAATATTCATTTGTTATGAAATTATGTACAGTTCCATGCCAAGGAAAGTATTTGCTAATTAGATTCTTCTACTGCTAAGACATCAGACATCCTTGGATATTCAATTACCTGATAGCATGGAATAAAGCATACAGAAACATCTAGAAATGGCCGGGTGCCATGGCTCACACCTGTAATCCCAGCACTTTGGGAAGCCAAAGAGGGAGGATTGCTCGAGTCCAGGAGTTCGAGATCAGCCTGGGCAACATGGCGAAACCCTGTTTCTACTAAAAATACAAAAATTAGCCAGGCATGGTGGTGCATGCCTATACAGTCCCAGCTACTCAGGAGGCTGAGGCATGAGAATCACTTGAACCCAGGAGGCAGAGGTTGCAGTGAGCCGAGATTGTGCCATTGGACTCCAGCCTGGGTGATGGAGTGAGACTTCATCTCAAAAAAAAAAAAAAAAAAAAGAAAAGGAAAGAAAGGAAAGAAACACCTAGTATATAACAGATACTTGATATAACTATTTTCTTCATCCTTCCTTAGATGAAATCTAAAAGGAACATTTCTCATCCCAAATTCACAAGTGTAATCTGTATCACCCCTTCTATATTTGAGATACCTATGATCCCTCTGCTATAACATTCTTTCAACAAGCAAGGAGTCCATCTCCAATGAATTTGCGCTAACGCATAGATTGAAACTTATTTTCCACCTGTACCAGAGTATGAAATGCAGCTCTCAAAAGCTTTCTTTATTGGCACAAACTGAGGTGTGGTAGCACAAGATAGTTCCGTCCAAAATCAGAACTGGAATCTACTCAAGGCCATTTAGTAAAGCAGTATTGGGAGAATCTTGTGGTAAGTTAAAGTCATATATCCTAATCTGGCCTGTTAGCATGGCAAAAGTGAAGAAGATTTAGGGATGGTAAGATAACATTAGAGAATAAAACTGAAATTTGTGGCAAGGAATTAGGCCAGTTTAGAGATTAGATGTAATAGAGTGAACCAGGCTCAGGGCTTTAAAGCGCAACCTGGGTAGGCAGAGCCAATTAGAAAGTGAACCCAGTGTATAAAAGAAGACATCCCAGAGTCAAGCAAAGTGACATGAGTTAACCTAGAACACAACTCTAGTTTCTAGTAAAGTTTGCTTTGGAGACTTGTTTCCACTATACATTATACTGAACTCTCATGATAGTCATCGGGCTGATGACTCAGGGCAGGAAAGGAGCTTTCTATTTATATTTCAAAGCATATAATTTAGGGGTTTCAGTGAGGGAAAGAATAGGATGTGATACTTGTGACTGAAATTAAATTTTAATAAAACTGCGTCTAAGTTCTGCTTAAAATGCTAACTTGCAACTTCCTCTTCTGATGGAGTAAAGACAAAGCTCTCAGTGAGAACTAGGAAAGACAATAACAAAGCAGAACATCTGTTCTTGGGTTGTAGGGCCTTCCAAGGAAGCCAGGACTGTAGAGGCAAAGATAATGGAAAGGACAATCCTCAAGCTGAGCCCAGCTTTCTATACACTGGTTCTCCCCCTGGGTCATGTGCCAATTCTTGCTACAAAATGAGAAGCTAACAAGCCTGTCAGATGCACCTAAATGGCAGAGAAGCCAGCAGAGCTTTTGATAATCTCATGTAGCTGCTGATACAAAAATTGCATTTGGTGCTGCCAAATTACAGAGAAGTTGAGGGGCCAAGTGTATAAACAGAAGTGATTCCAATCCTCAGCACAAGTTTTTGTTTTGAGGTATTTACCACTTCTTAAGTGGTGTTAGACAAAATGCTAAGAATCTAGTAGAAAGGAACTGGCTAGTGGTATGGAAGAGCTGTTAATAGTCATATCCTGCTAGGAAGATAAAAATGAAATTTAAAAAAAATGCCATAGGAAAAAGGCCCTAGTAAACACCTCAGGTTCTCAAGTAGAATACATGAAGAGCTAAAACATAGGAGGATTTAAAGCAAAGGCAGACTGAGACGTATAAAAACTACAGCCCAGCTTTGAGTTAGCTCAGCCGCCAGCTGGGCTGAGGCGATGTCCCTGTGCCACATATCAAATTACCCTCTCAGGAGGATATTGTCATCCTGTGCCTGTACAGTGTTTCAAATATGTGCTAAATATTTAATAAACCATTATTAAGTATTACAAAAGCAAGACCAAGGGGAAAATAAAAAGACAACAGACTCAGATATGAACACCAAAATAACTGATTAATATGTCAACAAAATCAACAGCAAAATCAATATTTTTTTACTAGAGAACTGGAATCTGTGCATAAAAAAACAAACAAATTCTAAACACGGAAAATAAAATCACTGAAAGAAATCAGTGACTGAGTTTGGCTGCAGATTGGACACAATAGAAGAGAGCCTTATTAAACTGGATGATGGGTCAGAGGACAAAACGATGGAAATTTAATTTTTTTTTTCTTTTTGAGACCGAGTCTCACTCTGTCACCCAGGCTAGAGTGCAGTGGCGTGATCTTGGCTCACTGCAACCTCCGCCTCTCAGGTTCAAGTGATTCTCCTGCCCCAGCCTCCCAGGTGGCTGAGATTACAGGTGTGCACCACTACGCCTGGCTAATTTTTGTATTTTTAGTGGAGACAGGATCTTACCATGCAGGCCAGGCTGGTCTCAAACTCCTGACCTCAAGTAATCTACCCGCCTTGGCCTCCTAAAGTGCTGGGATTACAGGTGTGAGCCACTGCGCCTGGCCTGGAAATTTAGGAATAAAGGAAACACACAAGACATAAAAGCTTTTACCACACATGTGCTTGAAGCTCTAGATGAAAAGAGGAAAAAGATTTGAAGAGATGACAGCTAAAAATGATCTCATACTGATGAATAGGTACATTAAAGTATACTCACCTGATGGGATACCATCTAGCAGCACTGTTTAATGGAGACACAATGCAAGCCACATATGTAATATTAAGCATTCTAGTAGTCACATTAAATAAAGTAGAAAACAAATGAAAAGCATGTGTATAGTACATTGAAAAATGCCCCTCCCAAAAGATTTACATACAAACTTCAGTATAGAATTTTATTTGGAATGTGTCTTTGGTACACAGGTGAGGACCTCAAGATGAGATCATCCTGGATTATAGTGGGCCTGAAATCCAATAAAAAGTGTCTTTATAAGGGATAGAAAAGGAAAAGACACAGAAGACCATGTGAAGATGGAGGCAGAAACTGGAGTGATGTGTCTACAAATCAAGCAACGCCAAGAATTGCAACAACCACCTGAAGCTAGGAGTGAGGCATGGGATGGATTCTCTCTCAGAACCTCCAGAAGGAACTAACCCTCCTGACATCTTGATTTCAGACGTATGGTCTCCAGAAAAATGAGAATAAATTCATGTTGTTCTAAGCCACCAAGTTTGCGGTAATTTGTTACATAGCCCAAGTTAATACATGGTGAAACCATTTTCAGTAACATATTTTATTTAACACAAATCAAAATATTATCATTTGTATCATTTTAATAAGTGATCAATATAAAAAATATGAAGGTATTTTACATCCTGTTTTACATACTGTCTTCAAAACCTAATGTGTATTTTACACTTAGCGCACATCTCAATTCACTGTGCTGTGAAGTTTAGTTTCCTGGTTAAAAATTTAGTTGCTCAGTTTCACTAGCCACACTTCAAGTACTCAACAGTCACATGTGGTTATGGACTATCATATAACATGTTGAACAGCACACTTTATACCAAAAAAAGAGTTAAGCACAGTTACATACAGAAACATGCATGACTCACTGACATGTTCTTGAACAAAAGAAATCAGGTTCAAAAGAAGACATGCTGATGTTTCCTTACACACATTTCAATAAATGCAAAATTAACTGATATTTATAGAAGTGGAAATAGGGATAACCTCATATGGGAATGGTTTAGGTCAGGGAGGGGAATGAGAGGACATTTTTGGAGTAATACTCTACATCTTGACCTAGCTAGTGATGTATACATAAGTATTTCAAGCTACCAACATGACATGACTGAACATGAACTTGGAAGAGATTTGCAAAATCAGTTCTTGCAAGCTGGTGCAAGCCAGCTCTATCCAGCACATATACCTTAATATAAGAGTAAAATAAATAAATCCATGAAGCAGTTGGGGCTTGAGCACAAGTAGTCTGAGCACAAAACCCACTCTCCTAATCCCTCCCTCTACAATGTAGAAATAATCATGATTATTATGATGAGGAGAAAGAGGAGGAGGGAAATGGAGAGGAGATCTTCACTGGACTTTTGTGTTATTCAAAGAGAACATTGGTAAAGGAGCTATTCAGACAAGGCAGAGGTGGGCCCCCTCAACTTTCATTTTCCAACCCACCCATTTCTCAAACCCATCCACGTATACTTCCGTTTAGTGGCAATTACTCTCAGCACACCAAAATGGAGCTGAAGGATGACAACCACCAGCACTCAGAATGGAGCTTTCCCTTCTTACGTATTGTACAATGCTAAATATGCTGTCAAACTCAGGAAATAATACACTATAAGATAATGAAGTGTATTAGACAACAATACCAAAGGCAATATTGAAGTGTCAAATAAAAAATGTATAACAGTCAAATAAAGCAGATGCTCCCAGGCACCTGGCCTGTTTATAGGAGAATATGTATTAAAGCAGAAATAAACAATATGTGCTTGACTGTGTTTCTAAATTTTTACATTTGCTGTGCAAGAAAACTCATGCTGAGAGTCACTGTCTGCATTTCCTAACCTTTGTTAGGACTCTGTGGCCTCAGTGACACAGTACCACAATCATTTGAAATTAACTTCCTGATTGCATTAGCTCAAAGAGATGCCATCTTTAAAAGGTTATCAATTAATGAAAATTCAAATTCAATGTAAACATTGGCCATAAAAGGCCTCGATTCTGTACAGGATAACCTACCCCAGAGGGCAGTATGACATTTGCCCCAAGGCCCATTGTGACATGCAAGAAAGTGAAAACAGTGGTAACAAGGCCCTTTAAAATAATCTAATGCTGTAAAACAGTTTCACTGAGGGGAAAAAAATATGTATCCTGATTCCAATAGTGTAGTAATTAAGAAGCAAAGGACCAGACATCAGCAACCTGAAGTTGAATTCCCATTGTGCTAACTACTAACTGTGCAATTATGAGCAGGTTAATGTCTTTGTGCCTCAGTTTCCTCATTTGTGTACTATAAAATATAATAGTAACTATAACTGTCATACGTATAATATGCAATCTCACAAATACATATATGCCTATCATATGAATGCATGCATGCTTGTGAATGTAATGGACACTTCAGAGCCACACCCATATCCCTCAGATCCCATCAAGTCATGGTGCTCTTATGACTTCTAACTGCCAGAATCTGTATCTGTGCCAAGAGTTCTCCCAGCAGAATCTCAGAAGCTTCCTGGGCCTGTATATGTACCAAACTAGAAGTGATGGAGAATTAAAACCCCTGGGAGCAAGCCCTCAACAAGTAAATGATGGGAGTTGGTGTATAAATTCCCCAGCTCCCTCACTCAAGTGGGATAATTCAGAGGCACAGTATATTATGTAATTTCTCCAAGTCTCCTTGCTCCAATGCCTGTAACAGTGGCATGCTTAATAACTCACGTTGGCTGCCCTTTCTTTGCCATAATTATTTCCCATTCCCCTATTACTGATTCCTGCACTTCATAAATATGCTGCTTGCACACAAATGCTTTTCTCAAGGTCAGCTTCGACTGTGTGTGTATGTATCTGTGTGTAATCCCACTGGTATCATAATCCTAGGCTTGTAGTAGTGAAGGTGATTTATAAGTCAAATGAATACATTTCAACTGATTATAAAATTTATTTATTGAAAATAAAGTAGTCGTATTGATCTTAAATGCTACAATCCATTCACTTTATATAATGGTATTATTTGCTTTAGACTTTGTGTGTGTATGTATACACTATAAAGAAATAATAGTTTCCACCAGAGTGAAATGTCCGGACAACCAAATCTGTAAGTAGCTGAAATGGACACCACTGTTTGCCTATAAAGCATTTATCCCACACTTTTTTCCTTCACAATGTGAAACTCAGTTTTTTCAGGTATCCACCCCACCCCCACATGATTCAGAGAATGGAGACCCATACCCAGACAACAGACCTTGATTAGTCTTAGGCAGTAAGTCCAGACATTCTACTGATAATACCATAGGCATGATACATTGTTACAGGTCATATTTGAGAAAGAGGGATTTTTCTCCCCCTTTTTCCTGCTGGAAAAAAATAAGAAAATAACTACCCTTAAAAGCCACTGGCAGCCACCTTGGAACCATGAGCAAAGCCAGCATTACGATGGCAGAGAAGCAAGATAGGATATTCTGTTTTTGACATATCATCAAACTTCTAATTATAACCAAGTCCATCATCCAACTCAACTTCCAGTTATGGTACTAATAAATATCCTGGTTTGAGACAGACCCTATTACTTCCAATCAAATACAACACAACACAACACCCTTTAAAATGTTTTATTAATTTGGAAGATACTCTTTCTAAAACTGTAACCATTTTGATTATATATGGCCATTATTTAGAACTTGAATTAGTGTGTAACAATACAGTCACAACTTAAGAACAAAATCATAAGTTGGGATATAGGCAGTCTGGGAGGAGGGGTCTAGGTGGCCAGGGCAGCAGAGACAGGGTCATGCTTGTTGAGGGACTCAGAATAGTGGCTATTTTTCAAACAATATGGAAATAGTTCCATATTTTAACCATTGGTATGGCTGTAAGAAAATATACCAGCTGGGCTGGGCATGGTGGCTCACGCCTGTAATCCCAGCACTTTGGGAGGCCGAGGCGGGTGGATCACTTAAGGCCAGGAGTTTGAGACCAGCCTGACCAATATGGTGAAACCCTGTCTTTACTAAAAATACAAAAAATTAGCCAGGTGTGGTGGCAGGCATCTGTAATCCCAGCTACTTGGGTGGCTGAGGCAGGAGAATCACTTGAACCCGGGAGGCAGAGGCTGCAGTGAGCTGAGATCACACCATTGCACTCCAGCCTGGGCAACAAGAGTGAAACTCTGTCTCAAAAAAATAAAATAAAAATAAAGAAAAGAAAATAAAATATACCAGTTGATGATTAGGCTTCTATATAGACATTGTTAACACTTAAGGGGAAAAATAACAAAGAAGTTTAAAATCATTCTTAATCCTACCGTACAGTGATAACCACCATTAAAATATAGCAGTATGTTTTAATGCGAATATAAATATTCACTCTTTTAAACCAAACAAGATTTTTTCTACACATACTACTATTTTGTAACCTGATTTTCTTTACGTATCACCATCTCTCAGTGTCAAAAAATATATATGTGATCATTTAATAATACTTAAGATTCAAGTTTACATGTATGATTTACTAATCCAATATGTTATTGGTGCACATTTATGTTATTTTAAGTTTTACATATATTTGTTAAAAATAAATGTATAATGCACATGATTTTACATATCTTTCTATATCATTTGATTATTTCCCTAGGAAAAATACCAAGAAGTAGAATAGCTAGGTCAAATGTTCATTTACGTATCATGTATCATTTTTGATAAATAGCTCCAAAATAATTCCAAAGGGTTACAAATATATACATATAAACATATAAATATGTATATTATACATATAAATATATACTCGATTCCATCAAATAAACTCCAAAAAGTATTTATCTCAATGTATTTATTTACTTTTAATGCTGGATTTTTACCCTACCTTAAAGTAAATAAATATATTTACTAGAATTTAACATAGCTTTTTAAGCTTTCTAAGAGATTAAAAAAAGTAATTACTTGAAGAAAAACTCATTAAATGGAAACTAAGACTAAGAGAAATAAGATGAGGACAGGTATAATATTAAAATATGAATACGACGAGGTTTACAGCTTAGCATTTTTTACTCTGTAAGAAGTCATATTCAAGGTGTGTTACAAACATCCTGACAAATACTATACCAACTTTCAAAAGGAACTGAAACTGACTCCAGCAAAGCCAAGTGATGACATGAATGAATCAGCTCCTGTTCCTTTTGAAAGTTGGTGTAGTATGCATAATAAATGAATGAATTAATGATGGTAATAAAAAGTCATGTTGATAATTTATGTTATGGACACTAATTAGATGATGACATGTTAATGGAAATGGAATAATTTACACTCAGATGGACATAAAACTATAAAGTTCAATGAATTCTTCAGCCCAGAAAAGAGAATTATTGTTCAAATATTATTACTAGCTCCGATTTCTTTGCTTTATCCTGTCACAAGAATTTCTATCAAAGCTGTATCCTCCAGTAGCCAAAATATTTATATGCATTTTTTACTATATATAAATTTAAAATTAGTGAGGTTAGCCCCATTTATATTTCACAACTTTGTTTCTATAAAGCTAAGTGGACTCTCAGATAATAAGTGGTATACAAGAAGGAGGTGTTAACCTTCAGAACCAATCAGTAACAATGGTCAAAACAAACAAAACCCACAACCTTTCAGTGCTGCTAGAGCTGTCTGTCTGATATGACAGTCACCAGTCACAAACATCTAAATTTAAATGTGCAGTAACTAAGAAAAAATCTAAAAATCCATTTTTTTATTTGGACTAGCTATGTGTCACATGTGGCCAGTGGCTGCCCTATGGGACAGTGCGGATAGCATATTGCCATAATTGCAGGAAGCTCTATTGGACATCACTGCTTGCAGGCTAGAAGCTGTCTTCGAGGAATAAGGTAACACACTTAAATGTATACATGTAAGCTGGCTGACTAGAGTCACAATGTATTTTCCAATGAAATCATGAGTATAAATGATGCCTCGTTGATTCATAAAAGTCTGTTTAACCTTCAATGTAACTGAAATCTTGCAAAGAGGCATAGTTGTAAGTAATTCTATTCTACGCTTATAATTAAACAAAACAGGAAAACAATAATATTGCCTGAGAGATAGTGCTTTATTTCCTGTGACTGCTGTAATTAAGGAATAACAAGTTTAATTTGAGAAAGCAGTGTCCATCTGAACAGGGAATTCTGTGACAATTCATTAAACATATGCTCAGCCTTTCCATCAGTGTTAGAGATGGCCAAGAAATTATTCTCTCTTACTATTTGTTTTTACATGAGATTTGTCTTTTCTTTGACACGAGACTATCACTGCAACTAAATTTACATTCGTTAATTTAGATAGTTAAGTTTTCCCTCACAAATGGAATTTTATTTTATTTATTTTGAGATGGAGTCTCACTCTGTTGCCCAGGGCAGAGCGCAGTGGCATGATCTTGGCTCGCTGCAACCTCTGGTTCCCACAGCTCAGGTAATTCTTGTGCCTTAGCCTCTCTGGTAGCTGGAACTAGAGGAACACCACCACATCTGGCTAAGTTTTGTATTTTTAGTAGAGATGGGGTTTCGCCATGTTGGCCAGGCTGGTCTCAAACTCCTGGCCTCAAGTGATTTGCCTGCCTCAGCCTCCCAAAATTCTAGGATTACAGGCATGAGCCACCACATCCAGCCATAAATGGAATTTTAAAAGAGGAATATAAAGGGAGAAAGTAAACAATCTTTCATAAATTAAGAAAGAGTAGAAAAACAGAAAACATGGAAGGAATTTGTAGCTAATATTTATGTGTGCTAAGCACCTTCACATGCATTATCTCATTAAAAGTGACTGAGGACAAGTGAAAAAATAAAAATGATAAAAAAAAACATAACTGTATACAGAAAATGACAGAAGGAATTAAGGGATGAGAATGTGGGTAGGCATAATTATACTGAGACCAAAATTTTTAAAATATGATAGAACAGACAGAATATATAACTTTACTACTCAAACTATGGTTATATGGTTGAGCGGCATTGGCATCACCTGAGAGCTTGTTATAAATGCAATTTCTCAGGCCCCACCTTAGTTCTACTGTATCATATAATCTTTCAGCAAGATCTCCAAGTAATTCATATGCACTTTAGAGTTTGATGTAATGATACAGCACATACTCAAAAGTAGATGATATCTAGAAAACCTCTGAATTAGGCCAATTAAATTGCCCCCTAGGAGAGTGTCAGATATTTTCAGTGATGCACCCATAAACGATTCCCAAACTGTTTTTTTCTTGCCTGTCCCCAATAAATGAGGATTTAAAAAAGCCAAATACTTGCTTTCTCTTTCTCTCTTGCAGCTAAAAGTAGCAATGACCAGTCAGGGGACAGGGAGATATAATGAAATTCTATAGGGTGGTTTCTGAAAAAGACTTACCTCCCTGATAAAGGTAGAGGTAGTGAAGTGAGTCATCCCTGCCACTTACTCACATCTTTTCTCCTAGGAGTCTTATTGTGAAGATATGATGCTCAGAAATGGGACAGCCATTTTACAGCTGAGAAAAGAAGACACCAACACCCTAAGAATAGCTAAATGAAGAGTTAGAAAGAGCCTGGGTCCTTGGTGACATCACTGAGACTTTACAACCAAATGCCCACTTTTGGACTCATGTTTTGTGAGATAATTAAATATCCTTTTGTTTAAGTCCCTGTTCTGTTACTTGCAACTGAAATCATTCCTAATTGGCAATAGGAACAGCAGAGAGTTTGAGAAAGAAATAGAGATGGGAGATTCAGCTATTCCATGTATAGAAAAGTGAGTAGGATAGTCAAAACTCAGAACCAACCCAGTAATCTTTAGTGATACTACAGATTTGATTAAACCACTTATTTCAGATCTGAAAGCATTGCGTGTATATATCTTTTCTCTTAAAATAAATTTAATGGTCAGTAAGTCTCTAATTTACTTCATATTTTACAGATTAAATCTGAGTCATACTTGAGTTTTAGTCCTGGATTTTAAAAACTGTTTATCTAAATCAGTGATTAAAAATGACAAGCTTTGCTACTTGCTTTTTAACCAGGTTACTTTCAAATCTTATTTGTTTCAGACTGTGCATTATTGTTGCTACACATGCACTACACTTCATGAAACCTACTAAAGTATAGTTTCAGTTCAAAAGAAAAGTAGGTATCAAAGTGATATGTGAAATAAACAGGTTATATTTTCTCCAAACTTCTCATAATTAAAAACAATTTAAACAAAGAAGATTTTCTCCCACTTTGTTTCCTTTCCTCTCAGTTAACAAAATCTCCTTTGGAAAAAGAATAAAAATGCCAGCCTCTATGTCTGTTTGGAATTGAAATTTTCCATGATACTTCAGCCGAACTCTACCAGTACAAGAGAGTGCTACTGCTGCTGTTTCTGGTGTAACAAAAAGAAAGTTCTGTAAAAGGCTTCAATTACCAGAATGTTCAAGGATTAGGGTTTAAAACTTATTATTTAAGAACATTCATTTTGTAATGAAAGAATGTATTTCAACTCTTGTGGATGAAAATCTTTTATAAATCTATAAACGCATTTTCTTCTTTACCATTATAACATTAATATAACTCAGACTTACAGACCACTGTGAACTTTCATGGTCATCCTGCCAATTAATAATATTCGTGCCATACACAGGTTAAAATAAAAGATTAATGTGTTTAGACTTACTATGTATGCATTCAAGGAGATACATTGAAGAGATATATAAGGATTCTTTCTGGATTTTATTTAGGGGTGGGGGTTGCATGTTTTTTTCTTGGTTCAGACTTTTTTTGGAGGATGCTAATTTGCCATAATCTCTCTTCTCTAAAGATCATGTCCAATAAATAGTTTAGGTTATTCGAAGATTCATATAATATATAACAATATACTCAAAGTTAATACATACATAGCGAAGTAACGGTCAAGTTTTAATATGCATATGAATCACCTAGAGATCTTGTTGAAATTCAGATTCTGTTTTAGTGGATCTGGTCTTGGTCCTGAGATTCTGCCTTTGTCACAAGCTCCCAGGTAATGCCAATGCTGCTAGTCCACAAATCACACTTTGAGTAGCAGAGCTCTATAGCATTTTCTAGTTCATAAAGTACACAAATTTATATAATCTCATAATTTGCACCATATTCCCATGATATAAATGAAGAAGCACGTTTCGGAGATCTTCAGATTCTTACTCAAGGATTTAAGTAACAAATGTGACATTCCAATAACAAGTCTAGTGTCCTTTAGAAAGGATATTAGACTTGTTTCAGATTATATGGGTTTCTAAAGTCTAAAGACCTTTTCCAAAAAAAGGACTTTCCCCTGTATCCTCCCTGGGGTGAGACACCTAGCCCTTTCAATTAAACTAGAACTAATTTTGCAGTCCTTCAGTTTGTTCAGACCAAATATTATCTAGTCAATGAGTGTGATAAATCCATCAATTAATTTTGTGGAATAAAACTGAAGGATCAATTTGGCTTTACTTACACATCAGAACACATTGTAATTTGGGCTTTAATTAGATATTAGAATGTTGTACAGAGAGAAATGTCCACTTAAATGTACTATGTGCCATTACTATTCCAGCTTTACATAGAGCAGAATTTAATATAATTTTAGATGGGAGAAGGTGTGGAAAACATACTCTTTCTAATTCAGAAGGTGTTTCTCATGGTATAAGGAAAACAGCATTCAAATTTCATTTTATTCCCTCTTTTGTCTTCCCCTCCTTCTCTTCTCATCTCCCCGCTCCTTCCTTTTCTTCCACTGCATACACATCTATAAAGCCCTTTAGGATCTCAATTCATTATTATGATTCAACTAACTGAAAATGTTTAAATCCCTATGAGAGTCTGAGAGTAGCAGAAAATCTGATTATTTGGAGTGCTGTTGGCTAGCTCATACTATCCATATTTAAGGAAGCATCCCGCCACAGCCATCTAGAATGAGCATATGGCAGACCTCTCTATGCAACATTATTCAGTCATTGTTCATTATGTTTGAATTAACAGTGACAGCACACGTCATGCTTATTAGATGATGATTCTATTTAATTCCCTATTATCTATTAAAATCTCTCAGCTCTTACAGAAAAAATACACAAAAAAGTCATAAACAGAGACTTGAGGACCACCCGCATATTACTTTACCCAACCTTTTCAAAATATAGTTACTACTTTACTTTTAAAAACACCACCATCAAACTGATACTGTAACGTCATACTTCTGATTCTGATCAGAGTGTTAGGAGGAGAAAACGGATTGTTGCTTTGAGCCAAGTGCATTCCTTTGGGGGATTGGTGGGGTGTGGGTGACACTGATTTGTAGAGTTGCCAGGTGATGAAAAGATGGCTTCAGTGATGGCATCAAAATACAAAATACATCAGCATTACTATTACTTTATTCTACACAGCTGCCATTTTATTAATAGCTCTAGTGCCAGGAAGACTAAAAATGTGGGCCAGCATGGACCTGATGAAAGACTACTGCCTCGGTCACATACACTTCAAATATTGCCCAACTCACCAGCTATAGGAGAGGATATGAAAAGTTTACTGCAAGGTAACCATTTAAGAGTTATGTGAAGTAAGGCCTCAGTCCTGAGAGTTAGTTCAAGTAAGGCACGCAGGGGGCTTTTTAATGGATTTTTCTGATATCTAAGTCTTATTACCACCTATTAATCTCTCATCCAAAGTGACCACTATGTCATTGGAATATAGGCAGCAGTGAGATTGAAAAAAATAGGCTCCAGTGTCTCCCATGCTTTGCATTTGAGACCTCAGTGTTCTGAAGTTGTAAGTCACCCACTGCTACACCTTCCATTACCATTCAGAGACCTTGCTTTTTCCCTACTTTGATTTGATTAAACTATGCTCACAGATTTTATACTTGTTTACCATACCACAGTATGAGAATCAAGAACTCTACTCTTTGAGGCTTTCCAAGGATCTATCTGTTTGAAACTATCATAACAAAATAGGATTAAGGTATGCATTTTGTGGGTTTTATGATTCCTAATGTTTCCTTGGAAATGGTCATCTCTTTATGAAAATGGGCAAAGTAATAAAATCATTCACAGTAAAGATTAAAATAGCACACATAGATATGCCTCTGACTTAACAGGGGCAAAATGAACTCATTACATTTAGGTTTCATTAACTCTAAGTAAATCCTGTTTTCAGGAATGTTTATTATTTATTGAAAACTGAGTTACAAAAGTTTTCTTCAGCAGAAAAACTAAGGTAAAGATTAAACAGTAGCTTAAAGACTAAACATTCATTTATTAAGTGATTTTATTTAACTAAAGAGAAGAACATAACCTATTCAATGCTTAGGTTCAATTGTAAACAAATGTCCACCCCCTCTAATGTCAATAATGATGATATTCTAATAACATTTCTTAAAATCTTTTCCATTTTTCAATCATTTTCTATATGGTTTGAGCTATTACCAATCCAATGAACAACCATAAAATTTACATGTGGACTTAATGATGAATGTCCCCCTAAAAAAATAAACGAAGTCCTAACTTCCAATACTTTAGAATTTGAATTCATTTGGAAATAGAGTTAAGGAAATCAGGTTAAAATGAGACATTAAAGTAGATCTTAATCCAATCTGACAGTGTCCTTATAAAAAGGGGGAATTTGACACAGACAGGCACAGATGGAAGACAACATAAAGAGACTTAGGGATAAGATGGTCAACTACATGTCAAGGAATACCTGAGGCTACCAGAAGCTAGGAGAGGCATGGAAGGGGTCCTGCCCTAATGCCTTCAGAGGAGTATTGTCCTGCTGACACCTTGATTTCTAGCTTCCAGAACTGTATATCTAGCTTCTAGAACAATATAGCTTTGTTGTTCCGAGTCTGTGGTGCTTTGCTATGCCAGCCCTAGGAAACTTATACAAGGTTCTTCTAATCTCTTACAGAAATATGAACTAATCTTGTCCAAAGGCTCAAAAATGGTAGGCTTGGCACAGAGAAAAATGTATGAGTTCCAAAAGCTCCACAGCTGGAGCCCAATTATGATAATAGACTTATGGGTGGGGAGGAGGAGAAGGAGGAAGAAAATGAGGAGAAAGTAGAACAATGAGGAAGAAGAATTGCAGATTTAAAAAAGAGGGAAAAATGGGAAGAGAAGAAAAAAAAGAAAAACAGAAGAGAATGGAGGGAAACGAAGGAGATAGGAGAAAAAATAAAAGAAAACAACTTGTCATGACTCAGGCAAGAAGATGGAAGGAATATGATGATAAAAACAGGTGCAGGGGTAAGAAGGAAGAGAAACTGAAGAGGTTTTATGGGTTTGGGGTAAGGGTGGTGCACCCCCCAAAAATTCATCCTGCCATAAAATTGAAATGTCTGAGTTTCAAGCAAAATAAGTGAAAGGAAAGAAAAGAAAAGAAGAGAAAAGAAAAGAAAAAAAACAAACAAAATCTGGCCTCAGAAGTTACTCACTATGAAAGCCTTCATGTCTGAGGCCAAGGGAAAAGGGCAGAAAGGAGATAGTAAGGAAATTTCTATCTGTAAGACTTGCTTGAGTTGGTCCTTACTTACCTCGTTTGCTTGTTATTTCTTAAGAATCTCTGTATCTTTCTCCTTTTTTACCTTCTGTGGTTGTGATCTGTGAGGAAAAATGTGTATTTCTCCCAGATTCAGCCTATATTTATCCTGCAAGGGATGAAATGCACTTATGATGTAAGATTTAAATTTGACCACTAATTACTTTATTATCACCTTTCATTTGCCCCTTTGTTTTTCAATAATGCCTAGCTACTCCTATTTCTGAGAGAGAATTTCTTTTGTCATTTCTTGTGAATTTCTAGGTATCCTCCATACATCAGACAGAAATCTCTTTGATGTTTTGGAGAACATATTTTGTTTTTAGCTCTAGGTTTCTTTTGCTTACCTGAAGTCAATCATTTTCACCATTCTTTTTTCTTTAAATGATGCTCTATTGGAGCGTATCAACATAGAAGTTGATTGTTTGCTTCCTAGACGGAAGCGCTATGGTTACAAAATTGCTGAATTTTTAAATTTACATAATGAATCTTCAAGTAATATGCTTATGTATCCTAGAAAAATTTCAAACAAAGTTCTTCTTTATTATGACTTCTTTATTAGTAGGGGCCTATAATTTCATTGCATAAATATCCTCGCTTATTCAGCATTTAGACATTAAGTACTTATGTGCCTGGCACTATGTTAAGCAGTGATTCATACACAAAATACATAATTAAACACAGATATCATTATAACTAGATCTTCAAGAGAATGGTAATGTTTAATACTCATTCCAGATAGTGACAGAAAAAATTGTGTCCTCAAACCCTGCCCTTGAAAACTAGGCTAAGTTTAATAATATAATGGAAGAAATTGGCCTAGTTTCCATTTCCACTAAAAGAGTTTTTTTTTCGGAGGGGGAGGAATTAATAAATAAGATTAAATTATGGTTCTATTAATTGCTGATGAAATAAAATTAAAAGGCCGGGCACAAAGGCTCACGACTGTAATCCCAGCACTTTGGGAGGCCGAGGCGGGAGGATCACGAGGTCAGGAGATCGAGACCATCCTGGCTAACACAGTGAAACCCCGTCTCTACTAAAAATACAAAAAAATTAGCCAGGCGTGGTGGTGGGCGCCCGTAGTCCCAGCTACTCAGGAGGCTGAGGCAGGAGAATGGCATGAACCCAGGAGACAGAGCTTGCAGTGAGTCGAGATCGCGCCACTGCACTCCAGCCTGGGCGACAAAGCGAGACTCTGTCTCAAAAAAAAAAAAAAAAAAAGAAAGAAAGAAAATTAAAGTATTAATGATTGTCATTAATACTTTACAGATGACAAAATGAATGCATAGAAAGGTAAGTAACTTATTTAAGAGGTCACAGAAATAATAAAATACAGAACCAGATCCAACCATGTATGTCTGTTCACAGAACAACTAATAAGAGAGAACCCACATTCTAAAAATCATATCCACAAGCTAGATTAAACTTTGGTTAAAAATATGCCCTCACATTTTATAGAATAATATCCTTTGATTCGTACTTTTGCAAAATACCATTTTTAACAAGCTCTAAACCCAAGAGAGTAATAATATTTCAAGAAAGAAATATAATGAAAACTACAGTAAGCAGGGTTTTAGAAATCTCAGAATGTGAGCTGTCTTTTGAAATAGTTACTCAAGAAAAACATAATTGGCAATTCGATAAAATAAAAAAATGTATATATGATCATTTGAGTAAAGGAAATAACAGATGGCAAATAGAATCTTTAAAAATACAATTCTGTTGAACAATGCACACTGGATTGTAAAACAGTCATTTCTAGCCTGAACAATTTTCTTCCCAAAGAAAAATTCTCCTGTCAGTTACAAAGTTTATATCAAATCTACCATTAAATGCCCCCACCCACACATACACACAAAAGAGGAAAAAACATTGAATCATTGAATGGCAGAAATGTAAGTCACCTTAGAGACTATGTCCAATCCTCTTACAGAGGATGAAATCTCAGACCAGAGATTTCAAATGTGGTAACAATAGTAGATGGAAATCCTGTGGTCAAAATGCATTAGATGTTAATATGGGAATGCTAATAGCATATGCCCAAATTATTCTTTTTTATCTACATAAAAGAAGATTTAAAAACTTCTTGAACTAATAAACATATCAGGCTTCTCTATATGAAGCTTGGCATATTTATTATTTCAAGAACTTCACAACTCTATGAAGAATATGTAGTGCTAATACAGCCTTTGAAATTCCACTATTAATTTATTCTGCTTTCCATATTTCATCAACATTTTCATCAACACATTTTTTCTTTATTTTGGCAATGAATCCTTTCCACGGACTTTCACACGTTTCACATGCTAATGCTGCATTGTTTCCTCAAAATCTTGAAATCTGAGGCAGAGATAATGACTCCATGTCTTCTTCCAGAGCACACAGGTAAAGTACCAACCACTGCTGTAGGTAGGCTGGGGCCACCTCACTGAGTTTTGGTCGATGACACATGGCTAGAGGAGATGTAAAATACCTTAAAATATGTTGTGTGTTCTGCAAGCTTCTCTTTTCTTCTAATGGTTTTAGTGGAAGTCATTTGTTCCACATGATATAGCTTTAACACCGAAAAATTCTAGGTCCCTGAGTCATCACATGAAAGACAGCTATACTCAAGAGAGCTGAAACACGTGGTACTATAATGTGGATGATGATCTTTTACTATGTCACATCAGTGATATTTTAGGATTTGTTTGTTACCACAGCATAGCCTAACCTAGTCTAACACAGGAAACAACTCTGTGTATATTCATTCTTGGGGCAGTGCTTGTTACAATTCTGAGTGTCTACAACACATTCACATGTGGCATCCCAAATAGTAAGGATGTTGATGTGAAATAAAAACTCTAACAAGAAAGTTAAATAATTAGCCTTCTTTTCTTTTTCTCTGGAATTTCTCACTTCCATCTTTCTCATTTTCCATCTACCCTGGGAAGTGATTTTGATCTCTCTGAAACTCCAGCACCATATTTATCAGATAACTGTACTTGGTCAGCCTTCTTCTCCATTTCAATACTACCAACTATAGGCTCAGGTCTTTGATGTCTGACTCGATGACAGAATCGAATGATTCACTGGGATCATTTGTGCATCACTGATTTCCTTCATTTTGATATTTACTTAGGACAGCAACTCTAACTGACCAATGTACGTTATAAACACAGATTGTAACTGAAATTTCTGCATATATGATGATGACATAGAATCAAATATCTTTTAGTTAGTATTTCTTCCCATTTCTTCAGATTTAGGCACTATTATAGCCAACAAACACCCTCCATACGCTTTTGATTAAACAGGACCACCAGAAAGTAAATTATAAAATTTTTTAACTTTCACTTTTTCCCTTGATAAGTGGTTTATATAAATATGATATTCATTTAATCTATGTTGATAGAAGTAAAAGATTCCATTAATTTCAAAGCATCAAGAGCACACAGATCCACGTAGTTCTTTTCCATGGGTATGGGAAAGTGTTAAGATTTCAGAAGGCTTTCAAGGAGAGAATTTTCTTGAATCAGAGTGGAATATTGGATCAAGGGCTCATTTCTCTTTTTTCCCCGACAATGTCTTTGCTGCATGATATGAGACATAGTTGTTATAGTGATGGGGAAGGAGAAGGCCTAATCTAGAAGGAGATTTTTAAATTCTGAATTAAGAATGAATTTGGGAAGAGTTTGCTACCCTCAAATTGGCAGGAATTATAAAGTCAATAAAACCTCCTAACATTTGTGAGACAGACAAGTATTTATATTCTCTCTATATTTTTCTTTTCTAAAGTAATATGATCATTATGTGCCAAAAGAGGGTGGGAAATATTTGTAGCAATAAGGCACCAAGAAACAGCCTAATACCATGAAAGAAATGTGGAAAAAACAGCTGCTTTCCTGTAACAAATAGAAAAAAATTATTTTGAAGATATGTAAAGAATTGCTTGAAGGACTAGAAGCTTTTATCCATAGAAAGATGGCAAAAGGAGAATCTGAAAGAATTTTCAGGGAAATGAAACAGTATGTCCCAACAACTATGTGGGAAAGGGAGCATGACCCCTTCAGGAAACTGCAGAAGCTCAGAAAACTCAGAAAAGCAATAGCAAAGAACATAGCAAATAAAGCAGTTGAAAAATGTTCAAAATTTTGCTGTGAAAAAGTTGGGTAAAGAATTTTCTTTCCCTTTGGGTTTCAAGATGGATGACTATAAGCATTTCATGCCCACTTCCTCCACTTACAAGAATCAACATGGTATATAGACAGTCATACTTTAAATACATTATAAGAGAGAATGCTGGAATTCAACAGAGAAGTGGCAGGAAACACTAAAAGCAGGGGAAAGGAAGGGACAGAGGCAGCCTGCCAGGCTTGGATAAGCTGGAAGCCTGAAACGACTTCCTAATATGGGGAATGGGTGAGTGAGAGACTTCCAGCAGCCCACATCCCAACCATGAAATCATACAATACTGGCTATGGGAGAACCCAATGCCTGAAACTAACATAGGGAGCTGCCGGGACAGTGGGAGACGGTGGGATGGAACTGCTCCAGGAAGGGAATTCATGCTGAGCTCCACACATTTTCTAAGACCTAAGCAGCTACAGCAGGGTGCCATTTTCAAATAGTCTTTGGGAGACTGCACACTCTCCTGGAGTCCAGCAGCACCAGAGCTAAGGCATTACAGAAACTTAGGCTGTCACTGCTGGGTGTGGAAGATCTCTCACAGCTGAGTTAAGAAGTGAGTAAGATATGCCAATATTGGAAAAATGAGTGCTGCGTGGATGGAGAACAGAACATGGCAGGTTATGAGTTACTCCTGAGACTTGGTTGCCAGCTGAGTTGAGCCTCCTGCACTTAGGGAGGAGAATATAAACTGGGTGTGAGGTAGGCATGGGCTACTGCCACCAAGGCTAGGGGGTAAGACCCTCTGGACTGGGGCGTGAGAGAGATACATATTCTCCACCAGCTGCTGCTCCAGATTGTGACCACTGAGGTCAGTCTCACCCTCTCCAGTGCCAGGGCCTCAGTGTGGTTGATTCCATACCTCACCTGAGCACTCTGCTCTCACCACTGGGGGGCCTGAGCATAAACCCATTCAATCTGGCTTTGCAATCCCTCAAGACACAGCACACAGCCTGGGGTCCTGCCAAGCCAAATCCACCACCTGGGACACCTAAACACTTCTCTCAGAGGCCTGAGGTTGGGCCTCAACTCCCAGCCACTACCACCTCAGTTGATACCTACCTGCAGGTACCATCTGCAGTCCTGCAGACTGGCTAGCTCAGCCCATCACAGCTACTGCCGACATCAATGCACACCATCCAGGACCCAGAGAATCATCCTAGCACTGCTACAGCTATTGCTCACACCATGCCCACTGCCCAGGGGCCTGAGAGCCTACCCAGGCCAATGTTGCCACTACTGGCATCCAAGCAAGCCATTTGGAGGCCCAATAATTAGCCATTGGTATATACCAACACAGGTGCCAATGTATACCATCCTGGGGGCACAAAGGTGTGCACACTCAGTATACTGCTCAACACTGTGGACTTAAGACTGACCTAGCTGGCTCCCAATCCCCACCACAACTTTATCACAGCTTTCACTAATAACTACACTCTAACCCACCAAGAAAATCATAGATGGTACTAACGCTGTTTACAGCCAAATAAATCTTACAGAGACTACACTATAGCACACACCAAGAATTAAAGTCAAAGTACCCTATCCAACTAATATCATAGATACACCTTTCAGAAAAAGTTCTCCTCCATGAAAATAAATTAAAAAATAGAAGAAATTACTGCTACACCAGATGTGCAGATATCACCATAAGGACTAAGGAAACAGAAATGTAAGGAAATATGATACCTCCAAAGGAACATAATAATTCTCAAGCAATAGATATCAAGAAGAAAATTTTGAAATCACACATAAAAATTCAAAACATTTAAGAAGTTTAGTGAGACACAAGACAATTCTGAAAAACACTGCAAAGAAATCAGAAAAAAAGATTCAGAATATGAATAAAAAACTTACCAAAAGACAGATACTTAAAAAAAAGAAATTCTAGAACTGAAGAATTCATTAAAAGAAATACAAAATACATTTGAAATGTTTAACAGTAGACTAGATCAGGTAGAAGAAAGAATCTCAGAACTTAAAGACAAGTCTTCTGAAATAATTCAGTAAGGAAAAAAAATAAAGAACAAAATAATAATAAAGAACAAAGCCTTCATGACATTAGAGACAACATAAAGCAATCAAATATTCAAATTATTGGTTGCCCTGAGAGTGAAGAGGAAAAGAAAGGATTAGAAACCTATTTAATGAAATAATAGAATAAAACTTCCCAAGTATAGCAAGAGATTTCAACATGCAGTTACAGGAGGCTCAACAATTTCTAGGCAGATAGAAGCAACAAGATATTCTCCATGGCACATTATACTCAGACTGTTTATAAAGTTATCTATAAAGAGCAAATCCTATAAACAGCAGGGGAAAATCAGTTAGTCACTGATAAAGGAAGCCCATCAGACTAACAGCAGATTTCTCAGCAGAAATCTTACACATCAGAAGGGAATGGGAAGATATATTTAAAGTGCCAGAAGAAAAAAAAGTTCATCAGAAATACTATATCCAGTGAAATTACCCTTCTTAAATGAAGGAGAATAAAGTATTTCTCAGAAAAGCAAATACTGAGAGAATCTGTTACCACTAGACCGGCCCCACAAGAACTGCTCGAGAGAGTACTGAGCCTGGAAGCAAAAAGATGTCATTTGCCATCATGAAAACACAAGAAATTATAAAACTCACTGGGAAAGCAATCAAACAAAGGAAGAAGAGAAAGGACTAAAACGGTACCACTACAGAAATCTGTCAAATCACAACAACAATCAATAAGAGAAAAAAGAAACAATATACAAAACAACCAGAAAACAATCAACAGTATGACAGGAATAAAGCCTCACATACCAATAACCTTGAATGTGAACAAACTGTATTCTCCACTTAAAAGTACACAATGGCTGAATGGGTTTGAAAACAAATATTACTACATCTAAAGAGAGAGACTACAACATAGTAATAGTCGGGAGTTCAACATCTCACTCTCAGCATTAGGCAGATCATCTAACAGAAAATTAATACAGAAACATTGGATTTAAACTAGACTTTAGGCCAAATGGGCCTAACAGACATTTACAGAATATTGTATTCAAGAATTGCAGAACATACATTCTTTTCCTGAGCACTGGAACCTTCTTTATGATAGACCATATATCAAGCCACAAAGCAAGTCTCAACAAATCTTTAAAAAATTAAAGTCATATTAAGTATCTTCTCAGACCACAATGGAATAAAACTGGAAATCAATACCAAGAGAAACTTTGGACACTATACAAATGCATAGAAATTAAACAACATGCTCCTGAATAATGATTGGGTCAATGAAGAAATTAAGATAAAATGAAAAATTTTCTTGAAACAAGTGAAAATAGAAATACATCCCCAAACCTGCAATATACAGCAAAAGCAGTGCTAAAAGGTTGTTTACAGTATTAAATGCCTACATCAAAAAAGTAGAAAGATTACAAATTAACAATATAACAATGTACCTCAAGTAACTAAAAAAGCAAGAACAAACTAAACCCAAAATTTGAAGAAAAAAATAAACAAAGATAAGATTGGAACAAAATAGAGACTAGAAAAATACAAACGAGAAACAAAATTAATAAACATTGTTAGACTAATCAAAAAAAGGAGAGAGAAGACCCAAATAAATGAAATCAGAAATGAAAAAGTACACATTACAACTGATAACACAGAAATACAAAAGATCATCAGAGACTACTATGAACTGACAAATGGGAAAATCAAGAGGAAATGTACACATTCTAGGAAACGTACAACATATCAGGATTGAATCAGAAAGAAACAGAAAACCTGAACAGAACAATAACAAGTAGTTAGATTAAATTAGTAATAAAAATTCTCCCACCAAAAAAAAAAAAAAAAAAAGGCCAGGACCAGATAGATTTACAGCTAAATCTGACCAAATGTACAAAGAAGAATTAATACCAATCCGTCTGAAAATACTCCAAAAAATCAAAGAGCAATTCTTCCTGACTCATTCTATAAAGCCTTATCCTAATACCCAAACCACACAAGCACACACACAAAAAAGAAAACTAAAAATCAATATCTCTGATGAACAGAGATGCAAAAAATCCTCAACAAAATACTAGCAAACCAAATCCATTAAAAACATCAAAAAGTTAATACAGGATGATCAAGTGGGATTTATACCAGAGATGCAAAGATAGCTCAACATATGAAAATCAATAACAATGATATATCACATCAATTGATTGAAGGACAATAGCCATATGATCATCTTAACAGATCTAGAGAAAGCATGTTTTTAAAAATTCAACATCCCTTCATGATAAAACCTCTCAACAAACTAGGTATAAGAAAGAACATACTTCAAAATAATAAAATCTATATATGCCAAGCCTACAACTTATATTGAATGTGGAAAGGTTGAAAGCCTTTCTCTAAGAAGTGGAACAAGATAAGAATGCCCACTTTCACCATTCCTATTCAATATAATACTGGGAGTCCTAGCCAGAGCAATTGGACAAAAATAAACAAATAAATAAATAAAATGCATCTAAAGTAGGAACTAAGTCAGATTACCCCTTTTGGCTAATGATCTGATCTTTTATCTAGAAAAATAAAAAGACTCCACCAAAACCCCTTACATTTGATAAACAAATTTAATAAAGTTACAGGATATAAAATCAATGCACAAAAATCAGTAACCAGTAGTGTTTATATATATCAATAATGATCTAGCCAAGAAGGAAATTAAGAATGCATTACCATTTACAGTAGCTCCAAAAAATAAAAATAAAATACCTGAGAATAAATTTTACACAGGAGATAAAAGGTCTCTACAAGGAAAACTACAAAACACTGATGAAAGAAACTGAGTATGACACAAACGAATGGAAAAACTTCCCATGCTTATGGGTCAAAATAATTAATATCAATAAAATAACCATATGGACCAAAGCAATCTGTAGATTCAATGCAATTTGTATCAAAATACCAACATCATTCTTCACAGAATTATATAAAACAATGCAAAAATTCATATAGAACAATGAAAGAGCCTGAACAGCCAAAGCAATCCTGAGCAAAGAGAACAAAGCTGCAGGAATCACACTATCTGACTTCAAAATACATTACAGGGCTATACTAATCAAAACATGACATTCATATAAAGATAGAAAATATAGACCAAGGGAACAGAATAGAGAACCTGGGAGAAAAATGCCTCGTATTTTTAGCCAACTTTTCTTCAACAAAGCCAACAAAACCTTACACTGGAAGAAAGGATACCTTCTTCAATAGATAGTGCCAGGACAATTGGATGGTCACATGCTAAAGAATGAAACTCGACCCTCTATCTCTCACCATATATAAAAATCAACTCAAGATGGATTAAAGGCTTAAACATAAGACACAAAACCATAAAAATACTAGAAGCAAACCTAGGAAAACCTTTCCTGGACATTAGTCTAGGCAAAGAATTTATGACTAAGACCTCAAAAGCACAGGAAACAAAACAAAAACAGGCAAATGAGACTACATTAAGCTAAAAATAATTAATATAGAAAAGGAAACAATTAACAGAATGAACAATCTGTTGAACAGGAGAAAATAATTTCAAACTGTTCATCCAACAGGGGGTTAATATCCAGAATATACAAGGAACTCAAACACCTCAATATGGAAAGAAAAACAAACGATCCCATTTAAAAGTGAGCAAAGGACCTGAATAGACATTTCTCAAAAAAAAAAAAACATGCAAATGACCAATAGGTATATGAAAACATGCTCAACATAACTAGTCATCACAAAGATGCAAATCTAAACCTCAACGAGATGCCATCTTAGTCAGAATAGCTATTATTTAAAAGACAGAAAATAAGGTGTTGGCAAGAATGTGGAGATAAGGACATTCTTATATATTGCTCATGAGATGTAAGCTAGTATAGCCACTATACAAAATGGTATAGAGATTTCTCCGAAAACTGAAAATGGAATTACCATTCAATCCAGCAATCTGACTACTAGGTATCTACCTATGTCAGGCTATTCTTGCATTGCTATGAAGAATTACCTGAGACTGAATAATGTATAAAGAAAAGAAGTTTAATTGGCTTGTGGTTCTGCAGGGTGTAAAAGCATGACACCAGCATCTTCTTACCTTCCAGGTAAGCCTCAGGGATCTTTTTACTCATGGCAGACACGAAGTTGGAGCAAACATGTCAAATGGCAAAAGCAGGAGCAAGAGAGAGGGAATGTGGGGGGAGGTGCCACACACTTTAAAAGCACCAGATCTCGTGAGAACTCACTGTCACAGAGACAGCACTAAGCCATGAGGGATCCACCCCCATGATCCAAACACCTCCAATCAGGCCCACCTCCACCATTTCGTATTACAATTCAACATGAGATTTGGGTGGGAACAAATATGCACATTATATCACTACCCAAAGGAAAAAACATCAATACATCAAAGTGAACCTTCATTCAAGTATCTTGCAGCACTGTTCACAATAGCAAAGATATGGAATCAACTTGTGTTCATCAATAGATTAATATAGAAAATGTGATGTATATATGTATGTATACACACACACAATGGAATACTATTTGGCCATAAAAAAGAATGAAATCATGTCATTTGCAGCAACATGATTGGAACTTAGAATCATTATGTTAAGTGAAATATGCCAGGCAAAAAAAAGACAAATATTGGCGCATTCTCACTTATATGTGGGAACTAAAATACTCGAATACATGGAGGTAGAAAGTAGAAAGATAGACAGTGGAGGCAGGATAAGTGAGTGGAGGGGCACAAAAGAAGTGGGAAAAGATAAAAGAACAGAAAAAATTTGGAAAAAATACTGTCTAAAAACTTCCCAAATTTGATGGAAAATATTAACCTACACATTCAAGAACCTTGACTAACTCCAAGTAGGAAGAACTTAAAGACTCAAACACATACACAATCCAACTATCAGCTATGAAGACAGAAAATCTTAAAAGCAGCAGAGTATTAACTCATTATGTACAAAGAATCCTCAATAAGGTTAATAGCTGATTTCTCATCAGAACCCATGGAAGCTATAAAGTAGTGGGATACAATATTCAAAGAGCTAAAAGAAAATGACTGTTAATCAAGAATTTTATAGCCAGCAAAAATATCATTCAAAAATGAAAGAAAAATTGATACATTACCAGGTAAACAAAAACTGAGAGAACTAGTCACTAGCAGATGTGATCTACAAGAAATACCAAAGGAAGTCCTTAAGAATGAAATGAAAGGTCCCTAGACAGTAACTTAAACTCACATGAAGGAAATAAAGAGTACCAGTAGGCCAGGCGTGGTGGCTCACGCCTGTAATCCCAGCACTTTGGGAGGCCGAGGCGGGCGGATCACGAGGTCAGAAGATTGAGACCATCCTGGCTAACACGGTGAAACCCCGTCTCTACTAAAAATACAAAAAAAAAAAAAAGTTAGCCGGGCGCGGTGGCGGGTGCCTGTAGTCCCAGCTACTCAGGAGGCTGAGGCAGGAGAATGGCGTGAATCCGGGAGGCGGAGCCTGAAGTGAGCCGAGATTGCGCCACTGCACTCCAGCCTGGGTGACAGAGCGAGACTCCGTCTCAAAAAAAAAAAAACAAAAAACAAAAAAAAAACGTACGTACCAGTAAAGGTAACTACGCAAATAGAAAAGATAATATAAATTGATATCTTGTTTTTACACTTCCTTTTTTTCTATCTGATAAAAAGTGCACAAAACAATAATTATAAATCTGTATAGATCAGTAGATATGTACCAAATGTTTGTGTCCCATGCAAAATTCATACATTGAAACCATAATGCCCAATGTAATGGTATTAGGAGGTAGGGCCTTTAATAGGTAATCAGTTCATGAGGGTGGAACCTCCATCATGGAATTAGTGTCCTTAGAGGAAGAGAAAGAGACTAGAGATCATTTGCTTTCTGCATGCACTCACCAAAGACTACCATGTGAGGACATAACCAGAAAGAGGGCCCTCACCAAGAACCTGACTATGCTAAGTTCTTGGTTCTCACACTGAACTCAGACTTCCAGCCTCTAGAACTGTGAGAAATAAATGTTTCTTGTTTAGAAATAAATGTTTGTTGTTTAAGCTACTTGGTCTATTGTATCCTGTTATAGCAGCCCTAAGAACATAATTTATACAGATGTTATTTGTATGGCAACAATATTACCAAGGACGGCAGGGAGAATGGAGCTATATAGAATCACATTTTTTTTATAATATTGAAATTAGGTTTCTATTGATCTGAGTAGATTGTTATATGTTAGTATGTTCATTATAATTTTCAAGGCCACCATTAACAAAATAAACTGTACATAGTAAAATGACAAGGAAATTAAAATAGTATTGTAGAAAAACTGATTTAACACAAAAGCAGATAGTAAAAGAGGAAATGCAGAACAATAAGAAAAAAAGGCAATAGACATACAGAAAACAAATTGCAAAATGGCAAATGTAAACCTTATCTTATCGTTTGTTACATTAAATGTAAATAGACTCCAATACAAAATCACTGATTGGTAGAATGAAGTTTTAAAAATGATCTGACTACATGCAAATCAAAAGTGCATTGAGATACCACATCACAGCCACTAGGATGTCTATAATTTGAAAGACTAAAAATAATAAGTGTTGACAATGATTCAGAGAAATCAAAATTTCTGTATTTTGTTTTTTTTTCTCCTTTTTTATTATTATTATACTTTAAGTTTTAGGGTACATGTGCACAACGTGCAGGTTTGTTACATATGTATACATGTGCCATGTTGGTGTGCTGCACCCAGTAACTCGTCATTTAACATTAGGTATATCTCCTAATGCTATCCCTCCCCCCTCCCCCCACCCCATGACAGGCCCCGGTGTGTGATGTTCCCATTCCTGTGTCCATGTGTTCTCATTGTTCAATTCCCACCTATGAGTGAGAACATGTGGTGTTTGGTTTTTTTGTCCTTGCGATAGTTTGATGAGAATGATGGTTTCCAGCTTCATCCCTACAAAGGACACGAACTCATCCTTTTTTATGGCTGCATAGTATTCCATGGTGTATATGTGCCATATTTTCTTAATCTAGTCTATCATTGTTGGACATTTGGGTTGGTTCCAAGTCTTTGCTATTGTGAATAGTGCCGCAATAAACATACGTGTGCATGCATCTTTATAGCACCATGATTTATAATCCTTTGGGAGTATACCCAGTAATGGGATGGCTGGGTCAAATGGTATTTCTAGTTCTAGATCCCTGAGGAATCGCCTCACCAACTTCCACAATGGTTCAACTAGCTTACACTCCCACCAACACTATAAAAGTGTTCCTATTTCTCCACATCCTCGCCAGCACCTGTTGTTTCCTGACTTTTTAATGATCACCATTCTAACTGGTGAGAGATGGTATCTCATTGTGGTTTTGATATGCATTTCTCTGATGGCCAGTGATGATGAGCATTTTTTCACGTGTTTTTTGGCTGCATAAATGTCTTCTTTTGAGAAGTGTCTGTTCATATCCTTTGCCCACTTTTTGATGGGGTTGTTTGTTTTTTTCTTGTAAATTTGTTTGAGTTCATTGTAGATTCTGGATATTAGCCATTTGTCAGATGAGTAGGTTGCAAAATTTTTCTCCCATTCTGTAGGTTGCCTGTTCACTCTGATGGTGGTTTCTTTTGCTGTGCAGAAGCTCTTTAGTTTAATTAGATCCCATTTGTCAATTTTGGCTTTTGTTGTCATTGCTTTTGGTGTTTTAGACATGAAGTCCTTGCCCATGCCTATGTCCTGAGTGGTATTGCGTAGGTTTTCTTCTAGGGTTTTTATGGTTTTAGGTCTAACATTTAAGTCTTTGATCCATCTGGAATTAATTTTTGTATAAGGTGTAAGGAAGGGGTCCAGTTTCAGCTTTCTACATATGGCTAGTCAGTTTTCCCAGCACCATTTATTAAATAGGGAATCCTTTCCCCATTGCTTCTTTTTCTCAGGTTTGTCAAAAATCAGATATTTGTAGATATGCGGCATTATTTCTGAGGGCTCTGTTCTGTTCCATTGGTCTATATCTCTGTTTTGGTACCAGTACCATGCTGTTTTGGTTACTGTAGCCTTGTAGTATAGTTTGAAGTCAGGTAGTGTGATGCCTCCAGCTTTGTTCTTTTGGCTTAGGATTGCCTTGGCAATGCAGGCTCTTTTTTGGTTCCATAGGAAGTTTAAAGAGTAGTTTTTTTCCAATTCTGTGAAGAAAGTCATTGGTAGCTTGATGGGGATGGCATTGAACCTATAAATTACCTTGGGCAGTACGGCCATTTTCATGATATTGATTCTTCCTACCCATGAGCATGGAATGTTCTTCCATTTGCTTGTATCCTCTTTTATTTCATTGAGCAGTGGTTTGTAGTTCTCCTTGGAGAGGTCCTTCACATCCCTTGTAAGTTGGATTCCTAGGTATTTTATTCTCTTTGAAGCAATTGTGAATGGGAGTTCACTCATGATTTGGCTCTCTGTTTGTCTGTTATTGGTGTATAAGAATGCTTGTGATTTTTGTACATTGATTTTGTATCCTGAGACTTTGCTGAAGTTGCTTATCAGCTTAAGGAGATTTTGCACTGAGACGATGGGGTTTTCTAGATATACAATCATGTCATCTGCAAACAGGGACAATTTGACTTCTTTTCCTAATTGAATGCCCTTTATTTCCTTCTCCTGCCTAATTGCCCTGGCCAGAACTTCCAACACGATGTTGAATAGGAGTGGTGAGAGAGGGCATCCCTGTCTTGTGCCAGTTTTCAAAGGGAATGCTTCCAGTTTTTGTCCATTCAGTATGATATTGGCTGTGGGTTTGTCATAGATAGCTCTTATTATTTTGAGATACATCCCATCAATACCTAATTTATTGAGAGTTTTCAGCATGAAGGGCTGTTGAATTTTGTCAAAGGCCTTTTCTGCATCTATTGAGATAATCATGTGGTTTTTGTCTTTGGTTCTGTTTATATGCTGGATTACGTTTATTGATTTGTGTATGTTGAACCAGCCTTGCATCCCCGGGACAAAGCCCACTTGATCATGGTGGATAAGCTTTTTGATGTGCTGCTGGATTCGGTTTGCCAGTATTTTATTGAGGATTTTTGCATCAATGTTCATCAAGGATATTGGTCTCAAATTCTCTTTTTTTGTTGTGTCTCTGCCAGGCTTTGGTATCAGGATGATGCTGGCCTCATAAAATGAGTTAGGGAGGATTCTCTCTTTTTCTATTGATTGGAATAGTTTCAGAAGGAATAGTACCAGCTCCTCCTTGTACCTCTGGTAGAATTCGGCTGTGAATCCATCTGGTCCTGGACTTTTTTTGGTTGGTAAGCTATTAATTATTGCCTCAATTTCAGAGCCTGTTATTGGTCTATTCAGAGATTCAACTTCTTCCTGGTTTAGTCTTGGGAGAGTGTATGTGTCGAGGAATTTATCCATTTCTTCTAGATTTTCTAGTTTATTTGCAGAGAGGTCTTTATAGTATTCTCTGATGGTAGTTTGTATTTCTGTGGGATAACTAACATCAGAGCAGAACTGAAGAAATACAGACACAAAAAACCCTTCAAAAAATCAATGAATCCAGGAGCTGGTTTTTTGAAAAGATCAACAAAATTGATAGGCTGCTAGCAAGACTAATAAAGAAGAGAGAAGAATCAAATAGACACAATAAAAAATGACAAAGGGGATATCACCACCGATCCCACAGAATTTTTGTATTTTGCTGTTGGGAATTTAAAGTGGTACAATTGCTTTGAAAAACAGTTTTATAGTTTCTCAAAAAGTTAAACATAGAATTAACATATGACTCCGCAATTTCATTCCTAGGTATATACCCCTCCAAATTAAAAACATGTGCATTTAAACCTTAACAAGAAAACAAGCAAACATAATAAACTAAGACATGGGCAAAATATATGAACAGACATCTCACCAAATAGCTTTATTTAGTGCTAGAACAGCTCAGAGGAGACCCAAGGTGGGTAGCTTCCCTCTGTAGGCAAGCAGGTCCTCCCATCAAGTGTTCAGCTCTCAGCAGAGAGGAGGCCCTGGAGAGGATAGCTCCTCTCTGCTCACTTGTCCATGCAATGTCTGCCGCTCTCAGCAGTGAGGAGGCCCTGGAAAAGGTAGCTCCTATCTGCAGGCAGGTCATTCAGACCTCTCTGCAGGTCTCTGAGATTCTCAGCAGAAAGGGTAGCTCCTCTCTGCAGCTGGTCCTCCCAATGTCTCCAGCTATCAGCAGAGAGGGTAGCTCCTCTCTGCAGTTGGACATCCTGTTGTCTCTTTATCATCTACTCTGCTCTGGCTGAGCCCAAGGCTTTTATGGATGTCAGAGGGGAGGCAGTGCATGCTGATTGGTCCATGGGTGGTCCGGATCAGACACCACCAGTCTCCACTACCATCCAGGGGAGTGGCAGCCCAGCCCCCAACCTTCAGGCCCTCCCTGGCCTGAAGGTGGGGCCTTACTGGGGAACCGCCCCTTCTGCCCAGGACTCTGCCTCCAGCTGCCATTCAAGGCCCCAGCTGCTTGGCCCCATTCCCGCTTGGAGATGGCAGTGGGAGAGAAGAGAGGCCAGGCAGTGGGAGCAGACACCCTGGACCCTGCAGAAATGGGGTGGGGTCCTTCCTGGGCCCCAAGGATGGAGGCTGCATAGATGCCTAGGTCCTGTGACTGGGAGGATGCTGAGGCTACAGCTGCACCTGGAGAGCTCCCACCTGGCCAACCCCGAAGGGGCAACATGCCTGCTTGTCCCCAACTACTGCCTGCTCCGTGGAGTCTTCAGCCTGGGATCCAGTGGCTGCAGTTGCACCCAGGATGGCAGTTCTTGCCTGCTCCTGGACCCCTCCAAGATCACAGGGAGGTCTGCATCCATAACTGCAGTTTGGTTGTCTGCAGCCCCACCCAGAAGGTCAGGGCACCTGCCTGCTGGTAGAGCAGGAAGCCTTCGTCTGCAGCTGCACTTTGGGCAGCTGCAGAGGCACCCGGGAGCTCCTGCCCCAACTCCGAAGGGGTGGGGCTCCCACCGGCTCCATAACTTGTACAGCCCCTCCCATGCCTCTCTGCTGCAGTTCGAGAATTGCAAACTATAATAATAAGATTCTACCTCACACCTATTAGAATGGCTAAAATCTAAAACATGTACACCACCAAATGCTGGTGAGATATGGAGTAACAGAAACATTCATTCTTTGCTGGTAAGAATGCAAAATAATAGAGTCACTAAGGAAGAACATTTGGCAGTTTTTTAAAAAAGCTACACATAATCTTACCATATGATTCAACAATTGCACTCCTAAGTAACCCAAACGACTTGAAAACTTCTTCTCACACAAAAACCTGAACAAGAATGTTTACAGCAGCTTTATTAATAATTACCAAAAATTGAAATAATCAAGATATCCTTCAATAGTTTCAATATGTTACAATGAAATATTATTTGACGATAAAAGGAAATGAGCTATCAAGCCAGAAAAAGACATAGAGGAATTTTAAACACATACTACTGAGTGAAAGAAGCCAGCCTAAAAATGCTACAAACTGTATGATTCCAACTATATGACATGGTGGAAAAGGCAAAACTATGGAGACAGTAAAAAGATCAGTGATTGCCAGGGGTTTGGGGGAATGGAGAGAAGGATGAATAGATGGAGATTTTTAGTGTCTTACAATTATTATTCTTTACATTATAATTTAGGTTAGATACCTGATATTATGAATCTGACCAAAATCCATAGAACTGTACAGCACCAAGAATGAAACCTAATGTAAACTATGGACTATGGTTAATAATATTGTTTCAATATTGCTTCATGAATTACAAATAATGTAACAGACCAATACAAGAAGTTAATAATAGGAGAAACTGTGCACAGTGGCAGGTGAGTGGAGAGAGGTAATATATAGAACTCCGTACTGCCAGCTCAAGTTTTCTGTAAACCTAAAAAATTAATCCGAAGAAAATGAACTCTACAAATTTAAAAAGTATTCACACATAATCCTGAACACAAGTATTTATAAAAGCATTATTCATAATAGCCAAAAAATGAAAACAATTCAAATGTCCATCAACTGAGGAATGGATAAACAAAATATAGTATATCTATACAGTAGAAATTATTCAGCCATAAGAAGGAATGACCTAATGATACATAATACAACATAGATGAACCTTGAAAACATTGCTAAGTGAAAGAAGCCAGACACAAAAAGGCACATGTTGTATGATTCCATTTATATGAAATTTTCAAAACAGGCAAATCCAGAAAGACAAAATGTAGATTAGTGGTTGCTAGGTAAAGAGTGGGGAGGAACAGGGAGTGGCTACTGGCGGATATGGAGTTTCTTTGGGGATTACAAAAGTAAATTAGAGGAAGTTGGTGTTTGTACAATTTTGTACAATACATAATTTTTGTACAATGTATAATAAAAGGCACTCAATTGTACACTTTAAAAGGATGAATATTACAGGTCAATTATATCTCGACAAAACAAAGTACTAGGTCACCCTGTTCTTACCAGTCTAGACGGGGGAAAAAAAGCTTAGAAAACATAATATTGTTCAAAAATCAAAATTACCGATTTTACTAAATTATATGTCTATACAATTAAAGTGTTTTTAACTTAACATGCAGGACCACTGTGTTTTCTTATCATTAGTGATTATGCTGCCCCCATCACTATAATCCAGTCATTTTGATAATTAAAAAAAAAAAACCTTGAACCATCTTTGACTAACCATGAGTGGGTCAAGAGCAATATTATCCTACATGAGTGACATCCACAGTTCTAAGACATTATTTGTTCTACATTCTGTCTTCAAATTTAGCTCACCTCACCTCTGCCAATACATATATGTACATATGTTACCATATTCTTACTGCTCAGGCCTATGTGTTAAAATGTAGGAAACTTAGCAGGTGAAGGCAAGGCATAGTATTCATAGAACATACTGCTATGTCAATCATTTGTCCATATCCAGAAAGAATTTTTAGAAATTTTAGAACCAAAATTCATATTTGTAAACTATGCCACATCAATGCAAAGTGGGCAAAATCCAAAAGGTCTCTACAATTTCAAATACACTATCTCACTTTATCACCATTTCAACCCTTTAATGTAAGTTTGATAGGTATTTTAGCTTCTACTTTAAAACATAGGAACTTAGACATTGAGAGGGCACATGATTTCCAAAAGTTATACATTAATTTATGGCAGAAACAGAATTAAAACATATCCTGATTCTCTCAGATGTTTATTGGAAAGAACATACCTCCTTCTCTCACATCATGCTAGCAGCTCAGTGAAGTAATAAGCACCATTTTTCTGACTTCACAGTTAAAATGATGGAGAGAATTTTAAAATAGGTGATTGCTATTCTATAATTTAAATTGGCAATAGGATAAAAGAAGTTGTGCAAAGAGATTGAGATGCAGGCTTTTAATGGCATATTTGTTTAAAATATTGTAGAGGGAATTACCCATGAGTTACTTATCAAAATCAAATACATTTCTTTAAATCACTCTCTCCTTTTCTTTTAACAAATTCTGCAGTGGGAATAATTTTGCAACCTCCACAAAGCAATAAGATGTAATCTTATCAATCTGTCTACATGAATTCCATAGCTCACTAAATTAAGTCCTTCCCCCTACAACACGCACACACATATGCATGTGTATGCATGCATACACAGAGACACACAATTTCCTTATTTTCTGATCTGAAGCATTTTTTTCTTCTAGTGTGTGCTTTGCAAAAAGTAGTAATGCCTTGATAGGATAGACTCTTGAGGCATTTTTGAAACAAATTCAGTATCTACTCCTGTTAGAGAAAATTGCCATAAATTACCAGGTATCATATTTTGGCTAGACTATCAATCAGCCACCTTTCATGGAAGTGTCTACTGTCTTGTTCATTTCTCAGAATTGACCAGGTTGCTTATAAATGCCAAACAAGGTTCACATAATTACTTGTGCTTCTCTCTTTAGCAAGTGACAGCCCAATATCCTCTCATCAGGATACTGTACATGTAATTTAGCTGTGGAAATAAAACCAAGAACCAAGATGTATTTACCCCACTGCAGTCATGCTGCTGAACAAGGAAATCCCTGCCTGCTATCCCTGGGAACCAGAACCAAAGGAGGGCATGGAGCATGTCTGTGTGATGCAACCAGCTGTGCATGGAATCAACACTTAATTAAAAATTACTTACCAGTAATAAAACTAGGGGCACCACTACCATTTGAATTTCAGTGGCATTGAAAGTTAACACCCTGCCAACATTAAGCCATTTCATTTTGTTTCTACCAAATGATCTCTTGCTTTCAGATTATACAGCTAACACAGCATAGGTCTCTATATGTGTAAGGAGATTAGGAAAGCAATCAAGAACTATTTTAAAGCACCTATTTTAAAGTACCTATACAATGGATAATACTCTTCCTGTTTATTATAAAACAATATTTGACACTCTGTTTCCTCATCTGTAACAAGTTAGTAGGAATATCTGACCCATAAAGCTCTTGTGAAGACTGAATGAACAACACATATAAACTGCCTAACAAAGCCTCTCATTAAGATGGCACCGAAAAGCCCATATGGAAACACAACCCAAACTTGCTTACATCAATAGGTAAACACAAATTAGATACAGATGATCATCAGAGATATGGCAGGTCCAGTTCCAGACCACCTCAATGAAGAGAATATCACAATGAAGTGAGTCATACTGAATTTTATGTTTTTTTACTGTAGATATAGTTAGCTCTACACTACATCATAATCTATTAAGTCTTCAGTAGCATTGTGTCAAAAGTGCATATTGCTAAAAATGTTAATAATCATCTGAGCCTTCAAGCAGCTATGAAAACAGCATTAATCTTGTACACCAGGCTTTGTTGTTTCATTTAAAGAGTGTCGGCAGAGTAGTTTTAGCATAATTCTTAGAAAGGATCTAGGATTTTCAAAATGGTAATGAGCACTGGCTTCAACTTAAAGTCACCAGCTGCAATAGCTCCAACAAGAGTCAGCCTACCCTTTGAAGTTTTGAAGCCAGACATTAACTTCTCCTCTCTAGCTATGAAAGTCTTAGATGACATCTTCTAATATAAGTCTGTTTTGTCTACCTGGAAAATGGATTATCTTAGCTAGACCTTCTGAATAACTTGTTGCATCCTTTCCATTAGCACTTGCTACTTCACCTTGAACTTTTATGTTATAGAGATGGCTTCTTTTTTTAAACTGCATGAACCAACGTCTGCTTGCTTTAAAGTTTTCTTCTACAGCTTCCTCATCTCTTTCAACATTCATAGAATTGTAGGCAGTTAGGGCCTTGCTCTGGATTAAGTTTTGGCATAAGGGAATGTTGTGGCCGGTTTGATCTTCTATCCAGATCACTAAAATTTTCTTCATATCAGCAACAAAACTTTTCACTTTCTTATCATTCATGTGTTCACGTTGTGTTAGCAGCTATGAAAACAGCATTAATCTTGTACATCTCCATCAGAGCTCTTGGATGACAGGTACATTGTCAATGAGCAATACTATTTTGAAAGGATTTTTTTTTCTCAGCAGGAGGTCTCAACAGTGGAATTAAAATATGCAGTCAACCATTCTGTAAACAAATGTGCTGTCATCCAGGCTTTGTTGCTACTGAAGTAGCATTTTCAGTTTCCTTTAAGAACTTTTTCTTTGTATTCACAACTTGGCTAACTGTCTGGCACAAGAGGCCTAGCTTTCATCCTATTTTGGTTTGTGACACACACTCCTCACTAAGAATAATCATTTCTAGCAGTTGATTTAAAATGAGAGATGTGCAACTCTTTCTTTTATTTGAACACTTAGTGGCATTGTAGGATTATTAACTGGTCTAATTTTAATGGTGTTGGCTGATATTAGAGGCTGATATCTATCATGAACATAGCTGCAAAATTCCTCCAAAAATTAGCAAATGAATTTTTTAAAGTATTGATATAAAAGGAAATATATACCACAACCAAGTGGAATTTATTCCGGGTATGCAAAGAGAATTCAACATTCAAAAATCGATCGGTGTAATCCATCTTATCATTAGGAAATCCTAGATAATAAATTCTAGATGAGCAAAAGTGTAAAAATCTTAGGAACCAAAAGTAAAACAGCAATAATCATGACAACAACAACTAAAACTACTCAGCAAGTTGTAAGGAAGCAAGTAGACCACTTTATTTACTGCCTCGCCAGTTCAGCCCACTCTCTATGAGGACCCAAGAGAAAAATGATAAATGATAAGCTATTTAGTCTTGTTGAGGACCAGTTTTCTTTTGTCTGTGAAATGGGCATACACACAGAAAGACTTCCTTCTTCCCCTTTTGCATAGTCTAAATGAATATCTTAAAATACAGCTGTTTGTATACCCATTTGTATACCCAGACTAAAGAAAACTGGTCCTCAACAAGACTAAATAGCCTTCCCTGGGTCAACTCATGAGTAGCAGACACAGGTAAGGATGACAGGTGCGGTAGCAAAGCATTACCAATGAGACAGGCTGGGTCTTAGATATTAGGTAAGATGAAAGTACCACAGAACAAAAGAGCTGTCTGGGAAATTTATAGGTAGGGATGGGCAAAGAGGCCTATATTTGGAAAAAGTGTAGCAATCCTCACCACACAAGAGGACATGTCAATAACCCTCTTGCCTTCTTCCTCCTTGACACATGAACAGTGCAATCGCAGAACTCATGGAGCTCAAAATCTGACGCAGACAAGAGGCACATATGACACCACATAGTGCACAGGAAATGCAGGGTGCTATGGCAATACTGGTACGGTGGGGCACAATGGACTGGGCGAACTGATAAAAGATGTCATAGAGAATATAATAAGCAAGCTGAACTTTGCAGGACAAACCGACATCAAATGACCTCAACTCAACTCTTTCATTAAATAATTGTGTGACCCTGGATAAATCACATAACCTCTCCGGACTTTGCAATTTTCATCTGTAAAACTGAAGGAGTAAGAAGGATAGTTTCTAAGGGTTTTTTCAGTTCCATCAGTCAATAATGATGTAACTCTGTAACAGAATGGAAATATTGTTCAATTCTTTTCCTAACGTTTCTCATGTATGCTATGTTTTTCCTTTCCCTTTTGCTTGCTTTGGCAATCCACATTACCCTGCCACACCCTCCACCACCACTAGAAAAAAAGAGGAAGCAAAAGGAAGGTTTAAAAATGGCAAGTACCTTTACTCTTAGCTAAGTTTAACATGCTTTTAGTCATCTGCTGTGGATTATTTTGGCTTTATACTCTATTTACTCTGTCAATCAATAAAAAAAGTACCACTCACCACACCACCAACCACAGCATATGTGTGCAGACTCTAGTATGGAAAGAGAGAAATCTTTTTGTGGGGTTTTAGAAAAAGCTATTAGCTATATAGGATTTTACTAATATTTTTGGTATTTCAACACAGAACTTCAAACCTTTGACATACGGAATTTCTAAGAATTCTATTAAGTTTGTGTGAACTATCATATTTTATTATTAAAGGGCTATTTTTCTCAGATACAGTAAAGAGCGGAAAACAAGGCATGATGAAAAATGCTGAGTCATTGTAAAAGACAAACCAATAAAGGAAAGTGCTGGGAAAGTGATACAGGTACGTATCTCAGATTCTGGCTGCATCTAAAGGGCAGAGATGAATTATAGAATGAACATATGCTAATCCAGTTGCTAAAGACCACTTTTCCATTACCAGAAAAGGAAAACCATCATTCTTGTGAACATGTTCAGTCATGCAGGTGAGCTGGGATCAAATCTACAGAGAGGCACACAGCCCCAGTCTTTGAGAGAGCAGAATACTAGACCCAGCTTCTGAGTGCTATGTGACTTTGCCAAACTTTTTAGGTTTCTCTGAATTTCAGCCCCCTTGTGTACAAAATGAAGTTCTGGGATTTTCTGGTGCCTAAAGTTCTTTGGGATGCAGAGTAGGGAGTGAAAAAAAGAGGTTTCAGGTCACAGTAATCTGGGTTCATTCATTCATGTATTCTTTCAATCCTCAAGTCTATGTAAAATGACCACTAAATGCAAGGCCCTAAGGATCTGACAGTAAGTAAAAGCAGACATGAAGATATTAAGAAATAAGCAAACCAATGAAAATAAAGGTGTAACCCTGGTGTGGGCAGTGGAGAGATGTGTGAGACCCGGAGAACTATGGTAAGTGCTAACTGAAGCTGTACATGTGATTGAGATAAGATGGGGAACAGTATACAGTATCCCAAAATGTGGTACCTTGGTATCTGAGAAAACAGAAGCAAGGAAGTCTCTCCCACCTTCCTATCACCGTTCTCCCTTGAAGTAAGCCATAAAACCTAGGAAGGTCACTCTCTGATCCTCTCCCTTCCTTCTCCCCTGAAGCAGGTCATAAGACCATCATTCAAAAGATACCCCCCCATACCTGGAGAAAAGGAACATCCCTATCTCTGAAGAATCAGGGACGTTGAGAAGAATCTGAACAAATAGGCCTTGCTAAGTTGATGTATTATCATTAAATGGTATTCCCTTTGTCCAATCATACTTATCCATTACTATTGACTTCTTTGTCAAACCTAACATAAAAATGTACAGCTTTCCCTGTTTCCTTGGCTCCCCATTTCTGAAGGTTCTCATGTCATATAAAACTTACATTAAATAAATCTGTATAATTGTCTCTTATTAATCTTTAAGAACCACAGCCATGAACCTAGTGATAGGTAATAAATAAATAAATAAATAAATAAATAAATAAATAAATCACCTATCACTTTTCTTTTCCCCTAAAGGTAAAAGAGAAAAAATAGAAGAGAAGATGCCTCAGGCCCAGTCTTGAGGAACTTCAAAACATACCTAATGAAAAAGACAAGCCTCCAAGAAATAAAAGAAAAGCCAGAGAAGATGGAGGGACTCAGGAGAGTGAAGTATTACTGAGAACAGAACAGGGTCTTTCAAACAGGGGAGTCATGGTAAACACTGTGGAATACTGCTGAAAGGTCAACCAATATCAGAACTGAGAAATGTCCATTGCACTCAGTGACATGAATGCTATTGGTGACCTAAACAAGGGGTGTTACAAAAGAGTTGGAGGGGAGGAGTTTATTTGCTTTTATTTGCCTTGTAACTCTTTTCAGGCCAATTTGAGCCTCAATTTCCCTAGCTATAAACATGGAGCTAACCACAACCTATTTCAGAGAGAATTCCACAGTGTTTGTCACAGTATGTGTTCATTAAATATTTCCCTGCATATTCGAGTTTTATCCAAGAGATACTGCTTTTACTGTATTAATTCAGATTTCACTTGTCCCAAATTTTTCTTGGTGTGGTTAATCAGAATAACAGATATGGAATTTACCCCATAATGAATTATACTATAACAGATTTTGAGTAACAATCTACATAAAAGTATGGATATGCAAGCAAATAAAATCAAAATAAAAATATTGTTGAGTAAGTAATTCAGAGGATTACATAATAGACCTTATGGGATGATCACAGTGTTGACAGCACAGTTGCCATCATCACTTTAAACATATCTTTCTTCCCATCAAACTTTCAACTCCCAAGATGACATCTTACTTACTCCATTCACCTGCAAGAATTAAAAGTCCCACCTAGATCTCTACCAGTTGACATCCTTCATCAAATAAACACCATCCAGGAAACTAAGCAGAATTTTCCTCTTGCCTCAGCTTTAGCAGGGAAACAGGAACCAAGATTAACTTTGGCTCCATGCCTGTTATACCTCAATCACAGGTTTAGGTGTTTACAGAAGACATCTCATCTAAGCACCTAGCAATTCTGCCAGGTAGTTATGACTAGTCCCAACAGATGATGAAACTTAGGCTTGCTGAGCTTAAATAATTTACAGTTATAAGGCTGGTACATGGCAAAGCTAGGATCTGAAATCAGATATCTCTGGTTCTAAAACCTAAGTTCTTTTTGCGACATCATTTTTTTTATCCACAAACTCAATGGTGTAGCAATGTTAAGCGGGGCAGAAGGAAGAGTCTAATAATAACACTAACAATAAAATAATATGTTATCTGTAGACAGTGTTGCCAGATTTAACAAATAAAAATACAAAAGGTCAATTTGAATTTCACATAAATAACCATTTTTTTTTAGTATAAGTATGTCCAATATGTGAGACATACCACACCTAAAAAATTATTTGCTGTTTATCTGAAATTCAAATTTAACTGGGCATCTTGTTCTTCACCTGGCAACCCCTTCTGTAGGGAATTTTAAAATGAGAATAAAATTATCTAAAAGCTGGCATGTTTTTGTTATTACCATACACCTACAATTTTAAACAATGTCCATGACAGAGTATTTTTCCCTGATGGGGAATTCTTGTACACCAATTTCCCCAACACACTTCTATTCACCACTACCCTAACTTTTCCACAGAATTTCAGTGCCTCATGAGGTGTTAAAGTCTGGTGGATAATCTGCAGAGTTGGCCACCATGAATTATTTTCCTTCCTGAATGTCCACATGTCTCTATCAAGACATAGATTCTAATTCCCCTCCCCTTGAATCTAGGGTGGTTTTGGGCCTTGCTTGACCAAACAACTGTGTCAAAAATGATGTTCTGGGACTTCCAAGGCTGGATTATTGGAAGCCATGGAGCTTTCCCCTGGGAGTCCAAGAATGCTCCTTCACAGAATGTAAGAGAAGCCAAAAGCATGAAAACAGATGTAGATAAGTGTCCTTGCTGACAACCTCATCTGAGGTCTTAGGCAACAGCCACCATCTACTGCCATTCACATAAATGTGTAGGCTAGTTACATCTTTAGATAACTCATCCTCAGCCTATCTGATTGCAACTGCAAAAAAGAATCCATGCTAGAACCACCCAATTGAACCCAGTAAGCCTGAACTATGACAGATAGTAATAAATTGTTTTAAATCAGGGGATGTTATGTGATGCAGCAATAAATAAATGGGAGATTAAAATTTCCTGTAAGAAAAATGGGAGTTCCACATATATAACAATTTTGGAAAGACTGAAATTATAAATTTATCTTGAGATTCACAATGCATAAGTGCTTATCAAAAGTTCTGGGAACTCCTGTCAAAAAAGAAACTGTTTAATTTTGTTCAATTTAATATTCTTACATGTATCTAGTCAAATAATCCATGCTCTATAAAACTTTCATTAACATTTTGTGAAACTATGTCCCAGGGAAACACAGTTTAGGAAACCCTGCACTATTCCATGCTATTTCCCATCAAAAGTGGCTGCCTGAATAAGCTATTGTTTCCAAACTACTGAAATGACGAATCTTGCTAAAAGGGTGGTCTCTAAAAGTGAACTAAGATGTGGAAAAGATAGATTTTACAACATACATGGCAGTTACATTTGCTGAACAAAAAATAGGAACATATATTCTGATTGGAAAGGATATACATATGGGGAAAATGGGAAGGAGTATTGAAATGCAGATGGTCTATTTCAGAAAACCCGGGATGGAAAATAGCTGAAGAAAAGTGTTTCCTGTATTTTTAATAGAAAGGTCTCAATATAGTAGCCTTCCATCTTAATACAAGCTGGAGAATTCAACTCAAAGTTTCACTTCACAATTTGAATTGCTTGGCTTGGGTACAACTGGCAATCTAACTCAAATCCTAACTTTAAGTTATGCTGCATAGATAGAGCTTTACTTGTAAAATAAATCACAGTTAAAGTACAGGGAATATTTGTCTCCAACCATTTGTCTGAAAAGGATCTTGAGTAATAAAACTATAATTTTCTAGCAATTCTTGGCATATATACCAGTCGACACATTTTCCCTCTTTAGTTCATGATTGTAGGCTGAAAGGTATTTTTTAACTCCTCAATTATCTTCTTTTAATAAATCATAAAGATAGCATATTCTTTTGCAGGTTTTCTTAAATATGCATATCTTTATAGGCAACTGCTTGAAAGAGAAGACATTTTTATTTATGGATTCAGCTGAGATGAAAGAAAGTAAAAAGCTGTATAAATAAATTGCTACAAACATTGCTTTCATTTTAATGTAGTTATCAAAGTACAAGAGGTATTTACAATAAAACACTGCATGGGGAGAAGTCAAACACATGAAAGGAATAGAGAGAGATGTAGGTAAGATGAATTTGGGTATTTGTGAAGTGTATGAACAACACTGAATGGGAAGTGGAGTCAGAGCAGGTCATTGATGCCAATCGTCTTGCTTTTTACCAAATGCTTTATTATACATTATTTATTTCAGCCTCTTTAGTTCATTTTATGAAGAGGAAACTCAGGCTTAGATCATAAATCAGGAGTACCCTTGGGAGTTGGCAGTAGCACATTCTGCAGAAGTATCATCTTTCAAAAATGTTCACATGATCATTAAGATCATGATTTTTTCTTAAAAAAGAGACACAAAATGTTCCATGAAGCAGTATAAAATATACTATAGAATTATCAATCGTCAAATCATAGGAAGCATGGTAGTCTGTGTGTGTGTGTGTGTGTGTGTGTGTGTGTGTGTGTGTGTATGTGTGCTTTTTAAATGTATTTTCTCCCTTACACCAACAAGAAAACGGACTTCATCTCCAGAGATGTCATGCATATTGGCCCATTCTGGGGATTCCACTCACACTAATATACAGGAATGGTGCCTCTGAAAATGTGCAATGTACATATGTAGCCTTAAGGAGAGACTGTCCATTTTTTTTCTTCACTGGCTCTACTTTGCTCAACTTGGCTACACTGATATAGTAGATTCTTCAAGTTCATATATCCTTCCAATCCAGTAAGTGTTACACCCAAAACGCATGTCCAGTCCCTATGTCTCTGAATTACATTATGTTTTTTAATTCTTGGAGAAGAATTAATATCCCAGAGACATGGTCAACACAAATTAGCTTGCCATAGAGTGCAAAAAAAAAGAGTTACTTCTAGGTACATAAAAGTAGAAGTAACCAAAAAGGTCCAAATGGCTTTGTGTAACATTTAAACTCTTAAATCTTACCTCTCTAAATATTTGTTAGTGAGGCCAACAAAGCATCTAATAGGACCAAAACCCCCAAGTGGTCCCTTGGGTTCCCCTGGAAATATAAATGGTAATATGTTTACACACCATCCTTTCATTCAAATGTTGGAGAACTACCATACATAAGCCAGATATATGAAAGCCGTATTATTGACCCAAACTTTATTTGCCAGAAGTTTGGAATTTACCTTTATTTCATTTAATAATTGTACTTTAAAATATAGTATACCATTTAAACTCTTATATTTCTTTTCTGATTTAATCCTCATAACAATCCAGAGAAACTGCACCCAATTGTAGAGGTAAGAAACTGAAGGCCTAGAGGAATTTGGTACCTTGCCGAAGGACACAGCTAGCTTGAAGTCATGCAAAGCTAGGACTTTGAAAGTGCTTCTGTTTGTTTGTTTGCTTTTTACTCTAAGTTGTATTCTCTCCTCAATATTTGTCAATTTATGATTCTCATTTGCTTGCATCATTGCTATATTCAATTTTGTGGTGACAATATCAGGTAATTCTCAGAAATATTTGAGGTCTTTACAAGAAGGTAAAAAGAAAAAATCTGGGTGTCCAAGATAGAATTCAGGCCATGAAAAAGAGTCTAACTATACAGCAAATGTATGACAACCAAACCACACTGAAGGGAGGCGGCGGGGGGGAAATAGGTGCTTATTTGGAAATGAGTGAAGACTATGAGGTTAAAGTAAAAGGAACTTTACATAGTAACAATACTCTAGTTGGTAAAGTTGTTTCTCATGGGAGTATGGGTTACCAATTGTGAAACCACTGTACATGTATATTGGATTGAACATAAAATTAGGGGTGGATGGTGGGAGCCGAGATTTTCTCTGTTGGAACGGGAATTTACAGACAAGCAAGGGGAGGAAGTTAAAATAAACCATGTAATACTGAATTACAGTATTACATCCATATATGCTCACATTTAGCTACATACAGGCACAAATGGATTAACAGAAATAATTTTAGATACATGTATTTATGCTAGCGTGTGTATTTTTTTCTCAAGCCCGGATAGACTGAAATGGCCTAAAAAATGACATCCTGGCAGGAATGAGAACCTCTAGTGCCCAGATCTTAGTTTCTAATACCATTCTCCAATACAAGGAATCAGGGCTCCTTAAAGAAATGGCTGATTGTATGGCATGGAATATCTAAAATAAGCCTGCAGTTCCCTGTAGTGCCGGAAAGTAAGGAAGTGCTCAGAAAACAAAATGATGGGGGTATGTCAAAGGAGCACATCAGTGAACAACTAAAAATGGCCACAATGGCCAAAGCTGGAATAACTTGAGCAACAAACGAAATAATACAATACTGGGTTAGAGCTCAATGTATAAATATCCATTAGTCTAAACCAGAATGAATGAACAAATAAGTAAATAATAAACAGAAAAGAACAGACTAATATCCATGCAGAAGAATTCCAAGTAATTTATATAGATACCCCCTCTCCAGTTGGTGGAGCACAACACCCTTTCCCCAAGACCTCCAAATGTTGGCTGCACATAGTAACTTCCTTTTAAAGAGTATAGTATGGAAAGGTGTTGGGGTAGAGAGAAAGAGTAATTTTATAGCGGAAAAACCTACCTCAGGCAGGTGATTGAATTTAACATCATCAGAGAAAAGTCACGTTGAGAGCATATACTCTTGGTATGATGTGATGAGAATGCATTTTTCCTCTGTGATCTTTCCACCAAGAATCCAAAACCTCAATCGTGAAAACAAAAATAAGACAAAACCCAGTTGAAGGGACTTCTACAAAATATCTACTACTAATCCTCAAAACTGTCAAGGTCGTCAAAAACAAGAAAAGTCTGAGAAACTACCACAGTCTAAACCTAAGGAGACATGATAACTAAATGTGAAGTGGTCTTCTGAATGGGGATTCTGGGACAAAAAAGAGGGCATTACATTGGAAACAATCCTAATAAAACATAGACTTTAGATAATAATCATCTAAAAATAATAATTCATTAACAATAAAAAATGCCCTACTAATGTAAGATGTTAATAATAGGGTAACTGAGTATGGGGTATTCAGAAAACTTCTTTGCAACTTTTACGCAAATCAAAAACTATTATAAAAGTTCATTTAAAAAACCATACACATACACACGTACTACAAGCTTCCACATAGTGTGTTTTTTTTAAAGCCTTGAGTTCTCTGAGGGTATTTTGTGAATCATTAACTCACCAATGGCCAGTAGAGCATTTAAAACCAAATTTTTAAAATCTTTTATTGTTTCAACATTTCCCAATTTCCTCCACTCCCCAGACTCTGGCAACCACCATTATCCCCTCTGCTCTTGTGATTTCAACTTTTTCTTGATTCCACATATGCGATAATACAGTGTTTATCTTTTTGTGCTTGGCTTATTTCATTTTGCATAATGTCTTCCAGTTACTTCCACGTTGTCCTAAATGACAGCATAAGATTTCCTTTGTTTTTAAGGCTGAATAGAAATCCAGTGTGTGTGTGTGTGTGTGTGTGTGTGTGTGTGTGTGTGTGTGTGTGTGTGTACATTTTCTTTATCCATTCATCTGTCGATGGATACTGAGGTTTTCACCTCTAGACTAGTCCCAATAATTCGACAATTAATTGGATATTAATCTTAGAGGTATGCTTTGCAAATATACTTTCTATTTCATAGGTTGTCTCCTCTGTTTATTGTTTTTATTGCTGCGTAGGAGCTTTTTGATACAATCCTATTTGTCTACTTTTGCTACAACCAACTCTTGAAAACACATACTAATAGGGAAGAAGCAATGGCATAGATATTCTAAAACATAATGTACTTAAACATACTTTTATATTTGCTTAGGAAAACACTGAGGCTTTCTCCTATCTTATCTGACTTCCTTTCTTCATTGATCATGGATTGGGCTTATGTTAAAATTACTTGGCACACTGTGAATAGTCACCAACTGCCAGTGGAAAGCAGTGGTCAAGATGCAGTGGGTGGGGGTAGTCTGGAATTTAAATAAAGAAAAGCCTACAAAGTGGACAAGCCATATATGGATAAGGAAGGTTTTGGCTGAAAAAGATTTTGCTCAAAAGTTTCCATTAATTCCAGAGTCAGGAATCCAAGGTTAAACTGGTCTTTTAAGTAGAGCACGTTAATTACAAAATTTAAGCATTAATTAAAGGGCTTTCCTCAACTGAGTCAAACATTCATAGGGCAAAGGAAATATTTTTTTTCTACCTCAATTCTAAGTAACACAGGGAAGGAATTTAATGGAAGAACTAAGCCCAGCATGGTGTACAATGAAAGGGTCCCTTTCAATGAATGGCTTCCGAAGTTGAAGGAGGAAGGAGGTTCCACAGCAGTAGGTAGGGAGGAGTCTTGAAAATTTTATTTTATATTCCAATCACTTTAAGAATTGTGACAGGTTCGCATCTCCTCACTATCCAATTTTTTTTCATTCCTAAAGAGAGCAAACAAAGCAAAGAAAACAGCCTCATGCCTCAAAATAGCAGGTTTCAAACTCTGGGAACTATGATGCATACTCTACCTTAAAACAACCCACTGCGCATGATTTCTGAGCAACAGCAACAAGAAGCAAGGGAATAGAGGCAAATAAATCATTCTACCAGAGTTCCCAGTCCAGAAGCCATTCACTAATTCTGATTCAGTGAGGCTGTTCAAGAGCCTTAAGTTGCAAATTCTAAATACTAATAAAAATCCAAACTGAGTATATTTAATCTCCATCCAAAGAGCCCAAAGCAAGTCTGTAAAAGATTCTCCCTTCAGCTTTTCCTGTGTGCTTTTGGTGCTCTGGTTTCTGGCACACATGCACATGATTACTTCAATAGAAATATTTATATGAATGAGATGCACCCATAGACTTTTTCTGCTGGTTCCTAATTAATTACTATTTCTAGCTAATTTACTCAGATCCTCTTCCAGGCCATCCCCACCCCTCAGAAGGTGCTGGGAATTATGCTTTCTGCACTTGAGGCAACCTAAAACCAATGAGTAATTGTTTCAGGGGTACAAATTTGGTCACCTTGTCTTACAGTGGGACAACTTTTGCTGTAATTCTTACTCAAGATGTCCCCATGGGATCAGGCTGAAGTGAGGCCTCTGCTAAAACTACATCTTTGCCTAGTTTCTTCCTTGTCCTACGTTAATTCTCTCACTCCTTACAGGTTTCCCTTGAGAGTAATTCCTCAATAAATACCTGCACCAGAATTCTTGTCTCAGGCTCTACTCCTGGACAACCTAATCTATGTTACGCCAATAGAATAACAATAATAATAGCAGGCCAGGCACAGGGGCTCATGTCTGTAATCCCAGCATTTTGGGAGGCCGAGGTGAGAGGATCACCTGAGGTCAGGAGTTTGAGACAAGCCTGGCCAACATGGCGAAACCCTGTCTCTACTAAAAATACGAAAAATTGGCCAGGCATGGTGGTGTGCGCCTGTAATCCCAGCTAATCAGGAGGCTGAGGTAGGAGAATTGCTTGAACCCGGGAGGCAGAGGTTACAGTGAGCCAAGATTATGCCATTGCACTCCAGCTTGGTCAACAAGAGTGAAACTCCATCTCAATAATAATAATAATAATAATAATAATAATAATAATAATAATAATACCAATATTATGAACCACCACAAGCACAACAGCACTTAAATTTACTGTTTATTATTGCCAAGCACTGTTCCCAAGGCTTTGCAACAATCATGTTTTTAAACCTCACAAAAACCCAAGAGATAGGTACTATTATTATTACCATTTTATAGAAGAGGAAACAGAGGCTTGGAAAGTTTTTTTAAGAAAAACTGGCCGTAGTGGCTCACACCTGTAATCCCAGTACTTTGGGAGGCTGAGGCAGGCCAATTGCTCGAGCCCAAGAGTTCGAGACCAGCCTAGGCAACATGGTGAAACCCTGTCTCTACAAAAAATGCAAAAATTAGCCTGACGTGGTGGTACACGCCCATAGTCCCAGCCACTCAAGGTGGCTGAGGTCGGGGCTGATCGCTTGAGCCCATGAGTTTGAGGCTGCTGTGAGCCTTAACTGCACCACTGTGCTCCAGCCTGGGTGACACAGACTCTGTCTCAAAAACAAACAAACACACAAAAACGTAGCTATGGTCCAACAGCTAGTAAGTACTGAAATGTGAAACCCAGGCAGTCAGACTAGAGTCTAGGTTCTGAACCCCCATTATATTCTAATTCAAATCCTAATATATTTTACACCGATAGGATCCTTAAAATTCACTCATCTGTTGTGTAGTTTCTCATCTCAAAGACCCAGAAATGTATCCTTAAGTAGCCAGTAGAGATTTGGCCATGGGATATAAAGGCACACATTGTGAGCCAGCTGCTGATTTATAGGGTGCTGGAGACACCACAGAGAGGAAGGAGCTCCACCACCTCTCTCTCAGTAGAGCTCAGACTGCAGGAAATCAAATCCATGGACAGACTTCAGAATACTTCTGTTTTATAGACTGAATTAAGGAAAATGGAGTGGATATTCTAGCACTGCTGGCTACCCTGTGCTTTATTTAGGTTCATGACCCCTGGCTGTAAGGACCCAATCTCAACATTTTAGAACATCAGGTGGGAAAGGAATTAGGATATCCTCCTTTTTCTTTCCTGCCCCTTTCCTCCCCTGAAAACTGCAGCTGCACATGTCACCAAAACACAGAGACTCTGGAGGGCTGTTTTTGCTTACAACAGCCAGTTAGAAAGCAAAAGGCCAGCAAAGTCCTGCCAGAGACTTGCTGTGCCCTGGACAATTTCCCACATAAACAAAGTGGGAACTCTTTTAAAGAAAAGATGCCCTTGGCTTTTTGAGGGTGAGAGTGATCTTCCTACAAAACCACAATCTTTCCCTGGCCTGGAGTTCCCCTTATGCAAAATTCAAGTATATGTGGTTTTACTTCTGTATAACCTTTTCTCAGCAAACCCACAAGAATTTGAGTTCCAGTGCAAGTGATTTGCCAATTACTCCAGTTTTGGATAACTAGAAAAAATAGAAAAAAAACAGTGTTTACAGAGGAAGAAGGGGTAACTCAAAAGTCATAATCAGTGGAGAAATTTTGCTAATAAAATCTGGAAAGAGAAAAGACAGGAAAGATGAGGTTAAATCCGGGTCATATTAAGATTTTAGGGACTGATACTTACTAAAAAGAATTTTATAAGCTGCTCATGATATGTGTAATTCAAAACAACAACTTTATACCCTATATGTTAGGTATAATGTTTGACAAAATTAAACTAGTTTCTTCTTGGGTTTTGAGGATGTTTTTAATTTCAAAATTTTGGAGAAGTTCATTGCCTCTAGATTTCTCTTATTTTTGGAAACTTTGCTTAGCCAGTCCCCTAAAATGCTTGCTAACTATTGCACAAAGCAGCATGCAGTGAAGTGAAACCCAGGACTGAGAACTAAGTCCTTATACCTGTTGGAAGGAGGAAAGCAGTGATATGTACAATTGTTGCTGATGTGTATACTTGGCATAAATTTATATCAGGAAGATCTCAACAACTACATTATTCTGCATCTTAAAGGCCAAGGAGAGGCTACAGGAGGGACATAGAAAGAGGTGGCCAAAAACATTTGTGCTATAAACTTCCAAAGAAATCCAAAAGGCATTCAATATTTAGGAGATATTCTAGACACTAAGGGGAGAAAACACCTTAAAATGTGCACATTTTGGCCAGGCGCGGTGGCTAACACCTGCAATCCCAGCAGCACTTTGGGAGGCCGGGGTGGGTGGATCATGAGGTCAAGAGATCAAGACCATCCTGAGCAACATGATGAAACCCCATCTCTACTAAAAATACAAAAATTAGCAGGGCGTGGTGGTGCACGCATGTAGTTTCAGCTATTTGGGAGGCTGAGGCAGGAGAATCGCTTGACCCGGGAGGCAGAGGTTGCAGTGAGCCAAGATCACGTCACTGCACCCCAGCCTGGCTACACAGTGAGACTCCGTCTCAAAATAAAATAAAATAAAATAAAAATCTTGATTGTTTTTTTAGAATAAATATTGTGCATATTTGAGATTTACATATTAGGATATACATGCAGACACTAAAATAGTTACCACAGTGAAGCAGATTAAGACATCATCTCATACTTTTTTCTGATAAGGACAGCTAAAATCCATTGAACAAAAATCCCTAATACTGTATAATTTTATTAACTTTAGTTTTCATGCTATACATTAGATGTCTAGATTTGCTCTTCCTACATATCTGCTATTTTGTACCCTTTGACCTGTATCTCCCCATTGCCTCTCCCTACTCCCATTCCCCTGCCCATGGTAACCACTATTTCATTATATATGTGTATTTGAGCTCTTTTACAAATTCTACATATAAGTGAGATCACACAAGTTTTCCTTCTGTGTCTGGCTTATTTCACTTAGAATAATGTCCTCCAGGTCCATCCATGTTGTGGCAAATGGCAGGACCTCCTTTTTCAAAGGCTGAATATTTCTTCATTAATTCATCCATCCATGAACATTTAGGTTGTTTCCATATCTTGTCTATTGTGAATAATTCTGCAATAAACATGGAGTGTAGATATCTTTTTGAGGTGGTGATTTCATCCCCTTTGGGTATATACCCAGAACAGGGATTGCTGGGTTATAAGGTAGTTTTAATTTTAATTTTTTAAGGAGGCTTCATACTCTTGTCCACAATGGCTGCACCAATATACCTTCCCAACAGTGCACTAGCATTCCTTTTTCTCCACACTCTTGTCAACATTTGTTATCTCTTGTCTTTTTAATAGTCATCCTTACTGGTGTGAGGTGATATATCATGGTGCCTTTAACTTGTATTTTCTTAATTAGTAACGTTGAGCACCTTTTCATATATCTGTTGGCCATTTTTACATCTTCTTTTGAGTGTGAAAGAAAATGAAGTAATTAAGGCTAATGCTTTTAAGGGGAGTCAGGAGATTGTGGGAGGATTGAACTAACACCTGCTAAAAGTCAAACCACAGGATTTTCACTAGACCGGGTGTCCAATCTTTTGGCTTCCCTGGCCCACACTGGAAGAATTGTCTTGGGCCACACGTAAAATACTCTAACAATAGCTAATGAGCTTAAAAAGAAATCGTACAAAAATCTCATAATGTTTCAAGAAAGTTTACAAATTTGTGTTGGTCTGCATTTAAAGCTGTCCTGGGACACATGTGGCCCCAAGGCTGCAGGTGGGACAAGCTTGTAATAGACGAATAACAACTAAAGTCAGTATCCTTTGGCCTTCAGTGTCTCTCAGCGGAGAGTATATTAACTAACCAATCAGAATAGTTTACAATTTAAGATTTCTGCCAAGCCAGTGAACCGCCTCTGAAAATAACTTTTCACGAAAATCCCCCATAAAATACCTCACTTGTGTTTCCCTTGCAGGACACAATTCAGGACTGTCCTTACTCAGTGGACCTGAGTTCTGATTCTTTGTTTCCCAAATAAATCCTATTTCCTTTAACTTCTGTGTCAATCTTGTTTTACTTAATAGGATAAATATCTGTTTGAGTCTTTTGCCCATTTTTAAATAGAGTTATTTTTCTGCTATTGAGTTGTAAGAGTTCCTTATCAATCTTAGATATTAACCCCTTTCAAATATGTGGATTGCAGTTACGATTTCCAAGTCTGTAGACTGCCTTTTCATTTTATTGGTTGTTTCATTTGCTACACAGAAGCTTTTAGTTTGATGTAGTCCTAGTTATTTTTGTTTTTGTAGCCTGATCTTTTGGTGTGATATCCAAAAAAATCATTGCCAGGCTAATATCAAGAATCTTTTCGGCCGGGCGCGGTGGCTCACGCCTGTAATCCCAGCACTTTGGGAGGCCGAGGCGGGTGGATCATGAGGTCAGGAGATCGAGACCATCCTGGTTAACAAGGTGAAACCCCGTCTCTACTAAAAATACAAAAAATTAGCCGGGCGCGGTGGCGGGCGCCTGTAGTCCCAGCTACTGGGGAGGCTGAGGCAGGAGAATGGCGTGAACCCGGGAAGCTGAGCTTGCAGTGAGCCGAGATTGCGCCACTGCAGTCCGCAGTCCGGCCTGGGCGACAGAGCGAGACTCCGTCTCAAAAAAAAAAAAAAAAAAAAAATAGAGAATCTTTTCCCCTATTTCTTTCTAGGAGTTGTATAGTTTCAGATCTTAAATTTAGGTATTTTACCCATTTTGAGTTAATTTTTGTGTGTAGTATGAGATAAAAGTCTAATTTCATTCTTTTGCAGGTGGAAATTCAGTTTTCCCAGCACCATTTATTGTTTTTGTGTCCTTTTGGTGTCCTTGTAAAAAATTAGTTGACTGCATAAGTTTGGACTTATTTCTGGGCTTTTATTCTGTTCTATTGGTTTGTGTTTCTGTTTCTATGCCCGTATTATGCTGTTTTATCACTATAGCTTTGTAGCATAATTTTAAATCTGGAAGTATGATGCCTCCAACTTTTTCTTAGTATTGCTCTGGAAATTGTGGGTCTTTTTCTGGTTCCATACACATTTTCGGATTTTTTTTCTATTTCTGTAAAGAATGTCAATGGAATTTTGATAAAGATTGTGTTAAATCTGTATACTGCTTTGGGCAGCATGGACATTTTAGTAATATTAATTTTTCCTGTCCATGAGCATGGGATATTTTCCCATTTGTTTGTGCCTTCAATTTGTTTCATCATTACAGTTTTTGCATATAAATCTCTCACATCCTTGATTTCTTTTCAATTTGAAGTTTCTCAATCATTACTTTTCCCACTATGGGATTTCCAGGAATTTAATCTTTGAAGTCAGAAAGACAAATCTCTACTTCTAAAATTTATTACAACTAAGGAAAGACACATGAGGATGCATTAATTTTTTACTCATGTAAACCACACACATGGTGCAAAGCATCATCCATAATTTTATTCAACACACATTTAGGGAGGCTCAACTATGTTTCAGGCATCCTTCTTAGTGCTAAGAATGCACCCACAATAAAGACCCACTTGTAATTCCCCAAATTCACAGTCTAGCCATTCTATCACATTGCTCCCTCTGTAAAGTGATTTGAGTTCTCTCATTTCACTTTTAAAAAGTCCCATCAGAGAGGTTTCTTTGGATCCTAGTTGTCTGAGAACTTTTTTTTCCCCCCAGTGAATGTATTCTAGTCCACTGTAACTCTTGAGTACAGGTGGTTCCTTAGGCAAAACAAATGATGCATATTGAGTAATACTGAGGACATGTGCTTGGTGAATTATAGGCAGGGGTAAAACAACAATAACGTAGTTATGTTCCAGGAAGGTTTGTTGTATGTATGACTGGTTGTCTTCCTTTAACTTTACCTCTCAACTATGATGTACAGTAGTCTTTCTGTTTAGAAAGAGATCAAGAAAAAATAAATGAAGATGAGAAAACGGGATAAAGAGAGGGAGGAAAAGAGGAAGGAAGGAAGAGCTCTCCTTGAAATTCTAGTTAAGCCACAGCCTAGGGAAGTATTAATATAATACTAGATAACCCTTCTGCTTCAGGCTCAAAAATTCAACTCATCTTTCAATATATTTTGTTTTACAAAAAGCATTCTTCTGACTTTTAGTATTTGAAGTAAGACCCTCCTCAAATCCCAGCAGCAATACATGATCTCCCTAATAAATTGCCTTCTTCTTGGTAATACTTTGTTTAGTTTTTATTTTCTAAAACTACAGTTTGGATATGAGATAGTGGAATTTTAAAATATATGACAAAATGAATATTTCTACCTATTGTAGTTTCTAGGAACTAAAGCTGATCCTCATTAAATTCTGCTAATTTACTGTACAGTGTTTAATTAAATCTTACTCCAGGCAATCTACTTCCAGGGTTTATTTTTACAGCTTGAAACTTTCAAACATAAAAATGCATTTTGATTTAATTTTTTTCTTTTTTTAAAAAAAGCTATTCACTAAAGTTTGTTAGGTTTTCAAAAATTATATCCTGGGCTTACTTCGGCTACAATTCTCTTTCTTTCTCATTCTCATTCTCTGTCACTTCCTGCTTTCAAGAAGATAAAAATGCTTCTTAGAAATTCCCTTCTTTATTGTGAATAGTGTGTAGTAACTTTTTCTTCAAAATGACAATTTTCTTGAACTGGGCCATTTTCCAGGCAGGCTGTGTTCAGCTAAACATAAACATAACTGACTGCAGAGAAGATGGGATGTCTCTCATTCATGAAGTGACAAGGACTGCATGTGATACAGCTGAACACATGGGTATCAATGCCATTTTCTTCTTTAGGTTTATATTCATCAGAAAAGAACAAGCTGGCATTCAACAGCCCACCCCTTCTCCTTACCACAGGCTAGAGTTGAAATGAAACTGCTCTCTCCTTTCATCCTAACTCATCCACACAGGCGCCTGACTTCATAATCTGTCAGCTGACAGATAAAGATTTGTGCTTTCTAAATCTTTCCTCGCAGAAAACTTCTATGTAGCCAAGAGCAACCTGAAGCTTACTGAGCATCCACTACTAAACCATCAAGCAAGAATGCAAACCCTGAACCAGCCTCCCCAAAAGTTTATAATCAACTTTGCACTAGCCATATATGTTTTTAAAATTCCTTCTAAATGTTAAGACATTTGCCCCAAATCTTGATTTTAAGTGGGCTAATGATTTCAAATTATTTTCCAAAGTAAGTACCATTCTGTAACATCTTTATACTTTTTATCATGTCCTAGATTTAAATGGAAACAGTAATCAAATAGTCTTCTGAATGCTGCATACAGTTCAAAAGTGACATAGCATCATAGAAATGTTAGTGTTTTCCCATAAAATTCCTCTATACCAGGACAGCCTTTTACCCTTTTGCTACGTGGTTTCTTCCCTTCACAATTTAAGTCATGGAGAGGCTAAACAATCTCCCTATACATCAAACCCACTCACCTCTCTCAAGCACTTCTGGCAGGTAGTTTCCACGATGGCCCCTAATGATTTATGTCTCCTGGCTTTCTCATTCTATGTATTCCTCTACACTATACCAGAATTGATCTCTATAGTCAATAAAATGCAGTCAAAATGAGGGCATGTTATTTCTAAATTTAGATTATAAAAGATGACATCTTCCACTTTAAACATTTTCTCACTATCAGTTTCTTTTTTGATCTCTCTCTGCCTCCCTCTTACTGTTCCTTCTTTCCCTTTTTGATTACTTGTTCTGGGGTAATCCAGTGCCATGCGACACAACACTCATGCAATCAATTGAGAAGTCCAAATGGCAAGGAGTTCCAGCCAACAGCCAGTGTGGAACTGAAGCCTGACAACAACCACATGTGTGATCTTGGAAGCAAATCCTCCTCCAGTTCAGCCTTCAAATAAGACTGCAGCCCTTGCTAAAATCTTGACTGCAATGTTATTAAAGAACTTGAGCTAGAACCACCTAGCTACACAGATGATGATGATGATGATGATGATGATGATGATGATGATGATTATTATTATTATTATTATTATTGAGACAGAGTCTCACTCTCTCACCCAGGCTGGAGTGCAGTGGCACAATTTTGGCTCACTGCAACTTCTACCTCCCAGGTTCAAGCGATTCTCCTGCCTCAGCCTCCCAAGTAGCTGGGATTACAGGGGCCTGCCACCATGCCTGGCTAATTTTTGTATTTTTAGTAGAGACAGTGTTTTACCATGTTGGCCAGGCTGGTCTCAAACTTCTGACCTCAGGTGATCTGCCTGCCTTGGCCTCCCAAAGTTCTGGGATTACAGGCATGAGCCGCTGCACCTGGCCAAGCTACCCAGATTTTTGAGTCACGGAAACTATGAAACAATAAATTGTTGTTTTAATCTTCTAAGTTTGGGAGAAATTTGTTATATAACAATAAGTAGCTAATATAGGAATGTTGATTATCCTATTCTTTCCTCTTCTGATGTCTCAATGAAAGTTTGACCAGAAAAGAAATCAGTTGGTTATTTAGGACACAGTTCCCTCTTAATGCAGGGAATTGGTTACACGGGTGATAGAAATGCTGAGAACAGGGAGGACAGTGAGATAACATAGCAATTAATAGCACCAAGCAACCACATCGACCAGTAGGCTAGAATGGCAGACAGGAGGGAGTGTTACCAGAGCCCATGGACCGGATTACTCTTTAGCACAGTACTGTCCAATAAAACTTTTTCTAATGATGTAAATGATCTATATCTGCATCATTCAACGTGGTAGCCTCTAGTGATATGTGAGTAATGTGATTGAAGAACTGAACTTTAAAATTTTAACATTGTATAGCTACTTATAACTATATATGTATTAGTGGCTACCATATGTCTCAGTGAAGTTCTAGAAACAATGGAAGGCCACTCCCTTTGGAACTGGAACTGCGTCTCATGCCTCAGATGCCACCAGACCTCGAGAAAGACCAGAAGACAGTCCCTGACTTCTCTCATTCCCCTATCACCCTTCCACTCCAATCTCCTTCCAGTGCCTCCTATTAGTGGTATCCAGCAAGAAGCAGATTCAAAGAGCCATCTTCCCTATGTGATACAGATCAGAGCAAAGCAAGAGTGAGATGCAAACTTCAAGGGAGCATGTGCCAGGGGGAGAAGCACTCAAAATCTTGATGATCTCTGGAATACCCATAAGCATACATCTTTCTCTTAATAAAAAAACACCATCATCTTTTTGGTTGTACAGTAGCCTTGGGGGCAGCCCTGGGGCTCATTCAACAAAGTCTCTCTACTTTTATTCCCCCCAAACAAGTACTTTTCCTAAAATGAATTCAAGCAAGTAAATGCTTCTCCACCTTGTTTTATATGTCATATGGGCTATTGCATTTTCCATGGTAGGCTCTAAACTGCTTGTATTTTCTAATGCTGCATAACAAATTACCACATATTTAATGCTTTAAAACCACACACACTTATTATCTCAGAGTTTTCATGGGACAAGAGTCCAGGTGCAGCTTAGGTGGTTCCTCTGGCTCAAGTTCTCACAGGTGGTATTCAAAGTATTGACCAGGGTTGTAGTCTCATCTGAAGGCTTAACTCAGAAAAAAATCTACTTTGAAGCTCATTCAAGTTTTTGGAAGAATTCCTTTCCTTGCAATTGTATGACTAGGGCCTTCAACTTCTTACTAGCAATCTTAAAGGTTGCCCACATTTCCTTGCTACATGGCTCTTTGTGTAGAAAGTTCACAGGATGATGGTTTGCTTCTTCAAAGCCAGTAGGAGATTTTCTTTTCCAGTCTGCTAAAAGGGCCTCTTCTATAACATAATGCAATCATGGCATTATGATACCCCCCACCTCTGCCATTTAACTCAATCTAATCAAGAAACTGTCATCCCATCACCTTTGCTATATTCTACTGCTTAGCAGCAAGTCCGTCATAGGTTTTGCCTATTCTCAAGGGGAGCAGATTATGCAAAGATATTACTTATTGGAGGATCACTTTAGGTTGTGTCCTCCCTACAGCTAGAGAACAAGTGCAATGTGTTAGAGGTATTTGATATTTATATCCTAAAGCAACATCACAGTACTTAGTAAACTAGAGTTGTTTAATAATAATTTCCTGGGCTGGAAAAATCACGTTTGCCAAGGAAATGCCCCTTGGGAAACATGTTGATACCCAACACACAACAAGATGGAAAATACAGGGGAAGCAGGATGGTCCTGGAGACCAACCATCTATTTGGCTAAAATAGATAGTGAGGTGATGTCCTGGGCTTAAAGACTGACAGCACAGGTTTATCCACCTAGACAGAAGCACAGACACATGGGTTATTCCAGCATTTAAGAACATGGTCTGAAATAGAAATCACACATATATAGTCATAGGTCAGGTGTCATAGGTCAGGCTGCAGACGTAGTTTATTTGGCACACGTGTTATTTCAAAAATAAAAAGAACTAGTTGTGAATATATTTTTTGAGACAGGGTCTCACTCTATTGCCCAGGCTGGAGTGCAGTGGTATAATCATGGCTCACTGCAACCTCCTCTTCCCAGGCCCAAGCGATCCTCCTACCTCAGCCTTCTAAGTAGCTGGGACTACAGGCATGCCTCCCCACACCCTCCTAATTTTTATATTTTTTGGTAGATATGGGGTTTCACCATGTTGCTGCAGCTGGTCTCAAACTCCTGGGCTCAAGCAATCCACCTGCCTTGGTCTCCCAAAGTGCTGGGATTACTGGAGTGAGCTGCTATGCCCGGCCACAAACATTTTCAAATCAGGAAATTTCACACCAAAATTCAGATAATTTTTTTTTCTCTTGAAATTGCAGCTATCAGCTAGATATGACTTGTGACTACCTCCTTTAAATGAAGCACGCTCTTTCCAGTCCACCTTGGTTTTTACCCAGCCCTCTCCATTCAGAGGTCTCTATGTGAGTTTGCAACATCTAGTCTAATATGTTGCAAGGGGTCTCAGAAGTTGGACCAGGCTCAATGTCTGAAAACAGAGGAAATGACTAAACTTCAGAAAATCAGACAGGTAGCTGAGTTATGGGACGTGTCTAGATCATTTGCCAAAAGGGGCTCTGTTAAGAGCAAAGTAAAACCAGGCTAAAGCAATAAGGAGACTCTGAAGACTACAATCTTTACAAAGGAACTCAGGACAGGTATGAGAAAGAAGGAAAGTTCTACAGAGGCTAGCCAACAAAGTACCTTTATGCTATAGAATCCTATGATCAGAACTGGGTCATTGCAGGACAGTGAGAATTACTGAGATTCTGCCTTAATGAGTCTCAGGTTTGTCTTTGGTGAGCCTCATGACTCTCCTTCTCAGGGCAGTATACTTGGAAAGGGGGCTTAATGCACCTCTCCAACCACAGTGGAGGGCAGAAAGAAGAGCTTCATCCTTCAAAGAGAACTGGCTCTGAAACTAAAGATGGGAACTAAGCCTATAATTGCAAATACTAGTAAATTCCAGAAAGGTATAGGAAATGATGCTGGGGATGATGAAGGGACTTCACTTTACTTAATTCTTCAATTGCAAGAATCCAAATTTGTTTCCAGAATAGTTTTTCTTCAAATTAAGGTATTAAAGTGTCTGTGTCTTCCTTCTCTTAAAAGAGCATAACAGAATCTCAGACATATTTAAAATCAGGAATGCAGAGATTCTGGTACAATTAGCAGTTTCTATCCTCAAAAGGAAATTGCTGTTTTTATGATTTTTCTCAAAGTGGTAGATAAAAGAAGAAATTACTCTTCTCTAAAATCTTCCTTTTCCTGTCATTTTCACCTTCGATGCTTTTCTTATTTCTTCTTAGCCATCCCCTATTCAGGTGTAAAGAAGGATCAACTCCTTGTTAGTAAATTTCTGAATATTTTAAATTCTTGTGAGTGCACTTTTAATGCTTGGCACAGTCATTGGTTCTTAGGATGATGAGTTGAGAGTAACCATCATCCAGTTTCACCACTAGATGCTCATAGAGGGGTAAGGTTGGCTCTTGACTAGCAAACTATTCCAAGAAGCTGAGTGATCTCACAACTGTGGAGATGGTGGAGACTGTTGGATTGTAACACAAAACACCAGCAGCCAAGTAGGCCTCAGCGGAAGGTTACTAGAGGTGGAGATTAGCCCTCTGATCTCAATGCTGCCCATACCAGGGCCAGTTTCAGATGGCAAGAGTAACATGTGCTTCACCCTCAGTGCTTAGACATGACACACATCTCTAAGCAGCAAAAGAAAACACTTAAGAAACATGTAACCTGCAATTAAGATGGAGGTGAGAACAGCCCAGAGAAAAGAGAAATTGAGTGGTGAGAGGATATTAACCATCACAGCAGATGAATCCACAATCCATAATGTGTTTATGAGGAAGATGCAGTCCCCCAGATTCTTTCAATGGACTTCTGGCTGTCATTGACTCTTTTTCCCAGCCCTCACTCAGTACGGCGAGGTTTCCATAGTTATATGAATACCCCCCCGAATTTTTTTTCACTCTTCTTGTAAACCTTGAATAAAACAGTTGAATATTCATTAATTTTAAAAATTCATCCAGCTAAATTCTTCAGGTCATGGCTCAAGGACTATTTGCTCATGAAGCCATCAAGAAAGTGCTGAATGTTTTCCATAAAAGGAAAAATGTGAAGTCCAGGAAGGCAGGCCTCTGCTTTTGATTATTATACACCGAGGAAAGGATTTTGGAATTAGAAAAGTATCAGTCCTTGAGAGATGACTTTATTACCTCTCCGTGGAGCACAACTTCAACTTTAAAAGGAACCACTGGGTACCAAAGTTTGGGGAAAACCCTTCTTTTCTGATTCAGTGCATTACCTTCCACCATTAGTATTCCCTGGAATACTTGTCATGTAATAAAGCACGTCTGGTTCCTTTATGGATCTCTTTTCAGGGTAGCTAGGTTCCAACACATAAATATGACTAAAATTTGATGGCAAAATACCCTAAGGGTTATGAGCTGATGCTGCAGACAGAAGTAAAACTCACTTGTCAGCCAGGCTCATCTGTTCCATTTGGGGTAGGATCAGGTGGACAGAAACAACTGTGAATCAAGCTGTTTTGGGGGTTAAGTGAGAAAGCTTGAGAGAGGAAGAATGAAGTAAAAAAAAAAAAAAAAAAAAAAAAGCTTTATAAAGGAGGCAGAGGAAAAAAGATCAAGATTGCTACCACCAGCAGGTACAAAATCTTCTAACACTCTCTGACTAACAGCTGTGTGTACTCCACAAACTCCTGTCTCTGCCTTACTTAGGACCACACAGACTCTTACAAATATACGATTTGTGGCAGGGATAATATTATGCCATGAAAAATAGCCCAGATCACAGTTTTGGGGGCCCTAATCTCACTTTTATCAGACTTTTAGCAATGTACCTAGGAAAACGAATCCCATAAGACAGGAATGATTTATTCTTCCTTCCAACTCTAATCCCTGCCAGTCTACTTAACACCTAGTTATTAAAAAGGTGCTATTAAAGAAGTGAAAAGCATACATATGATATGCTTGTGTGTGTGTATATATATATGTATACATATATACATTATACACACACATAAAAATGTGTATAAGACATCAAATCAGAAGATGACAAATTGAGGCTAAGAGTCTTGCAAAATCCCAATTCTGGTCAGATGGTCTCTTTCTGTACTGCTGAGTAAACAACTTTCCCAATGACACTCATTTATTTAGCTCATAAAATTGTAATTTGCAGTTAAAATATTAGCATAGATCTGTAGTTACTGACATGAAAGACCCTCCAGATTTATTAAGTTAACAAAAAAGGTGCTTGCAGAACAAAACATACAATGTGGTTCAATTTCCAGAATTACTAAAAAACACAAAATATAGCCACATATTTCTATGTAGATAAACATTTTTGAAGTATATACAAAGTGGTTACTTCCAGAGAGGGAAATGAGAAAGCAAAAACCTATCCATTTTACTCTAAATATTTCTTTATTTTTTGAATTTTGTGAAAATATATGCAGTTGTTACTTGAGTAATTGAAAGTAAATAGAGTAAAAATAAAAGAGGCTGTACAAAGCCATCCCAGAATCCATTAATTTGGTATAGTAATGACCACAACCCATCCTTCAAACAATTGGTCAGTGTCCATTTCAATCAGCCACCAATACTTCTTACTCATTTGTTAATTTTTTAAATTGTACAGATAGATTTTGGCTAACACATTTTGATACTTGTGAAGTTTCAAAACTGAATGTCTTTGCTTTTCCATGAAACCACTATAGGCCCGAGAACAAGAATCTTGTCTTATCTATTTTATTTCCTGTCTTATTTTTATTAGGTACACTGTTTGGCACATAATAAATATTTAATAAATATTATTTGAATTTAACTCAAACCCTGTCTCCTTTATAAGCTAAAGATTTGATTCTTGTAAGTTTCTGAAATGATACACACTATAGGCATTCAGAAATACAAATGTCTTATTGAAATTTACACCTTTTATTAAGTCCTCCTCCACAGTTCTCAGTTTGAATTACGCGGAGGCAAGAGACCAGGAGACAAGTACACTTCCAACGGATTAGTTTTCTGATCTAAAACTAGCCACCATTATTCTCCCTTTATCTTCTGTTTTTTTTGTGTCACTTTATAAGCTGTCTCAAAATGGTGTATTATTGAGTTTCCTAGAGTTAAGAGGAAATAAATACAAAACAGAGAAAACTTTCGAGATATACAGATAAAGTTATAGATAAAAAATTAATTTAATTATTAAAGCAAAATTTAGAAACAAATTGAATGTAAAAAATAGAAATAATATTAAATATAAATAGATTAGGATCTACTCTCACATCAGAAAAGGGTACAGTCAATAAAGTCATGTTTTCAGGGCCTAGTTCATTGTAGTAAATTGAATGCATATTTTTGAGCTTCTCCATCTCCAATTGCTATTGAAATTAATATCAGAAAGTAAAAATGGGGAAAATGTTTCCCTGGCCCTGGAAACCAGGTAAGAATGCTATCTATAGGCAAGAAATTTTGAGCAATTATAGCAAGATCTAGCATAAGTGAGATCAGATAGAGGGAAAAAATCAAAAACTAAAATCACATCTGAGAAATTAATGAAAGAGACTTCTATCCCAGGTGAAAATAATTGTTCACAATAGGGCAAAAAATTATATACAAATATCAATATAATGTATGAAACTTCATACTAAATAGTAATAATCTAGATTGAAACAAGTCAATAGTAATAGCCTACTTCGAAAGCTGCAGATTATTCTAAACAATATCTGGAGTTTATCCTATCCCATATTCTCCTCCAGGAAGAAATGATGGAAAAACTTTCACAATTTACCATCTTATAATAGAGACACCAATGTATTTCTTTTTCTTTATTATTGATTTAAATTCAAATCGTTATTTATTTAATTTAAAGATGATCACGAGGGTTTTCTGGACTTGGAGGTTGTTCGGGAGTTACAAGCCAAAAGAAAAATGTTCCCACAATCTTCCTTAACTTACTCATGAAAGACAATTAAACCGAACATTCAAGGCCAAATACTTGAAGAAGGACAAAGTCTTATGTATTGTGTATGGCCAGAATAGATGGGAGAAGCAGTACCACCTAATCTCCCATCTTTAGACACCTGGCCAGAAATTCTCATGGACCTAAATTCTTCATTATGAGATTTGCAGGGTGGTAGGTGTAGTATTAGTAATGTTCTTAGACCATGATTTTTGGCTACCCCAAAATGCCTATTTCTGGGAAACCACAAGATGAGGTCTGTTCTCAAAACATCCTTGAAGCATCACAGGTGTTCCATTACATGCCCCAGGCTTAAAACTTACATAGGGTCACCAGGTTTTATTCAGCAGCAGGGCCCATTCTTTGGCAATCTGTCTTCTAAAGTTATTCCACCATAGTATTTCTCACTGATGTCTGTGGCCTTAAAAGGCCTACTATTATTATTATCACCACTTTATTTTGTTTAGTGAGACAAAGTCTATAGCATTAACCAAAATTTTTCTTCATTGAAGGTTAATTTTTCTTTCCTATTATAATAATAATTGTAGATAATAATTTTTAAAATAAGGTGTTTCTTATATGCTTAGGAAAAATAATCAAAAATACAACATTAAGGAAATCCCTACACAGGAATAAAAATAAAGTGTATAATTCCCACACTACTACAGAAATAGGAAGAAGGTAGTCAGAGCAGGTCAATGAAAATAGAGGTGAAGGAATGGATATCGTTTCTTTAAATTGATACAATACAAATTTTAAAATCATGCTATCAAAGAATATGGGAAATAGTGTTAACATACTATATAAGAGTATAATCTAAATAAAGACTACACTCTCAATTTTTTTTTTAAAAAAAAACCATTTATATACATTTTCCTGTAAGGATGTGAGTGAATATATGTGTGTATACACACACACACACACACACACACACACACACACACACACACACCCTTCAATATTTGTCATCTCCAGATGTTGGGATTACCTATCATGTATTTTCTTTAATGTATTTCTAAATTTTCCACATGAACTCATCTTAAATTAATAATCATTGTTAGTAATTTTAAATAAAAGAATTTAACATAATCAACAAAAATGATTAGACAAATGTGTTTTACTTGTAATAGATTAAAATTATAAACTCAAAAGTAGAGTAAAAGTAAAACAAACCCTAAAGGCATGCCAATGTTCAATACAAAAACAACATATTTTCATATTTTATTGTAACCAATTTCATTTACTAAGTAAAGCATATAATTATGAAATGTTATCAATTCAAATGAGTATTTTTGATAATACTCCATAAGATTAAGTCAGTCAACAATCTATTATAAAGTGTTTATTTTTAAATTTTTATCTTTTTATTATATACACTGAAAAGAATCCTGAACTTGCAATCAGAGGCTAGAATTCAAGAATGTGTTTGACATGGACAGCAGTGCCACTTTGGCTGTGACTCAGCATCTCTGACCCTCCCAGTGTCTTCAAATTACAAAACATTGTGATGGATTTCCACTTTTTCACAGGATTACTGTAAAAACCTGATACAATATTGAAACTGTGTTAAGATTGTGTGATTGGGATCTGGTTTTGCCATAGTCATCTGTAATTGCTAATGGCAAATCACAATTTTTTTAAAAGTTTTTAAAATGTAACGAGTGAATAGAAAACATTTCCTGGCATGTCACCCAAAATGACAAATACATGACACAGTGATGGTATAAAGTGAGACATAAATATGATTCAGTTGAATTACTCACATACCACCAAACAGAGAAATGGGTTCCATTGATAAATCTGTGGTTCAGATCTAACCTATATGGTTTAGGTTATAAAAATTATTGCCTTTAAATTACTAATATTTTGAAAGCTAGAGAATTAACCATCAGAAAATCTAATGTGTAGATACAAATGTGGCAGAAAGAAGAGTCACACAATATCTACCTATCCAAGATTATGTAGCTCAAACTAATTGCTAGTATTTCATTTCTTTAAGATCTTTAGATTTTGCAGTATTTGGTTGAAAATATGACTACAATGTAGTATAATAACACAGAATACAGACACTGATGATAGTAGATAAAATTGACAACAAATTGAAATACTTGGACAAATAAGAGATGCACTCAAATACCTTGGCAACAAGTATAATTACGATATTAAAATTATGTACCAAGCCTTAATTTTTAACAGGCAAGTATGTATTAATAAACAGGCAGTCTATGTAATATATGTATATAGTCTAAGAACACGGAAAACAATAACTACGTAAAGCACTAGAATAAAGCCATAATTACCAACTAATGAGGGTAAATATTTAATAATACATATATGTAATGCATCAAAACTTACTCATGTAGCAACTCAACAGTATAAAAATATTTGACAACGAAAGCAGACAAGAATATTTGTGAGCAATAGCAGTTGTCCCAAGTACTGAGATTACTGCTCATAAACTATTATTATTTGTCATAATTCTGATTATGATTCATATTAATACTGCTTCAGCTTCTATCACTTTGTCCTGTCCCTGGCTTGTTTTCTTAGACCTACATTTAGAGGCAGTATTCTATCCAGTTCCCATTTTTCTGTTCTAGATAGACAAGGCCGCATACCCTGAACCTCTTGATCACTTTACTTTTTGCCTTTTGCCTTAAACCTGGTAAACATGGTAAAGTAATACCCTAGTTCTTTGCTTAGCCTCAAATTAAGACTTCAGGTTAACCAGTTCAAGCCTGTTGCCAGAAACCCACCCAGGTAATGCCCTGGACTCCAATAAAGGCTTCAGCCCAAAAGTCCCTCCCTCTTGCTCTCTACCTAATAATCGAGTGCACATATACTGGACACCTCCCTCTTTCTGATTGGTCCTGTGAGGCATGTTGCCCTCTTCTCTGGGATCTGTGTATAACAAACTTAATCCTTTTGACACTCCAGGCTGAGTGCCTTTCACTGTGCCACACCTAACTATACCAACCTTAACTTAAATATTTCACTCAACAAATCACATTAAATTTTTTGTTATACCTCATTAGCTGGGGTCCTATCATATTTTGAAGATAGGGCAAAGTACATTGCAAAACCTAATTATTTCAATTTTAAAAAGGCTATTCTAATAATTGAGTACTGAAGTGTACTTAAAACAAAATAATAATACCTGCTTTCTTATTTTGCCTTGCTTTCTAACAGCTTCCTCTGAATTATATAACAAAATAATATTACCTTTATCACTAGCATACCAGGAATTTAGGTGAGATTTTTTCATTGAGTCTTAAGTTTTGTTTGCTTTTGTGTTAACTATAACATATTACCCCCGACCCTAATTAAAACTGATACTGGAGTAAAAAATAACAGAACGCGAGAGAAGAGAAAGTCAAAACCAGGTCTAAAATATTCACTTGATCCTTAAATAACATGAGCTTGAATTGCACAGGTCTACTTATACGTGGATTTTTTTCAACCAAACAGATAGAAATATAGTACTCATGGAATGCAAAACTTGCATTTATGGAGGGTTGACTTTTTGTATGTACATATGTGGGTTCCACAGGGCCAACTGAGGGACTTGAGTATGCATGGATTTTGGTATACTTGGAGAAGGTCCTGGAAGCAATCTCCTGTGGCTACCAAGAGACAATTATATAAGGATTTATACATTTGAAAAATGATACTTCACACATTAAGAAAAAGATAGGATTCATCAGTGACTATACTGGATGTACAAGCATAGGTTTTAGGTCTACAATATCTACTTAGAAGAATGCCTGGCGTGTACCCAACAACCCATAAAAAATTGCTGACTAAATTCAGTGAAAAACAAAAAAGAGAGAAATATTTTTTGGTTCTCACTCACATGGCAAGTTAAAACATAGCTGTAGGAAAAAAGCAAAATAACAATTAAAAAGAAAAATGGCAATTATTTATCTCAATTCGTTTGCATAAGTCTAAGCAAAAAAGAAAGCAAAACATGACATCAAGGAAAATAGAAACAATCCAACTATACAAAAAGTATGTTTTAAAACGCACAAATAATTACAAGAAAAATGATAAACTAAGAAAGTATATGCTATATGTATGACAAAGGGCAATTCAAATTTGACAAATCAGCAAAAAAAAATTCTTAGAAAAAATGGTCAAGAATGTCAATAGGCAAGTCACAAAATACATACGAATGTTTGATAATCCTCAAAAATACTTACATGTGCTAGTAATGAAAGAAATGCAAATGGATACCATGATAAAATGTCATTTTAAACTAAAGAATTACCAGAGATTAAAATAAACCATAATAATTAGCATGGAACCTTTCTGAAAAGCAATCAGAGAATATAGATAATATAAAGGTATATTACATTTTTACCTAATATTGCATATTTATCCCAAGTCAGTTATCAAACATGTACATGTACATGTAAAAGGAATTCTATGTGACATTAATAATAAAAAATTGGGGGAAATATCTAGATGCCATGGCTGATATTAATTGCTCAGCACTTTCCAATTTCTCCTTCTTCATCTTATAACACCACCCCCACTATCCTTCCCAGGTTTCATCAGATGACATTTTTATAAGGCAGCAGCTTGCCTACCACATAAAAGACAAGGACATGGTGCTCATGAAATGATTCCAACTGCACAGAAAAGGGCAACCTCCTTGGAGATGGAAGAGAGAAAATAAAGAAATCTGGATTTGTAGGTGACTTTCCAGAGCGGTGCTACCCATCAGAGCCAGGCCTCCTGCTAACCTTTGTGCTATATCAAGGGAGAGAAATAAACTTCTATCACATCTGGGTAACTAATGCTCAATTCTCTTTATTACAGCTGCTTAGTCTCTACATTAATTAATATTAACAATATAGGATAGCCTAAATAACTTCATTCATATGGTGAACATTATTCAGCTAAAAATCTGAAAATTATATACCCCCCCAAATATGCAATTAATCTGAAAATGCTCAGGATATGGAGGTCATTTACAAATCAGATTATTACCTAACCTATGTATTTGAATTCTAATTCAGAGATAGAAAAAAATGAGTGAAAAGAGAACAAAACAGCAAAGTGTAACAACAATTGTTATAACTATATAATGCAAATACAGATAACTTATTTTCCTGATTTTCTGTGATAACTTTATATATTTTTTGATGGAATGTTAAAAAACTGGGGAAAATGTTATAAGAAAAAAATAAAATTCTGATAGAGAAATGCCAGCGCCACACCAAATGAAGAGATGACCTCACCTGAAGATGTCAAGCTCTCAATGACCCAGAAAGGTGGAATAATAACAGTGAAAGTTGCAGTGCTGTGAGCAGAGTGGGGGCTTAATATATATATTTTTAGGTTGGACCACAGCAAATATATTTTTCATGAAACCACTTAGTAACATTTTATATAAACTATTACTGAAAAAGCAGGTTAAATTTTGGCCCTAGTTATAACGTCTACCATTATTCACAACGTATTCAACAATATTTCTAGGATTTTGCTATGGGCCTTTTAAGCAATTATTTTTTCACGATGAACAATTTCAATAAGCACTTGTTTCCTTTCCTTCTGTGTGGCTGAAAAGCTGATGAGATATTCAATCCAGAAAGTTCTGTGAGTTGTTCAGCTTTTTTGAGCAGAAGATTGGAACTTACTGAATATAGTCTCTCACCTAACATAATGGAAAACCTGAATAAGTGAATACAAATACAAAATAGGAATTCACACAATTTCTTAGGTGATAGAAAATTACAAATTCAAAAATATAACATAATCTGCTTTTCATGCTGATTTCTTTACTACTATGTAATACTTTTTATCGCGTTTTCATGCAAAGATAAAAAAAGTAGACATTTGCAGAATTTATGATTCCATCTCAACTTCCCAATCCAACTGAGCCTAAACACTTTAGAACATATTTTAAAAGTGTCAACCAATGACAAGTACAAAGAAACTTTAACATTCTATTCTAAGGATTCCATTAAACTTTTAGAAGCCCTGACTTTTCGGTGACTTCAGGACCATGCAGATCAGAATGAATAAATTCTTACTGTCCTGAACACAAGGCTAATAATTAAGGTGACATCATCCTTTGCTGACACCACTCTCAGTTCAATTCTCACTGAGTCAATCCAATCAAAGCTGGATTAGTTGAATATCCCCCAGTAGAAATAGTCACAATTAAAGATAGCTGTAAACTTAACAGTAAGTCTGTGTGGATTCAACTGGTAAGTCCCAATGTTCATATCCACATAAAAATAAATGTCCTTGGGTGGCAGTTTATCTCCTGGTGGAGATAAGCTAAACCTCTCAGAGGATGGTTCTTCTGGAGCACTCTTCTTTTCTCTGCATCTTGTGTTTTAGAAAAATATGTGAAGGAAGACAAAACCCCATCTTAATGAGCACATCTCCTTTTTCCTGGCCAGCTCTACATGTTTCAGGATGAACATCACTTGCTCAGGGAAGCCTCATAACCCCCCTACCCCTGTCCCACGTCTGAATTAGGTGTTCTTGCTACATCCACCCTCATCACTTTACATAATTTTACCATGGGCTTGGCATACTTTATTGCAACTGCCCATTTTGCTCCATGGAGAACAGAACTTCTTCAATCTTGTTCACTGTTTTGTCCCCAGCAATTAACACTATGCCTGGAATAAAATAAGCACTCAATTGTCAAATGATTGAATGAATGGATTGATGGATAGACAACCAATGCCAAATAAATGAGAGGGCAAGACAGACCCACCATATCTTCATCTGGTTTCCTAGATAAGACCTCAGTTTTGCATTTAGAAGACAAGTAGTTATTTAATCACTACCTTCTCACTGGTGAACTTCAGGACTCACCAAAAACCAGTTACTACCTCTGAAGGCAGGACACAAACTGTTCTGCTCACCGCCCCCCATATTACATTTTCAAATCTTGCTTATGACTTTTTGAATAATGAGAAAAAGATACAGGAGTACTTTTCACCAATTTTACAAAGGTTCACTCGCTGCCTCTGGACTCTAAGAAAAAGGCTTATTTTCTTGGCTCTTTGTTGGAGTGCTATAAGCTAAAAATCTGTGGGCATCAAATATAAATGAATATTTGAATATATTATTCATATAAGGATATAATATAGTATTTCATTATTTTCTAGATGTTAAGATAATCTCCACATAAAAGCACATTTCTAAGTACTGAACCTGCTGAGGTAATTTAAGACAGTAATTAGAAGTTAGGTAAACTTAGTAGCACATTTGAACCATGACTATAACTGTAACTTTTCCCATCTACCAACTGGGTTCCCTTAAGTCAGGAAATCTAGTTGCACAAAGAAGACCAAGTAGGATTCAAGTGCCAAGAGTTGCCTTTGGATCAATCACAAAGTTGAGATGATAAATTTGAACTTCTCATCCAATTTCCCCATTATGAAATTTACAGACTATTTCTTCTTTATATTCCAAACACTTTGCTACCCAACTGTAGTCCCCATCTGGCTATAGCATTTTCCATATCGGTCCTGATTTTCTGGTTGATGATTCTACTACGGAAATTGTTTTTGAGCAAAATGTTACAAAAAACAATTTCAGCTGCTGAAGAAATTGATTCTAAAATATCTTGTTTTGATTTTTCAACCTTAAAAATCTAGAAAAATAAAAACTTCATTTTGAGTATCTAAGAAAATTTTAGATCATTAACATTTTAAACTCACAGTTGGGAAGGATTTAGTTCAAAATGCAACGTAATTTTTTTTTTTTTTAGAGGTGGAGGTGAAACAGAAGAATGACATTTATACCTGATGTTTAATGTTAATGGCTGATTATAGTCCCAACTTACTGCACAATTTCTATCATCCCACAAAGCTACTGCCATTGAAGGGATGTGAATATTTGCTAACACTGCCAACTCAAGTATACATATTCTAATAATCTTCTAAAATACTTTTACAAGAGGTACCTAAGAAAAAGACCTTATTACATTCTACTTGAGACAATTGAAAACTTCAAATATAGTGGAACCAGTTGGTAGAAAAAACTCTCAAAAAAAATGAGGCCCTATCTGGACATGAAAAGAGAAGTGGAAAATTGAGGCAATTACCCAGGTCTTTCAAGATAAGAGAAGCCTTTAGCAAGCCACTGAAGCAAATACTTTCTTTTTCTTTTCTATTTTCTGTCCTGAAAGATATATATAATTGTTTAAAGTTCTTATTTCATCAAACTTGCACTAAAACAAATTTAAACATCTGACATTTCAAATACATTTCAATTGCAATCTGAGTTTGTCAACTTTAGGAATGTGGAATGAGAGTAGAAGGTTCTGATCTCCCTTACTTCCCGGTAATTGCAATACTTAAGAAGCTCTAGGGTTGGAAGGCACATGGAGGCAGCTTTTAGGAGCAAGAGATCTTGCTAAATGCCTGGGGCTCTATCTCTGGGAGATTTAGGTGACAAGCATGGGCTTTTGAGTTAGGCCTACGCTCCAAGTCATTTCTCTGTTTCTAAAATAATGTCTTACTTTCTGGTTCTGCATGTCTTCATCAGGCAAATGGTACCTTACAAGCTATTTGTTAGTGATGAGTAATTACAACATAACATAAGCAAAGCCCTTAATACACTCAGAGATAGCATGGGCTTGGTAAAGGGAGCTGATGGTCTGAGTTAGTTTGGGACTAGCCCTGGTTACACTTCATGGCTATATATGCATAAATAAGTACATTTGCACAGTCCTAAAGTGAAAATGCATCAGCTTTCAGAACCAACCAACGCTTGTAAGCCCCCCGACTTTTATGTTAGCAGAACTCAATCCCTTTCATTTACAGCATATTCAATGCAGCTACACCTAACATAAAATATAACTTTATCTGCTGCAAACATTTTGAAAGGATGTTTAATTTTCCTTGTTAACATGTAAACTTAAATTTAGTTATGATTTGATTTCTCGGCAATTATCAGTATCATCTTGTGATCTGAGCAAATGCGATTCTATAATTGTTTTCAAAATGTGAACAATGTTTATTGTGACTAATAATTTCTGAAGATTAACATAACAAACATATTAATTTTGGCTAAGACCATTTCTCTGAGTCACAAAAAAGGTAATCAATGATCATTTGTCAGACTTCTGTTTAAACTCCAGCTCTAGCACTCTGAGCTGTGTGACCTGCATAAATTACTTGGCCCCTCTGAGCCTTCTTTAAAATAGGCATATATCATCACCATCTCTCCCTCCTTCAGCCATGTGTTGTGATGCATACATGAGAGAATATGTGTGTAGGTACCCTGTTAATGTGTGAGTATATTAGTATTTGAATGAACACGTGGAGCAAAAACAATAATAGCACCCTCAAAGTCAAATTGAGATTCTTGTTCCGTTTTTCTCACACCCTCTGTAATAAGTACTAACACGCAGTATCCTGCGTTGGCAGAGGAGGGTATAATAAGACCCCACATCTACCCATACTAATAAGTAAAGTAGCAGATCGAAGGCCCTCCGGGATTTAAGTCCTGCCTTGAAGATGCAGAACAGGGAGGTCAATGCCACCTATAGCGAGAATTTCTTTCCTCTGCAAAGGTGAAAGTCTCCAGATACAGGGGCTCTTCCCAGATCATAAGTCACCCTCCAGTAGCCATTTACGCTGTAGGAGGAAGGGCCCCACAAGTAGCCTGCTCAGGCTCCCTGGAAACTTCTGTGGCTTTCATCAGAGTTCCGAAAGTGAAACGAGGCCAGACATCCTTCCAGGGCCAAAATAGTTCGGAAACAAAAATACGCTGTGCGGCAAGCCCACCGAAGCCAAGGCAGCTGAATAAGCACCCAGCTCACAGCACAGGAAACCAGGCTGCCCTGTAAATAAAATTAGCCTAATGAGACTCTGTCGCCATCCCATGTCTGAACTGAAAAGTGATTTCTGCCAAGCCCTATATCCAAGCAGATAATCGTCTCTCTGAACATGCATGGGACTTCTAGCTAAAGACATTTCAGTTGAAATTCAGAGTACTCATGTACTAAAGTATTTTTTTTATAATTATTCTCCCTAGAATTCTAGGATAGAGAGGACTTTTCCCATTCTATGATTTTAGAAGTTATTTATTTACGCCAAACTCCATTTTAATTGAGGAATAGTATGATTGTGCATATACTTGAAGGAGAAAAGCAGGGAGAGAGATGGAGAGGAAAAAGAGAGAAGTTTTCATTGTCTAAAGTATTTTTTATGGTTCCCAAACTAATAAAGAACTAAGGATTTAGATACCAAAGCTGGCCCCTTTCCAATAGGGCATCCAATGAGAGTTGCTCTCAAAGGATTTATCCACGAGGAAAGCAAATTCACTCATATAAACAAAACAGGATTAAAAAATTGTTCCAGGAACGTCACAGCTCTGTCTCAATAAGCTTGGCTGTGTATTTAGAGACTTGGTTGGATTAACATATCCCACTATGTGACGTCGCTGCCTCCTATGGTCTGTGCGGTGAACGAAAGTGAGGCAATCAGCAGCAGGTAAAGATACTGTATGTGCTCCTTGTTGCTGAAATCAATGACTAATCCTGCATGGACAGGATGAATACAAAGTCAGGGAATCTGCTCTCACTGCAGAATGCCTTTTATAATATTTGCATTGAAAAAGTTTTAATAATACACTCAGCTATGGTAGTCAATGTCCTATAGAAATACAACAGATAAGCTGGTTGACCCCCTAACGTTCGATTAATTCATCCCTGCTCCATGTATCCCTCTGAATGTGTTCTTATGTCTCTTTGTGTTTCAGTGAGCTGGCAGTCTTCCTTTTCTTTGGTTACTCTCCATGGGAACTAGGTCAGGGATCTACCCACTGTGGACTCCAATGAATGGTCCCAGTTGATTGATTGTTTTAAGTGAGACTTGGAGACATTTTAAGAACACTGTAAGGATGATGGTTTGGGACATGGCACAGTTTAGCCTCAACTAAGTAGAACATTAAAAAAAAAAAAAACCACTTAACTTTTGGAAGCAGTCCTAAATGTTTAGGACTAAAACTTGTTAATAGGATGGGTAGAAGAAATGATTACAGAAATTTATTTTTTGTTTTCCTTTTTTGTTTTGTTTTGTTTTTTATGTGTAGCTGGTAGGGGAAAAAAGAAAAGTATAAAAGGGAATTTTCAAGGTATCTGATTCTGGGTTGGAAAAGGGAAAAAGTGGAATGGAATGGCAGATTCTTGTATATTCAAAATAAATCTTTCTACTCTCTAGTAATATGAGGTACAGTGCTATAAAGCTTTTGCTCTGAATCACTATGGATAAATAACTTAAATTCTCTAAAGCTTTGATAACATGAGAGTGTTATCTATATGAGAGGATTTTTGTAAAGATTAAATGAGATAAAGCACATGAAGTGATCATAAGTCTGTCCCACAAAGGGTAGGTGTTAATAAATGTAGCTGAAATTATAGTATTAATGCAGATTGTAAACTTGCCCATTGCCTACACACCTAGGCTGTAAAAATTTGCATTTACAGTCTGCATAATACCTAAAATGAGAATATAAAAGTCTTACTCTAGTTATTTAAAAGCATATTAAACTGTACAAATTTGAAGTTTCATTCATCGCTAAAGCTAATTCTAAGGAAAGTCAAAAGAAAGAAACTTCTGAAGAATGACAGCAGTGCAAAGCAACAATCATAAATAGAGATAGAGCATGATAACATATATATGTCATGGTTAATGTCAATTTCAGCTAAGATTTGTCAAAGAATAGCAAGCCAAATACATTTAGACTTCCCTAAATAGTTTTGTTTACTATCTTCACCCAGACATCTTATAATATAAGAAGGGTGATTTTAAGATATTAAAAGTTTGCCTTTGGAGTTAAAAAGTAAAGACAAACAGAACCTATAAGCTCATAACACCTTAGGCTTAGAAGTCATTAGATTGCCTAATTCAACTCAATATTACCACCATGTAAAAATACCTACCTAGAGCATTGTCAGTTACACACCTGAATATTCAAAATCACAGGTGTTCATTGCCTCCTAAGGCTTTCTACTCTAATTTCACACAGTTCTAATAGTTAAAAAGTTCTTCATGCTGAATTGAATTCCCCATTCTTGTAACAATTTCTATTACCTGTTGGAACAATACAAAATTATTCTCTTTTCTACATAAAAGCCTTTTAAATATAGAAAGATTATTATCAGGGTGTCCCTAAAATCTTTCTCCCTTAAGACAAATATGCCCAGTACCATCAGAGATTTCTGTTAGTTGTATGTAAATTCTCCAGTCACCCTTTTCTTGAATCAGTGAACATCTGCTCAATACCACACTCTGGTGTGAACTGAGAAAAACAATATAGGGTAGGAACATCGGCTCCTGTGGACCTGACATTAACACACTATTAATGCAATCCAAAAGGATATCAGAATGTTTTAATCGCTACATCACTCTGTTGGCTTGTAAAGAGATTTGCTTTGTATAAAAATTTGCTCATATTTATATTAAGATGGGTTCAGAGTAGTCTTCCTATTTCTGTTGTTTTTTTTAACCTAAACAATTGAATTTGAATTTGTCTATGTTAAAGTCGTCTTGGTTTTAGCTGTTTGTTCCAACCAGTTTAAATTTGTCTTGAATTCCATATTTATTATGTGATCCTCCATTTCAAAGCATTTGTGTAACTTTTCAGCCCACATCCAAGTTGTTGTGCAGCATTTTAAAAGGGACAGGGACAAATACAGGACTGTGAGGCTGGGCATTCATATGCCACTTTCTGGGTAAAATCTCATGACCTACATTCTTTATTCACAGCTCTCCAATTTGTCAGCAACAAATCAGTAAAAACTGTTCCATGACTTGCTCAAATTTGAAAAGACTTTGCTTTTGCTTTTTAAATCACCTAATCCAGAAGTCTAGAATCCTACCCCAAAAAAGGAATCAAGAGTAACTTTCATTCCCATCCTTTTAAAATACATTCTGAAATTTAGTGGTTGCCCTTTTTCTGTGAACTCAAAACCATGTGTTTCCTGACTTATTTTGCCCAGAAATTGTTGTCAAATTTACAAATCTGTCACATTCGTAATCCATTTCTCTCTCCCTCTCTTTTTGTAAATGGCCTAGTATAAGCTTTTCTAGAAGCTTATGCTTACTTTGTCATCTCTGCTCTTGAAGTTTGTCTCCTCTCCAGAGTGCAATTTATCTGGGCTTGATATTAGAAATCATTTGACATACGTAGGTATCTTCTTAACGTGGCCTTTCCTTTCCTGGCCTTCCATATATTCTTATTAACCTTTATTCTACTTTCCAGTTGGGAAAAAAATGTCAAACAAAAAATAAAAATAAAGATTTCTCTCTTTCTCATGTCGTTTGTTAGTATTACACCATATTTCCAGCATGCTCATTCTGCCTTCCTTTCATGTGAATACAACTATGTTACGATTTGACGGTGGAGGAGGTTGGGGGAGAATCTTATTCCAAAACTGAAATCCTTAAGGAATTTTAAATTTTTGCTTTTAAAAATCTCAATGTTTCTTTTTTAAAAGGTATTGTTTACATTTTTAAAAAGTACATTTTTTATTTTTGCATTTATTTCTAATTATTAAAATTATATATATATACACTCTGTAGAAATTCTTGAAAAAAATTATATAAGCAAGCAAGTAATGAAAAAAAACCTCAAAATCCATTTTTCAACATCCATCCCATAGTCCCCACTTATCTGAGGAAGATACCTTCCAAGACTTCCAGTGGATTCTTGAAACCTCAGATGCTATTGAACCCTGTATATACTATGTTTTGTCCTATATGTAACCTATGATAAGGTATAATTTATAAATTAGCCACAGTAAGAGATTAACAATAATAATAAAATAGTACTTTATAACAATATGCCAGAATTTCTACTCTTGAACTTTGGGACCATTATTAAGTAAAATAAGAATTACTTGACCACAAGCACTACAATACTGAGACAGTCGATCAGATAAGAGATGGTTACTGAGTGACTAGCAGGGAGGTAACATATACAAGAGCATAGATATGTTGGCCAAAGGGATGAGTTACGCCCAGGCAGGATGGAGTGTGACAGCACAAGATTTCAATGCATTATTCAGAATAGTGAGCCATTTAAAACTTATGAATTGTTTATTTCTGGAATTTCCCATTTAACATTTTTTGGACTTCGATTGACTACGGGAAACTGAAACTTCAGAAAGCGAAACCACAGATAAGGGAGGACTGCTGTATAGATTCTAAAATATAAATAAAAAAGAAATATTGACTTTAATTCCATGATATCATTGAGCTCTCGGTGTTCAAGTCATTCATCCCTTCAATGTTCTGGCTTCTGACTTAACTAGATGCTAGAGCTACAATAAGAACTAAGAGTTCTAGACAGAAAGTACACATTCTTTGGCCTCAAGAAGTTTATTAACCATTAGATAAGCAAACTAAAAACTGAGATAGCTTGTAGAGCAAAGTGAAGTATGGGATGTCAAGAGAAGTCCAAAGAAACAGTACCTGAGAGCCTGGCAGAACATGGTCAGGAAAGGAGGCTCTAGTTATAATCCTAAATGAAGGCTCTTGGTTGAATATTCTTTCAAGCCACAAAAACATCCACAACATTCCCTTTTCAGTCTGGATCACATCACTAGAAAAGCTTCTAATCCCCTTTCTTTGACCAGAAAACTCAGCCTTTCTGTTCTCACTATCATTGTGAAGATGTATTTGTTTTTCCCAAAACCAAAAAAATATTTTACCACAGAGTAAGAAGTAGTTATATGCTCCCAAAACACAATATGTATTAAGGCACAAAAGCCATCTTTCAAGTAATCCTTGTTTTGATCTGAGAAGGATTCGTCGCTGAATTTAGGGAAACGTTCTCTCCCCAAGTAATTGCAATATCCATCTAATTCCGGCTGAAACAAACTCCTGTCATTCTGCTTATTCACACACCTATGTGAGCAAATGTAATTTCCTTGAGATAAAGTGTGTTGGCTGAATTGGTAAGAAAGAAATAGGGAAAGCAATTATTCAAAAAAAAAAATGAAGAAGAAGAAAAAAAGAAAACAAACAAAAGGACCCTGCCTGTGCTTATTAGTTCTTTGGTACAGAGCCATGTTTTGAGTCAGGAGCTTGTGTGAGTGTCTTATCCTTGGCTTAGGAAGAAATAGGGAACAAATGCACATCTATGGAAGCACAAACACAGAGGATTTCCTTTTGATCAATTAGTATAGAATGTAATGGCAGCTTTACATATATTTTTCCATAAACATGGAATAATAAAACATCTATTTACTAATAGTTGCAGGAAAACCAGCAAAGATGAACATATGACCTTTTATTATATGCAACATGTATTTTTGGCTGGCCAATTTCAGAAGATCCTTTCTACCTTTGTAGAATTGATTGACAATAAATATTAGTAGGAAATAGAACCTGCTCCATTTATAGAAACTGACAAAGACATACTTTCCCAGCCTACTTCGTAACGATGGAGAAAACATGGACCTACCTTTTATGAAAAAGATGTACCTGTTGGCCAGGCACAGTGGTTCACGCCTGTAATCCCAGCACTTTGGGAGGCCAAGGCAGGTGGATCACCTTAGGTCAGAAGTTCAAGACCAGCCTAGCCAACATGGTGAAACCCTGTCTCTACTAAGGATATAAAAATTAGCTGGGCATGGTGGCACACGCCTGTGGTCCCAACTACTCAGGAGTCTGAGGCAGGAGAATCGCTTGAACCTGGGAGGCAGAAGTTGCAGTGAGCCGAGATCACACCACTGCACTCCAGCCTGGGCGACAGAGCAAGACTCCGTCTCAAAAAAAAAAAAAAATGTACCTGTCAAAGGCATTGAGTCCAGAGTGGGTTATGAGAAGCATTCAGTGCCAGTAGTAGGGAGGGTTCAAGATGGTGCACTGATATCCAATGGTAATAGCAAAGGCATCCTCTGCAGACTGATTCATTGGCAAGATTTAATTTTGGGTATCTACCTTTCATTTACTTCTGCATATTTTGCCAACCTGATTTTTCTACCTTCTAGGTAATTCAGTGAGTTACCTAATGTAGACTCAGTAACTTCTTTTTCTGCTTAAGTTATCCACAGTTAATTTCTTTGGTTCACAACTCCACTAATATAATATTCTGACCAATAAGTCTCCTTCTCAATCTAATCTCTAAGGTTCTATTATTTCATCCAAACCACTCTATGGCAATTTATCTTTTTAAATACATGATTCTCCTCTATGAAGTCTTTGAGGGCAGGCATAGCTCTCCTTTTTTTCCTACCCATTACCTAAGAATATAATGCACACACACACACACACACACACAGACACTTCAAAATGTGTGTGAAAGTGAATGGTGCCATTAAAATCTTTTTATTGTTTCCCAGATACGTAATTCACCTTATCCTTGTAAATCGAAATAGACCACACTCTTTCATAGCTAGAGCTTTTGTTATTTGCTTATGAATTTTTCTTCTTTTTCTATTAGCTTTGGTGCAAGGACTGGGTTTTGTTAAGTTTAGATCCTGTATCCAATAAATAACTTATTGATGACTGTGAACACAACTAATGAATAGCAGAGCCATGCCTAGAAATCATGTTAACTAACTCTTGCCTGTATGCCCCTCAGCCTCTGAGCAGCATCATAACTAGCATGACAATCCCTTAGTTTCTAAGTAATGATTATACCACCACCTTAGACGGTTGGCATTTAGAGGCAAATAACCCTCATATAAAATATTTTATCCAGTTGTCTGATGTTACCACATAGGCCCTAAAGGACTAAAGTGGCTCAGTACATCTGATTTTAGAAAAACTGGTTGAAATTGGCCGGGCCTGGTGGCTCATGTCTGTAATCCCAGCACTTTGGGAGGCTGAGGCGGGCAGATTACAAGGTCAGGAGATCAAGACCATCCTGGCTAACATGGTGAAACCCTGTCTCTACTAAAAATACAAAAAATTAGCCGGGCGTTGTGGAGGGCACCTGTAGTCCCAGCTACTCGGGAGGCTGAGGCAGGAGAAGGAAGGAGAGTGGCGCGAACCCGGGAGGCGGAGCTTGCAGTGAGCCTAGATTGCGCCACTGCACTCCAGCCTGGGCGACAGAGCGAGACTCCATCTCAAAAAAAAAAAAAAAAAAAGAAAGAAAGAAAAACTGGTTGAAATGATAGAATCTCTATCTATCACAATAGTTATCATTAGCCATATCATGATATCTGGCATTTTGTCATTCATGTATGTATTGTCTCAACTAATCTTGGCATACTTGAGAAGGAGGGTAAATATTTTTGTCATCTGACTTTATACATTGAAACACCCACTATTAATTAGTTAATACTTCCTCAAATCATCTGCCAGACTGTAATCCATTCAAGTAGCCAACACACAAAATAAGCATCTTTCTGCACTCCTCCAACCACAGGGGTTGTAGGCAAGATATTTTTATCAATATCTCACTTGAACTAATGCCTTTCTTGCCTGACTGTATCGAATATTTATTCAGCCTATTTGCAGTGTGGTACAGTATAAGAAAGGCTAGTTTTGTAACTAACTATACTGGGTTTGAATCTAGCGTACCCCACTTACTACCTGTGTGTCCCTGAACAAGTTACCAAACTTCATATTGCTTCGGTTTTCTCCCCTACAAAGGGTGTGCTATCTTGCAAAGATTTCCTAGGCTGGTGTATTAGTCTGTTCTCACACTGCTATAAAGAACTACCTAAGACTGGGTAATTTATGAATGAAAGAGGTTTAAGCGACTCACAGTCCCACAGGCTATACAGAAGGCATGTCTGGGAAGGCCTCAGAAAACTTACGATCATGGCAGAAGGCAAAAGGGAAGCAAGAACAATCTTCACATGGCGGAGCAGGAGAGAGAAAGTGAAGGGGGAAGCGCTTCACACTTTTAAACAACGAGATCTCGTGAGAACTCTATCACGAGGACAGCAAGGGGGATGTCCACCCCCATGATTCAATCACCTCCCACCAGGACCCTCCTTCAGCAAGTGGGGATTACAATTCGACATGAGATTTGGATGGGTACACAGAGCCAAACCATATCAACTGGAAATGGAAGATTTTATATGATAATATATAAAGCACTTAGCAGATGGTCCCGGAAGTGAATGGCTGTTATTATTACTGTAATTATTTTCAGGCATTATGCTGAGTACTTCATCCGAATTATTTCATAGAATATATAAAAAAAAACTTATGTAGAACATTATTCTTATTCCCAATTTACTGATAAGAAAAATGAGATTTAGAGAAATTAAGTAAACTGCCCCAAACTCTCAGCAATGGCTAAGTCCAGAATTTGAACTTAAATTTTTCTGCCTCCCAAGACCTTCCACTCAACCATCCCATGTCACTCCCTTTCCCACTACATGCCTCCTGCTATCTCTCTGAGCTTTCACTTCCTGCAGATGGATGGATCCACAGCGCCACAGATAATGAAGTTGCCGTCCAGCCTACCATTTCATTACTCACCGAGCTGAATAACAGCCCTGTACTCCTGCGCCTCATCCCCCTCATCTTCCCGCACCTTCCTTGCTCTTACATTGAGCACAAACACAGCCTCCTTTGGCCCTGTAAGGAGTATGACAGAACATGCCAGTTTATTTATCAGAAGAGACTTAAGCTTTTAATAAATGACCATTTCAGAAATACAATTTTGGAGATCTCTTGGAGGGCAATAACTGGAGATGGTATTGTCATCAGTGGCGACGGAAAGCTGACTGTATTTGTTTCTCTGTCCTCCTGTGTTCCCTTCAGGTACCACATAAAAGCATTAAATAATAGCTTAGCCTAAGTCATGCCTGAATGCCTAAGATCTCCTGAAGGGTAAACCATTTCTTTGTCACTCCTTGCTACAAGGTTAAGGCCATCTTTAAGAGGGAAATGCCTACTGTAATGACTCACAGGTGGCTTCTTAGTGGCCTGTTTTGTTGCTAAATGTCTCATTTTACATGGTAAATCATTGTACCATTGCATCAATTGTGTGTCACTGGGACGAAAGCATAGCTTTGCTCCTGCTGATCATTCCAGATATCATAACCCCAACCCACATACAATGCTTGCTCTTTTATTCTTTCTCTTGTATTAGGTGACTTGCCTGCAGACTCCAGGTCCTTAGGGTAGGAACTTTTAGTTATTTGTTCAACACAAGTCATTCTATGAGAAAGTTCTGTGTACATGAAAGTAGCAAATAAAGCTACCTTAGAGCCAATGCTAGAGAAAGTGTGCAAAATGCTGTAATTTGAGATATTAAAGATATAATTGCTTAATAAATCTGAACATAACATTATCATTTCACATTTATTTTTAAAAAGTATATTTTTTAACTCTGATAATTCACCCCAGAAGAGGCATTGCTTTCGATATAAATGATATAAAGACTTTTGATTAGCAAACAAAATTATACACAAAATAACAACTTGAATGTCTCTAAAATTAGAGCATCTCAGCCTTTGAACTTATCAACTGAAGATGAATGAGGTTCATAAATTTGGAAAGGAGAGCTTTATTTCTCATAAAAAGTTGCAGCCTGCTGGGTGGCCATTCTGACACACCATTCTGACAAGCATAGCCTTCGGCCAGAAGCCAGAAACAGACACTGTAGGGACAAACGGAGGGGCAAAGGGAACAGGAATTTATGCTGAGAAGGGTGGCAAATGGCTGTATTTAATAAGCTATAGGAGGAGTCATGAATATTTATGAAAGGAGAAATAGGTACATGAGCAGTTGAGCTTCATGTCCCTTTATGTATCCTATGTACAAAAAACGGCAGCATTAGCATGATCCAAGGAGTGGAGTTTTCAGGCTCTGACATAAAAACACGAAGCAGAAGACATGAAAACTTTTACTGTGCATTCTCCATAGACTGGCCAGGACAACTCTGTGGTTTGTGGTCAATTATTAGATGAAAAAGGAGAGGCTGCGTCAGGTGGTTGGTTTATGCCAGTGTGGAGTCCTGAAGCGGCCTCTTTCTTAGGAAAGAAAGGCTAATGGTGGTTAGCCAGCGAGGGCGTATAACAAGGCATGTCTGACCACCTGTCCTTGTGGCTGAGAACTCAAGGTTACTTTGGGGTCCCCTTGGCCAAAAGATGGTCCTTTCAGTTGGCTGCAAATTTTACTTTCATCTCTCAGACTGAAATATTTGTGGAGCCAATAAAACGATCTTTATGAAAACTATATGATGATGGGGGGGAAGGAACATGCAAAATATTACCAATTATTTTAAAATAACTGGAAAACTAAACCAACCCCTGCAAGGAAAAAGGAAAGATGGGAATTCAGGGTGATATATGAAGTATTAATTTACGACAACACGATTAACTGAAACTTCAAAACGTATGTCTTGTTTCCCTGTGATCACTCATATACAGAAAGATGGAAGTAAAATCTCCTAGATTTAAAGGACCCTTTGATAATCATGAGACAGAAAGAATTATGAAGCAAATACATACCAGCAGGTATTTCCCCCCCGTATTAGTCAGGATAGGATAGGCTGTGCTACACTAATAACCCCCAAATTTCCACAACTTAATATATGTTGTTTCTTACTCAGCCAAGTTCCCCGTGGTCCCATTGGCTCTTTAAGGTCCTTTCAAGTATTGACCTGTATGAACTACATTTGGAGATACCGACTATCAGGGAGGTAATTATTTTAGCAGGGAAGACCTGTTGAGATAACCGGGAAATTTCCTTTTACTTACTGTTTTTCTTTAGTCCCTTTATCTAGAGGCACAGCTGCTTAAAGAAACCACATGGCCCAGGATGGCACCAGAGCTTCTTGAGCCCTGACCAGATGCCAGAGGAAGATAAGATGCTGAGAAACTAATGCAAACTGGAACCACAATCCCTGATTTTCTTCATATCATTAACATACAATTATAATGCTAAAATTTTGTTCCCTAAAAGAAAATCTCCTCCATTCTGTGTACATGTGATGTATGAAGACATGTTTATGAACCGTGCTTACGCATCTGGAGTCCCACCCTGCACATGCTAACATTCTTCTCCTGCCCCACGCCTTATCCTTAAAAACCCCATATGCCTTCTGTTGTTTGGGGAGAAGGTGCATCTAGAATGAGTGCTCCCTTTCTCCATTATCTGGCCAGGGAATAAAACGGTATTGCTTTTTCTAATTGCATGGTCTTTCTTTTTGACCACTACAAAGTGGGGAAAAAACTCAGTTTACCAGTGACAATTACAGTTAAATAAAACATAAGGATGCAATACTAATCTTATAGGAATGGTACCCTTATAAGAAAGGAAAGAGACATCAGATCTCTTGTTCTCTTTCCACGTGCTCAGAGGAAAGGCCATGTGAGGACACAGCAAGAAGGTGGCTGTTTACTAGCCAAGAAAAAAAGTCTTTACCAAAAACTAAATTTGCTGGCACTTTTCACCACACCTATGAGAAAATAAAATGTCTGTTGTTTAAGCCACCCAGTCTGTGGTATTTTGTTATGGCAGCCCAAGCAGATTAATACAATTAGTTTAGCTCAAATGTGACATGCATCATATCTGACCACAGGCCATGGGCCAGAACTAGTCAAACAGTTCTGCCTAACTGCATAGAGACTGGAAAGTTCCATCTGTCATACGTCCAGAAGGAGAACAGAACTAAGTATTAGTGAACACTAGTAATGGCTACCATACCTCCACTCACATGCCCAAAATGTGAGCTAAATAAGCTCTGAGCTGGGTAAGAAGAGGGAGAAAATCTTAGAAAAATAAGAGAGAATGAGATCCAGTAAATAGCTAGTGTCACCTTCATTCCTCTTGGATTTAATCCCAAGAGACAAGAAGAGTAGATGGCTTGACTTGTTTCTAATGTGGAGATTTCTGACAGCAGGAGATTTCCCAAAGTACTGTACATTTTCAGAGCACAGGGAAGCCATACTATGGCATATTGGAGAATTGGGATGCTGCTACCATCCCCAACTGGTTCCCAGTGGCTTGCAGGCATTTCAGTAAAAGATTCTAATAGAAGATTCAAAAAGCTTATGATACCTGCTATGGTCTAAATGTTTATATCTCCCAAAATTCATATGTTGAAAACTAATCTCCAATGCAATACTACTAAGAGGAGGGCCTTTTGGAAGTGATTAGGTGATGAGGGCTCTATCCTCATGAATGGGATTAATGACATTATAAGAGGCTTGAGGGAGCTTGTTTTTCCCTTCTGCCATGTGAGGACACAGCTAGAGGCACCATCTATGATGCAAAGAGTCCTTATCAGACAATGAATCTGCAGACACCTTGATCTTGCACTTCCCTGCCTTCAGAACTGTGTGAAATAAATATCTGTTTATATTCATTCTAAGACATTTTGTTATAGCAGCCTGGATGTGCATCTTAATGTGTGTCTCTTACCACCCCTAGATGGGCATAAAGATAAACTCAGGTGATAGGGTCAGCTGGTAGCTCAGAAGCTACACCACTGAGGAGAACAGCAGCTTCTATATAGAGCTCCTGAGTGTTATGCTTTGCAAGATAGAGTTAACAGTTGGAGATGCTGACACAGATCTTGGATTTATAGTTTCAATAAGGACAATGGGGTTCCACAATAACAGAGGTCATATGGCATTACTTAACAGACAGAGGCAAGATGGATGAAATTATTGTGAGAGAAAGCAAAGCCAAAGTAGCAACCTGGGTGTCTTGACCTGTGAAGATCTGTGACTACAGTGACCAGACCATACTATTACTAGGAGCAGGATAGATGCCTACTAGTCTGCGGCATGTAAGGATATCCTCTCCTAAGTAAAGAATAAGCTGTTGCACCTTGTATGCCACAGCTCTGAAAATGATGTACAGTATTTGGTGGACCTGTTTGAATTGTAAAGCATTTACCACACTTGGGGATATTGCTGTGAGCCATTTATCAGGTGATTCAGAAAGATGCCAGTTTTCAGTGGTGCTCAAAGCAAGAGAAGATTCTACAGCAGTTCCAGGTACAGTGAAAGGTGTCCTGCCATTAAGACCATATGACCCAACAGATGTAATTGAGAGGTGACAGCATGCTGGCAGCCCTCGCTCGCTCTCGGCACCTCCTTGGCCTCAGCACCCACTCTGGCTGCGCTTGAGGAGCCCTTCAGCCCACCGCTGCACTGTGGGAGCACCTCTCTGGGCTGGCCAAGGCCAGAGCTGGCTCCCTCTGCTTATGGGGAGGTGTAGAGGGAGAGGCGTGGGCAGGAACCAGGGCTGCCCGCCACGCTCGTGGGCCAGCGCGAGTTCCAGGTGGGTGTGGGCTCAGCGGACTCCGCACTTGGAGCAGCCAGCTGGTGCCGCCGGTCCCGGGCAGTAAGGGGCTTAGCACCTGGGCCAGCAGCTGCAGAGTGTGCACCGGGTCCCACAGCAGGGCGGGCCACCGGTGTTGCACTCGAATTCTTGCCAGACCTTAGCTGCCTCCCCGCGGGGGGCAGGGTTCAGGACCTGTAGCCCGCCATGCCCGAGCCTCCCCTCTACCGCAGGCTACTGCGCAGCCCGAGCCTCCCCGACGAGCACCACCCGCTGCTCCGCGGCGCCCGGTCCCATCGACTGCCCAAGGGCTGAGGAGTGCAGGTGCATGGCGTGGGACTGGCAGGAAGCTCCGCCTGCGGCCTGGTGAAGGATCCACTAGGTGAAGCCAGCTGGGCTCCTGAGTCTAGTGGGGACTTGGAGAACCTTTATGTCTAGCTAAGGGATTGTAAATACACCAATCAGCACCCTGTGTCTAGCTCAAGGTTTGTAAATGCACCAATCAGCACTCTGTATCTAGCTAATCTAGTGGGGACTTGGAGAACCTTTATGTCTAGCTAAAGGATTGTAAATACACCAATCAGCACTCTGTGTCTAGCTCAAGGTTTGTAAACACACCAATCAGCACCCTGTGTCTAGTTCAAGGTTTGTAAATGCACCAATCAGTGCTCTGTGTCTAGCTAATCTAGTGGGGACTTGGAGAAACTTTATGCCTAGCTCAGGGATTGTAAATGCACCAATCAGCACCCTGTCAAAATGGACCAATCAGCTCTCTGTAAAACAGACCAATCAGCTCTCTGTAAAATGGACCAGTCAGCAGGATGTGGGTGGGGCCAGATAAGGGAATAAAAGCAGGCTGCCTGAGCCAGCAGTGGCAACCCATTCGGGTCCCCTTCCATACTATGGAGCCTTTGTTCTTTTGTTCTTTGCAATATATCTTGCTGCTGCTCACTCTTTGGGTCCGCACTGCCTTTATGAACTGTAACACTCACCGCAAAGGTCTGGAACCTCATTCCTGAGGCCAGCGAGACCACAAACCCACCAGAAGGAAGAAACTCCGAACACGTCCGAACATCAGAAGGAACGAACTCCGGACACACCATCTTCAAGAACTGTGACACTCACCGTGAGGGTCCATGGCTTCATTGTTGAAGTCCATGAGACCAAGAACCCACCAAATTCCGGACACATAATGGTGCTATAGGCATCCATATTGAATAAGAATACAGGGCATCATCCTTGACAAGCTTCAGTAGAAGAGTCAAATGCATATCCCTTGTGTTCTAAAGCCATGCTTTCTGCAGGAGAAAACTAGTCATCATTTGAAAGACAGTTCTTATATTGCTAAGGAGCGCTAGTGGGGTGTAAGAGCCTGATCAAAAGACACCAAATAATTATGTGTCTAGAATTACCCATTTGGAGCTGATATTATCAGATCCTCCAAATCACAATATTGGACGGCTACAGCAGCAACCCATCATATATAATGGAAATAGGATGTTCAGGATAAGGCCCAAGCAGGTCTTGAAGGCATAAGTAACTTAGATAAAGAAGTGACCCAGGCTCCTGGAGATCCTACCTCTACCCGAATTGTACCTCTACCTGAAATGTACCTCTCTCTCAATTCATACGTATGGTCTCGGGGTGGGGAGGGGTGGGGGCAGAGATTCTATGATCAACTTTTAGAGGAGAAAAATACTTAGGCCTAGTTCTCCAATGGAGCAGCTCTACATGTTGGAGTTAGCTGACAATGCTGCGGCACAGCAGTCCCAGTCATAGCTGACCTTGAGGGAAAATGGTGAAGGAAAATCCTTCCAGTGAGCAAAGATAAGAAGAGTACATGAAGTCATTCACATTGTATGGAAGAAGAAATGACCTAAAGTGTAGGGTAACATTAAATTCTAGGCATTGCTGAATGACTTATCTTGCTGGTCAGCTGCCTACAAAGAATAAGATGAAAAGATCAGAGACAAAGAAATGTAGGGATGGGGCAATCTATTGGAGAGGATACAAAACATGCTGCTACTTATGTTTTATATTATAGCTCACTATAAAGTAAGCACTAAACCCAGTGCTTACAAAAAGGGGCCTTGAACAAAGTAGCAGGAATAAAGCTTATAAATGGGTGAAAGACAGTGGGAATCCTCTTACCAAGGCCACTGCTGAGGGTTCAACCTGCCAAGGTTCTGATACTGAACTCTTACAATGGCACTCTGGAAACCAGCCAGCCACTTACTGGCAGATTGAGCAACTTACTATTAGACAAGTTCTACTTGGAATTTTACTTACTGGAATTGATATATGCTCCAGATATGGGAGTGTCTTCCTGGTCTGCATTTCCTGTCAGCACCACTATTCAAAGACTTCCAGAACTCCTCATTTATAGCATCATATCTTAGTAATGATCACCAACAAAGGGACCTATTTTGTGGTAATGGAGGTACATTGATGGGCATTTGATCACTTGATCCACTAATCCTACATGTATTATATCACTGAAAAGCAGTCAATCTAATGGCATAATTGATAAGTCTAGATAAGATCCATTTCAGGACAATATCCAATGAGTTTGGGAAAATGAGCTCTGAAATTTTACATGGAAGTAATAGCTGATACACATAGTGGTTTTTCCCTAAAAGCTAGAGTCAACTGGCCAAAATAACAAGGGGAAAAAGTAGATACACAATGCTTATTACCACTTCCAGTTTCTAGTGTTTAGAGTTGTTCTTTATATCCTTAAAACTTTAGGCTTTGTTGGATTAGAATCCACTGAACTTGAATCTGCAATTATTACCTTGCCATTTGGGAATCCTCATGACAGTAGGACATTAAGAAAGGAAATGAGTTATATTGACAGCCATAATTGACCCTGTAAGCTTAAGGAGATAGGGCTGTCTCTATACAACACCAGGGAGGAATGAGTATATATGGTACCTAGGGGATTCTCTGAGGCATCACTTAGTGTTTCTATGCTGAGTAATAATTGTAAGTGGAGAACTGCAGAAACTATAGTTCAACAAAGGCAAAACAATCAAGTACTCATATTCCATAGTGATGAAGTTTTGAGTTACCCTACAAGGCCAGCATATTATCTGCACTGAAGTGCTGAATAAAGGTGAGGGAAATGTGGAATTAGAGGTAAAGAAACGAGATGAATAGTTAATTATGATCTCAGAAAGAGTTGTAGAAGTTGAATCTTGTCCTACTAACCTCTTGTTTTATTCCTTTATGGATTTGGGAGGTAACCACAAATGTTGCAGTCTTCATGACTGATCAAACATAATGAAGGGCACAAGCAGACTGAAGTGCTTTAATGAATGCACTACAGTACTTCTCCCTTATCTTCAGTCTGAAAAAATTAAATGAAAACTTCCAGAAATAAACAGTAAGTCTTATATTGTACACCATTCTGAGGAACATAATGAAATTTCATGCTGTCCCACTTCATCCTACTGAACACATGAATCATTACTTTGTCCAACCTATCCATATTGTATATACTACCCACCTGTTAGTCACTTAGTAACCATCTCAGTTATCAGGTCAAAAAGCACAAAATACATACAGCTTCTTACTCTCTGTGGTTTCAGGCAGCCACTCAGTTCTTAGAATGTATTGCCCATAGATAAATGGGGACTCTTGTACCCTAATTCACATTTTTGCTCCAACCATTTATTCCAGCCATTGGTGCCACAACAAGCTTCATGCTGTTATACATAACAGCACCTCACTTAAGCTGCACTGCAGCTTTTTGGACTTTGTATCTACAAGAATTCACTTGCCACTCACACAAGGAAATCCTGAAAATACAAGGGAGCTAACATTTTACAAGGAAACTATTGAACAATAGGGGATGGGACTGGTGAATGGATAAATGCTCCCATTTTCTGCCCCCTTGGTGGGCAATTCTGAGATATGGTACACTTGATCTTTCAGAGGGATATGACCAAACCCAGTCAAGTTGGCTTACATCACTGTTCAACTCAAGAATGTGCCCTTCCAGATTATTTCACTTATAAAACTACCAAATATTTAAAGAAGCAATAATATCAATTCTTCTCAATCTCTTCCAAAAATTAGAAGAGGAGAGACTACTCCTCAAGGCAATCTATGGGGCCAGTTATACACTGATACCAAAACCAGAAAACACCTCACAAAAACAGAAAATGTGCCAATGTCTCTTATAAATACAGATGCCAACATTCTCAACCAAATACTGTCAAATCAAATCTAACAACATATAAAAATTATTACAGATCATGACCAAGTAGGATACATCCCAAAAATCTACGTTTGGTTTAACATCTCAAAATCAGTCAACGTGATACAATACATCAATGGAGGAAAAAAAAAAAAAGGAGGTGAAAAACATATGATCATTCCAATAGATGCAGAAAATCCAAGACTCGTTCTGGATTAAAAGCTTCAAAAAATTAGGAATGGAAGGGAACTTTATCAACCTGATAGAGTACATCAATTAATATAAAAAATCTACAGCTACCATCCAACTTAATGGTGAAAAAGGAGAGCTTTTCTTTTAAGAACGAGACAAGGATTACACTTTCCCCATTTCTATTCCACATTGTACTGGAGGTCAAATGCAAGGCAATTAGGCAAGAAAATAAAATAATTTGAAACAAGTTCAGCAAAGTTGCATAGTATAATATTGATATGCTGCAAAATACAGTTGTATTTCTACACTTAGCAATGTACAATCTGAAAATAAAATTAAGAAAACAATTCCATTGACAACAGCTTCAAAAAGAATAAAATACTTTAAAATATTTTAACAAAAGCAATGTAAAACTTATACTTTGAAAATGATAAAACACTGTTCAAAGAAATTAAAGAAAGACTAACTAACTGGAAAAACATACATGCTCATGGGTCAGAAGATTTAATATTGTTAAAATGGCAATACTTACCAAAGTGATCTACAGAATCAACACAATTCCTATCCAAATGCCAGCTGGCTTCTTTACAGAAGAAATTAACAGTCTGATCCTAAAATTCATATGGAAATTCCAGCATCACAGAATAGCCAAAACAATCTTTAAAAAGATGAAAAAAAGATGAAGGACTCAAATTTCTCAATTTCAAAACTTCCTACCAAACTATAATAATGAAGATAGCGTGACACTGGCATAAACATGAACATATAAATCAATGGAATAAAATTGAGAGCCCAGAAATATGTACTAATATTTATGATCAATTGATTCTTGATAAAGGTGCCAAGACAATTCTATAAAAGAAAGAAGAGTATGTTAACAAATCTTTCTGGGACATCAGGAGATACATATTTAAAAGAATAAAGTTGAACCCCCCCTTCCTTACACAGCATGCACAAACATTAATCCAAAATGGATCACAGACCTACCTAAATGTAAGGCCTAAAACTATAAAACTCTTAAAAGAAAATTTAGGAGTACAGCTTCATGACCTTGGGTTAGGCAAAGTCTTCTTAGATTTAATACCAAAACCACAAGTGACAGAAGAAAAATAGATAAATTGGCCTTCATAAAAATTTAAAACTTTGTGCTTCAAGGATACCATCAAGAAGGTGAACAAGCGGCCGGGCGCAGTGGCTCATGCCTGTAATCCCAGCATTTTGGGAGGCCAAGGCAGGCGGATCACAAGGTCAGGAGATTGAGACCATCCTGGCTAACACAGTGAAACCCCGTCTCTACTAAAAATACAAAAATTAGCTGGGCGTGATGGCGGGCGCCTGTAGTCCCAGCTACTCGGGAGGCTGAGGCAGGAGAATGGCATGAACCCGGGAGGCGGAGCTTGCAGTGAGCTGAGATCGCGCCACTGCACTGCAGTCTGGGTGACAGAACCAGACTCCATCTCAAAAAAAGGTGAACAAGCAATGTGTAGAGTAAGAGAAAATATTTACAACTCATATTTGATAAGGTACTTATATCTAAAATATATAAAGCACTTACAGTTCAATAAAAAGACAACCCAAATTACAAAAAGGAAAATGATTTGAATATATACTTCTCCAAATATATACAAATGGTCAATAAGCATGTGAAATGATGCTCAATATCATTAGCCAGCAGGGAATGGCAAAACCATGTGATACCACTTCACACCAACGAGGATGCCTGACATAGCTTTGATGTTTGTCCCCTCCAAATCTCATGTTGAAATGTGACTCCCAGTGTAAGAGGTGGGGCCTGGTGGGAGATGTTTTGGTCATGGGGACAGATCCCTCATAACTGGTTTGGTACCCTCCCAGCAGTAATAAGTGAGTTCTCACTCTACTAGTTCATGTAAGAGCTGTTTTTAAGAGCCTGGCACCTCCTCCTCTCTTTCTTGCTCCCTCTCTTGGTGTGTGACATGCTTGTTCTCCCTTTGCCTTCCAACATGAGTAGAAGCTTCCTGAGGCCTTACTAGAAGCCAAGCAGATGCTGGTGCCATGCTTGTACAGCCTGCAGAACTGTGAGCCAAATAAACCTCTTTTCTTTGTAAATTACCTAGTCTCAGGTATTCCTTTATAGCAAGGCAAAATGGATGAACACAGTGGCTAAAATTTTAAAGTTAGGTAATACATCTTCAGTGTTCCTGAAGATGTAAAGAAATTGAAACATCATACATTGCTAGTTGGATTGTAAAATGGTACAGCCACTTTGAAAAACAGTTTGACTATTCCTCAAAAGGTTAAAAATAAAGTTGCCATATGACCTAGCAATTCCATTTTAGGTATATACCCAAGAGAATTAAAACCATATGTCTATAAAAAAAACTTGTATGCTAATGTTCCTTGCAGCATTATTCAAAATAGCCAAAAATTAGAAGCAACTCCCATGTCCACTAACTTGAGGATAAATAAAACGTACTTTGTTCATACAAGTGAATGTTATTTGGCAATAAAAACATAGGAAAATCTGATAATTGCTACAACATGGATGAAACTTGAAAATATGCCAAGTGAAAGAAGCCAGTCTCATGGGACTTTATTTACATAAATATCTGGAATAGGCAAATCCATAAAGATAGAAAATATATTCATGGTTACAGTGTCTAGGAAAGGATTGAGGGAGAAATAGAAAGTAACTTTGTGGCAATGGGATTTCTTTTAAAGGTTATTAATATTCTAAAACTTGATTGTGGTTATTCATTGTACAACTCTAATACATACATATGTTTTATATATATATACACACATATGCATATATGTTATATATATACACATGCATATGTATGTTATATATATATACACATATATACATATATATCAACCCATTGAATTTTATATTTTAAATGGAGGAGTTTTATAGTATATAAATTATATCTCCATAAAGCTAGTTTTTTAAGGAAGGAAAGGAAGAAACTAAAAACAAATGTACCCTTTCCATGGCTTTTTCCTCCATTTCTGTATTTCTCTTCTGAGTCCCCTACACCTGTTCCCTGGATTACCTCTCATAATAAACTAGCTGCATGCAAGCCCTGACTCAGGCCCTATTTTCTGGGGAGAATACAGGATGGAGATATGCACTTTTGAGTGAATAAGTATATTTCTCCTTGGAGAAAGAAAAGGTCAAAAGGTGACACCATTTCTACCATCACCACTGAGGAAGATTCACATGGTTCTTTATGTGCTTACTTTCCTATATCAGTGGGATAAAGGGCACACCCTCATATACATTTCTAGTTTTTCAGAGTCTTTTCTTGCAAAGTCTTTAAGAATCTGTGCAAGAAAATTTACTGACATATTAATTTAGGATTTTAAAAAATACTGGCATAGAAATAAATAAAAGGTAGCTTTCGCTCCCTCATCTCAAAAAGCCTTGAGTTCTGGGTCTGGAAACCCTAACTTCAGGACACATTAAGGTTGGGATTTTTTGGGTAAGCGTTAACAGTCATTCAAACAACTACTAGTTACCCACACTTTCCTTGGAGGAAGGACAGAAAATGGGACAACCTATTCTGTAAGAGGAAGTGGTTTGAGTCTGGATCTAAGACAGCACAGGTTCTCTAAAGGCCAAAATACATCTGCCTCCTGTAGAACAGTGATCTGTAAACTTCTTTTGTAAATAGCTGAAAAGCAAATATTTTTGGCTTTGTGGGCTACAAGGTCTCTGTCACAACTATTCACCCCTGACTTGATAGCATGAAATATACCTTAGACACCAAAAAACTGAATAATTGAGGCTATGTTTCAAGAAGACTTTACTTATGCAAGCAGAATTTCTTATAATAGAAATATGAATCTCTTATAATTTTCATGTGTTGTAAAACATAATTCCTGTTTTGATTTTTTTCCAACCATTTAAAATTATAAAACCATTCTAAGCTTGCAAACCATATAAAAACAGGTGGCATGCCTGATTTGGCCCACGGGACATAGTATGCCATCCTCTTCTCCAGAGTAAAGAGAGAACTTGTAAGTGAGGGCATAGATTGGGGACCTAAAGAAAGAGCCCTATGCTCATGCTTGGAATAAAAAGAATAGGGCCACTCACTTCAAATGGACAACACAGCCTAGGACGATGGGTACCTGACTTAGGAACTAATGCGTACCAAAACCTAGGACTGTATTTGCTGTATTTGTAGGTTTTTTTTTTTCCTCTGTATTTGTAGTTTCTGGTATTCAGAGTTAAACAGAAGTGTTATCTCTAAAGCTAGAGTTTCTATATATCCTTAGAAAAAGGTTAATGTTCCTGGTCCTGAAGGCTAAACCCTGAGAAGCATTCACTACAAGGTCGGGGAGGAGACTAGAATCTGAATCCGGAGAAAGAAACTCAGTTCAAGAAGGTATTTAATATCGATGTAAAATAGCTTCTTTTTTTCTTAGCTAAACCTACCTACTGCCAGAGGAAAGCAAACAGGTACCCTCTGAGACTTGAAGCATAGCTAACGCAGTCTACCTGAAGGGCAAAATTTCTTTGAAACCTAGAGCTTTATTTTAGAAATCCACGTGAATTTGTATTCTATTCCATAACATAGCCATGTATTTGTTTTAGTATAAAAATAGCATGCTGAACTATTTACCATCAAGGCAAACTGGCACTTTCCGAGAATGCATCATGTTTACCCTGTAGCTTTGACAACCCTAGGCAAACCGTCTCATTCCCAGAGGGTACATGTATCTGAATGTGAGGAGCAAAAAGTATAACAGGACATGGTTTTTATTATTTCACTCAGGCACTGAATATTCACTTTTTATTGACAGGGCATTTTTGATGGAGGCTTAGAGATCCTATCGTATGGTATGCACTGGTGTTGAATAGCCATATTAATATCACCTGGGAATGAATTAGAACTGCCAATTATCAGCCTCACCATAGATCCATTGAATCGGAAAGTCTGACGATGGGGTCTAGCAATCTGTATTTCATAAACCCTCCAACTGATTATTCTAATGTTTATTCCAATTTGAGAACTGCTGCTATCGCGGAAGGAGTTTGAAGGAGTCATACTGTTTAAATTTGTCATGAATGTGGTAGGTTCCCTAACCTTTCTTTGCCTTTTCATCTCCATGTGTAAAATGAGGATCTGCCTTCTTCTCAGGGTTGTCCTAAGAATAAAGTCAGATTGGGCATGCACATACCACCAGACATAGCACACGATGATCAGAAGAGCCAGGGTGAGCACTGTTTTTCTCTTTTCCCAACTCACCCAAATACCAAAACTGAGGCATATAAGCGTAACTGAAAGTAATGATCTACATCCATGAGAAATGCAGCTGAATTATTGCCCTCAAGAGACCCTCACCATGTTCATTTCTCCCACGGACATTTGCATATTCTTGACTTTTAGCATATGGAATTTTAAAATCAAGTAATTACCAGAGTTGAAAAAATATTTAGGCTAAAAAGTACTGGTGACAAAACAACTTTCAAGAAATATATTTTCTCTTTTGATTTTAAAGTTCCTTTGGAAGCATTCATTTATAAATTATCCAATTTAAAAAGGGGAAAAAACTCTGAACTATCAGCTTCAAAGAATAACAAATTGTAAAGGGTACTGTTTCCTTCTACATCCAAAATTAGAGAAAAATCTTTAAAGTTTCCTTCTGGTTTCCTTCAGAATCACAGACTATACCCACTTGTCCTTATTCCCCCTCTTTTTTCCTCATTTATTCAGTCAAACTGCTTGAAAAACTTTGAATACTATCACAAGACAATCAATACAGATCTACACAGAAAATAAATATACACAAAAAAAGACCTCTTTGAAAGGTGCAGAGGGGAGTTACATAAGTGTGTTATTTCCTCAGGTGTCTTCATTTTAATGCTTATATACAAGAATACTTTTTACAGAATGCAGAAATCTTTACTATTATGTATGCATACACATGTGTTCCTACGTGCTCGCCCTCTCTCAAAAACTCACATACACAGTCTCCACTTTCTGTATAACATGCAAGGTATACCTTAAGAACGAGACTGTCTAATATTGAGTTTGCAATTATTTGGGAAAAAAATAAATAGAAGCATATGCATAAAAAGTTGTTTCTGCAAATGGTTGGAATAACCCAGATAATTTGGGGGTTATATGTTGGGAAATAATTTTGGAGTAGTTTATCTTTGCTTACTTAAGAGAACAACTTATTTTCAAATATGCTCAGCCCCACCACACTTTAGAGAACAAATAACTTATAAACCATTGATAAACTATCTGAATCTTCCTTTATTATTCAGAACAGGCTCCCAAAGTGTCTCCAGTAAGTAAAGTCTTAGTGATCTGCTTTTTTTTTTTTTTTTTTGAGACAGAGTCTCGCTCTGTCACCCAGGCTGGAGTGCAGTGGCACGATCTTGGCTTACTTCAACCTCCACCTCCCAGGTTCAAGTGATTCTCCTGCCTCAGTCTCCCCAGTAGCTGGGACTACAGGCACGTGCCACCATGCCTGGCTAAGTTTTGTATTTTTTAGTAGAGCATAAAATAGCACCGTGTTAGCCAGGATGGTCTCGATCTCCTGACCTCGTGATCCTCCTGCCTCAGCCTCCCAAAGTGCTGGGATTAAAGACGTGAGCCACTGCGCCTGGCCTCTGACCTGCTTTCTATTAACATACATTTCTATATAGAACATGAACTCTACATTAAATAATTTTTTATGCCATCCTGTCACTAATTTATGTAATTATCCCCAAGTCTTAATCAATATAGATTTATGATATTTTTGAAGGTGGATTTGTCTAATTATTTGTCTGAGGTTGAAAGAATGCACAGTTTCAAAAGCTGGAGTTTGGGACCCAATGTTGGTAAATGGACTTCTGTAATAGTCTCCCACAGCACTGCTTTCAAAGAATAAACCAAAGACCACCAAAAGCGTAAAAGAAAGAAATGGAGAAGGAGGAGGAGGAGCAGTTGTTTTTGAGTTTATTACCATGCCAGGAAGGAGAACACAAAACAGAAGAGACATTCACAGAATGATGAGGAGGAAAAAAGGCAGCAAAGTCAGGGTGTTTTAAGTTCTAAAAAGGTGGGGTGGTTCCATTGGTTAGGCTGATTGAGGATTGCAAACTACAACTCCGAATAAGTTATGGACAGAAGAAGTCTCTAAGTCTGTACATAGTTAAAATACATCTTCTAGTTCTTCCATAGAGGGAGTCTTCAGTTACATTCAATGACGACAGCATACTGGAGTAATGGATCCTTTAATATCTTCAGTTATGATGAAACACAGCATTCACACACTTGTGCATACAAACACATGCATGTACCTTTGCATTACATTGACAGTGAAATCATTTTGTTGTAACTTGGAGGTATTATAGCATGCTGGCTAAGGGCTAGGCTCTGAAGGCAGACTTCCTAGACATTTAAACTCTAGCTCTGTCATCTAGCTGGTTGTTATTGGGCAATACTTTAATCTCTTTCAGTTTTGGTTTCCTCGTCTATGAAATGGGGATAATAAAAGTACATTGGCTGGGCACAATGGCTCATGCCTGTAATCCCAGCACTTTGGAAGGCCAAGGCAGGTGGATCATGAGGTCAAGAGATCGAGACCGTCTTGGTCAACATGATGAAACCCCGTCTCTACTAAAAATACAAAAATTAGCTGGGCATGGTGGTGTGCACCTGTATTCCCAGCTACTCAGGAGTCTGAGGCAGGAGAATCACTTGAACCCGGGAGGTGGAGGTTGCAGTGAGCTGAGATCGTGCCATGGCACTCCTGCCTGGCAACAGAGCGAGACTCTGTCTCAAGGAAAAAAAAAAAAAAAAGGATTTCCTTGATACAGTGAATCCAAGGATTATAATAAGACATTAGCCCATATTTATTGCTAAATAAATTCTAGACATTATTAGAAGAAGCTTCACTGCAGGACCATAGAAGGTTGTTGATGGATAAATCTTGCCATTTTTCTATCTCTATTTCTAGGTTGGAAAGTGATACATTCATTCAACATTGAATCCTTCATTCAACCACTTGCATTTGTGGAGTGCTTACCAGGTACATGACTCAGTCTAATGGGAAACACAGACTCACAGGGAATTAAGAGTTTTGACTGGGAAGAGAATAAAACATAATAAGAAACAGAAATGGTTTATTTCAAAAGGAAATTGGGACCGTCAAGGTGGATAATATTTCAGAAACCAGTGAAAAGTTGAGTTCAGCTATGACTAAGAGATGCTCAGACAAAAATGTTCAAGGAATACAATAATAATAGTTATAATTTGTTCCCATTTAGTAAATATTTTTGAGAACTTTAATCTTGCCAGAAATTGCAGATACATGCATTTCTGCTATTATATCAAATATACTTTGAAAAATGTTGTAACCTACATGGGAAAAATAACAGGTTTTTTGGGGAAAACCTGCTTTGGAATAAGCCAATCAAAACCTATGAAACTTTGAACTAAAACTTTAATACACAAATAACAATTTTAATTTAAAAAACACTGGCAGTAAGGGCAATCAGTCAAGAGAAAGAAATAAAGGGTACTCAAATAGGAAGAGAGGAAGTGAAATTATCTCTGTTTGCAGATGACCTGATTGTATATTTGGAAAACCCCATCGTCTCAGCCAAAAATCTCCTTAAGCTGGTAAGCTACTCCAGCAAAGTCTCAGGATACAAAATCAGTGTGCAAAAATCACAAGCATTCTTATATACCAATAATAGACAAACAGCCAAATCATGAGTGAACTCCCATTAACAATTGCTACGAAGAGAATAAAACACCTAGGAATACAACTTACAAGGGATGGGAAGGACCTCTTCAAGGAGAACTACAAACCACTGCTCAAGGAAATAAGAGAGGACAAAAACAAATGGAAAAACATTCCATGCTCCTGGATAGGAAGAATCAATATCATGAAAATGGCCATACTGTCCAATGTAATTTATAGATTCAATGCTATCCCCATCAAGCTACCACTGACTTTCTTCACAGAATTAGAAAAAACTACTTTAAATTTCAAATGGAACCAAAACAGAGCCCGCATAGCCAAGGCAATCCTAAGCAAAAAGAACAAAGCTGGAGGCATCACGCTACCTGACTTCAAACCACACCACAAGGCTAAATTAACCAACACAGCATGGTACTGGTACCAAAACAGATATATAGACCAGTGGAACAGAACAGAGGCCTCAGAAATAACACCACACATCTACAACCATCTGATCTTTGACAAACCTGACAAAAAAAGCAATGGGGAAAAGATTCCCTATTTAATAATTGGTGTTGGGAAAACTGGCTAGCCACATACAGAAAACTGAAACTGGATCCCTTCCTTACACCTTATACAAAAATTAACTCAAGATGGATTAAAGACTTAAACGTTAAGACCTAAAACCATAAAAACCCTAGAAGAAACCTAGGCAACATCATTTATAACATAGGCACGGGCAAAGATTTCATGACTAAAACACCAAAAGCAATGGCAACAAAAGCCAAAATTGACAAACGGGATCTAGTTAAAGAGCTTCTGCACAGCAACAGAAACTATCATCAGAGTGAACGGGCAACCTGTAGAATGAAAGAAAATTTTTGCAATCTATCCATCTGACAAAGGGCTAATATCCATAATCTACAAGGAACTTAAACAAATTTGCAAGAAAAAAACAACCCCATCAAAAAGTGGGCAAAGGATATGAACAGACACTTCTCAAAAGATGACATTTATGTGGCCAACAAACATATGAAAAAAAGCTCATCATCACTGATTAGAGAAATGCAAATCAAAACCACAATGAGATATCATCTCACACCAGTTAGAATGGAGATCATTAAAAAGTCAGGAAACAACAGATGCTGGAGGGGATGTGGAGAAATAGGAATGCATTTACACTGTTGGTGGACCATTGTGGTTCAACCATTGTGGAAGACAGTATGGCAATTCCTCAAGGATCTAGAACCAGAAATACCATTTGACCCAGCAATCCCATTACTGGGCATATACCCAAAAAGGTTATAAATCATTCTACTATAAAGACACATGCACATGTATGTTTACTGCAGCACTATTCACAATTGCAAAGACTTGGAACCAACTCAAATGCCCATCAATGATAGACTGGATAAAGAAAATGTGGCACATATACACCACGGGATACTATGCAGCCACAAAAAAAGAATGAGTTCAGGTTCTTTGCAAGGGCATGGATTAAGCTGGAAACCATCATTCTCAGCAAACTAACACAGGAACAGAAAACCAAATACCACATGTTCTCATTCATAAGTGGGAGTTGAACAATTAGAACATATGGGCACAGGGAGGGGAACATCACACACCAGGGCCTGTCAGTGGGTTGGGGGCTAGGGGAGGGATAGCATTACAAGAAATACCTAATGTAGTTGATTGGTTCATGGGTGCAGCAAACCACCGTGGCACATGTATACCTATGTAACAAACCTGCACATTCTGCATGTGCATCCCAGAACTTAAAAAAAAAACACCGGGAATATTAAATCTCTACCATGATTGGAACCTATTATCTTTTGCAAGCTCTATATATTGGAGGTAGTGCTTTTTCTCAGATGTAGGTCCTTAAAGATGTTTGCTTCTAATAGAGGCCAGTTTCATCAAAATTAAAACTACAATACAATGGTATGCTTTTACATTCATCATTTCTTAAAAATCACAGGAGAAAATGCTTTTGCAACATCTGCATTGGCATTTGCAGTCTCTTCTAAAAATGTGGCATAGTGAAAAATGTGCAGTTCTTAACGACACTAAATCAACCACCATTTCTTTCACTAAAGGAAGGCATGTCAGCAAGATTTTTCACTTTCTTAAGATTGTTATATACTGCTAAATTTTCCTCTTTAATTTTAAGAAAGCTTACATACTGGTAATTTCGAAACATTAGCATGATGGGCAAACTCACATATGAATCAACACAGCTTCCTATTATTCTGACATCATTTTCTTTATTTACCAATCACATTAAGAAACATACTTTGCTTCAGAACAAATCGTATAACCAGGCTCAGTCTCAAATATCAAAGAATTCAGTCTAGTAGGAAAAGTAGTCACACAAACTCAAATTGTACTACCTTGAACTATTGCTTCATTAAAGAGACGAAGTGCTGGATGGAATCAAGGTAGACAGTGATTAACTTTCTGTAGCTACTCTTTAAAGATTACTCACGATGAAGAAAAAACATCCAAAGAATAAAGAAAAATGTTTCTAGGCAGAGAAGGGCATCTAGGAGGGTATTTCAAGAAAAGGCAGTAACTGGAAATGCAAAAGATATAAGATCACTCTTTAGAGGACATGAAGAAAAAAGCCACATAGAGACTCTGCCTTTCACTTTTCAACAATTTTTTCTTGCTGCATCCTGAATCCTATAGTTTTAATAATCATTGAGAAAATTTGGGCCAGGTCTTATTTAATCAAATTCGGTTTCTCTGTTTCCCTGTGATATGTCTTGTGAGGGTGATGCTTTTGCAGAATGGAGATAAGCTAGGATCAAAACCACTTGTCTCCAAAGTGGGATTTGGCTACTTTTCCTAAGTATAATGAACATCAAAAATGTACTACAAAAGTGGGTGCCAAGAGTCCACCTAAGAAAGAAAATATCTTTGGGAAAATACCAGCACTGGGATAGAAAGTATGCAAACCTGTGGGCATATAGGTTGGTAGAAATCAAGACCACAACAAATCATAAGCACAGGCTTTTACCTTGGCCTGTGGAGGAGCAAGCAAGATGCTAGAATTGCTAAACTACATGATAATGGGAAGGTAGGAAAAAAATACATTTTAAATGGAATTTTATTAACATGCCTTAGTCATTGCTCTATGACATCAAACATAACCTTTCCCTATGCCCCTTAAAAATCTAATACAAGCTCTTGATCTGTAGTTCTTTAGGAGGGAGGATCAAGAAAGTCCCACATTTGTGTCAACCCCAGGGTAGAGAACAAAAATTCCCATTCCCACCTAAGAGGAGCACAAATAACAGAATATTTGAGAAGAGATTTGGACTTCCAAAAATTGGCCCAAACTTAACTAAATTTTAAGGAACCAGGAAACCCTGAGACTCCAACTAGCATAATCTTTGACCTTTGTTTACCTTAACTTTTAATATCCTATGTATTGCACACAAAAGACATTGGCTCTTGAATGTGTTTTTTGGTGACCATTTGCCAGAAGGAACTAGGAAGAGTAATTTTATCTTTAGCACATGCTCCCAAAAAAAGGCCTTTTGCCTTCAGGTAGTGATGACAAAGAATGCAAGTATGCAGCTAATCAGCTTTGTAGCCTATCATTCTTAAAGAGGTATTGACATCTCCACTTTATGGCTTTTTCATCCTTTTTCAGCACATAGCCTACTGTCTAGTTCATAGTAGCCACTGAAATCCTTGATAATAGGAAAGAAAAAAAGGAAGGAGTGAGGAAGGAAATAGATGGAGAGAGATAAAAAGACTGGGAAAATTTAAAAAATAAATCTACAGGAAATTTTAAGAATTGTGAGGACCAAAAGTATAGAGCTATTTGGGAGTATCATCTGGCTTTACTGATAAGGTAAACCTGTTTATTCCACATACATCTAAATATTTGAGGAGATTTACTATTTGGTACTGGCAGTCAAGGAAATGGAACTCTGGGATTTATTGTTGTTATTCCTTTTAAAAGAGAATATTCATGTGGAAAATAGGATTAAGGAATAGAAACAGAATTATAATTCCTTAAGATTAAGGAATGGCAAAGTCTGAAACCAGGGATATAATTTTCTCAACAACTGAGATCTAGCTTAAAGAGTGAGATGAAAAGTCAAGATAGTGGATACAATACTCTTGGGTCAACTCCTTAACTCACATTGAATTGCCTTTCTCCGGAAACAGCCGAAGAGGGAAGAGACCTCAAAGGGTCTTTTCTGCGTCATATGACCTAGCACCTCTCCCTTCTGGGAAAAGGTAAACCAAGCAGATACAATCTCCCAAGACACTGAAATCTAGAATGGAAAAACTGGAAGAATTTGTTTCATTTTTTCAGACGAAGTCTCACTCTGTTGGTTGCCCAAGCTGGGGTGCAGTGGGATCTTGGCTCACTGCAACCTATACCTCCCGGGTTCAAGGGATTCTCCTCCCTCAGCCTCCTGGACTACAGGCACATGCCACCATGCCCGGCTAATTTTTGTATTTTTAGTAGAGACACAGTTTCACTATGTTGGCTAGGCTGGTCTTGAACTCCTGACCTCGTGATCCACCTGCCGCAGCCTCTCAAAGTGCTGGAATTACAGATGTGAGCCACTGTGCCCGGTGAATTTTAGTATTTGAAGTTGAGTCCCACTAATGGGTATGTTCTAAGGAAAGAGGCTTCCTGAGCTTTCCTAGTACATGCTCTTTCAAAAGCGAGGTTATCCAACTTCTTCAGTTACCTGAGATGGACCAGTAGTCTTTCAGATATTTAAATCATTGCTTTGTTTATATTTATTTATGCCTGAGTCAAGATTAAATGTGATTGCTTACAAACAAAAGAATTAGTTAACTAATTCAATAGGATTATATAACTCATTAAAAACTATCATCTTGTGATTGTTTGTGTTCATCCCTCCACATTCTTAACAGCCTAGCAGTTTACCCCAATTCTTGCAGTTTAGAAGCTGAAAAGGCACCCAAGGGCACGAGGTAGGTAGAAATGTAGCAAATAATGTGAGTTACATTTGTTTTACTTCATTTTAAAAATCTTTTTATTCATAAAGAAAATTAAGACTTTTTAATAGGGAAAAGAGATTACTGGATATCGTGTCAATACAATACTGGAAGTGCCAATATTATTTGATGCTACAGGGATATGTACCTTTGTCTATGAATAGGTTATTTGACAATGCTCTAGAGCTAAGGTTAACTTGCAGGAAATGGATAGTAACACAAATAATTCTTGTCTGTAGACAGGAAAGTAAATTTTGCCTGGTAGAATTGTAATTGATTTCCCTCCTCCACTGTGGAAGGCAGTTTTTCAAACCATTTATAAATCTATTTCAATATTCCCTTATTCCATATAAGTGTGTGCTTCTTTGATTTCTCCTTTGAACCAGTTGTAACAGCTTTCCTGCTTGTCTAATTAATGAATGTCAATAAAATTTTTGACACCTTTATTTTATACCTCTATGAAAGTCATAATTTTACCATTTAAAAAAGTTCTTTAACACTTGCAAAATAAAACACAGGTATAGAAATCACAAAATAAACACAAGGTTTAGTAAATTTTTCTATGGCAGACACCCTTGTATCCATTCCCAGGTTTAAGAAAACAGAAATTTTCCCACCTGCCCTGGAAGCTCCATCCATATGCTCCATTTCAATCACCACTTTCCTTCCCCAAATATCCAATAAGTTATCCCGACTGCACAGTAATTGTTTTCTCTTTATTTTTTATAGTTTTATCATTTAAATGTGTATCCATAGACATGAGAGTTTAATTATTCCATTTGTATTACTCTGACACTCCTTGTAAACCCTTTTAATCCACTGATCCCACACCATCCCTTTCTATACTATTTATCTGTTGAAAAACTCAGGCCACTCAGGCCTTTTGAAGTGAAAAAAAAGTTTACATTCTGGTTATAGCTGATTGGATCATGAGTTACATTTTTAATTTTTCTCGAAAGTTTTGTGCAAACTCATGTCATAAATTCATTGGGGTCAGGCAGGCTCGAAGACTGTGGAGCACAAATAGAGCCACATACCTGGTGGGTGGTACGTCCAGGAATCCGCAAAGTGGCTTGTAGGGGCCAGGGACTGGAGATAGAGAGGGAGCTGTGTCTGGATGTGCAGAACATGGTTGGAAGAGCAGAGGACAGAGAAAAGCTTGCTCTAGCATAGGTTTCCTTGGGCTTCTGGATTACAGAAGCCCAAAGCTTAGAGGAGTCATAATAATAATGGGAATGTAAAAAGAATGGGGAGGTGATGTGAGGAGATGTGGAAAAACAAGGTGAAAACAAGTAAAATCAAATTACAGAACATCTTTTCAGGGGGAAAAGGGAGAATGATATATAGAAAAGTGCACATATGATAAATGTAGCTTGATAAGTTTTCACCAACTGAACGTAATATATAACCAGTATCTTAATAAAGAAACAAGGCAGAGCTTCCTTCTTGCCCTCTTGTAATTATTACTCCCTCAAAAATATTACTTCTAATATTATACGTTAGTTTTCTGTTTCTGCGCTTTGAATAACTAGAAGAATTGAATATGTAGTCTTTTGGGGACTAGCCTCTTTTACTCAACACTTTACTTATGACATTTATTCATGTTTCTGCCTAGAGTTGTAAATCACTGATTTATGTGGTCATATAACATTTGAATGTATGGGAATTTGGACAGTTTCCAGTTTGGAGTTACTATGTGTAGGACTTTCCAAAGTCCTACACTGGAAGGACAGTTTCCAGTTTGGAGTTACTATGTGTAGGACTTTCCAAAGTTATTCCAAAGAATAAACATTCCAAAGCATGCCTTCTGTGAATACATGCATGTATTTCTGTTGGGTATATGCCTATGAGTGGATTTTCTAGGTCATGGCATATGCTTGGTCTAGATTCAAGAGATATTGACAAAGAATTTTCCATGTGGTTGGGAAAAAATTTATATTCCCATCAGCAGTGATTGAAAGTTCCTTTTGCTCCACCTTCTCTTCAATACATGGTATTTGCTGTCTTTTCATTTTAGCTCTTCTGGCAGTTATTGAAAGGGATCACAATATGCCATCCCAAATTATGCCACTTTGGCATGAGGATTATTTTGAGCTGAAGGCAATTGAGAAACAGCAGACACAGGAGGACTCTCTGCCCTCTTTCTTTATGCTTAAAAACAAGGCATAAATATCCTTTTTTAAGTGTCTCTCTTCCACACTCTTGTACCAGGAAGAGGGAAATACTCATAGGAGAAGGAACACCAGCACCAAAAACAGTCTGCATAAACACACCTCACAAAATAACATCATATTCTATTAGCTTCTCTCTCTCGTGTATTTGCTTTCCCACAATTTATATGTCTCCTAAAAGCCCAAACCCCTTTTCTTTGTCTACTCACTTTAACACAATTTATTCCCCATTGTTAAAATGATATACAAGCTCTCAAGTCCTACCACTTCTTTGGGCTTTCATTTTTTTCTGTGAAGTTCCCATGTACACATGAAGTAAAGCCTTCTGTTGTTAAATCTTTCTTTTTTAGTTCAATTTACAGGCCCCAGCCACTGAGCCCAAAAACGTAGAGAAGTTTTTTTCTTTCCTATACTATGAATGGGCACCTCATCATTTTAATAATTTTTGTTTGCATTTTTCTGTTGATTTTAATGAATTTAAGCACCTTTTCATAGATTTATTATCCACTAGGATACCATCTTTTGAGAAGTGTCTGTTCAAGTCTTTTGCTCATTTTTCTATTGGATTGTTTTCTATTCCCACTGATTGGAAGTTCCTTATATACTCTGGATATGGGTTATTTTCCATATATACATGTACTTCAATTAAATTTTCCCACTCTTGGTTGTTTACGTAAATTTTAAACCAACCTAAAACTTTTTAATGCCTGAAAATAATATTGTTCTTATTGCTAGAAGCAGTGAAAAGTTAGAGAATCTCTCATCAAGCAACAGAAGAGGGAAATATAAGAGAATCTGTAAGAAGACAGCAATGTGAGACTACTAAGCGTATTTATTGTTAGTTTCCTCATCAGTTTCAATTAACTAATCACACACACATGGTCCCATTAAACTCCACAAGAGTAAACACCCTTATTTCATGCCTTCATTTCATAGACACCAGAACCAAAAGTCAAGAGACTCAAAAATCACCCACAAATGTACTCCATGTATAGATTACTTCCCAAATCAGCCAGCCTTGTGAATTGCTTGACAAATTTTGAACCCAGGCCACGTGTCACCCAAAGTGCAATGCTGCTATCAAACTTTTAACTGCTCTACCTGTCTTCTTATGTGTGGCTGTAAAAAAATAAATAAATAAATAAATGATGCCTTAGCCTACTCCATTGGAAAGTTGTGAATACTTAGGCTAATTTATGACTTTGACATGCCAGTGCTGAAAACCATTATTTTCCCATGGTATTTCCAAGAGACAGCTGTCCAGTGATCTTCGTGTGACCTTCTCAGCAACTAGCTCACTACTAGAGTTTTGATAAATGCTTGCTGGATGAACAGACAAATATGGGAATGAATAAATGAATTCTTGCACGCGAAGAGAAAACTTGAATTTTAATGTTGACTTGCTGCTAAAGACACCGCAAGTGGTGAAACAGGCTTCTCAGTGTCCTCTGGTGTTATGAAAATAATTCAGGTTTCAGATGTCCAAGAAGACTACGCCAGGTGAATTATTTTAAGCCGTCACTTCTGAGAATAACCTCTGTGCTGACAAAAATAGGCATGTGAAACAGCTGCAGCAATAAAATGCACCATGGGTACTGGCGTGTGTGATGCCAACAAAACAGAGCAGGAAATTTTAAGAGCTTGGAGGAGATACAGGAGAAGGCTAGCTTTAGCAAAGGAAGGAAAGGGAAAACACTAGAAAAATGGCCCTTGCTCATCTCAACAAATGTCACAAATGTATTTTTTGATGGTATTTTTTGATATTAGAGCTTTTCTTCAGAACAAGTACATAATTGTGTATACTAGTACCCCAGTGCATCAAAAGCTAGGGAAACTGCACATAGCACTCTTGTGTTGAGAAGTGCTGGCTGCCATCATGGGCCAAGCAAGCTGCAAGTGAAATAGCCATTCAATAACTAAGAAGACTACAAAACAAATGGGAACATCCCTCGGTTGTAGGGTAAGGGCCCTTTGGTTCCATATCAGTTTTGACAATTTACTTGCTGTATAACCTAGAAAAAGTCACAAATTTACTCGATATCCCAATTTTACCAGTCATAAAATGAGGATGATAATACCTTCCCAACTTGTCTCACAAGTCAAGTAAAAATATCCACTATGATTAACAGTCTATGCATCATAGGTTCATAATTCCCCAACAGTATTACAAAATTCAAAAAGCTGCTGATTACTTAAAATTTTTTCATAAGTCATTTTGGCAGCAAAACTTCATCTGACATGAACCAATTTGGAGGTAAAACCTGATCTGAACTGATTTGAAGCTTTTTATTTATTTAGTCCCATTTGCTGAATATTCATAACTTTCACTGCAGAAATGTTAATGTATATGGTTAAGGATACTGTCCAAGACCCCTTTAGGAGTATTACAGAATAATATATGAAATATATGCTATTTTAAATTTCTAAGAATCCAAAAACTTCTGAATTTTAAAGCATATCTGGTCAATGAGAATATGGTTTGCATTAAAACAAAGTCCCTAATATATAAAATATAACCAAATGTTAGATTTCTTTTTATCATCATTCAAACTGCTTAATCTTCAACTCCAATTTTTCTTGCATAGGCATAAGCCTACTATTGTATTCTCAAACAGGTCACCAGCAGGATCATTTTATTGATTAAGAACAACAGACACAGTATTCAGGACTTATGATCTTTCTAAGGACCTGCAAAAAAAAGTATGAGAACTGAAAAACAAAGCTATTGGCTCCAAAATATGAAAATAAAACTACAAAACCTAATCCACAAAGTGTAGACCACAAAAATCTATAAGACATAAAACTAGCTACTTCATCATTGGTTAAATTCAGTATTCATAAAGTATCATTGCATTTGAAAACAATTTATAGATTCAATTTTTCTCACTTTGCAAGAATGCTCATGTATATGCAATAATTGTTAAGAAATGATAGCCCCTCATAAATTGTATTTGCTCTTATAGTCAAATGATTTCTGAAAGCAAAGTAATGAAAATTGTTTCCAAATGCTTATAGAAAAATGAAATGTTTAATGTGAGAGATAGATGCAATGTAATGTTTTATATAAGTTAAAGCTTATAATAGTTGTAATGTTCAGCTTAGCCATGGAGAGAAGTGACAACTCTGTTAATATCATCTCTAAAAAGGATAAATATTGAGGTAGAGGGTTTCCTCTAGATACCCTGAGCATCAACTGATTTTTTAAAGTTACTTTAAAAGCTGCCAATAATTTGGATCTTTTCTCAGTTACAAAGATAAATATCCTTGATTTTTATCTAGGCATTCACTAGTCTGGAGACACTCTAGGGAAAGTGGCTGGACCTAACATAACCTTTGTACTAAATGTCAAGTTAATTTGATGTATACATCAAAACAAGTCATCTTCGCCTGGATTAATAATTTGATTCCAACCCAATCTCAAATGGTGGCAAATGAATGCTGGTCTAAATCTGAGTGTCTACATAAAAGCATTAGTTTATTCGGGCAAGAGCAATGGTTCAAACTATACCCCATAAGCACAGAAGTACAATTAAATTGCCCACACATACCTATGAGTTGTGGAAATAACTTAGCTATCATCATGGCATGCTTTACACAGAAAACTAAAATGTTAGAGGTTTGGCTGACTGTTTTTTATGTATTTTATCATTTAATACAATAATCTATGAATCAGATAAAATCATTTTTCCCATTTTGCAGATAAGGAAATGCACATTAAAAAAAATCGGCAGCATGCCCAAGATCAAGCCAGTAACAGAGCTGGGATATGAATCTAGCTTTGCATGTCTCCAGAGTCCAAGTTTGTAACCATTACTGTGTTGATAATTCCTAGGCTTTCACATCCAAAATAACAAGCTCATTACTCTCATCATTTTTCCCCTACTGTAAAATATTTCGTGTACACACGCACCTTATACAAAATACAATATTTTTATCTTATAAAAATATCTTACTGTGGAGCTAAATATTCTTTAGACTAATCATATCATTATGAGACTGAACCCTGTATCTTATTTTCCAAATTCCAAAATGACACACACATTGATTTCTTAGCCATAAAAAAGATAAATGGGTCTATGAAACTCCACTAAGAAGCCGGCAATAGTGATACAGGAGAGACCACATCGCAGTACAGCAACAAAGCCAATGAAGCCACTGTTGCTTCTCCAGGCAGCAATCAGCAGCCAGAGAAGAAGGTCACCATGTCCATCTCCACTGGCCCACAAATTGCTAAGAACAACTGCCTGGTGATCATTGCCTTTCTCTTCTAACTTTCCTTCTGCCTGATGTTAGCAGGGGAAGTCACTGTATGTAAGACACTCACCTTAACTCTCTAACAGGGCATTTATAATTATGAGTGTATTCCTAGTGAAATAAAACTATTGGTTTTCATAGCTTATTTCATTTTCCACAGTCCCAAAGCACAGTCCTTAATTAGGGAGAAAAAAATATGGTCAGGGAGAAGGCACAATGGAACCAGTGCATATGTCAAAGATAAATTCCAGGTAATTGTTGAGAACATGGAGAACAGCAAAACTGCATGTTGTCCCCTGGACATCTGCTGTAGGATGACTAAATCCCATTTCTTGAAATCCTGAACAAGGAAGAGAATTCTGCCAAGAGTTCACTAGGCTATGAGCGTTATGGGTCAGAACAGCAGAAAGGTTATGAGAATTTGCTTTGAAACTAAGCAAACGTGCGTTGGAATTCTGTCTGCCACTCATTAGCCATCATAAGTACTAATTAGATGATGACCATGGTGAGATAGGCAAGTGTTCAGACCCACAGAGGGTTTGAGGAATAAGGTGACCAGGAAGACCACAGCAGATGGTTTAGTGCAGAAATGCAATCTTGGAATTGGACCACACAGGGAACTAGGTGGAGTGTGGTGAGTGGTGAGATGGAGTGGTAAGCCCAGGGCTAGCTTCATGGGTGTGCCACCTCTGCTGTCACACAGGGACCTCTGTGTAGAAGGACCCCACACTTAGTTCAGTGCTTTGCTGTCAGCATCTTGAAATTCTCAATCATTTTTTAACATTTTCACATTTTAACATTTTCACATAATTCTCCAAATTATACAGCTGTTCCTGGGTAGGCCATTATGGATTCAGGCACTGAAGGTATTACAAACACCCACAGGCAGATGCTGGGATAAAGATTTGCATATTACGACTGGTCTAGTCTTGCCTGGGCCTTGCAAGGCAAGAATTCAGCTCTAAGGGACAGAAGAAAGCAAAAGGGGAATGGGCACACCTGTTTAATAACAATGGTGGCTATATAATTTGTCATCCAAATTAGGATACTTTTGAGAATAAAAGGGACTCTCTTAATAGCTACCACAAGACAACAGTTATAAACTTGGACTTTTCTGGTCAAACTGTGAGAAACAGCTACCCTGTAAATAAGCCATTCTAGAAAAGATTCCAAACTTATTTCCACAGGGAAAAGTTGGAAATAAATACAGAAGAAGCTACCATCATAACCATGTAGCACATTTGTTCATAGAAAATTCTGACCTATTTTTGGAGGTGTAGAGAAGATAGTAGTTACTGTCTTATCTTCATAAAAGATGATCAACACAGAATAAAATTTTAGGTAGACAGAATTGTTTGAAAAACTGCCCATGTTTTCGTAACTCTTGCAGCTAGGTTGATAGGTACATAGGGTTCATTATGCTATTATACTGTTCTCTAAAAAAATACTTAGATGATTTCACTAATATTACATTGATTTGATATTTTTAAATTCCCTAATAATTTTATTAACAACTTGCTATGAAATTATTGTCAAAAATGAAAAACAATTTGAGAATGACTTAAGTATCAAGTATTCTCAAATTACCCAAGTAAATAAACGGTGCTATTGTTAGAACTTTACTGAAGAACTTAGGGATATAAATCTACTTAGAGAACAAATCAGAAATTCTGTTTTAAAGTTCTGTGTACATAAATATCACACTATTTTTATTTAGATTTTAGGTTTATTTTGAGTGCCTTGGAGTAGGTGTGATGGAGACACTAAAGCCACAGAGGTTTATGCTATAGATAAAATTTAACCCCAAATCTCAGTGGCTTAAGAAAAACAAAGGTTTGTCTTTGGCTTATGCTGCTTGCCTGTCAGATTAACAAGGTTCTCTGCTCTCCTCACCCACCCAGGAATCCAGCAATAGAGACCCCACCATCTTATAATTTTACCATCTGGAATATATGGTTTGCTTTAGCTATTTGTCAGGCAATAGACTAGAGAATTACACATAGGCTTTTGATTGCCTCAGACCAAAAGTGATATGTCACTATCATTTCATTGACCAAAATGTGTCATGTACTCTCATCTGAATGAAAGGAGACAGTAATCCACGGGACCAATGGAATGTTTAATGAGTATTACTGTTTCCACTATAGCCCACCCATTTCTTTGGAAAACACTGCAAGAAAAGTGCAGCTCACATATCCTAGAATCTGAGTGAACACTGAATAAAACTTTAAATGGCATTGATGTGTCTGAAAATATTTGTTCAGCAAATGAATAATGAAAAGAAGATTACAGAGTGAATTTTCTGTCTAACTTTTTCAAGCACTAAAACGTATTCATTTTTATATAAGGGACATAATTAGTGCAAATGAATATTAACTGCATTCAAACCAGCATAGCTGACTTTTAACTGACAACACTTTCCTAGCTATGACTACAGACAATAGTAATGTTTATTTGAGAATGATCCATTGTTTCAGTTATCTATTCCTACATAACAAACTACCTACTAGGCTAAAGTGGGTAGGTTGGGGGGTTTTTTATGGGTTGCAATCAGATGGCAGCTGGGGTTGGAATCATCTGAAGATACCATCTCTCAAATATCTAACACCTCTGCTGGGATGGCTGAAATGGATGGAGCCTGGCTAAGTATATCTCTCTTTCCACATGGCCTCTCCAAAAGACTAGCTTGGGCTTCCACACAGCATGGCATTATCAGGATACTTGGACTTCCACTTGCTACACAGTTTCTCCTAGAGGGAACATTTCAAGAACACAAGACCCATACTGCAAGACTGCTTAGCACCTAGGCTAGGAAGTCTTAGTGTCACCTCCACCGTACTCTACTTGTCAAAAGTGAATCACAGGGCCACGTGAGCTCCAAAGAGAGGAAAATATACAAAGATGTGAGTACTAGGAGGCATATTTCATTAGGGTGCCATTGTTGGACACAAGTATCATTAATCAGACATTTCATTAACTCAGACCCTAATTTCCTACACTCGAAATAACTTATTTTCAAATGCAAGTCGAAATGTTTAAGGTTTCATATTACAGCAAATTTGCTTTGCCATAGTTTCTTTCCTCCTAATCCTCTAAACCAAACTATAGATAAAACGTGATGGTTTGCAAATGCGTAAGAATTGGTATTTCATTTCTCTGCTTATCTCTATATTTATGAAGCCAGGATGTAAACTAGATACACTCAACATATGTCTAGGGCAGTGCTGGCAATGGGGAGAGACTTCTCTGCTTGAGAAAAGGAGAAGAAATAGTGGGAAGGACTTTGTCTTGTAGTTTGGGTGTCAGCTCAGCCTCAGTAGAATAGAGCACCAGGTAGATTCCTACAGTTCCCAACTCCAGGTCCTGGCTTCTAGATGGCATCCACAGATCCATCCAAAGCCAGAGGGAACTCAACACTCCGAAGGAAAGGATACATGTCCGCTTGGATTTGCCACCTGCAGGTTGTACAGCCCTTGAGCCTTGAGTGAACATAGGTGATGGCCAGGTAGTGGTCACTGCAATTCTTGGGTAAGACCCAGTACTATGCTGGCTTTGGTTCTGACCCAGCACAGTCCCAGTGATGGTGGCCACAGAGGTGCTTGTGTCACCCATCCCCCAGCTCCAGGCATCTCAGCACAGAGAGAGAGAGAGAGAGAGAGAGACTTCATTTACTTGGGGAAAAGTAAGGAAAGAGACCACGGGTCTCTTCCTGGTGATCCAGGGAAGTCTTCTGGATCTTACCCAAGACCACCAAGGTATTACCTCTATGAGTCTGCAAGAGCCACAGCATTACTGAGCTTTAGCTTCCCTCTAAAGCAGACATGGCTTAGATAATAACACCCAAGACTTAGATAATAACCAAGACTTAGATAATAACACCCAAGTTCCTTGGAATATCTGGAAAGCCTTCCCAAAATGGATGGGTACAAACAAGCCTAGACTGTGAAAACTGCAATAAATACTTTACTCTTGAATACCCAGGTGCCCATAAATATCCACAAGCATCAAGACCATCCAGAAAAACATGACCTCACCAAATGAACAAAATAAGGCACCAGGGACCAATCCCAAAGAGACAGAGATATGTGACCTTTCAGACAGAGAATCCAAAATAGTTGTTTTGAGGACACTCAATAAAATCCAAGATAACACAGAAAGGAATTTAGAACCTGATCAGATAAATTTAACAAAGAGATTAAAATAATTAACAAGAATCAAGCAGAAATTCTGGAGCTACAAAATGCAACTGACATACTGCAGAATGCATCAGATCTCGCAACAACAGAATTGATCAAGCAGAAGAAAAATTAGTGAACTTGAGAACAGGCTATTTGAAAATCCATAGTCACAGAGAAAAGACAAAATAATAAAAAACAAGGAAGCATGTCTACAAAATCTATAACACAGCCTCAAAAGGGCAAACCTAAGAGTTATTGGCCTTAACGAGAAGGTAGAGAGAAAGATCATGATAGAAAGTTTATTCAAAGTGATAATAACAAAGAACTTCCCAAATGCAAAGAAAGTTATCGATATTCAAGTACAAGGAAGTTATAGGACACTAAGTAGATTTAACCCAAAAACTACCTCAGGATATTTAATAATCAAACTCACAAAGGTCAAGGATAAAGAAAGGATCCAAAAAAAACTACCTTAGGATATTTAATAATCAAACTCACAAAGGTCAAGGATAAAGAAAGGATCCAAAACCTAGCAAGAGAAAATAAACAAATAACATATAAAGAACCTCCAATATGTCTGACAGCAGACTTCTCAGTTGAAACCTTGCAGACCAGGAGAAAGTGACATGACATATTTAAAGTGTTAAAGAAGAAAAACTTTTATTCTAGGATAGTATATTCAGTGAAAATATCCTTCCATCACGAAGAAGAAATAGTTTCCCAGACAAACAAAAGCTGAGGGATTTCATCAACACCAGACCAGTCCTACAAAAAATGCTAGAGAGAGTTCTTCAGTCTCAAAAAAAATGATATTAACAAGCAATAAAAAATTATCTGAAGGTGCAAAACTCACTGGTAAGAATAAGTACAGAATATTATAACAATGTGATTGTGGTATGTAAACTACTCATATATTGAGTAGAAAGACTAAAAGATAAATCTATCAAAAAAGTATCTATAGCAACAATTCAAGATAGTAAAATAAGGTGTAAACAAAAATAACAAAAAGTTAAAAAGGGGATAAAGTTAAAGTATAGAGTTATTAATTTTTTCTTTGTTTATTGGTTTATGCAGGCAGTGTTAAGTTGTCATCAGTTTAAAATAACAGGTTATAAAATACTTGAAAGCCTCACGGTAACCTCAAATCAAAAAACACACAACAAATACACAAAAAATAAAATGCACAAAATTAAAACATGCCACCTGAATAAATCACCTTGACTGAAAGGAAGAAAGGAAGGAAGGAAAGAAGGACGACAAGACCATAAAACAACCAGAAAACAAATAACAAAATGACAGAAGTAAGTCCTTACTTATCAATAATAACATTGAATGTAAATGGACTAAACTCTCCAATCAAAAGACATAGACTGGCTGGATGGATAAAAATACAAGACCCAATGATCCATTGCCTACAGGAGACATACTTCAACTGTAAAGACACACATAGATACAAAATAAAGGGATAGAAAAAAGACAGTCCATGCCAATGAAAAACAAAAAAGATCAGGAGTAGGTATATGTATACCAAACAAAATAGATTTCAAGACAAAAACTATAGAAAGAGACAAAAAAGGTCATGACACCATGATAAAGTCAATTCAGCAAGAGGATATAACAATTATAAGTATGTATGTACCTAACACTGGAGCACCCCCCATATATAAAGCAAATATTATTACAGCTAAACAGAGATAGACCTCAATACGATAATAGCTGGAGACTTCAACACCCCACTTTCAGCATTAAACAGGTAATCTAGACTGTCCTTTGTTCAACGTCAAACCTACTTAATAATAGGTATTTACAGAACATTTCACCCAATGGCTGCAGAACACACATGCTTTTTCTCAGCACATGGATCATCCTCAAGGATAGAACATATGTTAGGCCACAAAGATGTCTTAAAACATTCAAAAAAAATGAAAGTATGTCAAATGTCTTCTCTGACCACAATGGAATAAAATAGTAATCAATAACAGGATGAATTTTGGAAATTATACAAACACATGGAAATTAAACAATATCTCCTGAATGACCAGTGGGTCAATGAAGAAATTAAGAAGGAAATTGAAAAAAAGTCTTAAAACAAATGATAATGGAAAGACAACATACCAAAACCTACAGAATACAGCAAAGTAGTAGTAAGAGGAAAGCTTATAGCAATAAATGCCTACATCAAAAAGTAGGAAAAAATTCAAATAAACAACCTAATGATGCATCTTAAAGAATTAGAAAAGCAAGAGCAAACCAAACCCCAATTTAGTAGAAGAAAAAAATAATAAAGGTCAGAGTAGAAATAAATGAATTTGAAATGAAAAATAAAAAATATCAACAAAATATAAGTTTTTAGAAAGGATAAACAAAAGCAACAAAGCTTTAGCCAGATTAAGAAACAAACAAAGAAGACCCAAATAAATAAAATCTGAGATTTAAAAGAGGCATCACTTCCGAGTACAGTGGCTCAGGCCTGTAATCCCAGCTCTTTGGGAGGGTGAGGCGGGTGGATTGCTTGAGGTCAGGAGTTCGAGACCAGCCTGACCAACATGGTGAGACTCCGTCTCTACAAAACATACAAAAACTAGCCAGGCGTGGTGGCAGACGCCTGTAATCCCAGCTACTTGGGAGGCTGAGGCAGAAGAATCGCTTGAACCCAGGAGGCAGAGGTTGCAGTGAGCCAAGATTGCGTCATTGCACTCCAGACTGGGCAACAGAGCAAGACCCCGTCGAGAGAGAGAGAGAGAGAAAGAGAGGCAGACAGACAGACATTATAACCTCACTACAGAAATTTCTGTACTACTACAGAAATTCAAAGGATCATTAGAGCTGCTATGAGCCACTATATGCCAATACATTGGAAAACCTAGGAGAAACTGATAAATTTCTAGACACATACAACCTACCAAGATTGAACCACAAAGGAATCTAAAACTTGACAAGACCAATAATAATAATGAGTTCAAGGTTGTAATAAAAAGTCTCCCAGCAAAGAAAAGCCCAGGACCCAATGGCTTCACTGCTGAATTTTACCAAACATTTAAAGAAGAGCTGATGCCAATTCTATTCAAACCTTCCAAAAACTAGAGGAGGATGGAATACTTTGAAACTCATTCTGCAAGGCTAGAATTACCATGACACCGAAACCAAAGACACATCAAAAAGAGAAAATTACAAACCAATATTCCTGATGAATATTGATGCAAAAATCCTCAACAAAATGCTAGCAAACCAAATTCAACAATACATTAAAAAGAACATTCATCATGACCAAGTGGGATTTATTCCTGGGATGCAAGGATGATTCAACATACACAAATCAATCAATGTGATACATCATATCAACAGAATACGTGATGAAAATTATATGATCATTTCAATTGATGTTGAAAAAGCATTTGATAAAATTCAACATCCCTTCATGTTAAAAAACAAAAAAAACCCTCAAAAAACTGGGTGTAGAAGGACTATACCACAATGCAATGAAAGCCATATATGAAAGCCCCACAAATCTAGTATCATACTGAATGGGGAAAAACTGAAAACCTTTCCTCTAAGACAAAAAAACAAAGCCTCTCCAGAATAAGACACAAGGATGCCCACTTTCACCACTGTTATTCAACATAGTACTGGAAGTTCTAGATAAAGCAATCAGACAAAAGAGAGAAATGAAGGCCATTCCAATTGGAAAAGACAAAGTCATATTATCCTTGTTTGCAGATGATTGGATCTTACATGTGGAATAACCTAAAAACTCCACCAAAAAAACTCACACACAGATGAAAGTGGTCAATTTTGCTCAGAATCCTGAACCAAAATAAACTGGAAGTTCACATTAATCTCTATGGATACCACAGCACCAAGCAATCATACACATAATCACAATATTAGTGTTTCATCATTGAAATCTCATGGCCACCACATGAATCCCAAATGCATAACATGGATATTATAAATGCAGAACATCATGATTGACCGATGATTGAGAGTATAAACTACTCTATTCTCTGGCAGCCTCTACTTTTCCCACAGCAATGCTTGAAGTGATGATAGTGATTTCACCTTGATCAATTCATATTTATCAGCTTTCATGTGAGCCTTGGTTATGGAGAAAATGGAAACTAATGATTTGAGGGAAGAAAAATAAATAAATATGGATTTGAGGTTCCCCTTTCTGCATGCTATTCCTGCTGTTATTTCATATAATTCACTCATTCATTCATTCATCAAATAACTTCATGAGCTTCTACTCCATGGCGAGTATAAGATACATAGGTATAAAAATAATATATAAGAAAATCCAGGAAAAATATTCACTATAGCCTTTTATCAGCAGGCCACATTCCCCTTTCTCTTACTATACAAACACAGTAAAAACAGTAGAATCCTCTATTTTTCCCTAATTTAACACTAATCCTTTTAGAAGCCTAAAACTTCTGCTATCGGCCTTGAATTCTGTCAATTCTATCTACTACTAGAAAATAATGACACTGAAATATCTAGTTGGGTTTTCTTGAGTCAATTGCTACTCTTTAACACATTACAGTCTTTAAAAAAAAATCACTGGTTTTTCATTTTAATGAGATACATTTGAAGGTTCTCACCTATCAAAGACTATTCTAAACAAAAGTTTTCTAAAGAGCTAAAGAGTCGTCAATCAATAGGTTGATCATTATTGACCAAAACTTTACACTGAGGGTTTTAAGAACACAATGCTTGGATTGATGCCAATTATCTAAAGAAAAAAACTTTTAAATTATAAAGTATAGTAAGCTAAAGTATTTAATATTCACAAGAAATTTTCTGAATATGAGAGGGATGATAGGACATCAGAAACATTTCTACAGAGAAGTATACAGTATGTATAGAAAACTTATCATAATTTCAATTTATCACTTTATTTTTCAGCCAGTCACCACACTCACTTGTCGGTTTTCTTTATTCAAAGTGTGGTGCTTAATGATTATTTGGCGCAGATATCTGTAAGCATATAAAACTTTAAGATGCATTCCTGACAAAATGCAAAACAAGGGGAAAAATAACACTTTCTTACAAATGTGTTTTCAAATCATTTCAAACAAAGCACCAAAAGGTACATTTTAAAACAAAATGTATTAATAAGTATGGTAAAGTCTATGCTTTGAAAGTTATCTATTTGTAAATAGTGTGCAAGTAAATATAAGCTTTTTTCAACAAAGAAAATTAATCATGCAAAAATAATTTCAAAGTAGAAATAGTATTTGAAATACAAAAATGTCACGTTCTGATTAGCTCAAAACATAACTATTGGTTAAAATGGTTTTCAATGGCCTTAAATTACTCTAAAATCTTTAGAGAGGTAATATTGCCTACCACTTAGTAGACTAGGGCACTGTAATCTGACAGAACTAACTCTGTGTCATTGGACAAATTAAGTCAGTTTTCTCATCTGTAAAATACTGCATATTTATTATAGAGATATTGGGAAGATTAAATGAGACAGTGCATGCAAAGAAATTAGCAGACATCACATAGTAAATGTTCAATAAATGTTAGCTATGATGATAATGAATATGAAGGTATGGTGATTTTATTAATTCTCATACCAGCACACTGCTATAAACAGGCAGGTATCTGCCTGTGTACTGATTTACTCATTACTGTATCTATGTTGTATCTATCTGAGGTTTACAACCAGTATTCTACAAATAGGACAAGATCCACTTGAACTCTGGTGAATATAAATCCATGACTCAGCAATATGGATAAAATTGGTTGTCATTATGTTAAGTGAAATAAGCCAGGCATGAAACGACCAATATCACATGTTCTTATGTTCTTACTCATATGTGGGAGCTAAAAAAGTGGATCTCATGAAGGTAGAGAGTAGGATGGTGGTTACCAGAAGCTGGGAAGGAAAAAAAGGCGAGGAATGCTGAAGAAAAGTTGGTTAATGGGTATAATAATGAAGTTGGATATAAGGAATAAGTTCTAGCATTTGATAGTATAGCAGGGAAATTATAACATTGTGTATTTCAAAATAGCTAGAAGAAAGAATTGTAATGCTCTCAACACAAAGAAAAACTAAATATTTGAGGTGATGGATATCCTAATTATCCTGATTTGATTATTATATATTGTATACATGTATCAAAATATCACATGTACACCTAATATATGTACAACTATGATATATTAATAAGAGAAAAAAACAAAAAAACAAGAACAGCAATATATTAATGTTTGCTCAAAATGGATGATGGATACACGAGAGCTCATTACTCAATTTTACTTTATTGTACACCTAAAATTTCTGTAATAAAATCTTGTAAATGTTTTTTAAAAAATCCATGACTCAATTAAAAAAAAAATGTTCTGCAGATGCCAAAAGTCAAAGGAGAACATAGCAGCTGGAATCTGGGATTGAGCTGGCAGTTATGCTTTCAACCTTAGGCTGAGAATTTGTGTAGGTAATTTTCAAAGACTGAAGCCAATAAGCTTATTTATCGCAAACACAAAAGACAAAGGTTCTTCTAATAAACACAAATTTAAAAGGGGCGGATTAGAGTATGAGTAACAAAGAAGAATAATTATTCTGCATGGAATAGGGAGGTAAAAGGATTACTACCCACCAGGCCAGCTCAGAAGAATAAATCTCAGAGTTTTCAGCAGCTGCAAGGCTGTGATCCTGTAAATACTCACACATTTCTAAAACAAACGCCACTGTTACAAGAACAAAAGAATGAAGTGCATATACAACAGTAGGTGTATCATTCAGAGAACAGCTGAAAAGCTGTCAGTAAAACAGAGACCATACCAGGCGTCCAAGAGAAGGAATTTAATACAGGGAACTAGTTACAAGTGTGCTGTGAGAGCTAAAAAGTCAACAGGTGAAGAAAGCAGCTGCCTCCCTTAGGGCTGAGGGGACAAAGGGGATTGCCTCCAGGGGCTAGAAAACAGGGTTGTCTTACAGGAGCTGGTCTACCCAGACTATAGAGAGATACTACCCAAAAGCAGACAGAGAGGGAAATAAATATCCTGGTTTTGTCCTTCCTATCTCTTTCCTAAGTCCCACTAAGGTCTCCCATTGGGAAAACCTATTTGGCGGTCAGTTAGCAGGGGAGCCTGGGAAGGTAGATGTCAAGGGATGGTCATTGAATGGATCTGCAAGCAAAAGAGCAAAGGTCCAGCACAATAGGCAATTGCCAAGGAAACTAAAGGAATATAAAGAACCATACCACTCCTTTTGTTTAGAATAAAAGGGAACCCTCAATACCAAAAAGATGACACCAATATTAGTTTTAGACAGAGTACCATTTGAAAATCCCACCCAGTTATGTCCCGCAATGAAAAAGGCATAACTAAGGTTGAAAGTCTCCCAATATAACCACAGTTCTTCCGACACTTGAGAGGGTAAAAAGGAAACCCACTTTTAGTACCTATTCCACTCTTGAATTTCACAGACCTGTAAGTATTCAAAGAGAAAACATTGGAAAATGTACATAAAATGGTCAACACTTTAACTCACCTAGGATATTTAAAATGACACATATACCATCCAATATATTTATACTTTTATAAAAATAAAGGTAATTTTATTAAGGACTACCCTGTCTTCACTTTTCTCATTTCATTGCATCATGTGAAGAGCTTTCCAGGACCAGCACAGATTCACAAAAAGATAATATTAGATTATCTCACTGGGAAGTTCCCAAAAGGATCTTATTGACTTGCAAAATTAAGTAAGTTCTAAGAAAAGAACATAGAATTCTAGAACAACTGAATTCATATAATCTTGAACAGTATAATCTCTAGGTCTCACTTTTCTTAGATCATAAAGATTAAATTAAAATACCTCCTAGGACTTTTTCGGAGTGGGTGCAGAGATGAGTAGTGACTTGCTCAATTCAGTCCCTAGAAAGTCTGAGAATAGAAATCAGAAATACTACCAACTCATAACCAACTGTGCATTTTCAGGTTATGTCCACTCTGTAGGAAGTAAATGAAACCTGGATAGTCAAAGCAATTTCTGTCTACTGGGGCCACTGCCCCTCTTTTGTGCCACCAGCTTTTTCAGTTCACATTCGTCAAGCAATATATCCTTTTAAATTACCAGAACCTACAGCATCCACACAAAGTTGATGCCAACGGAGGCAGAGCCATCACATCAACTTCTTTTTACCAACCGATTCAATGTCAAAATAGGTTCTAAGATAAAATATTGCATAGCGGTAGAATTTATTCTTCTCATTAATTTTCTTTACCATTTTTTTTATTGACAAATGGCAATTTATAATTGCAAAAAGAAAAAAGTTTAAAAAGAGCATACAGAAAGAGTTCTTATATCATGCTGCCATTGGAGTAAGTTAGCACCAATGCTGAATTTTGACAAAAGTTAATAGGAGTGGGGAGTAAATATAAATTATTTATAATGTGCCTTCTTACAATTACTGCAGAAGCTGAAGTGACTTGAAAGGTCACTTTGTTAGAGATAATTCTAACCAAAAGATAAATGAGAGTTGTTTTCTTCTTGGTCTCATAACTAGTAGGTGATTTGAATGCATATCCTACTCAGCTTTTAGAGTCCAAAGTTAGTGTTCTCTCATCATGTGATTTCAAAAAGCAGAAGACCACTCAGAAGCCCACGTGGTCACAGTGTGTCACCTGTAAAAATGCTCACTAACAGAAAATATCTGGTTTTCTTTACACGGAGAGATATAACATCACTCTGCTGGCTTAACTTACCCTTTAGGCAAATAATATTCAGTATTAATTGACCTGAGTAGAGGTTGTTAATGAGCCTGAGTAACTAGGCAAAAAAGTAATTCTTCGTAAAATTAGTGTCTTTTCTTAATATATTGGTACATAAACTCACAGAGAGAGACACCATGTACCACACAGTTCCATGCAAATACACATGGGTGCCTATACAATTTTCCGGAATAAAAGGAATGGAAGAGAAATTTTTTTGTCAAAGAAAAACAAGGCAAACTTAACTTTCGATATTTGCTGGATTAATTTTATCTATGCTATTCACTGTGGAGGGCTTTGAACATGGAACCTCACATCTTCTAGGCGCCTACCTTCCTGTCACCATCACGTTCACAGCCCTGACCTTAAACTTGACGCAGATGATGAATGAACTGCACAGCCCTTTGTCAAGAGAGGCCACATTTGAGGTGAGACTAAACAAGAGCCCAAAAGCTTCCATACTTGCCCAGCAAAAGAAAGAAAGGGAGAAAGAGACAGAAAAAGAGAGAAAGAGAAAGAGAGAGAGAAAAAGAGAGAGAAAGAGAGAGAGAGAGAAAGAAAAAGAGAAAGAGAGAGAAAGAGAGAAAGAGAAAGAAAGAGAAAGAGAGAAAGAAAGAAAAAGAAAGAAAGAAGGAAAGAAAGAAAGAGAAAGAAAGAAAGAGAAAGAAAGAAAGAAAAAAAGAAAGAAAGAAAGAAAGAAAGAAAGAAAGAAAGAAAGAAAGAAAGAAAGAAAGAAAGAAAGAAAGACAGTTCAAGTGCACTTCAAGGAAAACAAGCATGTCAAGTTTCTTAAAAAGAGCCTATTACCTGATGTGGCTGTGAACTGGACCATCTGCTATAGGAAGGAGCACCTGAAGACTTGTTGGCTGAAGTTCTCTGAGGAGAAAAAAAAAATTCCTGCTGTCATACAAGCGGAATACACTTCATGTTTCTTTAAACAAATTATTTACTCAGTGTCTACAGCTCCAAAAATGAACACATCTTAAATTCCGTCTGAACTTAATCTTTCCCTTTTATTTCTTTTAAAACATTCTCCTCAGCAAATATAATAATATGGATACTAGAGTCAAAATACACGCATTCAAGTCTCAGTTTGTATAAGTTATTTTATGTGGTACAAGTCACCCAAGCTCTCTCTGCATCAGTTTTTTCTTCTATGACACAGGAGTAATAATTTTATTTATTATTTTTTAACTTTTTTTTGCTATGGAGACTCGCTCTATCACCAGGCTAGAGGACAGTGGTGCAATCTCCGATCTCGGCCCACTGCAACCTTTACCTTTAGGGTTCAACCGATTCCCCTGCCTCAGCTTCCCAAGTTGCTGGGACTACAGGTGCACGCCACCATGCCTGTTTGTTGTTGTTGTTGTTGTTGTTTTATTTTAGTGGAGACAGTGTTTCACCATGTTGGCCAGTATGGTCTCGATCTCCTGATGTCATGATCCGCCTGCCTTGGGCTCCCAAAGTGTTGGGATTACAGGCGTGAGCCACTGTGCCCGGCCGGAATAATAATTTTTATATCACAGGATTTTTGTGAGGCTCAAATATAATAGATACGAAGCATTTGGTAAAGATCTTTGCACATATAAAGTATTAATTCACTTTGGGAGGCCGAGGCAGGTGGATCACAAAGTCAGGAGATTGAGACCATCCTGGCTAACACAAGGAAATCCCATCTCAACTAAAAATACAAAAAATTAGCTGGGCATAGTGGCACATGCCTGTAGTCCCAGCTGCTTGGGTGGCTGAGGCAGGAGAATTGCTTGAACCCGGGAGGCAGAGGTTGCAGTGAGCCGAGACCGTGCCACTGCACTCCAGCCTAGGCAACAGAGCAAGACTCACTTTCGAAAAAAAAAAAAATGGATTAATTCAACAAGCAGAAAAGAAGCCACATTATTATAGGTTTCCACTTGAAACAAAACTGGTATACAAATGTGCAAGTTAATAAACGAGGTTGTTTGAGATTCAGTTATATTTTTGTTATAAAGAGATCCTTCATCTTAGGAAAGACCTGACTACATCATTGCTATCACCTCTGTGGGCTTGTACAATGCCACAAGCTCATCTAAAACCATTCTTGACACAATTTTTTGGTGTCTGCTTCCATCATAGAGACCAGAAAGCTGACTACTCAGTTTCTCAGCATTCCTTCTCTCTAGGAATGGTAACATGGCACAGCTCTGGCCAATGAGACATGAGTATAATTCTTCTGGGGGGAGTTCTAGAAAACTCTTTGTTTTCCTGGTGAGAGGGAAAGGAGAAGGCATGCACCATCCCATCATTCTTCTCCCTCTCTAAATGCAGATATGCTACACAGAGCTAGAGCAATCATTCTGTAACCACGAGGAAAAAGCCAAGAGCAGAGCAGACAGGCTGCCCCTAATCTTGTTGACCAGCTGAAGCAAAGCTTCAGGCTGCTACTTTTGCCTAAATCCTCCTTGTGTAAATGACCATAATCACATTTTCTGTTAGTTGCAGAGTTTAATGATATACTCTCGTCTCTCATTCAAATTAAGAGTCAAATTATAGGAATTTGATTCATCAGAAACTTGTGGGTGCTTTAGGCAGAAAGAACAGAATGACAGAGGCATGAAGATGTGAAAGCGCTTCGTGTGCTTGGAAAATGATCAATAGACCAATACCGTACTGCCAATTCTTGTATTCACCATCACTGCGTTCCATCTGCCTTTCAGGATTCCTATGTAATTCTGTGCTGGGCTTTGCTGATTCTGACAGCTTTCCTGAAACTCTGCCACAGAGAGGTTGGCATGGTGGGTAAATGCTGTGTTCTGCCGGCTCGATTCGACTTTCCTCTAGCATCTGCCCATCTGAGAAGGCAGGGCTGGGTTTAACTCTCAGGCCTTCCCAATCCCTCCCTCCACCACTGAGGCTAATGAGATTGGACCCTAGCACAAAGTGTGAGAAAGTATTTTGGTTTTTAATACGGATAAAGGAAGAACTAACAAGGTAGTAGCTAAAAGTTAAACCAAAAGCTTAACCGTATTTCATTAGCGAGACACAACAGGAATGAACCTCAGATGTATCAGACTCTGCCACTAAATGATCGTGTACCTTCTCTGATATTCATTTTCTTAATTGTGAAATAAGGTTAAATTAAATGGTCCTCAGGCTAATTAACCCAGCCCCAAATCTGTACAATTTAATGATTCTACACTTTTAGAGTGTTTAAATGATTACTAATATAGTGGCAACATTGAATTTCCATGGAAAGATTAGATTCCTTTCAATATTGTTTTTAAAAATACCAAAGAAATGTGGTCTTAAACCCCAGTTAACTAGGAAATGTTAATAATTCAAAATAGCCCCTTAACTGCATAGTTTAACAGATTCCAGCTTCCCTGAATTTTTAGAAAGAGACTGTGAGCTGGTTTTCCAGCCCAGTAATCTGGGCTTTAGCAAAGACTCTCTAAGTCTCCCTAAATCATAAGATTTTGGAATTCACTATCAGACTAATTTTTGAGGCATTATGTTTTGAGAACATATCTCATCATTGTTTAAAGCCACAATATGGATTTTTGAAATTGTAACTATAAATTTTACCTTCACTATCAGAAAAACAAAGCTTTGGCTTTTTTTAAAATCAAAATAAAATTACAGTAATCAAAGTCAAGATACAAGTGCTGACATTCAAAACATATTTTAAAGAAAAGTGAGATGTGTGGCCTGCAGCATATGATCCAAGTTATCAAGTAATCTTGAAATGGGAAGGGCAAAAGATGGGCACTTGTGGATTTGATTGCAATCATAACTCAATATGAAATGCACTTCCGTCTCTCCTAAGAAGTGTCACAATACTTCCATGCCCACACGTAACATTTTCCTAAAGGTCACACTGCATTTCAGCATTGACTCAAGTATTATCAACTTTATAATGGTAATTGCATCTACCATCATTCACATACTTCATGTCCTTTCTAGTGCTAAGTACAAATGTAAAAGGCAGTAGTTTAACAACAAAATAACTGACCAACATTAATTATAAGCTTAAGGACATAATGTTCAGAATTACGTGGTATCTCTCATGGATATGACTACTAAAAAAATCAATCTCATATCACAAATCATAATATCTGGTTGGGTTTCTTTGATGTGTTTTTGAAAAAAAAAAAAACTACCCATAATATGTGGTTTGGGTGTCAGCTTAGACAAAAATAAAATTAACTGACAAACTAGCTAAAAAATTGTTTATATCCTAATTTTACTCCTACTAGTGTTCTTAGCAGCCAGTGGTTAATCAAAGAGCAGTGCCCAGATCAGAATAATGAGGCATGCTGGTTGAAAATGCAAATTATCTGACCCCAGGAATTTACAAATCTCTGGGAGTAGGATCCAGCAATTTGCATTTTTAAGAGGCTCTTCAATTGATTCATACTAAATTTTAGGAGCAAAGAAAAATTCCAGAATAATCCCAACACATCCTTCTACAGCCACATGTATTCACTGAAGGACAAGGTCCCAGGGATATTATTGATAACAATTTTCTCTAAGCAGATAAATTGAACACTCAAACTCCAGAGAGGTATTTCAGGAAACTGTGGGAAATCGCTTGGGAAAAAAGAATCTGATTTTTAATCTACTGATATAGATTGAACCTTGAACCACAAGCCAATTAAATGGTTGAGCAAGGGCTTTAGTTTAGATACCCCAGCCCACTTCACCTCCCTGGGAAAACCCCTAATATCAAGAATGGCTGCTGCCCTTCTGATCTGTTTCCAACACATCCGTGCTTACCCCTTATCAAAATTCTTATCACACTGTCTTAGAATTGCCTTCTAAATGCAGCTCCCTCTTTAGAGTACACATTCACAAACCTATGGTAAGAGGTGGGAGTGACAGCTGGGGCTGGGTCTTATTTACTCCTGTAACCAGCCATGCCTGTGCCTGGAATTTAGTAAGTTCCCAGTGAACATCAAACTAATTAATTAACAGCTTCAGGTAAACAACCCTATTTACCTTTGGCATATATCAACAGGAGACAGCTTCAATAGGGACAGTGGTGATGGAAATGGCATTCTTGAAGGCAAGTATGCATTAAAAATGGTGAAGCTTGAGAGCCCCCCATAGCTTCTGTAATTTCTTAGCAAGTGTAGCACCATTGGCCTAGACTTCAAAATATCAGCATGGGGAGCTCTACAATATGGCTTCTTAGAAAATATCATTTGCTGAAGTTGCTAGGGTAAGAAATAATGAAAATGACAGTTACCACTTTAAAGTCGACAGTGTTGGTTAATGGGCACATGTTGTACTGCATGAGAAGTCTCAGGAATACTGTGGAATAACTTTGAAAGAACTAAATGATCTACAAAAGCTAGGAGGAACTAGAAATCGAAGAAATATTGAGATTAAAATGTTTACACTACTTTGAATCTTCTCTTTCCCTTCTTCGGGCTGGTAAAGCTTGTGGAAATCCAAGTACTTTATATCATACAGGGAATACAGGAGTAAGAGAGTGTAGAACATTTTGGTGACAAAGCATGCAGAGAGTGCTATTAGGAAGATCTTTTTTAACAGGGTGTTCTGTTAAACAAAGGAAAAAGAGGAAGTGTTGCGCAAAGTCTGGAACACAGACCAAATTCAATGGCAATTTAGAGTTGAGGAACAATGCCAGCTGCTGCAGCGAGACTGCCAGCCAACCAGGCAGCCGCTGTACTCCATCCCACAACTGTCCTTTGCTTGGCCAGCTTCTCCCAAATCTAGTTGCCAATCACCATAAGATAAGGAACCTTGGGAACATGTATATTTTTCAGTAACTGGAGCTTTTCCTGGTATTACTACATTAAGCCTTGAGCATATTTGAAGAAAGAAAAATGAAAAACCAATAAATAGTGTTGAAAGGTGCCAACTGAACATCTGCATTTAACATCTTAGCATAAAAAGTAATTGACAAATATGATCCAGGATCCAACATGGTTTGCTCAGGCAAACTGAACTCTGGATGGCATAAGTTTTGGGATTTTAATTTCAGCTGGAAAAACATATTTCCAACTCCAATGAAGTGAATCATGCAAGAAACAACACCAAAAGAGCAAATGACCTAGACAGCAGTGACATTTTTAATAAGCAAGATATGGATAGCTGACTTAAAAATTATTCTTCCAGGGTAAGAGACTTTGTTAACTATAAGTAGTAAGACTCTACCCATGTTCACCTAAATAATAAGTAGCTACACAAGCCACAAGTACTCATACTAGGCAAACTAAGAAAAAGGAAACTGATAAGGAAAAAGAAGGTGGAGTGAAGTTCTGGACTTTCTTTATCAGCTTTGCTATTAAAAGAATGGCAAGATTTCCTCATTATAGCTGTGATATTCTGGAACAAATATTCCAATATGTGTTGCTATACCAATAAATCTTCAGCATTTATGGAGAGCCTATGCAGTTAGTGTCCAGGAGATATATAAGAAACAATCTTTACCCTCCCCATCCTTTATAAACACAATTATGAACTAATTTCTCTCATTTTAATAATAAATTATCTAGCTCAGTTATGAAACGCAAGAACTCTAGATTCATTTCACTAAGCCAAGGAGTTCCATCACATTCTTAACACTATGGAGACTCTTCCAACAATTGGGAAAGACATGCTACATAAAAGCTGACCTAAATCTTTCCAGTTTTAATAAAGCCCCAGATCATTAAAGCTATGACAAGCAGCTCACATATTCTTTATCTCTTTTTAATGCCAAGCATCCTTTGGCATTTTTCTCATGATTACATCAATCCGTTTTATTTAACCTTTCTCAGTGAGCCCTAGTTTCCAGACTTTCAGCCATTTCACTGCCCTCCTCTGGACTGCCTCCGAAATCTCCACGTTCCTCCTTCCGAAATCTGCAACTGGACAAGTTACTCATTGTGCCTCATTCCAATACAAAATGCAAAATAAAATAAATCTAAGCTAGCCTCAGCACAAATATAAAAGGGAGAAAATCTCAATACAATTAACCAGTAAAGATTGATTTGGTAACTATGTTCAGTAGATTTTGCCTCTTGGTTTTACTTATTTTCCAGTGAGAGAGGAGAAATAAATGAGTCTTATTTAAGGAGACCTAACCAAGCCTTTGTGCTTTGCTTATAAAAAGCAGATGTGGAATAACAGAGACTCCATCTTCCTCTAGGAGTTAAAATATGGCACATATTTACTGAAATCCAAATGTTCCTTGCCGAGTTTTTATTTGCTTGTTCTTTGAACCCCACTTCACTTTAACTTTACAACAATTTTGTTCCATATCTAGTATCTGCAAGGTACTCTGTTAGCAACAGGGGTTACAAGGATGCTGGGGTTCTCCTCTGAGAGGTTTTTACCTCTTCCTCCTCCCACTCTGCCCCAAAGAACAAGTAAGCCTAATGTCATCAGTCTTTATCCTATTACCGTGTCATAATTTTTTAACAGAACCTATCACTATTCGAAATTATCTTGTTCGCATATTTGTTTTATTTGACATTGTTCATGTCCTACATGAGAATCTAAGTACCAGGAGACCGGGGTTACCCTTTTTTTAACCATCACTTTTACCAGTAACGATGTCTCAGTATATATGAGATGAATGAAATAATGAATGAAGAGACTCAGTTCTTACCCTCAAAGAGGTTACAGTTAAGTGAGGGAGGTTAACACATACATAACTCTACTATAAGGAAGAATATGTAATTACTAAGGGCATATAACTGCCCTAATTCTTAAGTGTTATGGGTGCACTGTGAGAGATCAAGCCCATTTGGAAGATTCTAGAAAGACTGTGGTCAAGATGTGGCAGTCATTGTACTTAGCTGTTTTAAATGTACAGTTAGCTAGAATCCATATGCCAAGACCATAGCATACACAGGCTGTGCATGTTGTGTACTGCATGAGGGAGCCATTCACAACATAAAAAAATTATACCTTGGTATATTACAACACTCTTCCAGCAGTTGTAAAGTGCCTTGCTGTAATAAAATTGGCATATTAGGACAATTGTCCAACCGGTGGAAGTAAAATATCTTGGGAAGGGTACCTTTTTCTCATTTACAAAAAGGTGCCCTGTGGGCTATCAATGGTCTTACATGTGCAGGGTTGACTTTAGGCACATGTAAGATGTTAGGCCCAACTTGCTAGCCTTGGGCTTTCAGTATCCTAAGCCAGACGGAAGAGGTAAAGGCTAAGAGGTTTCATCGCAGAGACTGCTTTAAATAACCAGAATGTGGGACCCAGGCTCTAAGGTGCCCTCCAATGACCGCTGCTTTCTGGTATTCACACCTCTCTGTAGGCCCCTCCCATATTATTCGACCAATAAAATACTGTAAAAATGATAGTATGTCATTTCCTAGACCAGGAGAGAAGAGACTAAGGTTTTCACCTTGGGTACGCTCTCTATCATTTACTCTGGGAAAAGCTACAACATGGGTCACCCTATGAGGAGTCCCATATGGTGAGGAATTAAAGCCTCCTATAAACAACCACATGCGTGAGCTTAAAAGCTGATACTCTAGCCTATCAAGTCTTCTGAGACTGTAGCACTAGCTAATGGCTTGACTGTAGCCGTAAAAGGGACACTGTGCTGGAGCCAGCTACCCAATCTACACTCAGAAACTATGTAAGATAATGTTGCTTAAGGCTGCTAATTCTTAAGGTAATTTGTTATCTACAGCAACAGATAACTCATGAACCTTATTCGCAGAAACACTATTCACCTTTAACTGTGGTACAAGTAAAAGTCTGTAGAAAGCCTATAGCATCCAGTGAATCATTCCTAGGGGAAAGAAAGACATTATTCTTTTGAAACACAGAAAACAGGAGTTTCAGGATTTTTCCCCCTTTAGGTCTTTCCAGAAAAATTAATTCCCTGAATTTTTGAATTGTTATTTAACATGTCTTGCAGTCACTTTCTTCAAGGAGACAGAACCAGCCATAAGTCCCCGAAGACGTGAGCACAAGGTAACCTCCAGCTCCCTTTCTGCACAAAACTAAAAAGAGCGAACAGGATGCTCAGTAAATAAATAAGCTTCCTGTTATTAACTCAACTTGATCTTGCTGCATCTTACAAAAATGAACTGACTCACTTTAGCTACAGGGCTCAATCTGCCAGACCATGTCTCAGAGAATCAGAAATCCTCCTCTACCAGCTCCATAGCAGGGCAGTGTAGGGACTCCTGTTTTCAAGCTAACAAGAGAAGGTGAGGCATACACAGCATCCATAAGGAAAGCTTGAGCTGACTCACTGTTTCCCAAACTGTGTTGTACAGAAATTGGACCCACAGAATGGACTACTGAAATATGGTTCTTTGGTCAGTTTCAGGCAATACTACACTTTCTAAACGTTCCGATTCAGGACTCAGCAAAATTTTTCTTTAAGGGGGCCTAGAGTAAATATTTTAGGCTTTATGAGCCATATGGTCTCTTTCACAATTCCTCAAATTTGCAGCCATAGACAATATGCAAACAAATGAGTGTGGCCGTATTCCAATAAAACTTTATTTGCAAAATCATTCTTGGGTCAGATCTGGCCCACAGGTTGCTGTTTATATAGTGTTCTTATCTCTCTCTTGTATGTTGGGGTATGAGGAAAGCAGGAAAGCTAACACAGAGGACACTGCTCTCTTGAGGAATTTCTGGACATTTTAGCATATAAAAGGCGCTGAGAATTTCTGATTCAAAGACCTATTCATGGATCAATGTGTTAAACCCAGTTTCCCAATGTTATTTGTCGAGTGAACCTATTTACTTATCTTCTTCTTCCCTCTTTATCTCAACTTATTTACTTATTGAATACCTATTAAACATCTCAGGGAACTGGTCTTCCTTAGAACACACCTGAGTAAGTGAGTTATCTAATTTGTAGTACATATCAGCCTGAACATATCAGTCTGAACAATTTGACCCTAAATCTTCAGAGTACTGGTTTGGAACTTGGAGTATCAATGAAGACTTTAAGTAATATCTTAACTTTCTTAAAGAGGATAGTTTCAAAGATAGAAAACTTAAAAAGTGTTTGGTTTGCGACTTCTTTATGGAGGATTGATTGAGTGACTGCTTGCCACATTTTCCTAGGTCTACTCCCACTTGAGAATTGGTCACTACTTTGGGAATTTGTGAAGTAAAAATCATCATATTGGATCACTACCTCCAGAAAATGTCAAGACACTAGCATATCTAGAATTTAAAACTCAAAGCTGGGATGGGCACAGTGGCTTATGCATATAATTTCAGCACTTTGGGAGGCCAAGGTGAGGATTACTTGAGGCCAGGAGTTTGAAACCACCCTGAGCAACATAGCAAGATGCTGTCTCTACAAAAAAACAAAAATAATAATAATATTAGCTGGGTGTAGTGGTGCACACCTATAGTTCCAGCTACTCAGGAGGCTGAGGAGATAGGACTTCTTGAGCCCAGGAATCTGAGGCTGGTATGAGCCATGACGGTGCCACTTTTCCTCCAGCCTGGGCAACAGAGACTCTGTCTCCAAAAAAATATAAATAAACAAAAACCAAACTCAAAGTTGATTCCACTGGCTGGATTTGTGGATTGAAGATTTTCTAGCAAGTGTTTTGGAAACTTGTAAAACACATGTAGTGGTGTCAGGCATTGTCAGAGTTCTTTTAAACAAAAGAAATCTTGAATTTCCTCATTAGTCACCCATGATTGCAGGCAATTGTTGCCAAGAAAACCAATCCCGGTACAATGTGGGAGTTGACTACACCAAGGTATTAATACCAGGAGGCAGGTATTGGAGGCCATCTTGGAGGCTGCCTACCATATAAGGTATATGAAAAGAAATCTGGGAACGTTTTGTTTCTTTTAGATCTGAGACTAATTATGTGGCATTAATCAAGTCATTTCTACTCATCTATAAATTGAGAAGGTTGAACTAAAGTCATACTTTCCAGGAATACATGAGTCTTTAAATATTCATATGTCACATTATATATTATCAAGGTGTTTTCATAATATTGCTGTCATACAGAGGACAATATTAAATGGGAAGGATCTGGCCACAGGCTAGCTAGAACACAGTTTCTGGGAATGTAGCTGCCCCTAACCAGGATTCCAACCCAATCACATTTTCCTCAAAGCCATATGAATTCTCAGGAGAGTCAGACCTCCCTGGACTTAAATGCTACCAATGCACTATAATCCACAAAGCTTTTCAAAGATTGAAAGTGGTAGAGGCATTTGCTGAATTTTAAGTGTGTTTTAATTAACACCTCAAAAAATTAGAGATCCTTCTTTCTATCCCTAATCACAGAGAGACATGAAACTCCCAAGTTTTCCCCTATAAGAACATGTCCAGAGACACTGCGCAGCCCTCCACTGTCATCCTGGGATTTCCTCTCACCTCTTTACCTTCAGCATAAAACTAAATGGGAGGACCAACTTCTCCTCTGCAAAAGTAGCAACGGATTCCCCTTCAGTTGCAATGAGCTACCCAACCACTGGCAGTTGTAACAAGGCTCCAACTTGACCATTTGGCCGTAGGTACCGAGGAGAGCATAGCCACAGCTCCAGCAATGAATCATCCTCCATGCTAACTGTCAGGTAAAAACTGCCCTCAGTGTGCATGCTTCTCAAGGTGGGTGTGCTTACAGGTAGAAAACGTTTAAAGTCTTGCTCTATGACTGAATGGAGTATGTCAGAGAGAGCACATATATGACCTTTCTTGAAAATGATCATATAGCTAATCCTTGTGGGCATAAATGGTGTAGAAAAGTTTGAAAAGTATGTCAATTTTTCCCCCAAAGAAACTAAAGATTTTATAATTATTAAAAGAAGGAACAACTTCTATAAAACTTCATCTAAAAAAGCAACTGTATACCCTTAAAATACTCATTAGTAAGTTGGGGGAAAGTTAATTATTTCAAATACAGACTTCTGTTTGGAAGAATATTGTTGCCACCTACATAAATTGAAACTGGAAAAAAAAAAAACGTGGAGGAGGGACATGAAGTGGAGAATTGAGCCTAATTTTTGGAGAGTAAGATTTAGGACCAGCACATGTAAAAGCAGTCACAAGCATTAAATGAAAAAAAAAAATTAGCTGCCCAGTGTAATGTGTATTTAAGTGGAGTCAATTCCAAGAAATTGTGGAAAGGCTGCCCTCTTCAGACACACTATTTTTTTTTTCATTTTAAGTTGCTATAGATTTTTCTATATACATTTCTCTATAGAGAAAAATGGAAGGTGGTGTAAAATATTTTTAATATTTTGTACAGAGCTTTAATATGTAAAAGTCAAACAAGTATGTGGAAAAATGTTATTAAGTACCTGGTTTGCCTGTCTGGACTTGCCTTGAGTATGTATCTTATAAGTATTCCACGCAGCTCTTGAAGTAGCTAAGCAAGCTTTAGAATCCTGAGTAGTAATTAATTAATGGAGCTGTCTGGGGCCAAAATGTTTACCTCAACTGTCATGTACCTAAGTACATTCAGAATAACCACCTGAATTCACAATAATTGGCTTTCATGTCATTAGAATTTTTAATAGCTATGATGAACTCTATACTTATTCCACACAAAACTCTTGTTTTCTGTTTTATTCCTGTCATTTTGAACAACCTGAAATGACAATTAAGAGAGTTCTGTCATAAAGGAAGACATTGTGCACATTTGGGACCTTTGGGAGGCACTAATTCTGCTGTCAGCTGAGTTTCCTTAAAATGTTCTATGGCAGGTGGTAGAGAGAACTGCATGGAAAACTTCATTTGAAACACAACTTGTTTCTCCATATTTCCTGATCTTTTCATTTTTCTTTCAAATGTTTACTTTTTCAATGACCAAATGCAAGTTATGAGTCTAAAAAAAGATAGATTCCAAAAAAACATACCCTGAAACAAATTTTAATTATTTATAGTCTATCCAGAGCAAAACTGAGGAAAAAATTAAAAAAAAATTCCGAAAAGTCAGAAAATGCCACCAGTGTATTATCTTCTGCAAGAAGGATAGGAAGAAATGTACTCTGCAAGGTAGCCTCTTTTGCTTTATAACTACAATGGAAAGAAAAGGTATATAATATGCTCATAAACAGAGGTCATTGGGGAGGGAAATTCTAAACATCATGTTTGAGAAACAGTTGTTTATGAAAATCATGTTGGAGTTTGTAGGAAAATAATGTGTGCAGCAATGATAATTGTTGATTTACATAATACTTGGCTATGTAATATACATGTGCATTTGTGCAGACATAGTATAGAACTTGTTTATAATTTGAGGTGACTGGGCTCAAAATAAGTACATGTCAGCGTGTTTCTTCTCTGGCTTTTAATATTCAGTTTTGTGTATAATTGATACACTAAAATTTTTATGATGGCTAAAATAAGAGTAAATAAATTATGAGGATTTAAAATATCATCCATCTGCCAGGAATACTCAGTTTTTCTTTGAATGGATACTTAACAATTGCCATTCTTGAAGACACTTCTAGCAGATTAAAAATTTCTTTGGCTTCTTGTGCTCCCAAATTACTCAGGTCTAAACTAAGATTGGTAAAGAACCAAACTTCAAACATGACCACATATTTTATATCTATGCATAGCTTAAATTCATAGCATTTGGGCAGAAAAGCCAGCATAGCACCAAATGCTGAGCTTAGACTATACCTGTATACCGGGATAAAATGAGGGAATTCCAAAAGGAACCAAGAGAAGGTACTTTCTACTCTACAAGTAAGGCTTTGAGGTAAAAAGAAGATAATCACATGTGCCATAACTTCTGGGAATTCAAATATAAGCAGATTTGCTTACATAATTAAAATTCTGTGAAATTATATTTTGAACATGTATTCAAATACAAATGCTACATATGTATGTTTATAACATTATAAACTTGTAAAGTTCATATATAATATAAACTTAACTAATATCAATTGTATATTATTATATAGGTAATACCTTATAAATATATAGTATATATTTATATAATATATACAATATGTTATATATATGTGTATATGTATTACTTAGATTTATATATTATAAACACAAGGATATATTTACTTGTGTGTATAATACACAAGTACGTCAGTTTCCCCTTATTTGTGTCTTCACTCCCATCCCCACCCACTGTCAACCACAATCTGGAAATATTACATACAATAAGATATTTTGAGAGAGAGAGAGAGACCACATTCACATAATTTTTATTATAGTATATTGTTTTAACTTTTCTATTACTAATTATTGTTAATCTCTTACTGTGCCAAATTTACAAATTAAACTTCATCATAGGTATGTATGTATAGGAGAAAACAGTATATATATATATATGGTTTGGTATTATTTATGGTTTCAGGTATCCACTAGGGCTTTTGGAATGTATCCCCTGTGGATAAGGGGGACTACTATATTTATAATGCACTACATATATGTTATAGAACATATTACATATAAAATATAATATATATTACACATTATATATGCATAGTACATAATTATTATAATGTGAATGTTATCTAATGTTACATATTATTTATACTACATATTATATTGCCGCATATGTGTACATACAAAACCCCATGTAATATTTCAGAGATTTCTAAAGGTTATCTTAATTGTATGCAATTTCTACCTTCCATTAGGACACTAGAATATAACCCCTTTCATAAAAGATGATGCCATTGTTATCTGTTCTTCTCACAAGAGCACCTCACAAGCCTTCCTACTCCTGCAAACATGAACTTATCTCTAATATTGCACTCAGCAACTCGATGCTCTTTCAGATCTAAGACCAATTAATTTTCTTATTGATATTGGCTATTTTGGCCTTGTTCTGCTGACTATTTTAATTACAACTTTGTGGGATAATTATTGATGTCTCTATCATAAGTTGAAATGAAAGAAAGAGCAAGTTACCCAGGATGTGTGAAAAAGACAGTTAATGGTTAACGCTGGGACAAGCCTGCTTGATGGGCATGTGGGTACTGTAACCACTGAACCTCCCAGCCTCTCCATGTTTTCTGTGGTTTGATTAGCAAATATTATGAGGCACCAGATGATTCTTAAGATATCAGCACAATCCTTTTAAAAGGCCTCTGAAACCTCTTCTTCCCTCACATGCACATTAAATAAGCCAGCATTCACACCAACTTCCCCTCACAGACTGGCCATTATGAGCTACTGGTTCCATAGCACAGACACATGCCAGGGGAAAACCCCACATTCAGAAGGGTTGTTTTTTGTGATTAACTGGTAGAATCAAGAGGAGAAAAACATAACAGGGCGAGAGCCCGAGAAATGCATAGCCATTTTTCCCACATGAGCAAAATGCTCATAAAAACAAATGGTGCATAGAGCCAATAGGGCAAAATTCGGGCATGGGCTTGTCTTTATAATCACTTATAAAACTATGGGAGAAAAGGGAGGATGTCCAATGTGACATCCTAACATATTTTGCTGTATACTTCTTGGCTTTGTTAGTGAGCAGGCAGGAGTGGCCCTTTCTCAAGGAAAACCTCACGCTTCACGGCATGAACAGGGACATACATGACCAACAGTTGTGTTTGTGAAAGCACACATAGTTCTGGGCACATACAACTCCTTTAATCACCCAAAGGAAAACTATTCCAGTCTGGATAAGAGAAAAGTCCCACAGCTGTGCGTAGAAGGAAACAGCCAGGAGGTCTCCAGAAAGCACCAGCCCTATCTTTTAGCTTGCTGCTTCAGGATTTCCCATTGCTGTGCCAGGTCTGAGGTCCATGCAGAATGTTAGACTCAGAATACTGGAGCTAGAAATATCTGTAATGAGTATCTGTTGAGTGGCTTGCCTAGTTCCCATTCTCACATTTTTTTTATAACAATAGCAGATTCCTTTGAGAAACTCCTCCACCCTCACTACATAGCAATTCAGGGGCCTTGTCCTCCAGATGACCCAAGCCTGCCAGGCAGTTTCCTTACCAAAAATTTGGATCTTGAATAGAATGGCCCCAAAGGCAACTAGAGGTGATTCATCCTGACAGAGGTGCCCTGGAAAGACCATTTATCAGCTGCTATAACTGTCCTAGATCCCTGGAGCTTCCCTGGTTGTTTCCTTTTCCAAGCATGAAGGCTCATTTTTTAAATTTTAATTATATAATCTACAACATATCTGTCCATAAATTTCATTTTGCTTGAGTTAGCCAGGGTTTGCTTCTGTTAGCTTGAAACCATAACTGGTATAGACCATTACCAATTACCTTGTATCCAATTTATTTGCCAATCTATACTGCACATTATGTTCTGCTCATCATATACATGATTTTCTCTTTATATATATATAAATACATATTATATTATAGTACATTCCATTCTACTATAATATACTATGCCATATATTTTTTTCATCCTTAAAATGCCCTGATGGTAGATTTATTCATGCAATTACATTAGAGATGAGGAGATAATGGAAGCGAAAATAGGCTTCACCAGTGTACATCAGGATCACCTAAAGGCTTTATTAAACCACAGACTCCTGGTTCCCATCTTCAGACTGCTGATTCAGTAGGTCTGAGAGGGGCTCTGAGAAGTTATTTTTTTTAACAAGTTCCCAGATGATAATGTTGCTCATCCAGGACTACATTTTGACTTCCACTAGCTTGAGTCAATGCTTCTCAAAGTTTAATGAGCTTACAAATTGTTTAGGGAATAGATTCTGATTCAGCAAATATGGGGTGCAGCCTGAAACTCTGCATTGCTAACAAGCTCCAGGAGATGCTGAGGCCACCGGACCACAATGAATAGCAAGGGATCACTTGGCTGAGCCAGATCTCACAGTAAATAACTGCCAGAGCTACAACCTGATTTCAGGTTTGCCTTCTCTTATTCACTCTACTGCTTCCCTTCAAAAAATCTGGTCTTTACAAATAAGAAGCCTGAATACCAGAATGATCATATAACTTGACCAGATCTCACAGCTGGTTAGTTATAAATTCATCAGCGCACAACCCCAATCTTTGACCACCAGCCCAGGATATCATCCTCTGTAGTGCTCAAGAGTTCACCAATTATGGTGCTTTCATATCCATTCCTCATTGCATCCGGATAAAAACATCAAGGAAGGGACAAGGCCAGCATTCATTCATGTTTCACTGACAAGGCAAGTAGGCAAAGTGCAGAGTAGAGAAACAACCTGCTTACAATCACTCAGGTGCCAAAGCTCGACCTGACCAAAAGCAATTCTAATGCTAAGTGCAGTATCCCTGTCACCTACAACAGTCCCCTTTCAGAGGAGGCAAGACACACATTTTAGCCTTAGTCTAAATTACAGAAAGACTGTAGAGAACAGGTGTCAAAACGAGTGATCCACCAGCCCTATCCGGCCCATAGTGCTGTTATATCCTGACAGAGTTGCCCTGGAGAAATCATTTGTCAGCCTCTATAAATGTCCTAGCTCTCTGGAGCTTTTCTGGTTGTTGTATATATTTGTTTGGTTGGTCAGTTGGTTGCCTTATATTTAAATATTGGGAACTTTTAGATTATAAACCAGAATGAAAATTGTGAAGACCTGGCAAAACAGAGTCCAGATTCACACTTTACAAAAATCAGCTCTGACTGTAAGGAGAGGAGCACTGGGGCATGTGGCTATTAAAACAGCCACAAGGTCTTAGATAATGGTCATTAAAGCAGCCACATGGCCAGTCATATGAATTTATATGATGGAAACTAAAGTAGCTTCCCCCCTTTGTAAGGACAAAGAAAAATACTTCAGTAAAGTCCCCAGTCAGCCTTCAGCTTGGAAACCCTATGGGCATTAAAATTTGAATCGCTGAGAAAAATTAGAGGCCCATGAAAACAGGGCACTTAATTGCCAATATTTCCCTAGGATACTGTTCAGGAAGGTGCAGAACTGAGCCAGGTTTTTAGAAAAGGTTGTATCTGTTCAAGGACTGGAGAGAAAAATCCAGCATGCATGCCCCTGTCCTTGCTGTTAAATGAAGGTGGCATCTCACCTTTGAATGACAGCTGAGTTCACAGGTGCCCTTTCTCTCATACAAGTACAAATTGCTAACACTGCCTAAGTAACCACAGGGTCTCTACTTATCATAAAATCCTAGCACTTTGATTGGTGATGGTTTGCTGGTTTGGAGAATACTCTGCCTTTTTAAAAATTTTCATTTTCTCTATCCTCATGGATTAGTGGTCCCTGTTGCACACAGCCAAGTATGTTCCTGAACGAGGCCAAGGATCCAGCTGGCAAAATCCTGCTTTAGCATAATTTTAAATCGCCGAGTCAACATAATGCCACTCTTCTGTTTAAATTACTGAACAATTAGAGCTATGTGGGATGTAATTTCAGGCCAAGTCCGGCCCTGTATGCAGCTTATTCTTTTGTTATTGTTGTTGTTGTTAAATGGCTGTACTAAAGCATATACAGAAGTAGGTTGGGGTCAGACTTTCAGGGAAATAAAATTTATATACAGAATGTAAACACTGACACCCTGTTTAAGACAAAAGGTTTGCCCGTAATTCATCACACCTTTAAGACCACAATCATGCGCGCGCAGCGCGCACACACACACACACACACACACACATACATACAGAGAGAGAGAGAGGGAGGGAGGGAGGGAGGGAGGGGGAGAGGGGGAGAGGGAGCGAGAGGGAGCGAGAGGGAGCGAGAGGGAGCGAGAGGGAGCGAGAGGGAGCGAGAGGGAGCGAGAGGGAGCGAGAGGGAGCGAGAGGGAGCGAGAGGGAGCGCGCCCTGAGAGGGAACAGCCCTATCCTCTTGTGTTCTGCTGCCTCCTGCCTCCTTGCCGCCTGAAGGTAGAAATAATGAGCCTGCAGAAGGGAGTGACAGATTTTATCTCGGAGACACTGACCCGAATGACTCCATTAGCATTGTTCCAAATGAAAAGTCGCCCTTCCTCTATGGGGATAGGAGGGGGCTGCCAGGGAGACAGGAGGCAAGATGTTTAGCTTCCATTTGGAACCGAATCCTTCCCTAGAACCAAGGACATGTTGTGCCCTCATCCCTGCATCCCACAGCAGCCAGGCCCTGTCTATTTCTGTGCGACTTGGCTGCAACAGAATACGAGCCTCTCAAATCAAGTCGTGTTATCCACCCCTCCCTGTTTTAGCTGGAATCCATAACCCCTTTCAGCCCTAGTCACAGGTGTCCAGGCAGCCCAAGTGACTGATGCCCTCCAGCACAGCCCCGTAGCATATCATTCACCAATTTCTCTTCTGAGACCCTTTTCACATAGAAGATCAAAGCCATTTGTCATCCCTAGAGAGCTGACTTTCCAGAGGGAACCATCCTTTCCAGTTCTGAACCAGGACAGGAAAGGGAGGTGAAGTAGGGTAATAGAGGGGAGGAGAAGATGACAGACAGACAGACAGACAGACAGACAGACACACACACACACACACACACACACACACACACACACCACCACCACCACCATCATCATCGCAGACTCCTGGCAAAAGCATCTCATTCAACAATGGAAATACCCACTAAATCTGAGATAATAGTTCATTGGACGTCCACCTTTTATTTTGGTATCAGATGTGTTTTAATACAGAGATGCTGCTGATGAATAAGTTTGGGGTTTAGTGTGGCTATAATTGCAAACTTACTTGCTGTGGTACTTGCGCAAGTTTTAGTAACTTGGGATAAATACCTCTGAGGGGCCAGTTTCTTCATCAACAAAATGAAGATTTCAGTTTCTACTTTGCAGAATCTTGTAAATTAAATGCAAAAAGCAATGGTGCACTTAGAACAGTGCCTGGCATATACAAGAAATTCAATATATATAGACTAATAATAATATTTGAATAAACCCTATAAATGCAGTCAAGAATTCCATAGGTAAAGGTAGCCTCTAAGCATGTAAGGCTTACAGATGAGTCCATTTCTGCCTTGGATCTGTATTGCCAAATGAAAGTTTTCTTGAACCATCTTCCTCCCCAAGTACTGTTTTGAGAAGGCCCACACTGCTACATCAATTTTTGTTTATGACTGAACTTAATAAGAGAATGAGGATCCTGAGTGACAGCTCTCTGGCAGGAATGGCTAGGAGGAATATTTTAAGTATCTCCCCAAACTGAGATACCTCCTAGATAGTCCCTCATTGCAGACAGAGTATCAGTAAGTCAGAGCATGCTGGAAACCACTGAGTAAATATAGTACATCTTCCAGGAGCATTTTTTTTTTTTTTTACTGGATGGTAATTTAGAATATAATTTTTAAGTTACATCAAACATGGATGTAAGTTAAACAAAATGAGAAATAGCATAACATTTTTAACTTAAACAGAAAACCTCAAAAGAAATTCAGGCCTGTAGGAGGCTATTTAAGGCTCTTCCCCTAGTCCCCAGGGGGTAGGGACCATGTTGCTGAGACACACTAGTTCTCCCCTCAGTCGCAGGACAACCTGTAGAGTGGAAGTTCTAATCACCATTTTATTGGTGAAGAATCAAGCACCATTAATCTGCAGTGACAGAAAACAGATCAGTGGTTTCCTAGGGCCAGGGTCAGAGGAACGGACCACAAAGGGAGATGAAGGAACATTTGGGGTGACAAATATTCTACATCTTGATTGTAGTGATGGTTACTTAGATGCAAATTTTTTCAAAACAACAACAAAACCTATGCAACAAAAATGGGTATGTTTTATTGTATGAAAAGTGTATCAAAATAGATTTCTAAAATGTTTCAATTTTTAATGAAGAGTTTAAAAGAGGCTGTTGGCTGTGAATCCAATTGCAGAAGAAAAATTAGACCCTATTAGAAATTTAGAAGGCTATTGTGAGGATGGGATGGAGAGAAATAAATGTGGAGGCGGGGAAGGAAAGGAACGAATGCTGAGCCATAACTGGTAATTTAGATATCCAGGAAAGCAGAGGAACTTCACATCAAAGGAAGATAGGAGGAACAAGAAGAAAGAGGGGAGAGGCATGCCCAGCCCAGTGAACAGAACTTGCAGGGGGCGGGGTGAGCCCAGGGCAGGGCCAAGGACCTGACATGTAGAGGAAATTCAGGGCAGGAGAGGAGAGACAGGTGGACACAGAGGCACTCCCAGACACAGCCCCTGGTTCCCTGAGCCATCCGGATCGCACCATGTAAATTTCACTACCCTGGGTCCAGGTTCCGGTTTCCTGCCCTAGTGCTTCAAAACTCAAGCAGGGATTTTCAGAGCCCAGCTGGATTAATGGAAGCTGTCTCTCTCCCTTTGGCTCCAAGGGCCATTCTCCCTGGTCCTCTCTACGGAGCTATTCTGCTGCCAAGTGTGGCTTCGCCAGGGGGTTCCATACTTAAAAAGACAGACTTATTTTTAGCTCCCGACAAATCCCTGTGGCTCTCAATACAAAGGAAAGATGAGTGACTAGGCTTACTCCTTTCTCTTGGCTGGGGGAAAAGAAAAAGGAAACGAAAAAAAGAAAACCAACCTGAAGTTTGTCGCTATGTCGCTTTTCATTTTTCAATGTTAATTTGGAAATTTGCTTCAACTTGCTGTGAACCTTTCCACAGAAATATATTACACTGAACAGAAGTGTTTTAAAAATACTGGCGCACTCTGGTAACCGTCTGTCACTCTTTGCGGCACATAGCAATTTAAAATTATTGGAGCTCTTAAATTAAGTGCTTAAATTTGAAGGTGATCACCACTTTGAGCATGTGGATTGCACAGCTATCTCAACTATAACAGTGCTTCAATTTCCTTTAAGCAGGTCATTTTAGGGAGCGATAAGGGAGTCTGATTGCCCAGCATGCATTGATTTAAAACTACTGGAGTCGTCAATTCATTTCTACAAGCACTTCTGTTTGGGTGCAATCTTACTCTGACGGCTTAAATTGGTCTAAATTGTTCTATACTGCACATGCTGAAAACACTAATGTATTTTAGTAATCTGCCTTTTGGGGGGCAAAATTAACAATAATTTCTGGCTAAGCCAAAAACAGTACACCAGCAGATGTATTTGCCTTTCAAAAACACAAGGTCACCTAGGTGAGATTTTTGGTGTGTCTAATGTCTAAAAGATGTAAAGTGAAAATATGTATTGGTTTTTCAGAGACATTTGGCTTAACATACTGTATTCAATTTCTCAAAAATAATACGAATTTTATCAGAACGGAATACCTGTTGTAGAACTCTGTGTCCTTACTAGAACCCACAAACTAATATTTTATTGCATCCAAAATACTGAAAAATCATGTTTTGCAGTCTGTCTGTACATAGGAAATAAAAAAGCTTTTCTTCAATTCAACATACCCCAGGTAAGTTACAAGGAAAACAAACAAACAAAATAAACCACAGAGTATTAAGAAGGGAAAAAAGCCAATGCGTAAAATGTCTTAGATAACAGATCCCAAAAATCCCACAATCATATTTATATTCCCAGAAAAATAAGTTTTGCTCTTAAAAATAAGTGAGGAGATACACCTAATGTTAAATGATGAGTTAATGGGTGCAGCACACCAACATGGCATATGTGTACATATGTAACAAACCTGCACGTTATACACATGTTCCCCAAAACTTAAAGTATAATAAAAAAAATTAAAAAAATAAATAAAATAATGTTCCACAAAAAAAAAATAAAAAAATAAGTAAGGAAAGGCTGGCTCAACTGCAACAGAAATTACAATAACAAAACAACAATAGTTAACATGTATCAAACACTGAGTGCTTATTTCAGGCAATCCTCACAGTAATCCCATGAGGTAAATATTACAGTCCTCCTTCCTTTTCTTTAAAATTATTTTTTATTGGACAAATTCCTATATCTGCAAAAATATATTTTTAAGGCAGGTCAGAACAAGAAAGTACTCTCTCAGAGCGTGTCGTAGCAGTTTCGTTGAGGTATGGCATGCATACCATAAAAATCGGCCATTGTAAATACAAAATTCAACTGATGGTCATTAAGTTTATAAAGTTACACAATGATCTCCGCGATCCAATTTTAAAACATTTCCATCACTCCCAAAAGTTTCCCTCTGCTCATTTGCAGTCAACCCCCACTACTAACCCAAAGCCCAGGCAACCTCTGATCTAGGAATTTTGTACAAATGGAATCACATGCTCTGTTGTCTTCTATTTCTGTCTTTGTACCCATAGCATAATGATTTTGAGGTTTGTGCTGTAGCACATATCAGTAGTTCTTTCCTTTTTATTGCTGAATAGTATTGCACTATGGGGCTATACCACAGCTGGCAGACATTTAGGTTGTCTCCATTTTTGTTCCATTATAAATAATGCTATGAATCCTGTGTGTATGTCTGTGTTGACATACATTGTCTGTCATTTGTCTTGGGAGGAAACCTAGGAGTATTGGTGGTTTATAAATTTATGTTTAACTTTGCAAAAAAAAAACCTGCCAAACTATTTTACAAAGTGGCTATTTTATTTTACATGTTTACTTTTTCACTAGCAATGAATATAATATCATTTTACTGAGAGGAAAAGGAAGTTCAACAGGATTAGGGACCTTGTATGAGATTACACAACTAGTAACTGCAAAGCAGGGGTCTGAAGCTGAGATCCCTGATTCCGTATCAGAACTCTTTAAAGTCTCAAAGTTAAATAGATTATTCAAGGTTAAACAAATTTCTCTGTTGCAGGACTTAAGAGGATTTAATGCCCCATTTGATATGAGGAACTTCCAAGAAAAGTTAATAGCATGCAGTGTTTCTTCACATATTGCTCACAGGACCCTTTCCTATCACAGTACCTGTGTTCTGTTGAGTTCTCTAGAAGCAGAGCATGAGACAGAGACCTGGATGCATATAACGTGTTGAAGAAACGAAAGTATAATGGGAGGAGGAAAGCAGGATAGAAAAGAGAAAGGGGCTAAACAAGGATGGTGCTATGGTTTGCATGTTTTTGTCCCCTCCAAAACTCACGTTGAAACTTAATCCCCAATACACCAATGTTCGTGGGTGGGGCTTAGTGGGAGGTGTTTAGGTCATGCGGGCTCCACCCTTATGAATGGATTCATCCCAGTATAAAAAGGGTTTGTGGGAGTGGGTTTGTTTTCTTCTACTTTCCATCATGTCAGGACACAACATTGCTCCGCTTTTGCTCTTCTGACACATGAGGAACAGTTTTTCTCCCCTCCAGAAGAGGCAGCGTTCAAGGCACCATCTGAGAGACAGAGACTGGGCCCTCACGGGACAGAAACCTCCTGGCACCTTTATCTTGGGCCTCCCAGCCTTTAAAACTGTGAGCAATGTATGTCTGTTCTTTATAAATTACCCGTCTCAGGTATTCTGTTATGGCAGCAGTAATAGACTAAGACACTTGCTTTATTACTTACTGCTTGCTACTGTAAAGGAGACAGAAGCCTCAGGTAGGATCCAGATTTGCCTGTTTGAGAGTGAGGAGATGCTCTAAGACATACACTACAAAGCGGAAGTATCCTCCCTGGAGGCAATGGTACAGCATTTTGTTCCCCAAGGCAGACAGTCATTAGCTGTGGGCTCCCCCTCCTGAGAAGGGGGAGGGAAGGAGTAAGAAGCTTCTGGTTTTGGTGCCTCCCAGTTGTGGAGAGCAATGCTCCAAAGAAGGTGGCTGCTGTGAGCCATTAGCAGCCGACAATCACTGAGTGCACTGTTCTGGAGATAGAACCTGGGGTGGAGGGAACCCACAGAATACATTATAGGATACTTTGTACCCTTCCATTGAGACTAACATGTCAAGCTCTTTCTCATCTCTGGGCCTTTGCACTAGCTTTTTAAACTTGAAAACCTTACCCCCATCCAAAATACAATCTGGCTTCTCACCGATCAAGTCTTAGTGCAAAAGTCAATTTGAGAAAACGGAAAGAGAAAAGAATAGTCATAGTGGTTATGGTGGTAGGGGTTAAGAATTAGTCATTAAAACTGACTATAAATTTTCTGCATGACTGAAGGTCTTTCTGAGCTTTCACACCCCAGTCATCAGATAACTGGGAAAACAACAAAGCACTCAGGGGTACAAGGCACTTCTCTCAACTTTGAGTCACTTTTCTCAGAATCACAGGACTGCTGGGTATCACTCAGGACAGGTTAGGTTACAGTACAGTAACAGCTAGTGCCCAAATCTCAGTGGCTTAAAATAAGTTCATTTCTTGCTTATACTACACATCCATGTGGGGCACCAGAGGAGGGGGTGGGGATGCTCTGTTACCAAAGTCACTCACTCCGAGTCCTGCTGATAGATCAGCTATGAATCAGAACATTGCCAGTCAGCAGATACCACTTTTGACCACAGCTCGTTGGTTTAGAACTGCTCCTAGGGTCTCAACCTTGCCACCAAGGGGCTGAAAAGTGCAATCGTGCCAAGTTCTTAGAAGAGAGGAGACCAGGTGAGGAACGTGTAGCCATCCCTTAAGGCTTGCCTTCATCCGATCTATAAATAGTAGGGCTCCGGTTTCTAGTCAATAAAATAACTCCTTTCTGATGGCCTCCTGTGTTGAACTGGTTTTAGAAAGCGCAAAACTTGTAATGGTGTGAGGATAAAGGGCAATTAAAGAGGGCATGAGCAGTGGTTAATGAGCTAGCAAACATTTCTAAGAGAACACTAAAAAAACTACTAAATTCCAAGCCACTAGCCCAGTAAGTTTGCAGTATTTTAAGATGTACAGAGCTTTTCTCCTCTCACTTTGAGGGAAAGAAGGTTGACTTGTTTCTATTTCTAAGGTAAATGAAGGTCAACAAGGCCATAAAACTTATTTTAAGACCAAGCCAGGACAGTGATCTGACAAGGTTATAGAACAGGAAACCTTAATTAAAGTTTCCAAGTTAAGAGAAAGAAATTAACTACTTGATTATATTGTTCTATGTATAAAGAAAGTCTTTCAAAATCCTATATAATTTTGCAAAAGTTCTTTGCAATGAATTTAAAATAAGTCATCTTTGTCAAGGTACTTAGATTTATGACACAAAGGTAGCTTTTAGCTTAATTGTTATTTTTTTCCTCAGAACCTTCTACATGAACAACAGTCAATTAGGAGAGACTTCTTTTACTACTCAGCAGATATGAAGCTGCTGAAGTGTACTTTAGATCCTTTTTTATGAAATTAGCTAAATTTAGGATTCTTTCCCAGTTGCCTGTGAGTTGTCTAGAATAATGTGAAGTTCTAAATTTTTTTTAATGGAAAAGAGAAAACAATCTATTGAAATAGTATTGAGGCAACGTAAGCATAAGCCATCTGTGTCAGTCATGCAAAATTGTCTCCCAAGGTTTAAATTAAGAGGGATCACAGAAAGCACCTGTTTCTTTCCACAGGTATAGGGGGAGCTCAAGAATTGCAATACCCACCTAAGAGTCAAATCTCAGCGTATCTAATTTTTCTTATACTTGCTTTTGTATTTGCTTCTTAGTGAAAGTAACTGATTAGAGAAGTAGGAAATATTCCCCTGTTACTTGGTAGTCCCTGATCTCATCAGTTCTTTGGCCATACACACCTAACCCAATAACTAACATAAAAGAGATGTTACATGCTAAGGCTAAAGAATGCCATGCCTCTTTTTTTTTCATATTTGTGGAGTATCTTTTGTCCAATTATCTTAAAGCAATGCATAGAGAATGGATACCTGTTTTAATAGCATGCTGTTTGACTGAGAGATCTGTCTCTTTGTTCCTTCTACTCTGGCCTTTGTGATTTCCTCAAATATGCCACACTCCCACCTAGGCCTGCATTACATCATGCATAAAATGAAGGTGTTTGATTCTTGAAATTAGAACATCTGGAAATAGCCCATGTTCCCACCAGACCTTCCAGGTTGCAGTGCCTGGGCACGTGGCTCTTGTTTGTTGCAGTACCAGTGGTGCGCTGCTGATAAACGTCTAACAACAAGGTCCTGGGAGATGGGGAGCTCTGATTTGTAGTATTTGCCCATTTCAATGGTGTAAATACTCCTGCTAGGTTTAATTTCAAGTTACCACTGTGATGTCAACCAACTTACACATTTTCTGAAAATTTAACAATCGGCTCTTGTGAGCTGGTTCCACCATAACGCTGCATAGCACCCAACATTCCGCGCCCACACAACGTAGGTATATACATTAAAGCCATAGCGGCTCCACACATTTACCTTACCTGTCTGGCCTCGAAAGACATTCAAATTAGCCACCACTGGAGTAGATGACCCTAGATCCTTCCAGCTACAACATGAGATAATTCCAAGATTTATAGGGAGACTTCTCAGAAAACACTCTCTACATTAATATTAGGACAGCCTAGGATTGCCTTACTATTTTTAGACCTAGAAAGGACTGCTAGAATATTGAAATTCTTATCTGGATTTCAATTTGATTCTACAATCTTCACCATCTTATCCTGTATTATTATAACAGCTTCTTGGTGGGTCTCTCCCACTCCAGCCTCTCTTGCCTCTCACCCAGCCAGTCAGCCACTAAAATAATTGCCCTCCAACAGCTGTGAGAATGAAGTCCTCCACCACCATTTTCATCATGTCACTTCCTTACTAGGCAAGCTTCAGAAGCTTATGGCTAGTCCTATCTAATTCAAACTACTCCAGCTGGCATTCAAACCTGTCCACCCACAGGCAAGAACAATAATCCTGGGCTATTGTGGCCTCTCATAAAACCAGTTAAGGTCTTTGAAATCCCTGTAGACCCTCCACATTGCATCTCAATTCCCTTATTCACAGAAAACAGCAATAACTCTAATTCCCATCTTTCAACAGACTTGCTAGAATTCAGAGTACCTAGGAAGCATGCTGTCTGCATACTAAGTCCCAGGGATGTTCCACATGCTCTTTAACACAGGCATGTCCCTGATAAATCACAAATCCCTTGTAAAGACAGATGACATGGAAAGGGATAAACATTAATTTTAACACTTTCAGGGCCATCTGCAAAGCAAACCTTCAGATACTCTGGCATTTTCAGAAAGCACTGAGCTGCTTCTCTCTTCTTCTTACAGCTTTTGCTTTCTTTAACCAAGGTCTATTCAGAAATCTTTCCTTTTAGCCCACATAATAACAATCAGAGTATCCTTCAAGTAAGGTCCCTATGTGGATCTTATTGTCACGCACCAGAAATTGGGACAAATTCCTCAATATCACATGCTATGGATTAAGGAACACGCTATATTGAGGAAAGAGGAAACTCACAAAGAATATAGAGAAAGCTGTTGAAGTTCCAACCAACTGATCCTCTCAACACACCTAAACTCACTTATAGCTACAGTAGACAGTTTCCAGCATTCTGAGAGCTTCCAACCTTGAGCACCTGCCATCTTTCTTCAAGTCTTCTTGAGGACTTTCTTGTAGCCCCACCTGAGCTTGCTGGGTATCAACTAGAAACAACCTGCATGTCTTCAGGGACAGCCTCTACCAATTTCAGGATGACAGTGAGTGGATAATCCTCAACTATTGCATTCTTGGAGGGACATTTTTGAAGTGCATTCTACACTGTTCCTCAAACATTACTAAGAGGTATCAAGCCTCATCTATCTGAAGTAATCTACTCATTAAAATATATTGCATTAAACTTTCCTGGTTCCAATCTTACTTTCATTCTTTCACTTATGCTTTCTTGTTCTCCCAAGTAAATTATGTGAATCCACATCTTGGGCTCTGATTTTGGACAAACCATGATTAAGACATGAGGTCAGTGAGTGAAGAGAAGGCATAAGTTCCATCCTCCCATGGGGAGGTATGCTGGGTCCTGGGCAATCACCTGGCCACACAATAATGGGTTTCTGTTCCAGTGGAAGATTCCCACCCATGCTGCACCTCCCTTCTTATAAGTCAGTGATTCTCAACTACAGACAATTTTAATCCCCAAGGGACATTTGGTGGTATCTGAAGACACTTCTGCTTGTTATAACTGGGGACGAGGGCTGCTACTGACATCTAGTGAGTTGAGGCCAGGATGCTGTAAAACATCCTACAGGGCATAGGACAGCCCTCCATAACAAAACATTACCTGGCTCAGAATACCAAGAGTACCACAGTTGAGAAGCCTTGTTGTAGCTATAGTAAGCATGGAAGCAGCTCTGTCTGTGGAGGAATGATCAGACAATTTTGGTACCACTCATTGTAGACTTGGGTGCCAGCTATTTTCAGAAGGTATCTGGGAGCACTCTCTGCCCAGCACCTGAAAGGCTTGGGGCCATGAGAGTTTCATTCTCCCTGAGAGGAGAGAAAGCCACAAGTCCTGGGGAAAGCTGAGCTTGGGTTGCCCCTTGCTGCTGAGAAAAGAAAGCCCCCCAGTCTCAGCTGGTTTTCCAGGTAACTCAGTGAGTCACTGGGGTCATTTCTCAATCTTGTACCACAGAAAGAATGTATTATCTTGCCCTCCCATCCCTTCTACCTAAGGAAATGATTCTTAGGACCATTCTCTAGACCTGTAAACAATTGTAATGATGTAAAAAAAAAAAAAAAACCACACAAACCCAAAAACAAACAAACTCCCTTTACAAAGATTTTGATCTGTGAATAAATACATCCAGAGAGGAAGCCACCCCCACAACACACACACACACACAGTTCCTCATCCCCCATGCCCAACAAACCACATGGAGAGAGAAGCAGCCTGATGCTGAGGTTAGCCCATTGCCACCTTGGCTGATCCAACATGAGTAGGATTGGATAAAAATTCTCTGGAGACATTTTCTTTAAATATTCTAACTCTTAAACATATCTCTATGATTTTCACCAGACGTACAGAGCAGCAATCACAGTGGGCACAAAACTCACCAGTGTCCCAAGTAGGGGAGCATCAGACAGGGCAACAAACCCAGATGAGTCACCTTCCTCGAGGGGCTGAATGTAAAGCTGCTTCCCAGCCCATTCTTCAGGACACAGTCAGCCCACACTGAAACTGGAAGAGCATCACTCAGGAATTCTATCAGAAGCTTCCAGGCAGGACCCACTCACTACCAGAGTGCACAACTGTCTACATACCCCCTTGGCTGCAATTATTAATAAGCCCCACTCCTGTCAGAGGCTTCTGGCCAAAGTAGAGAGATGGCTTCCCCATTCTAACCCCATCTCGGTCTCACACTGAAACCCTACATCCTCTGGAGCAGCTTTGCAAATCACTAATGGTTTCTTTTTCCTTGGGAAAATAGAGAAGCAAAGAAGTGTGGCAGCCAGCTGACTGACAGAAATCCACAACCTGGCAGCCAGCCCCAGCCTGGAAAACAAAAGCGTCTTTGGTTCACCTGTCAAGACTGTGCTCATTCCTCGGGCCTCTTCCCATGGAGCTCATCTGATTCCTTCAGCCAGGTGTGATGAAGCAGCAAGTGCTGACATCATCACGGAGGGTGAGCGGCTGGCTGGCTGGGAAGCCGCCAGGGGAAACTGGCATAAGATGCTGCTCTCAGCAGTGGCTGCAGCAGCCTGGGAGACGTCGGATTTCTCTCCTTCTAAACGGGCAGTTAGGAAAAGGAAAGAGTTAGGATCAGGTCCCTGGGAGGGTGAGGAAAATATCTCCACCTACCTCTTGTCCCTGCTCCTTCCTTGCATGATGTCCTTCCAAGAAATAAAGCAACCTTTCAAAGCTATGGAGAAACATGAGCCAGACTGAACTTCAACAGGCAAAATCTTTCATTGTGATTATTTAGTTATTCTCTGCCACCTTCTCTAACCAGCAAGTTTACTATTAGCATTTTTTTAGAGCAGTGGTTCTCAAAGTGTAGTTCCTGGAACAGGCATCACCTGGGAATTTCTTAGAAATGGAAATTCTCGGGCCTGACCCCAACCCTCTTGAGTCAGTAGCTCTGGAGGTGAGGCTGAGCAATTTGGTTTTACAAGCCCTCCAGGTGATGCTAATGTATTTTAAAGTTTGCAATCCCCTGTCAGAAAGGAGCAAAATTCATTGCCGGTCCCAGGCTTCACAGGTGATTTCAGCTCCAGCAGAGAATTCACACCTGGCAAATGCATTCCTTCCATTTAGCCTTCCTCACTGATATTGTCTTGGCACCACTACTCCTCTCCCAAAAATATTATTTACTGACTTCAAGCTTTTCAAAATTTGCAATTTAAACTTCTCCTCTGAGTGTGAATGTTATATTAGCATAGACTTCTCATAGAATGCAAATGTCCTTAGTTGGATGTATTTCAAAGCTGAAAACCCTCACACCTGTCATCCCATTAGTGAATGTATTTTAACCTGATACACACAATCCTATATGAACCCATTCAGCAGTTTTTAAAACAAAATGGTTACTTGTTTGAAAATGATAGTATGAAGAGGGTGGTAACAAGGGAAGGAATGTGTATGTGTATATGTGTGTGTGTGTGTGTGTGCATATATATATCATATATTATATATATATATATATATATATATAAGTATATGTGTATAAGATATGTACCTGTCATAGGCAAACACCTCACTCAAAGCTTATTTGGGGGCTACTTTCTTTTAGACTATAATTGCCTCTCACCTCTAAACTGATTATGACAAAGTCATTATATTTCACCCTGGTTTTCATTGTTCTCTAGAATCATATCTCAGTGTGAGGGCTCAATAATGTAGCCCTCTACACTGGGGCTAGCTCAGGCTACCTTGCCTTCCCCAAATAACCCATGGTCTTCCAGGCCATTCCACTTTGCTTTGGCTGTGCCCTCATTGATGAACTTGGATGCCACCTTTTCTGTGAAGATTTCTCCAGTCCTACAGTCAGAATAAATGCTTCCTAATCTACCTACATAACTGGCAAAGATGAAATAAATCTTAGTACTCCATGTTGGTAATAATGTGATGAGGGAAGCACTTGCATATATTTCTTATGGGACATAAATCAGAGCAACTTTTCAGGAAAGCCACTGGACATTATATCCAATGACCCAATATTTGTACATTTAAGAATCTATCCTGAAAAAATGTTAGAAATACAATGTTCAGCTTTTACAAGATCTGTCCAATCCATAGGCCATCATCCTCTGTTCTTTGGTAAGTGGCTCCTGTGTACATTGGTAATATAGCATAACGGTTGAGAGCAGATTTTGGAACAGGCTGCCTGGATTTGAAACCTGGCTCTGAAACATGATACCTATGTGACACTGAATGTGAGTAACTTAAATTCTCACCTCTAATCAATAGAGAGAAAAGGGAAGAAAATGTCTGTTGTTTTACTTCTCTCCAGCTTGGGGATGACTAATGGGAATTTTAGGGATTTTGTAGACTCTCTGTGGCAGAGACTGCTGTATTTATCAAAACCCTTGCTTTTCCTTCTCTGCACACATACAGATTACATTTTGCAGCCTCCCTTGCAGGTAAAGTTGGGCATGTCACTGAGGACTTCTGACCAGGTGATATCTACCACATATAAGCCTATTCCATAAAAACTTCTCATGTATGCTCTTCTACCTTTCTTCCCCTTAATGTAAAGGACATGGAGGGCCTAGAGGAGGAAGGATCCAGATGGAAAGAACCTAGAAACTACCTCACATGAATAACCATTTTGAACTATGAAATGAGTAAGAAATAAACCTGCAGTATCTTAAAAACTGAGGCTTTAACATTGCACGTTTTAACAATTTGCCTACCGTGATTAATATACTCACCAATATTGCATCTTAACTTTTGGATCTGTGGTTTAATGACATGCCATGCCATACTACAGTGTTTTGATTCTTTTTTTGGCTGCCACTTGGGGAAATTTAGGGCACTCAGTTATTTCCCTTTCTTTGTTTTACTTTACTAATGATCTACCCGCTTGTTTGTTTGCTAGTTTGTTTAGTGTTTGTTTGTTTTTTACTGGTTTTCATTCATCTCACTAGGGAGCTTTTGTAAACCCAAGTGGTCATTGTTTCCTGGAAATGACATAGCATGTTTTTAAAAATCTATTATAACTATTTTTCCATTCTGTCTTACAGTGTATGTAGATAATTACAAATCCATTTCTTTTCCGGACTGTAAGCTTCTTGAATTCAGGAATGATGAACTAGCTTTCTGGTCATTCTCATGGGTACCATAGCAGCTGGTTCATAGTAGGCACCCAGTATTTTCTGACTAGTAAGTATACTTGTCATCAGTAAGACTGGATGACTGAGCCTAGAATTTTGCCTGCAAGTAGCAGCTAAAGGCAAATATAAGTGGACTAAGCATTGAAAATAAAGTATAAGATATGTACATCCATCCATGGCCATACAGAAGATTTAGCCAAATAACCTCAAACATCCCTCAGTAAAGCCAGAAATTAATTATCTTTTTTTAAAAAAGAACCTTGAATATTCATTTTACCTGCAATAAGAAAAACTAAATACAACCCACTGAAGTATCAAATATCTTATCAATTACATAGAAATGATCAATAAATCTACTTTGGTAATATCAACAGAAAACCAAGAAAAAGTTTTATAACTATTAATGTTGCTCAAACACCAGCATGTCAGTTTTGCTACCCATTGATAATTATATTTTATAATACAAATATCTCAATAAACCTCATATGATATAATCCAATTTTCCTTCAATGTGTGCAATAATCTCATTGCTTTTTTTAAACTTTAAGTTCAGGGGTACATGTTCAGGATATGAAGGTTTGTTACATAGGTAAACGTGTGTCATGGGAGTTTGTTGTGCCAATTATTTCATCACCCAGGTATTAAGCTTAGTATCCATTAGTTATTGTTTCTGATCCTCTGCCTCCTCCCACCCCCAACCCTCCGATAGGCTCGAGTGTGTGTTGTTCTCCTCTACGTGTCCATGAATTCTTAACATTTAGCTCCAACTTATAAATGAGCACCTGTGGTATCTGGTTTTCCATACCTCCATTAGTTTGCTAAGAATAATGGCCTCCAGCTCCATTCATGTCCCTGCAAAGGATGTGATCTCATTCTTTTTTATGGGTGCACAGTATTCCATAGCGCATATGTACCCCATTTGCTGTATCCAGTCCATCATTGGTGAGCATTTCGGTTAATTCTATGTCTTTGCTATTGTGAATAGTGCTGCAATGAACATAACATATGCATGTGTCTTTATAATAGAATAATTTATACTCCTTTGGGTATATACCCAGTAATGGAATTCCTGGGTCAAACGGTATTTCTGGCTTTAGGTCTTTGAGGAATTGCCATATTGTCTTCCACAATGGTTGAACTAATTTACACTCTCACCAATAGTGTATAAGCATTCCTTTTTCTCCACAATTTTGCCAGCATCTGTTAGATTTTGACTTTTTAATAATAGCCATTCTGACTGTTGTGAGATGGTATCTCATTGTGGTTTTGATTTGCATTTCTCTAATGATTAGTGACGTTGAGCTTTTTTTCATATGCTTATTGGCCACATGTATGTCTTCTTTTGAAAAGTGTCTGTTCATGTCTTTTGCCCACTTTTTAATGGGATCTTTTTTTTATCGTAAATTTAAATTCCATATAAATGCTAGGTATTAGACCTTTGTCAGATGCATAGTTTGTAAAAATTTTCTCCCATTCTGTAGATTGTCTGTTTATTCTGTTGATAGTTTCTTTTGCTGTGCAGAAGGTCTTTAGTTTAATTAGATCCCATTTGACCATTTTTGCTTGTGTTGCAATTGCTTTTGGCATCTTCATCATGAAATATTTGCCCATGCCTATGTCCTGAATGGTACTGCCTAAGTTGTCTTCCAGGATTTTTATAGTTTTGGGTTTTACATTTAAGTCTTTAACCCATTTGGGTTAATTTTTTAATATAATGTAAGGAAGGGGTCCAGTTTCATTCTGCTACATATGGCTAACCAGTTATTTTAGCACCATTTATTGAATAGGGAATCCTTCCCCCATTGCTTGTTTTTGTCAGGTTTGTTGAAGATCAGATAGTTATAGGTGTACAGTCTTATTTCTGAGTTCTCTATTCTATTCCATTTGTCTATGTGTCTGCTCTTGTACAAGTACCATGCTGTTTTGTTTGCTGTAGCCCTGTAGTATAGTTTGAAGTTGTGTAGCATGATGCCTCCAGCTTTGTTCTTTTTGCTTAGGATTGCCTTGGCGAGTCAGGCTCTTTCTGGGCTCCACATGAATTTTAAAAGAGATTTTTCTAACTCTGTGACAAATGTCAATGGTAGTTTCATGGGAATAGCATTGAATCTATAAATTGCTTTGGGCAGTATGGCCATTTTAATGATATTGATTCTTCCTATCCATGAGCATGGACTGTTTTTCCATTTGTTTGTATCATCTCTGATTTCTTTGAGCAGTGGTTTGTAGTTCTCCTTGTAGAGATTTTTCACTTCCCTTGTTAGCTGTATTCCTAGGTATTTTATTCATTTTGTGGCAATTGTGAATGGGAGTTCATTTGTTATTTGGCTCTTGGCATGCCTGTTAATATGTAGAAATGCTAGCTATTTTTGCACATTGATTTTGTATCCTGAGACTTTGCTAAAGTTGCTTATCAGCTTAAGAAGCTTTTGGGCTGAGACTATGGGGTTTTCTAAATATACAATCATGTCATCCGCAAACAGGAATAGTTTGACTTCCTCTCTTCCTATTTGAGTGCTCTTTATTTCCTTCTCTTGCCTGATTGCTCTGGCCAGGACTTCCAATACTATGTTAAATAGGAGTGGTGAGAGAGGGCTTCCATGTCTTGTGCTGGTTTTCAAGGGGAACACTTCCAGCTTTTGCCCATTCAGTTTGATGTTGGCTGTGGGTTTGTCATATATGGCTCTTATTATTTTAAGGTATGTTCCTTCAACACCTAGTGTATTGGGAATTTTTAACACTAAGGGATGTTAAGTTTTATTGCAAATCTTTTCTGCATCTATTGAGATAATCATGTGGTTTTTGTCTTTAGTTCTGTTTACATGATGAATCACATTTCTTGATTTGCATATGTTGAACCAACCTTGCATCCTGGGGATGAAGCCTACCTGAGAGTGGTGGACAAGCTTTTTGGTGTGCTGCTAGATTTGTTTGACAGTATTTTGCTGAGGATTTTTGCATAGATGTTCATCAAAAATATTGGTCTGAACTTTTCTTTTTTTGTTGTATCTCTGCCAGGTTTTGGTCTCATTGCTTTGATAATACATTGGTGCGGTGCGTTCTAGCCCTTAACTCTGAAAATTCTGATAAAGAACAGACACCTAAAGAAAAAATGAAATTTGTAAAAGGGACCAAATGGAAAATTGCCATCCTTGACTTTTCTTGGGCGTTCTGAGATAAAAATCTGTCCAAGATCCATGCATAGAAGTTCAAGGCTATGGCTTGTGGTCACTGAAATCTATATCTTAGGCTAGAACTAAAGTAAGGTCTTTTCTCATTCATTTTCCTATCTGTATATCTATTACTCTAACATGAAATGGAAAACATTGTCTCTTACTACTAGTTGAAATTCCCAAATTTACATCTTCTCTGAGCTAGATCTAGATCCAACTGCTTACTCAGGGTCTACACTTAGATGCCTATAGGCATCTGCAAGTGATATGCCTAAGATAAAACTCTTGACCACTATGATCTTTGTTCTACCTAGAACGTATTCCAGGGCAGTCTCCAATATGTCAGTTTATCATCCAACTCTTAATCATGTCACAATACTGGGTACCATCTTTGATTCTATTTTCTTCCTTACTCTCTTAATTTGTTTCTTCTGTAAATTCTGCCATTTCTTCCTCTAAAAAGTATTCTTTCACATTTCTACTGTTACCATACTAATCTTGGCCATCATCAAATCTCATCTGGATCCTAGCAGTAACTTCTAATTGTTTCCTTCTACTCTTGTGTACCATCAACCTATCTACCATATACAGCCAATGTTATACTAAAAAATGCAAATCAAATCATTAGCCTTTTTATGAAGACCTAAAAGATAGTAAATAATTTCACCCCTACCACTCGCTATCTATATCCCATATCATTTTTCTCCTTCTATAATTCCTTTTAGCCATAATTGATATCCTTTTAGTTCTTTCTATATGCTAAGCTCTTTTTCACTTCATTTGGCTTTTGCATTTGTCATTTAGCCTGTTAAACATTTTTTTCCACTATGAAATGGCTAGTTTCCTGTTCTTCCCATCTCACCTTAAATATCACCTCCTCAGAGAAGCCTTCTCAGATTCCCTTTCTTTATCTTTTCCACCTGGGATATGTTTTGTTCATTCAGTGACTTGTACAATGCTTGGCACTTAGTTGATGTTTAATAAATGTTAATTGATTAACTGAATTAATGATTATGAGAAATTATTTTAGTGAGAGACCCACTATGATTGAGATTTTACTTTTGTTTGCTTGTTACTTGTTAAAGTTATAAGTCAACTGTTAACAATATTTTATAGCAAAATAGGTGGAAAAGTTTACCATGAAGCAAAGAGAGGAGTTATTTTTGCTCCCCAAAGGAAGAAATAAGCAGCTAATTCTGCTAGAGAAAGTGCTGGTTAGGTCAAGATATAACAAAGGGACAGAACAGAATCAGATAACAGAAAAGACTGATTTATCTAATGGAGTGGAAGATGTGAACTCTTCCTTTGTCGCAACTACAAAATCTTTAGTACTTTGATCACTAATGCATTTGTGCAGGAAGATTCATTAAGAAGGTGCTACATCTACATTTGGATCCAGATTAGCATGGATTGAACCAGGTAGTGCTCGTATAACATAAGGCAATCCATAAAGTGCTCACACAAAGGAATCAGAGGATGAGGGAGAGGGTGACATCCTCATGACCATGTAAAATGAAAGCATTTTTAGAATAAGACACAAAATGCACAAAACATAAAGAAATTGTTTATATCTTTAAATAAAATTAAAATTACTTTAACAACAACTGTGGACAAAAGAAAAAGACATGCATGCAAGAGACCAGAAAATATATTTGCTGTTCATATAGCTGACAATATTGTACTACCCAGAATGTATAAAGAACTCCAACATTTTCCTTTGGAGAGCAATTTGGCAATATCTAGTTAAGTTGAAGATACAATATCAAAAAATTTAGCAATTCCTTTCTAAGCCAACCCCCTAGACAATCCTTACACATGGAAACATGGATAAGAGTGGGTTTTGCAGCTTTGTTTGTCGTGATGAAATACTGGAAATATCCCAAGATAAAAGAGAAATAAATTATGGCAAAATTGTACAAAAGAAAATTATACAGCAGTTATAATATTCATAAACCATACAGGTTTGGTATACAACCAAAACTATTGAGCACTTACGGATCTAAAAGTATGTATTAAAATATAAACACATGCGTGGGAATAAAAATAATGGTTTTTATTATTAACATAATAAAAATTATGTTAATGGTTCTCTCTAAAAAGAAAGGCAAAGAAATGGAATCAGCATCTGGCAAAAATATCATGATTTTATAAGACTACAAGGGGCATCCATAGGGGCTCATGATGTTTGCATTAAAATCACTTGTATGTATAAAGTCTCTGAAAAATTAAAAATAAAAACATAGGCAATGAATATAAAGAGAAAAAAGTAAAATAAAGTAAGATGAAACCTGGGCAAGGTAAACACAGGAAAAAACAACTGTTCTCTACCTTCTACGTGGCAAAAAATTGATTCTAAAACTAGAACACAAACTGTGTTCCCAATTCTAGGAGACAAATCCTTACATGCAGATCATAGTATTGCATGAATTCACAAATTTTGAGAGTTTCAGCAATTGTTGCAACCCCTTCATTTCAGAAGAGAAGAATCAAAATCAAATGCCAGTTCTGTCTTCTGCCACCTGGCTATATTCAGTGCAGACTGCTAGGAGCAGTTGTAAGTTTTTCCTGGTTGACATATTTCTGAGTTAGTCTGACAGAGGGGACATAAAGTGGCATCTCTAAAAGCAAATGAAATTATATTGTCACAAATAGGTAAAAGCTCTGGCCAGGGCTCAACATGAGCAATGCCCAATGAATCACTCCAGGCTGCTCTCTTTGCCTAAAATAATCCAGGGCCTTTTGTGTCTGAGGAAGCCATGAATCTTTCTACTCCCCAAGCAGCAAGAGCATCTCTGCACTGATAGCTGTGAGAAAACTTCTTAAGACAGAGGGAAGAGGAAAAAATATAGCAAGAACTTGAACTCTGAGGAGAAAAGAAATGGGTCATGTTTTTGTCTCATCTTGCTCATCTTGGAGAAACTAAATTCACTTCACATCAACTAGGGATTTAACCTCCTTGTAAAGAGGCTAAGATTTTATCATAATGTAAAACCTGACACAATTACAGTTGAATTTAAACCAGCATTGCTTTTGGTCTTTGTTTTTCCCAGAAGCTCTGCCAGATGCTAGTGCCCCAAAGAAATTAGCAATGTAAAAATATATACTTTCTTTTTAATAAGTCAGGATGCTTTACTTCATTTCCTCATATTTTCCCAGTTACTGTAGCCACTGCAATTGTTGGACAATGGGGTCTCCTCCTCAGGGATATTCCAACCCACCAGGGAGAAGTTCAGAGTCTCCAGCACTGTCCTTGCTCAATTCCCCATAGCCGAGGTGACTGGGTTCTATATTCCCAAAGAAGTTTTGCTACTGTCCCAGCTTCCAGAGCTCAGTGACAGGAATCATCTTCTCCCACAAACGCCATGTTACCTCTGCCCTCTACAGACAGCACAGGTTGTGATATCCCCACTAGACACAGGCTAAGTCCAGGTTGTATTGTAGATTGTATTTTATTTTAAACTGCTTCTAACCTATATTGTGTAATGTAAATGAGTGTAACAAGTCCAGAGAGGACAGTTTCCCTAATTGGAGACACACTACAGAGGTGGTTACTTGACATTTTTCAGAAAACCACACATAAGAGATAGCATCTACAAAGCCTCAATTAGCATTGTCACTGATCAACACCAGAGGTTTCTCAATTAGCATAATGAATATTATCAGTGGATTTTCATTGGTGAAATCAGTGGCTTGTTAATAAGCATAACGTTAGATCTGGGCATTCATTGGTGAAAATGATTGTGTTCAAGATGCAAGGACAGGCTACAATATAACAGATACATTCCTACTTTTACATGAACAGAGAATAAAAGTCTAGTATACTTCCCACCCATAGTAATGGCTCCCTAAATCTGATTCCTAATTGGTTCTGGAATGCTGGTTCCGAACATTCTTGATCAGTTGATGCTGAAAAGAAAATTTGTTAGAAAATGTATGCCACAGACTAGTGCACATTTGTCTTAAGCGAAACTTTCATACGAAGTGATTTTGGAGCAGACAAAAGGGCAGAGCCAGGACTTCATGGAGTTTATAGAACTCTGTGCCCATTTGTTTTAGACTTCAGGTGTGTGGAAGAATTCTACTTGAGATTTTCTTTCCTTATTCCACGTAGAGATACTCAGAGGGTAACAGTAAATCTTAATATCTCTCATACTAAAAAGAAGCTGATAGTTGTACATAGTCAATTTGGTTTAAATCTAGTTTTAGCATAAGAACCAAGGCAGACTCAAACAATGGCTTGAAGAGGAAGAAAGAAAAAAGACCAGAGGATGTGGATATAATTGGGCAATAAATGGCTGACGGGAAAGAGGGAGTTAGGAACAGGTAGACTTACAGGGACAAAGAGAAGTTAAAAAAAGGTAAATAGTAGGTGAACTGAAGGTATTAGCAAGGAGTGAAAATGGTAGGAAATATTAAAAATAAAAAGGTAATGTTCGCTAGGTGTGGTGGCTCATGCCTGTAATCCCAGCACTTTGGGAGGCCGAGGTGGGAGGATCAAACGTTTGAGCCCAGGAGTACGAGACCAGGTAAGAGACATAGTGATACCCCATCTCTATAAATAATTTCCTAAAAATTAGCCTGATGTGGTGGTATGCACCTGTAGCCTCTGCTTAGGAGGCTGAGGTAGGAGGATTGCTTGAGTCTGGGCAGTCATGGCTGCAGAGAGTCATGATCACACCACTGCACTCCAGCCTGGGTGACAGAGTGCGACCCATGAAAAAAAAAAAGTAATGTTAAAATATGTATTAAAAATTTGTGAATAAGATAAAATAATGACTGTATGCCCTTTCATTGCCATAGGAATATTATCTAACAGGTCTTCTCCAAGATTATTTAATTTTCTAGAAGAATGTAGCTTTGTTTGATTAACCAATTACCATTGATTAGGACTCATAATCTTTGAAGTTATGTGTTAATTTTACATGTTGTCTGATAGAAATGCAAATTATATCTGAATATGGTTACTCCAAAAGTTAGTTTTATTGCCCTGTAGGAAGTGAAAAAAAAATTACATCTAAATCTAGCAATTTATCCTAGCAGTCTTTCCTTCAGAACCTAAATATCCTCAGTTTTACAAATTCTCTTTGAACCAGCTTTAACATCCTGCTGGTTCCTTCATTAATGAGTTAAATAAATCTTTGACATGATAGTAACGTTTGAATTTTTTAAAAAGTATGCTTTGGTAGAAAGTTGGAAGAGTTGCCAAATCACTTATAAGTAATTTACAGTTGCTCAAAGAGCTAAGAATCAGATTGTTGTTTTATTATTATAACTCTCCAAATGCCTACATGGAAAGGTGTCAAATGTTTTCTTTTTTCATTCCCATTTAACAGAGAAGAAACTGAGTTTGAAGAGGTTAAGTAAATTTGCCCTTTTTTAAGTACCAGAGAGTGTATTCAAAAGGATGCCTGTCTGAGTCTTTTCCCCAAGTTACACAACTTTTAGTTTCCAAAAATAGAATTTTAAAAGAAATTAAAGGGTTATCCCATAAATATACTTCCATCTTAAGCAGTCCCTTAGTGCTCATGTTCCGTGTTGCTCCAGGCATCTTGCTGAAACCCTTTACTCTAGTCTGGCCAAGGCATCCACTGCCTGAGGCTAATTATCCTTCAGCTCTAAGGTAATCTTCATTCTTATTAAGAAAGCAAGGATGTTTTATAGGTGCCTTCCTACAGCTCTTTCCTAATAGTTAGATAAAATAATCTTGGCTCTGGTTCTACCTAGAACAGTTAGGGAACAATGTGATTATTATTGCAATTTTTAAATTGTCAGAGAATGAAATAAAATAAGCCTAAGAAGATAAAAATATACTAAAACCTACATTCTCCCCAGTTTTGACACCAAGGCTAAAAAGAGCTATAATTTCCACCTCAGTTTTTTACTTATTTTTCTTCCTTTAGAGCATGAAGATTGATTTTGATATACAAAAAGAGAACTAGAAAATAAGAACTTTAATAAGACCCCCACAAAGAAGAGATGTTGAAAACTGAAGCCCAAAAAGACACACGGATTCTCAAATCATCTGTTTTGTTGTGTCTTCAGGGTGTCTTACATTGTGCTAGATATATCACTTGAGGAATTTGAAATCTACTTTAAAGAGACAAAGTGAACGTAGAGCAAATGGTTCGATAATCCAGTATTAAATGTGAGACAGACCCTACAAGTTACAGAAATTCAAAAAGACAGGAGTAGAACAGAAGAAAGCAGGTGGTCTGGAGACACAGGGAAGGTTGAATGCAGAGATCAGAGGCCATCGTGGGCTTGAGTAATTTTTAAAATTAGAGAGCAGGAGAGAAAGATTTCTAAGGGCCAGAGGGATCTATCTGCAGAGAGTTCACATTAGTAAATAAAAAGCATAATAAAATACTATTCAGTGAGCCTTTATTCTTTGTCAGGTATAGGATGTAGCAATTTACATAAATGTCATGTATATTTAATTTTTCTAGTTATCAGTCCTGTAAGATAGATATAATTATACCTGCTTAACAGATGAGAAGACTGACATGTTGTCCATGATCTTAACCATGGATTACTGAGTTCACTCACTGTATATGAAGGGACAAGGAACACATGTATGCCAGGATTGAAAGTGGAAAGGTCAATTGATAAAGTTGCAAGGCACCAATAAACTTTGAACAGGAGAAAAAGGGTCTGGGCTTAAACCAATAAGCATTAGAGAATAATTGTGGATTTTTTTTCTTGAGCATATGACAGGATGAAATCAGTGTGTGGGATGGAAAAACAGAGAAGAGAAAAAGAGCCCGGATTGCATAGACATGTTTCTTGCCATCTCCAAAGATTTTGTTCCTTCGATTAAAAACAATGTTTTTTGCCCTCTTGCAGTTATATACTTCTTTAATTTTGTTTTTGTTTTAATTATACCACCTGGTTAAATGTAAACTAATCATTTAAAACAATTTTAGAAATTGCTTTATAATTTAAAATCATTTTTAAATACTTTACATGATTTGGTCCTTGTGATAGTTAATTTTAGGTATCAACTTGACTGGATTAAGGGATACCCAGATAACTATAGCTGGAAAAGCATTATATCTGGATATGTATGTGAGTCTGTTTGCAAAAGAGATTGGCATTTGAATCAGTGACTGAATAAGGAAAATCTGCCCTTACCCAATGTGGGTGGGCACCATCCAGTCAGCTGAGGGTCCAGATAGAACGAAAGGGCAGAGGAAACTCGAATTCCCCCTCTCTCTCTTCTCCCCTACCTCCTGGAATGGGGACATCCTTTTCTCATGCCTTTGGACATCTGAACTCTAGGCTCCCTGGGCTTTGGACTCCAGGACTTGCACCAGCAGCTCACCAGGTTCTCAGGCCTTCAGACTTGGACTGAGCCATATTACTGATTCCCTGGTTCTCCAGCTTGCAGATGGTATATTGTGGGACTTCTCAGCCTTTATAATCATGAGTCAATTTCTCTAATAAACCCCTTATCATCTGTCTATCTATCTATCTATCCATCCATCCATCCTTCCATTCATCTATATATCTATCCATCCATCCAGCTATCTCTACTGGCTCTGTTTCTCTGGAGAACCCAGACTAAGAGTCTTAAAAATGATTCTCAGAGATGGAAAGGGCAGAGTTATTTTACAGATTAGGGAAATGAGGCTCAGAAGATTAACATACATACTGGTCCCCCTCTGTCCTCATCTGCCATGAATAATATCATTACCTATCTATGGGAGTCAAACAAACCAGACACTTGAAAATTATCCTTAACTCCTCTCTGTTCCATATGGCCTAACTCCAATCTGCCACCATGTCCCAACAATCCTATATCAATTTAACAAGTCTCAAATGCAACTCCCACATCCTATTCCTAGACTATCTTAATTGAGGCTCATCACTCTATCATTTTTCACCTGGATTACTTCAAAAATTTAAAATATACCAACTGTTTCCTGATTCACCAACATCTGATCCCCTTCTTAAACTACTGCCAGTGAGATTTTTGTAAAACTTTAATCTGCTGATATCTTAAATACCACTTCAATGATTCTCATTATTTTTTATGAATAAATACAAACTCCTTGGTAGATGCAATGGGCTAAACACTTGTGTTCTCCCGAAATCTATATGTTGAAATTCTAACCCCCAAGGTAATAATTTTAGAAGGTGGAGCCTCTAGGAGGTGATTAGACCAAGAAGGTGGATCCTTCATCAATGGGATTAGTGTCCTCATAAAAGAGGCTCCAGAGAGTTAGCCAGCCCCTATTGCCATGTGAGGACACAGCTAGAAGGCATCATCTATGAGGAAGACGACCTGTAATTATTACCAGGCACCTAATTTGCCTGTGGCTTGATCTTAAAGTTCTCAGGCTCTTGAACTATAAGAAATTACTATTGTTTATAAACCACCAAGTTTCTGATATTTTGTTTTAGCAGCCTGAAATGAATAAGACATGCCTTTTTAAAATGAGACACCAAAGAGTGCCTTCACCTCTTTGACCGTGCATGCACACAATGGGAAAGTGCTATCTATGAACCAGGAAATGGGCTCTCACCAGACACCGAATGTGCTGCCACCATGACATTGTACTTCCTAGCTTCTAGAACTGGGAGAAATAAATTTATGTTGTTTATAAGCTACTCAGTCTATGATATTTCTATCAGTCTATGATATGCTACTATTATAAACCTCTCAGTCTATGACAGACAGTCTATGATATGTCTTAGTCTATGAACAGACTAAGACAATAGAGTATACAAGGTCCTTCATGATATAGCCCTCATGCAACTCCAGCATTATCTCCTGCAATTTACCCTGCAAACAACAACCCCCAGTCACACCTCCATCCCATGCACTATATCTTCCAGCGACACCAAATACTTCCTATTGGTACCAGGAGACCGCACACTGGAAATCTCTGCATGTGTTCTTTTCTGTGCCTAGGATGCTCTTTTTCATTGACGTCACCAAGGAACTTCCTACTCAAACCTTCAATGTTTATTTCCTACATCTCCTTCCCCAGAAAGCCTTTCTGACTCCCCCAGTCTAGAGTGACTTTTCATATGCACTTAGCTATATGCACTTAGCCATATCATAGTACTTGCCACTCTCATATCATGCTGTGATTTTTTTATTTGTCAGTCTTATCACTAGACTCAAACTACGTTATTACATGCCATGAGCTTGTTTTAATCCTTTGTACTTTCATTTTTGCCATCCATTTCTTTAATACATCATTATTAAGATGACATTCCTAGATAGAGCACTCAACCAGGCTTTGGGAAGAACAAGAGATATAAGGCGGAAATTCTGTAAATCTGAAAAAGGATAATATTCAAGGAAAAGTAACAAAGTAGGCATCAAATGTAGTAGGTCGAATAGCGGTCCCCCAAAACAGCTATGTCCAGCTGAAATCTGTGAATGTGACCTTATTTGGCAAAAGGGTCTTTGCAGATGTGATTAAAGTAAAGATCTTGAGATGAGATCATCCTGGCTTACCTGAGGGGACTCTAAATCCAATGACAAGTGTCCTTATAAGAAAGGATGCAAATCGTAAAGGAGAAACACAGGAGAAGGTGATGCGAATTTGGAGACAGTGATTAGGGTGATATATCCATGAGTCAAAGCACAGCAAGAGTTGTTGGCAGCCACCAGAAGCTAGGAGGCAGGCATGGAATAGATTCTCCCTCAGAACCTCCAAAAGGAACCCATCTCACTGACACCTTGGTTTTCGATTTCTGGCCTCCAAAACTGAGACAGAATAAATTTCTGTTACTTGAAACCACCCAGTTTGTAGGAACTTCTTCTAGCAGTCCTGGGAAACTAATACCACAGATAAGAGCAAGAAAGTAATACCTCAATTATTTTCAAAGTGATTTTGAATATGTTAAGTTCTAACAATTTAAGATTCTTTTCTTTTTCCTTACACAGCCTTTCTCCAATTGTCAGACAGAACTTGAAGTAGGAAAGTGCACACAGAGATGCAATAAATGCTTAGTAAACATTGATTGACAGATAACTTTTTTTTGGAACAAAAAGTGAGATACTACCAAAGAAAAACAAAATGAATACAAATACAGAAATGTATGCCTTTCTTCCTTCTCAAAAAAATAAAAAATCTGTCAGAAACAGAAAAGGACCATCAAAGGTACACGATATCAAGTACATAAATTGTGAAACGCAAGTCACAGCACAAGTTGTTTGTGACAGTAAATGCATAAATTTTTTATCAAGTTAGAAAAAAATATCGACTACTTATTCATCCAAGTTATATATAGTCCTTCCTACATTTTAAACGTGTTCTGCAGTGATCTCCAGTTCAAGAAAGATAAGATGGTAACTTATATATTCAGAACAATTTAGAACTTTTATCTTAAGAAAAAACTTTCTTTGCAAAAAAAGTGGGCAAACGAAAGAGGGCAAAATATATGACAGATATTATTAGCTGTAACTGACAAGGATAGGTGAAAAAAGGGAACCAAACTCTTCTTTCATAATTTGAAATTCAATATCTTATACTCTTAGTTGGTACCAAGTAACATACTTCGTACTGAGGGATTAACTCCCTAAACTCATGGAACTTACATTCTAGTGCAGCTGTTATAAAACTATAAAACATTTTGTAAATCTGCTATAGAATAGCTTTGGACTCTTCTTCTTCCACATAATGTTAATAGTTAATAATTATTGAGTGATCATTATGTACTAGACACTTTTCTAGACTCTCTTCAAAGATTAATGCATTTAGTATAACAATATGTTATTATATCTATTTTACAAAAGAGGAAACTGAAGCACAGAGAAATGAAGTAGATTGCCTGCTGGCTGAACCACCAGGAAGTGGTGAAGATTGAATTAAAACCTAGCAGCCTAGTTCCAGAGCTCTTGGTTTCAATTACTATATCTTCTTGCACCTATATGTTATAACAACATATGATAATTAAAAAGTTATAGAATAAATTAATCAGCCTTTAGTCTGCATCAGAAAACAAAATTAAACAATAGCTTTAGTCTCAGAGGTTGAAAAAAATTTCTTACATTTGGAAAAATGTAGAAAATAGTAATACTTGTTTTGTAGGATATATGTGAGGATTCAAGAATAGAACAGGTGTAAATGTGCCTAGTATAGTGCCCAGAACCAAAAAAAAAATAAGTATTTAGATTTAAAATACATATACAGAGTTTGTTTTATGAACCTTTTACTATGTTTCAAGTGTTAGCTTAAAATTTGGCTAAAAATGCATAAAGATCTGATTGAAACCTACAAAGTACATAGTAAACCCACAACTGATTGCTTATAACAGGAAAATAAAATGCTATATTTTTCACTAAAACGTTTTATTTTCCTTCTGGACACAACAGGTGACTGTATTTCATGTCTTAGAAGAATGTGATATACACTGTCTCTAGATCTGACCCCCTAAATCCTCCACTTCTGGCTCCAATGCGCCAGCTTTTGTCAGACCAGTGCTGCTACTAAGAACAACTAGAAAAATTAGATAAAATGCCAAAATGAAACACAAAATAAAAACATCTGTTTGAAAGCATCAGAGATATTTGAAGGTACTGAAGAGTTAGCAAGGCAGATGGAACTTGAAGGGTCATGATGCTACTGACAAAAAAAAAATCACTGAGATAATTTTGGCTTCTATACCACTTTTATCCATCTAACCACCTATTAATGTGTGTGACAAATAGATCAAATATGGAGAAACAGGGAAAAAAAATCAGCTGCTAAAAAACTGAGAAGTTTAGCAGACCTACTGACCTTACATCACATCGGGGGCATATAATCAGGAGTTCAGGGCCCACATAGGTGCATAATCTCCACAAGATTATACACCATAGTTACAATGAAGCAGAAGTGAACTAGACCTTACAAGGACTAAAACATAACTTCAAATCAACCCTAATCCTTTATCCAGATGCTAAACAAAACCCTCTCTGAAGAGACATAACATCATTCATAGTCTCTAACACTTATTAAACACAATGTCTGGCATTCAGTTTAGAATTTCCAGATATATCAAGAGACAGAAGAGAAAAAGCACTGAACAGAAACAGACCTAAAGGTAATCCAGAGCTATCAGACACAGACTTTAAAATAACTGATTAATATGCTGAAGAAAATAAAGACAAACAAATTTTACCAGTGAATTTGATTCTATGAAAAATTAAGGGAATTTTAGATTTTTTTAAAAAATGTAATTACTGAAATTTAAAATATGATAATTTTACAACAGAATAGGCACATTAAAGAAAGGATTAGTAATCTTAAAGTTAGGTCAGTAAATAATATCCAGACTAAGAGAGAGGATTAAGAATGAGATGCACAGAAAGCATATAAAAGACATGTGGAAGAGAATGGAAATATATAACACATGTAACTGGACTCCCAGTAGTGGAGGGAGTGAGAGTGAGGTAGAAGCAATTTTTGAAGAAATAATGACCCAAGACAAATGAAAGATGTCACCCACAGGTAAAAGAAGCTCAATTAGCTCAAGGTAGATTAATACAATGAAAACCACACATAGGCACATCATGGTAAAACTGAACTAAAGCAAAACAAAATCTTAAAAGTAACCAGAGAATAAAAGATGCATCATTGTCAAATGAGTAGCAATAAGACTGGCGGCTGACTTCCCAACTAAAATGAAGGAGCAAGAAAACAATGAAGTGACATCTTTAATGTGCTGAAAAAAATGTCAACTTAGAATTCTATACCAGTGAAAATATACCTCAAAAATTAAAGTGAAATAATACATATCACAATAAACAAAAATTGAGAGTATATCTGCCAAAATTTCACTAAAGTAAAATTAAAAGGCAGATAAACCCAGAAAAATCACAATAATTTTGAAGATCACAGCAAAGTTAGAGAACTTAAATTACTAAATTATAAGATTTATTATAAGAACTACAATGCTACATTTAATAAGATAATGTGGTACAAGTGCAAGGATAGACATATAGATCTATCCAGAATAGGAAGTCGAGACAGATAGGAAGTTGAGAAATAAATTACACATATATGATTTCCAACAAAGGTGTTACAGGAATCAAGTGGAGAAGTGATAGTCTTGTCAATAAATTGTGCTAAAGCAATAGACATTAACTTGGGAAGAAAATAAACCTGTACACCTAATTCATACCATAAATTTATTCAGGATGGATTATATATCTAAATGGAAAAGTGAAATAAGGAAGATCCTACCAAAAAATGCATGGAAAAAAACCTTCATAATGTTGTCAGTTGGCAAATACTTTCTAACCTGGACATATAAAACACTAATAATAGAAGGGAAAAAAGAAGAAAAATTAGATATAATTAAAATTAAAAATATATGTCCATCAAATGATACTATTAAGAGAATTAAAAAGACAAGCTAAAAATTGGGAGAAAATATTTACAACACAGTCATCTGCTGAAAATTTACATCTGGAAAATAAATAGAATTGCTTTTACTAAAATTAATAATAAAATGACAACCCAGTTAGAAACAGTAAAACACATGAACATGCTCTTTATAAAACAGAATATCTATATGGCCAATAAGCATGAAAATGTATACTTAATATCATTACTCATTGGTTAATTTAAAATCATAATTTTGTATCTTGATACAACTTTAAACCACCTCAATGCTAAAAATAAAAATACTTTTAAAACCAAATATAGGCAAGATTGCAAAGCAATTGTTACTCTGATACATTGCTAGAAGCATAAATTGTCTCAATCACTTTCAAAAACTGTTTAGTAATAGCAAATAAAGCTACAAATAATCCTAAATTATGTCCCAGTAATCTTATTTTAAGGTATAGACCTCAAAGAAATGAGTACATATGTCCTCTGTAAGACATGTACAAGAATGTTCATGACACCTTGATTCATAACAGCATCACACTAGAAAGAAATGCTCATAAACAAAAGAATAGATCAGTGAGTGAGTCATGGTATACAGGTATACATTGTGCTTTATTGCACTTTTCAGACTTTTTTTTTTTTTATTTTACAAATTGAAGATTTGTGGCAATCCTGCATCAAGCAAGTCTTTTGGTGCCCTTTTTCAACATGTTCTTACTTCAAATCTGTGTCATATTTTGGCAATTCTCGTAATATTTCAAACTTTTTATGATTATTTTATCTGTTATGGTGATCTGTGATTAGTGATCTTTGCTTTTTCTATTGTAATTGTTTTGGGACCCCACAAACCATGCCCATAATATGACACAAACTTAATAACAAATACTGCGTGTGTGTGTGCGTGTGTGTGTGTGTGTTTAACTACTCCACAAACCAGCCATTCCCCCTCTCTCTCCTTCTCTTCAGGCCTATCCCTGAGACACAACAATATTGAAATTTGGCCATTTAATAACTGTACAATAGCCTCTAAGTGTTCAAGTGAAAGCAGAAGTTTCATGTCTCTCACTTTAAATCAGAAGCTAGAAATAATTAAGCTTAGAGAGGTAGGCGTGTTGAAAACAAAGATGCGCTGAAAGCTGGGTCTCTTGTGCCAAACAGGCAAGTTGTGAATGCAAAGGAAAAATTCTTGAAGAAAATTAAAAGTGGTTACTCCAGTAAACATGTGAATGATAAGGAAGTGAGACAGCCTTATTGCTGATGTGGAGAAAGTTTTCATGGTCTGGATAGACGATCGAGATAGCTACAACATTCCCTTAAGCCAAAGCCTAATCCAGAGCAAGGAGGTACTAAATCTCTTCAATTCTATGAAGCCTAAGAGAGGTGAAGAAGCCGCAGAAGAAAAGTTTAAAATGAGCAGAGGTTGGTTTCACAAGGTTTAGGGAAAGAAATCATCTCCATAACATAAAAGTACAAGGTGAAGTAGCAAAAGCTGATATAGAAGCTGCAGCAAATTATCCAGAAGATCTAGCTAAGATATTGATGAAGGTAGTTACACTAAACAACAGATTTTTTTTTATGTAAACATAACAGCCTTCTAATGGAAGAAGACGTCATCTAAGACTTTCATAGCTAGAGACAAGTTAATGGCTGACTTCAAAGCTTCAAAGGACAGGCTGACCCTTTTGTTAGGGGCCAATGTAGATGGTGACTTTAAGTTAAAGCCAATGCTCATTTACCATTATGAAAACTCTAGAGCTCTTCAGAAGTATGCTAAATCTACACTGCCTATGGTCTATAAATGGAACAACAAAGCCTGGAAAACAGTACCTCTGTTTACAATATGATTTACTGAATATTTTAACAGTCCACTGTTGAGACATACTTTGCAGAAAAAAAAGATCCTTTCAAAATAGTACTGCTTATTAACAGTGTACCTAGTCACCCAAGAATTCCGATGACTATGTACAAGGAGATTAATGTTGTTTTCATTCTGGCTAACACAGCGTCCAGTCTGCAGCCCATACATCAAAGAGTAATTTCAATTTTCAAGTCTTGTTATTTAAGAAATACACTTTATAAGGCTACAGCTGCCATAGACAGTGATTCCTTTGATGGATCTGGGAAAACTAAATTGAAAACCTTCTAAAAAGACTTCACCATTCTACATGCCATTAAGAATATGTGTGAATCATGGGAGGAAATCAAAACATCAACATTAACAGGAATGTGGAAGAAGTTCATCCTAACCCTTACAGATGACTTTGAGGGTTCAAGATTTCAATGGGGAAAATAACTACAGATGAGATGGAAATAGCAAGAGAACTAGAAGTAGAATCTGAAGATGTGACTATTTGCTGCAATTTCATGATCAAACTTGAATGGGTAAGGAATTGCTTCCTATAGGTGAGCAAAGGAGGTGATTTTTTTAGACGGAATTAACTTCTTATAAATTATGCAATGGACATTGTTTAAATTATAACAAGTGATTTAGAATGTTACATAAACTTAGTTGATAAAGCAGTGACAATGTTGGAGAGGATTGACTCCAATTTTGAAAGAAGTTCTACTGTGGGTAAAATTCTATCACACAGCATTGCATGTTATAGAGGAACCTTTTGTGAAAGGAAGTCATTCAATATTGCACACTTCAATGTTGTGTTATTTTAAGAAATTGCCACCACCACCACAACCTTTAGTAACCACCACTCTGATAAGTCAGTAGACCTCCACATCAAGGCAAGGCCCTCTCCCAGCAAAAAGATTATGACTTGCTGAAGGCTCAGATGATTGTTGGCATTTCTTAGCAATGTGAAATAACTCAGGAATGGAAAACGAAACATTGTTCTCACTCCTGAGTGGGAGCTAAGCTATGAAGATATAAAGAAATAAGAATGACACAACGGACTTTGGGAACTCAGAAAGAGAGGGTGGGAAGAGGGTGAGGGATAAAAGACTACAAATTGGGTGCAGTGTATACTGCTTGGGTGATGGGTGCACCAAAATATCGAAAATCACCACTAAAGAACTTACTCATATAATCAAACACCACCTGTTCCCATTAATTTATGGAAATAATAAATGAATAAAAATTATTTTAAATTAAGATAAGTACACTTTTTAGACATAATTAACTACAGTAATTAACTACAGTATAGTGTATGTATAACTTTTACATATACTGAGAACCAAAGAATTCATTTGGCTCACTTTATTGCAGTATTTGATTTACTGTGGTATTCTGTAACTGATCCTGCAATATCTCTGATGTATGCCTATAGCCATAAAATGGAATAGCTCAGGGAAATTTTTTTAAATTATGGCTATATTCACTACAATGGATGAATCTCACAATATATTGAGCAAAGGAAGTCAGACACAAAAGAATCTGTATGATTCAGTTTACATGGAATTCTAGAACAGGCACCTTTTATGATCAACGATTAATTGGCTGATAGAAGTAATATTAAAGAAAAACATGAGAGGGTTGAAAATGACTAGAAATGGCCAAGAAGAAATCTTCTGTGTATTAACTTGACCTGGGTGGTTATTTTGTGGGTGCATAAATATGTAAAACTTCATCAGATTACACACTTAAAATTAGTGTACTTTAGTGTATATATGTTATGACAAGAAAAAAACAAGAAAAATTTGAAAACATATTTTAAAACCATAAATTAATAAAAACACACCTACAATATTAAAAAAGCAACAAAACTAAAAGTAGATTCTTTATATAGACTAATCAAGAAAAAAGAGGTAAATGGTATCATTATAGATCTTACAGATATTTAGAGAAAACAGGTGATACTCTGAAAAAATTTACACCACTAAGCTGAAATGTAGAAAATGTAGGCGAAAATTATATTTGTGAAAAATAAAACTTACCAAACTAACAAGAAACTTTCTCCAACTTTAGAAGAAACAGAATATTTGAAAAGAGTCTTGTATTTATTAAAGTAATTCAATCAGTGTCTAAAAATATTCTGGCAAAGAACATTACTGGCCCAGATAATTTCTATAGTGAATTGTTCCAATGATTTCACTAAGAACAATATCAAAATTAATCAAAATTTTATATAATAGAAAATATCTCTTTTCAATGTATTTTATGAACCTGATTAGGAATTAAAAGGAAGATAAATCACAGGCCAATCTCTCATGAACATGATTTTAAAAAGTCATCCACAAAATATTCCTTATCCAATTTAGCAATGTCTAAAAAGGACAATACATTATGACTAAGTTGGGTTTATCCGAGGAATGTAGTTTGTGTTAATATTTAGTTCATATTAATATTTGGTATAATTTATTACATTAACAATTTCAAAGGAAAAAACCTATATAATGCACTCAATAGTTAAGGAAAAAGTATTTAATAACTTTTAACATTCATTCATGATTTTTTTGAAAACAGCTAGATAGAAGTAAAAACTCCCTTAATATATAAAGGTTTTCCAGATAATAATAGTTATTATTATTATACTACAAATATCATCCTTAATGCTGAATTACTGAAACTCTAATCCCCTGAGATTAGGACTGAGACAAGGATATCAGCTATCAGCATTTTTCTTCAACATCATATTGAAAGTCCTAGTCAAAGAAATAAAAAAAGAAAAGAAAATGAAAGTTATCAAGATTAAAAAATAGAAATAAAATTATACAGCAGGATCGAATCCATAATTTCTTTTCAATTTACAGATGTATCATTAAAATTAACAAGTGAATTCAACAAACTTATTGTATACAATGTTAAGCAACAAAAATCAATTCTATTTCTGCATATAAGCAATAAATCATTAAAAAATAAAATAAAATATACTTTATTTACAATAGTAACAAAAAATACTTACTACTAAGCCTGAGAAAAGATGTGAAATACAGCTGGAGAAAACTGTTAATATTGAGAGTAAAAAATTGTTAGCAAAATTGCAATTGAGTTATGTTTATGCATATTGATACATGTATGTTATGTTATATTAAAAGTTTTTAATAATGAATGCAACTAAAGAAATTCTAAAGAGGATTATATCATATTCTGAGTTAGAATACTTAACATTGTAAACTTATTAAATCTTTCTAAATTGACCTGTAGATTCAAGGAAATCACAAAGACAATTCTTGTAGGATTTCTGCCACAGGAATGTATAAGTTTATTTTAAAATTTACTTGAAAATCATAAGATTCAAGAATAAAAGATGACCTTGAAGCAGAAGAAAATGAGAACACAAACATTTCCAGATATCAAGGCTTATTGAATCAAGGGGAGAGAAACAGACCTTTGAAATAAATACAGATTCCAGAAACAAATCCACATATATATGGTCATTTGATTTTTGGCAAACTTACAACTGTAGCACATTGTGAATAGATGCACTTTTTATTAAATGGTGCTGTGTCATCAGATATCCATGTGAAAAAAAATGAACCTCAGTCCCTATCCCACATCATACACAGAAATTAATTTTAGATGGATCACATAGCTAGTATAAAATTTTGAAAAACTATAGTTTCTGATATGGGAGAGGGCCAGGTAAGTACTGGGTAGAGAAGGATGGGGTCCCTGGCAAGGGCTCCACCCTCAGGCCTGTGCCCACAGATCTAAGTGGGAGCAGTCACTCCTGTTTCTGTGCCCAAATGTTGTATTTTCCAAGACCACTCTGGCATGCCAAGCCCCCCATCCTGTGCTCATAAAAGCCCGGGACTGTAGCAGGCACACACACAAGTGACTGGATGTCAAGAGGAGCAGAAGAGCACACCAACAGACTCCAGCCATCACCGGCAGGCCATCAAGTTGGGATGGCACAGAATTTGATTGGGGGTGGTTGGAGGAGAATCCAGCCGCTGAGCGGCCTGACTCCAAGGGAAGACCACCTTCCTACTCCATCCCCCTCCTGGCTCCCTATCCACCTCACTGAGAGCCACTGCCACCACTCAATAAAACCTTGCACCCATCCTACAAGCCCACATGTGATCCGATTTTTCCAGTACACTACGGCAAGAACCTGGGATACAGAAAGCCCTCTGTCCTTGCGATAAAGGAGAGGGTCTAATTAAGCTGATTAAAACAAACGGCCTATAGATGGCAAAACTGAAAGAGCACCCTGTAACACACTCCCACTGGGGCTTTGGGAGCTGTAACACTCAACCCTAGACACGGCTATGAGGTTGGAGGACTTTGAGTACCAATTGTAATTTACAGCAAGGACTGACTTGTCCTCAGGAAGGAACCATTCATTTTCATACCATCCAGCAGTTGAAACTTTTCTGTAAATGAAGACAGATGGTCTGAGGCCCCATATGTGCAGGCTTTCTATACCTTGCAAGGCAATCCAGACCTTTGTCGACAGTGTAGGATAGCCCTCCTGTTTGCCATCTCAGGGAAGGCTGCAAGAAGCAAGCCCAGGGAATGAAAGATTCGAGTCCCAGAGGCACTTCCAGCAGAGGACCCAGTTCCCTCCAGCCCTGCTCCTCTGGGTCCACCCCGATCTTCCTATCCAGCTTCAGCCTCTCACTTGCCCCCTCCTAGAAATCCTCACCCTGGACAAGCCCCAGTCTCACACTTGCCCCTCCAACAGATGCCTGGTGAATTTGGCCCCAGTAAGGTCCAGGTCCCCTTCTCTCTGCAGAACTTAAAGCAAATTAAGGGGGATCTTGGCAAGTTTTCAGATGACCCTGACAGATATATAGAGGCTTTCCAGAATTTCACCCAAATATTTGGGCACTCCTGGAGAGATGTTTTGTTAGTTTTGAATCAGACCCTGATAGACACTGAGAAGCAGTCCACTCTGCAAGCAGCAGAGAGATTTGGGGATGAGCTTTGTGTTACATACAGCATCAGGGAAGAAGAGGGTGAAAATTATCCAACTGAAAGAGAAATGGTACCAGTGAATGACCTTAATGGAATCCCAGTGATGAAATGGGAGATTGGAAGAGGAGACACTTTCAGGTGTGCCTAATGGAAGGCTCATTTAGAACTAGAATCAAGCTAAGTGGTCGGTGATCGACCAGGACTTCGATGAAAATCCCCCTGCCTTCCTGGAAAAGCTAAAGAGATGCCTTGATAAAGCACACCTTGCTATCCCCTGATTCAGTCAAGGGACAACTAATTCTGAAGGATAAATTAATTACTCAGGCAGCCCCTGATAGCAGAAAGAAGTTGCAGAAATGGGCCCTGGGACCAGATAGTACATTAGAAGACCTACTGAAAGTGGCCACCATGGTCTTTTATAATAGAGAGACAGGAAATACAGGAAAGAGAGAGAGGCTTTAATGGCTGCTAGGAAAGCCCACAAACCCCAAAATTCCCAGAGTGCACCTGTTAACTGCTACAGATATGGCAAGAACAGTTATCTGTCTTCTAAAGTTTAACTGCTCCCATAAAAGGTTTAATTTCTTTCACCAGAGTGAAACAGCTCTGAGTACAATGTTGTTGTTAGTATATTTCACTTCTTATCTCTGTAATATTTGGCCCTGAATTCTTTCCTTGTATAATGCACATGTTTAACCCACGTATACTTAACTTTATAAAACTTGTTTTTTTGGTTTTTTTTTTCTCTCACACTTAGAGGCCATCAAACTCCAAATGGCCAGGCAACCAGAGCCTCGGATAATGGCTCCCCTTTGCCAGGAACCCCCTCTGGAAGGAATATGACTGCCATTCCCCCCACCCCGCCCCCCCAAAAAAAATGCCCCCTGTGAGCCGGAAGTAGCTAAGACCAGTTGTCATCCATATTCTAATGGCAGTTAGATGTACCTCTTAAGAGCAGGGAAATGATATGGGAGAAGGGCAGGGAAGTGCTGGGTAGAGAAGGGCAGGGTCCCTGGCAAGGGCTCCACCCTTGGGCCTGTGTCCACGGACCTAAGTGAGAACAGGAACTTCTGTTTTCACACCCAAGTGTTGCATTTTCCAAGACCACTTTAGCCCACCATCCCCCATCCTGTGCCCATAAAAACCCAAGACCATAGAGGGCACGGACACAAGCAGCTGGACATCAAGAGGAGCAGAAGAGCACATTAACAGACACCAACAGGCCATTGAGGTGGGACGATGCAGAATTCGGTCGGGGGTGGTTGGAGCACAGTCCAGTCGCTGGGTGGCCTGACTCCAGGGAAAGACCACCTTCCCACTCCAACCCCCTTCTGGCTCCCTATCCACATCACTGAGAACTACTGCCACCACTCAATAAAACATTGCACCCATCCTCCAAGCCCACATGGGATCTGATTTTTCTGGTACACTAGGGCAAGAACCTGGGATACAGAAAGCCCTCTGTCCTTGAGAAAACGCAAAGGGTCTATTAGAGCTGATTAAAACAAGCCATCTGTGGACGGCTAAGCTGAAAGAGCACACTGTAACACACACCCACTGGGCCTTCGGGAGCTGTAAACACTCAACCCTAGATGCTGCTGTGGGGTCAGAGCCCAAAAACGTTCCCCACAACCTGCCAATCTGCATGCTTCCACTAGAGGTTTGAGCAGCAGGGCACCAAAGAAGCGAGCCACACCTCTGTCTCATGCTCTGTGAGGGTTATAAGGGAACTCCTCCTGTTTCACTTCTAGATGATAACACAGGATAATATTTTCATGACATTGGCATAGGTAAATATTTATTTAAAAGGATACAAAAGGCACTAATCATAAAGAAAGAGTTTTATAGGTTAAACTACATTAAAACTAAGAACTTCCACTCCTCAAAGACAACTTTAAAATGCATAAGGCAAGCCATGCATTCCCAGAAGATATTGGTGATACGTATGGTTGACAAGGGTCCTATAACCAGAAGATTCCCACAAGTCAATAAGATAGTCAATCTAATAGAAAAATAGGCAAACAACACCACTTAAACATACCCTTTGAGAAAGATGATGTCCAAATAGCCAATAAACAGAAAATAATGCTGAATTCCATAAGTTATGATAAAAATATGAATTAAACCACAATATGATATATCACAACACAGCCACCCAGAATAGTTAATTTAAAAAAAAAAAGCGGGAATGCCAAGTGTTGGTAAAGATGTGGAGCAAATAGAATTTTTATAGACATAAACTTGTAAAACAACTTTGGAAAACTTTTTCCCAGTATCTGCTAAAGCTGAACATATACATATGCCATTACCTAGCCATTCCATTTCTAGGTAAATACATATAAAATGTGTACAGATGTGCACCAAGGAAAAGTACAAAAACGTGTATAGCAACACTTCAGAGTGACCCAAAACTAGAAAACTGGAAAAAACTCAAATTTATTTCAATAATAAAATGAAGTGGTGGATATTTACACAATGTAATACTATATAGCAATGGAAGTGAGCAAATTATTGCTATCTGCAAAAATATGGATGAACTTTACAGATACGTAGAGTGAAAAGAAGCTAGGAACAAAAGAATACAGATTGTATGATTTTACTGACATAAATATGAAAACACTCCAGATTAAATGTTGATGATATTGGTCAAGTAGGCATTACTGTGGGGAGTGGAATACTGTTTGGAAGGAGGTTTGAGGGAGCTCTCAGGCTTGTCAGTAAAGTTCAGTTTCGCAGTGAAGACCATGGTTTACAGGTGTTTTTATTTTGAGAAAATTTATCAAGTTATGTACTTAACATAAAAAAAATTTATTTTGTTTTTTAAAAATTACAGAATGGTAAAAAGGGATGTAGATGATAAAGAAGGCTTAAGGACTGTATCCACCATTTACCACTTCAAACTGACCACCTGCCATAGGTTCTAGGTATAGATAGGAACACTAATTACTTTCAAATCATGCTTACAATTTTGTTAATTATAGGACACTGGAAATTTTACTCCTGGATGTTCAATGACCTAAATATAACTAGAAAGTACAGGAAGATTCTGAGTATTCATCCATGGCCAATGTTTTAACAACTGGGCAATAAATAAATGTAATATTCATAATTTTTTAAAACTCCTCTCTTTTTCTCCATACTACAGGAAGAGGACACAGTGGAGGACTTGAGTCACACCTTAAAGAGAACTTCCCAATCAAGGAAATCCATTTTGGACTTCTCTGAGACATAAACTTTTACTAAGTAGAGTTATAATATTTTAAAGGTGTTTGTTACAGTTTTTAGCCCAACCTAACTAATACACTACTCTTAGAAGTTTTAAGGTAAACCAAATCACGAAAGGCTCCAAGATGAAAAACCAAAGTGTCAGAAAAGATAAATAATGCTCATCAGGTACTATTTAGTGTCAGCCTCTCTGCTCATAGTAACTAGAATTTCCTAAGCATTTATCATGTACAATGTTAACTTCCTTACATACATTATTTCATCTAGTTTCTAAGTCACTCTTTGCAATTAATATAATCATCATTCTACAGAAAAAGACAGTGAGGCCCAGACCCACATTTAGAAAGCAGTGATCCATTCCAGAACCCACTCCATTCAGATTCAAATGTTGGTCGGTCTTGCTCCAGAACCTGTGAATTTCATTAGACTAGCAGTTCTCACATTGAGCTATCTGTATACTGATTCCTCAAGGAACTGTGTGGCTTAGGAAGATAGTTTAAGTCTCTAAGCTTCTGTTTCCTCATTCAAAAATCTCAAGTAAAAAGAGTAAAAATAGGATTGTTCTGGTTATCATATTTATACAGCACTTAGAATAATGCTGGACATATGGGAGTAGTTTGATACCAGAGAGCAACTACTTTTTAATAATGTAGGTGTGATTGTTGCATAAATGGATGTTCCAAGCAAAAAAAAAAAAAAAAAAAAAAAAGGTGGGGTGGTCGGGGGAGGCCCATTATCAAATAAGTTTGGCAAATCCTAGAGTGATAAAAGTAAACAGATTTCCTGCATTTAGGACTGTGACATTCCAAGAAGGAAAAGTAGAATATGCAGTGTTTCCAGCACTTATTTGTTAACAAAATACGTTTTTTTCAGATCATATATTCATTTAGCAGATATTTATTGAAGCCCTATTACATATCAGTCACCAATATAATGATGAAGATGATCTACATGGTTCCTCTCTCACGGAGCTACTAGATAGCAGGGGGAAAATACAAAAACAATGGAAAAGCAAACGAATAAAAAAGACACAAACCATGAAAGGCTATATGAAGTGGAACTTCAATGTACCTACTGAGAAAGTGTAGAGGGAAAGCAGGTATTCCAGGTGAAGGACAGAGTGCAGGTGCAAAGAAAATAACCCAATGTAAACATAAAAATTAGAACTGATCTCAAATTAACAGCTTTATTCCAGTTTGTTTGTTGTTATCAAAGATTGATGTTTAATCCTAACAGCAGCTATGTCCGTTTAGGCCAATTATGTCATTTGTCCAATTACCCTATTGTTGCTATGGGTAATCAAAACACAGAATGGTACAAACAGAGAAGAAATTAGAGACTTTAGTACAAATAATTATGCAAATGAGGAAACTGAGGTCTAGAGAGGCTAAATGACTAGTATTACAATTTCTGGCTGCCTGGACCTACACTATTTCCTTTACATCATTCTCATTCCCCATAGTTCATCATTTCCTGAACTAGAATAAATAAATAAATAAATAAATATTTATCAAGCTTGAGACAATGCTAAGTGCTAGGAGAGACTCAAGACTGAATAACATGAGTAAGGATGTAATATCTGTCTTTAGGGCACTTAGATTCTAGTTGGAGCACCAGGGAGAAACACATGAAAATAACACAATCAAGTTCAAAAAGCACTTCACAAGAGCAAACGTCTAGAAAAAACAAGTAGCACGTCACAATGTCCAATGAATCTAAAAGCAGTAATTATTTTAAGAGTTCAGAAAAGAGTTTGAAATGATTTGGTAGGTCTTTTGCAAGTGATCAAAGATGAATTAGTTATAGAAATTCTGGAAGGATTTAAAAAGCAGAGTGAAGGAGAAGGTTTCCAAATGAAGGTAATAAAGGCATTATGGAGGAAGCTCAATGTATGTTGGAGTTTAAAGAGTGACGGAGCATGGGTACAGCAAATAGGAAGTGGCAAACTGCAGTCAAGAGTGATCAATGTATTGTTTGGTCTGAAACCAATTTCAGAGCTTATTGAGAGGATTATCAAATGTGAGGAATGTTTAGGTTTCCGTAAATCTGGTCTGACCTTACCATTCACTCATTCACTCATTTGAAATTTATTGTGAGCCTATTATATGCCAGGCTCTGTTCTAGGCTTTGAGGGTACACAAATGCACAAAACATGTTTGAAGAAGAGAAAGATCCTCTGGGAGCTTGTATTCTAATTTGGGACTTCTCAAACATAGCTGCCTGTTACAATTTCCTGAGAAACTTTTAGAAAAGACTTGAGGAACCTTCAATGCCTGTTGCTAGATAAAAAGAGGCAGTCTAAAAAGACCACATACTGTAATGCCAACAGTACAATATCCTGTAAAAGCAAAACTATACTGAACAAAAAAGATTAGTTGTTCCAGGATTTCAGGGTGAGTAGGGGAGAAGGATGAATAGGTGAAGCATAGGATTTTTACAGTGGTAAAATTATTCTGTATGATACTGTAATGGTAGGTGCAGGGCATTATGCATTAAACCCATAGAACTGTACAACACAAAGAGCGAACCCTAATGTAAACTATGAACCTTAGTTAATAATAATACATCAATATTCTTTCATCAATTATAACTAATATACACACCAATCTAAGATGTTAATAATAGACAAAACCGCAGAGGACAGAAAGGAAAATGGAAACCCTGTACTTTCTGCACAATTTTTTTGCTTAACCTAAAACTTTTCTAAAAAATAAACTAAATAATAATTTTTAAATGGTACAGCTCTTAGACCAAAGAAAGAAAGAAAAACCTGCACTTGGGCCCCACCTGGAAATTCTGATTAAAAATAATAATGAATCTCAAGGACTCTTTTGAAGTCCACCACCAACCCCTCATGCTCATAAACCTACAATACCAAATGCTGGCAAAGATTTGGGACACCTAGAACTACTCTCATGCATTGTTGGTGAGAGTGCAAAATGGTACAACCACTTGAACATATACTTACCATATGAATTAGTGATCTCACTCCTAGGTATTTACCCAAGAGAAATAAAAATATATTCACACAAAAACCCAGATGCAAATATTTATGGCAACTTTATTCATAAGCCCCATAAACTAGAAATGATCCAGAAGTCTTTCAGCTGGCAAATGGATACATTTAGATATGTCAACATAGTGAACTACTACCCACCAATACAAAGGAATGAATTACGGAGACACACAACATGAATGAATCTCAAACGTGTTTCGCTACATGAAGGAAGCACAGTAATAGTGATATAATCAGCAAAGAAGCAAAACATGCAGTTAATAACACAGTGATAAGTTCTATAAAAAATTACAAAGCAGAGAAGGGAGACAGGGAATGCTAAGGATGAACTCGCAAGGCCCAGAGAGGCCTTTCTGAGAAGGTGACATTTGAGCAAAGGACCTTGTAACATGAGGGCAAAGTTTGGATTTTATAGGGAGGGCATAATAATGCCTTTGGAGGGTTTTACAGAAAAAGGTCAAGAACAAATTTATATTTTAACAGCCCATTCTGGCTGCTAGTTGGAGAATAGACCCCTGTAGTTTAAGAGAGGAAGCAGGAGACGAGTAAGACTATTTATAGTAGTTAAGGTGGGAGATGCTGGCTGAGGGAAATATTCATATTGTACAAACTCCCTCCACACAGAAACATACACAGTTTTCAAAAGGAACAATCTCTCTCAAAATGGAACAGAGATAGAGTATAGCCAAAAGGCATTATGAAGTCTATGCAAAGTGCTAATTAAGCCTGGCAATGCAGGAGTAAAAGGAGAAAAATGCTCGCTTTTAGAGTTACCGAGACAAATGTTTACTCTCTCAAATGCAGACTGGCAACAGAAAATGAACAAAGCTCAGTCTAAGTAGTGCTAATCTGTCTTCCACACGTGTATGTTGATGAGCAGGCTGCATGACACAACTGATGGGGAGAGAGAACAGCAATGAAGAGTTCAGCTAAACTGTCTTAGAAGACTCTCATCTGTCCAAGATCCTCCTCTGTAAGCAGATTCTTACCCACACCAGCTCCTCCAAACTCTGAAGCCTTCAGTGTTAGCCAATGGGATTCTGTAGCTAGTACTTCCAAGCCAGGACTGAACCTGAAAAATCAGGCCCCTCCCCAGAACCACAAAGAACAACAGCCACAAAGAGTCAACAGTCTTTGTACATGTCTTAGGGTTTTCCTAGAAGCCCACCCCAAGCAAGCATTCAAGTGCAAGGATTTTCTGTGAGAGATGCAAGAGGCATAACTAAGAAAGTGGGGAAGTGACAACAGGGAAGAGAAAGCAGCCCATAAGCCAGCTTCACTTGTGGATAAATGAGCTGAATCCTGACTGCAAACTCTAGAAAACTGCGCAAAATAATGCTTAAGAGTTATATCACCCAAGGAACTAGGAAGCTGGGGTGTTAATATACCAACTTCTGTCAGCCATTGGTAGGGGGCTGCTGAGGACCAGTGAATAAGTTATTTTCTGAGCACTGCCAACCTAGAGGCTTTGGGAAAAAATGTCCTCAGGCAGAGAGATTCAAACACTAGCATTTGGAAGTCAATAGAAGTTCTCTGAAGTCCTAAGGCCCATGGATATGAACAGAGCATGCACAGATTCCGCTACATTACACTTTTTTTCCTCTTTATCAAGAGCAAGACATTCTTTACCTCTGGCCAACATTTCCTCTGCAGAGGAAATGATTCCAACAAATTGCAAAAAGGAGGAACTCTTCCCTCCATCCATTTCTCTCAAAGCACTCCTCATTGATTTATCCATTACATTATTGTTATAAATTAATAAAGTAAGGCACATGTTAATTTACTTTATAGGTTTCTCAGCCACTGATTTCCTATTATCCCTTTCTATTACCCAACTCATTGACTCCTCCAGATAAATTGTCTGCAACGCAAATGCATTCCAACTCTTGGATTTTATTAAGTATATAAAAGGTGTGTGATTTGTATTAACAACTCAACTCATCACCCCATATTCAAAACTTAGCCAATTAAGCTCAAGTGCATATTAAAATAAGAAATAGATTCCTAATTTCTAGTTAATATTCTTATTGCCTAATGAATTGCTCATTCTTTCTAATTCTAGTGCCATTTGCTCAATTTTCTTTTAATTTCTAAAATATAAGAAAAACATCCAATTATCTAGATGTGTGAAGATATATTGTCTTAAGAGTCCTTGTTAAAATGTCTTAAAAACATTGAGGAAAAGTGCCATAATGAATCATAAGTAATGTATACATCACCTGACACAGTGCCAGCCAAAAAGTAGGCTCTGAATAATTGCTTATTGGAATCAATGAAAGAGCCTAATACATTTACATGACTGATGCCCATGCACGAATCAGAATACTGTTCAATTCACACTGTAAAAGCTTATCTATCTGGTAGCTATTGTATTCATATGTTTTCAGTATGCTTGGTAAGGTGAAAAATATATATTTGCATTTATATAATTTCTTAAGGCTAATTGGTAGATCTTTATGGTCTATAAATGCATTAGCGAATTTAAATAAAAACAGAAGTCATTAATTCACTCATTTATACATTGAAAATATTTATGAAATACCAACTACGGGCCAGGACTTATGAAGAATTTTATGAGGCTGATAAGGTTAAAATGATGCCCAGGCCTCCAGAACATCATCCTCTGTGTTTAAGAGCTTATAATGCTACCCTAATGCAGGCTACAGAACAAGGAAACTGTCCAGAGGGAGTCAGGAAAGTTTTATCGAATGTGGCGTATTTGAAATGGGTCTTCTGGCTAAAGAGGCCTTCAAATGGTGAAAAAATGAGGAAATGCACTCTAGATAAAGAGACAACAGGTTCAAAGTTCTGGCTTTTTCTTTTCTTTTCTTTTCTTTTCTTTCTTTTTTTTTTTTTTTTTTTTTTTTTTGAGGAGACTTCATTGCAGTGTCACTGTATTCAGTTCTCTTGAGAAAAAGAACCAATAGGAGATCTCTCTCTCTCTCTTTCCTCTCTTACTCTCTCTAGTCTATATACATAGAGACAAAAAGAAAGAATTTACCTGAATATATACATATACCTGAATTAATTACCTGAGTATGTAGAAGGGAGAGGAGGAGGAAGAAGGGAAGAAAGATGGGAGAGATTGATTTTTAGAAACTTACATGATTGTGGGGCTGGTCAGTGCAGAATTTGTGGGTAGGCTGGCAGGCTGGAAATTCAGGTTAAGAGTTGTTGCAATGCCAAGTCTAAACTGCAGACCAGCAGTTCAGAAACTTAGGCAGGAATTCTGTGTTTCAGTCTTGAAGCAAAATTCCTTTTTCTAAAAACCTCGGCCTTTGCTCTTAAGACCTTCAACTGATTGGTCAAGGCCCTCCCACATTATGGAGGCTAATCTGCTTTACTCAAAGTCTACCAATTCAAATGCTAATCACATTAAAAAAAAAAAAAACCTTCACAACAACACCTAGACTTGTATCTGGCCAAGCAACTGTGTACTGTGGCCTAGCCAAGCTGACACATAATTAGCCATTATAGTTACTGAGGCAGTGGTTCCAGTGGTTCTCAAAGTGCAATCATCAACAAGCATAATTAGCATCACTTGGGAACTTGTTAGAAACGCAAATTCTTGGGACTTCCCAAGACCTCCTAAATAAGAAACTCTGGGGATGGGGTCCACGAATACTGTCTTAACAAGCCCTTTAGGTATTTCTAATGCATGCCAGAGCATGAGAACCACTGGACTAGACCATTAGGCTCACATTTTCGATTATGAAGAAAAGTGTTAACATAGGAGCAAGTTATTACTGGGCTTATTTTTCATAGGCCTCAGTCACTTGATAGATTTTTGTGTCTAAATGGCACATCTGATAGTGCCAGCAATATCAAGATGTATTCTAATTTTGGAGAAATAACAAAAGGGAATATGATTGATCATTTATAATTCTTTATTCAGTGATACTAAATAAGTAATCTATTAAACTTTTCCTCCATCACTACCCTAAGCTCTTTGGTTGTAAGACTCTGCAAAGCCAGCTTCAATTTCCTTGATAAGGCCAATAGGACCCACATCAGAATATGCCTCAAGATTCTTCAATAGTCCTTCTATTGGTATTGATCACACAATAGGATCTGTTTTTAAACTGTTTCAGAGAAGTCTACAGACTATATATATATATATATATATATATATATATATATATGATATATATAAGATAACCAATGGGAATTGATACTGCTTGTACTCCTTTCAGTGATTTAAGTACTCCATTCATTCTTGGGTTTCATATTTTTGTATTAGTTATCTATCGCCACAATAATGCTGCATAATAAGCAACCACAAAACCTTAATGGCATGCAACAATAAGTGTTTACCAGTCATACCTCTGAGGTAGGTGCCTAGGTGGCTCTGCTGATCTAGGCTAGACTCGGCCACATGTCTAAAGATTGGCTGGTCTAGGATGCCCTCAGCTGGATGACTGGAATAGCTAGGCTCTGCTTCAAGTCTCTCATCCTACAGCATTCTCACCCAGGCATGTTCTCATGATGACGGAAGAGTGCAAGAAGAGGACAAGCAGAAATGCAAAATTGCTTATTCACGCCTCTGTTTGCATCATGTCCATTAATATTTCATTAGCCAAAGCAAGTCACATGGCTAGAGTCTGGGTGAGGGGACACTGTAAAGTTACATTGCAGCAGACCTGATTCATCTGGACAGAGAAGAATTGAGATCATGCATAATATCTACCTCATTTTTGATTGGAAAACTCTTCCCTATCACCTCTTCATTATCTTCATCTGGCTACCTTTTACTCACCTTTTGCATTTACCTTGTCACTTTCCTGGGAAACTGCCATTGGCTCCTCAAGGCTGGATTCCATGTCCCTCCTATGAGTTTCTATAACTCCCTAAACATCCCATTATTGTAGAGTGTAATATAGTCGTGAGTTAGCAAATGCAAGAAAGCTAATGAGATGCTCATAATATGTTTGAACAATGTTGTGCCATTTTATTACTAAACAATTAAAGAGCTACATTAAGATTTATTGGTTTTTTTGAGATTTTAACTTCTAGGATAAGTGATGCAAAGTTCTGTTTTTTATAAAGATGAATTTTCCTCATCAATACCTACTCACACTACTATTCTGTTCCGTAGGTCATCACTTCACCTGTAACCTTTCTCCTCTGTGCCAAACCAAATCCTCCTCGTCTTTCAAGGTTCTACCAGGCTCAGTTAGTAGCAAGCTGTAGTGCTCCCATCACACTCCACTTACCCTTATTACAGCATCAATAACAGTTTTAGAAGTGATGGTATGAGGGCAACAGGTTATTTCCACTTGCTAACGTAATGAAGCTTCTGGTTTGTGCCCTTAATAGTTCAAAAGATGAAATGGAAACTTACACCCAGAGTGCCCATTGTGACCTGGTGTCCAGGCACCTATGTGAGCATCAGGCTACAGCCTCACTCTCTAATATCCACCAACTGATTACAGTAAGCCTAACTCACTAGGCTTCTGCTCAGGCTGTGATGCCCACTTTCCTGTAGGTCACTAGATACTTGTTGAAAAACCCCTAACTTGGGCCCTGAACTCTTCCCTTAGGTGTTGTCATGTTTCCATCCCCAAGTGACTAGACTGTGCTTTCAGTATTATTTACTCAAATATTGCAGCAATACTAGGACCACCCCCCAGCACAAAAATACACACAAAGGGTTTGGGCTAACTTATTTGCATGGCAAATTCCCTCAATCTCACTGCCAAAGGCCATTTCTCTTGTACAAATTTCTAGCCTCTACTTCTTTTCCATTGAATTTCTAGCATCAAGTTCAGTTGGCAACAAGCTGTTAGAGTTGCCCTTATCTGTCATTCCTTCTGTTTTTGTCCTTTCTTCAATAAAATATGCATCTCTCATAGTATTTTAGTTTCCCAAAATTTATGTTTTCTGTCTTCATTTTCTGTTAGGGAGTTCCAGTGGTTGAAGACCCATGCCCTTCCTGTTTACCTGCCAGTTTGAGGTGGGAAACTAGATGATGGGATAAGAAAGAAAGAAAGAAAGAAAGAAAGAAAGAAAGAAAGAAAGAAAGAAAGAAAGAAAGAAAGGAAGGAAGGAAGGAAGGAAGGAAGGAAGGAAGGAAGGAAGGAAGGAAGGAAGGAGAAAGAAAGAGAGAGAGAGAGAGAGAAAGAAAGAAAGAAAGAAAGAAAGAAAGAAAGGAGAGACAGAGAGAGAAAGAGAAAGGAAGAAAGAAAGAAAGAAAGAAAGAAAGAAAGAAAGAAGAGAAAGAAAGAAAAGAGAGACAAAGAGAGAGAAAGAGAAAGAAAGAAGAAAGAAAGAAAGAAAGAAAGAAAGAAAGAAAGAAAGAAAGAAAGAAAGAAGGAAAGAAAGAAAGAAAGAAAGAAAGAGAATATAGATTCAGCATGTACACATCATTAGCAGGAAGCAAGCTGGTCCCAGGGGAAGTGATTAGGCATTTAAAGAAATAATGATGGAAAGCCTGAAAACCGTACAGCAAAAAGCATTAAAAATAATCACTGACTGGCCAATTCTGTGAAGCCAATGACTTGCAAGCAGTTTGAGTCATAACTGAAAGGGCCTTTAAAAAATTAACAGACCAAAGCACAATGCAGGTTCCTAGTCATTCTTCCAAAGGCCAATAGAAGAAAAATAATTTCCCTTCAGGAAAGGGTTCCTACCATAGATACTAGTGGTCCTCTGGGCTCTGTCCTAATTTTACACCCTCTTCCTAGGATATGCCATCCACTTTCATGGATTGCATTTCCACTTTAAGATATTGACTTTTTTTAGTCCAAACTATCCCTTTGAGTACAGAACTCGCTTAGGCGCTAACCTATCATATTTTTTCTATTTGGATGGCTTGGAGGTACTTTGAGCTGTTTAATTTTTATTTGTCTCCCCAGACACATTCCTCACCCCTCTTCTCTCTGCTCTTGGCCCCAGGAGACTGACTCTATGGATTTTAACAATCTGGTTTCTCAGCCTTCTGAATTCTAGGTGTGTTTAGTGAGAGTCACTGGCAGGTGCTCAGAGGAGGGGAGAAGAGAGGTTGAGATTTTTATTCCCCTAGTTTCCTATGCTTTGACAAGTCCACGATACACTACCTAAGTCCCCGTCTCTTGTTGGGTGGCTCTTTCCTATTGCTACAGTAAACTCTGAAAACAATCACTTCTCTTTGATCTTAGACCTATAGATAGTGGTAATGACTTTCTATCATTGCTGATATCACAGCACTTCACTATCCACTGTAGATTTCTTTTTACCCTGACCACAACTTTGTTAAACTTTCTTCAATTATACCTTCTGAGTGTACATCTGTATTTAAATTCACCTTGTCCAAAACTGGATTTAACCTCTTCATCTTCCCATTCTCAGCATCATTCACCTGCCCCTTCTTCTGTACTATTTCTCACAGTGAATGTCTTGGTGACACATTCCAGACATGTCCAGAAGCCTGGACATCATGAGTGACTCCTTCCCTACACACTCATTATATAATTGGCCATAATCAAGTCCCGTGCATTCTCTAAGACTCTCTCTCATCACTTCTTCTCAACCTTAGTCTGGGCCAGCATCATCTCAGCACACATTTATTGTGAAAGTGGCCTAAATGATCTCCATGCCTTTGATCTTGACCTACGTCAATCCATTCTACAGGACAGAGGGAGAATCATCTTACATAAATGCAAATCTGATTAAGTCACTCACCTAGTGAAAATTCTTCAGTGCTCCCTGTTGGCTTTAAGACCAAGTCTGAATTTTTAAATATGGCTTAAGGGCCTTCATTATCTGACTTCCAGTTACTTCTGTCATTTCTTCTTTCACTAATTACTTTACTTTCCCTCTTTATCCCTGAGACTTTATTCCATTCCAAAACTCACCATGCTCTTTCACCTCTGGACTTTGGCACATGTTGATTCTCTGACCCGAACATTCTCTCCTCCTCTGCAAGTCCCTTTGTACCTAGCTAACAACTACTCATGAGCAGCTTACGTGCTCAATTAGAACAGGGACTGTGTTTATTGCACACATTACTATATCCTTAGCACCTAGTACAGTGCCTGGTACCTACCACACTGATATGGAAGCCCACTAGTCATAAGTGACTACTGAACATGTGAAATATGCCAAGTCTGAATGGAAGTGTGCTGTACATGTAAAATACACACTTGATTTTAAAGACTGAGCACAATAAAGTATACAATGCTGCAATATTTTTATGTTGATTACATGTTAATATGATTTTGGACATATTAGATTAAAATACATTACTAAAATTAATTTTCCCTGTTTATTTTTATTTTTCTTAATATTGGCCAATTTCGCATTAGAATTTGTTAGAAAATTTTAAATTACGTATGTGGCTCATGTATATTTTTATTGGAAAGCTCTGTCTAATAAATATTTGTTGAATGAGTAAAGGTAAATAATTGAATAAATGAATAAGAGAAATGCCCAGTTTCCAAATTTGGCTCTTGTTTCTTTGGAAACTTTTTCTAAATCTGAGTGAAGTGCTCCTTTTAGGTCTTCCCAAAACACCCTGTAATTCCTCCATTGTGACAATTATCACGTTGCACCAAAAATGATCTTTTTAGGTCCATGAGGGCGGGTGCTGTATCTTTTTCAACAGTGGATCACTAGTGCCTGGTGTGGTACATAGTATATAGTAAACACTCAAAAAACATTTGATGAATGAGTCACTAAGAGGCCAATGGTCATGCAATAAGAAAAAGAGAGACACAAATAATAATAGCGATGATGATGATGATGATGACAATGATGATAACTGCTATGATGTTAAAACTACTCAGTAACAGGTGCTCTACATTAATGTATAACAGGCCCCGAGCCTAAGGGCCTATTGAGATGACACCAGAGGCACGGGGGTTATTGACTCTTATTCCAGTTTGGCAGCTCTCATTAAGGAAAGTGCATGAAATAGGCCTGGAGAGCTTCAGGCCCACAGGTGATGGCTATAATAGTGCCTGAGGGCACTGTTCTCGTCCCTTTTCTGTGGCCATTGGTAAAAAATTTATGATTCTGAGTCTGGAGAAATGGTGCCTGGCACCAGTCCTGATTAATGTAAGTACAGAACTGTTGAAGTCTTGGGTACATAGACTGGACGTGGAGGCAGGCAGCAAGATCTAGCTCACCCTTTCTCACTTGTTCTCCTCAACTGCATGCCTACTGCTGACACCATGCTAGCAGTAAGCCAGAAACAAATAGCTCTACTTGGAATTGAGAGATGTCAGTCTCTCTTCTCTGTTCCTGAATGTGCTGACTTCTTTCTGTATCATATTGATGAGTAATCCCTTTACATTTATCTCAGTTTTTCATTGTGTATAATCTTTGCATCCATGTTAACCTAGAGTTGACACTCATCAGTTGATAATTATGTAGTATATTAGCTCCAGTACTCACAGTAACTAGACTAGATGTTATCCTCATTTGGCTGAAAGGGAAAATAAGCTAAAAATACAGAAGCAAATATTTCAGAGTTGTATTGTAAGCAAGTGATATGACTGGAACCCGGTTCTGTTGGAGTCTAACATCCATGCTCTTCCCATCCCTGTCTCTCTAAGGTACATGATACAAGGAAAAGTCAGTGTCCAGTGGGTATTCTTTTCCCTAGAAGGACTTAGTGAAAAAGCTGGAAAAGGAGAACAGAGGTAACTCACAGTGGCAAGATGCGATGACTTCAGGTGGGGTCCCAAGCTCCCCAGATGTGCTGAAGTAATTCATCATGACCTATTGAGTATCCCTACCCTTGTTCTCCATCTATGCCTTGATTGTGTTCTCCACCTTTGCTTTGATTGTGTTCTCCAACTTTGCATTGATTGTGGCTCATATTCAACCCTCTTAGGAAGTCTTGCTGTATTAGCTTACCAGGTAGTATTTTCCCATTATCACTTAACCTTTGAAGCCAGGTTTGGTGCCCTGGTCATGTCCTCTTTATTCTGGAACCTTGATCCAGCCCTACATCTAGCTGATATTGTCCATTTTATTTCTAAACCACCAAGTTCTCACACTGGTCTGAGGTGCTTCCATAAGGATAGGAGCACTTTGGTCGCAAAAGCCCTAGGAAGAGATCATCAGGGTCAGGGAAGAAAAAAGGGCTCCCTTGAGACTGGGAGTAGACAGGAAAGGATAGCAATGTGCCCCTGAGCCTGTCTGTGAAACTGCTGTGCATCCTTTATGACATAAAAATGACATAAAAATAAGATCCACTTATTTTTGTACTTCTGCTCAACCCTAATGAGGTTTGTATTTTGAATAAAGTTATTGTACCTACCTCTTTCTTCTTATCTTAAACATTACTCTCCCATAGTTTTCTCTAATTTGTAAAGAAAAAAAGCATAAAAATGACTATTTCACAGTATTGGTGTGAGGGTAAAGGAAATGTGGTACGCTATTTGGAATATAGCAATATCTCAACAAACAGTAGCTAGATCTTAAGCATGTACTTTATATGGTTCAAGGCATCTCTTGAAATTCATTCTGCTAGGAGCTTCTGAAAAGAGCAAAGTCTAGGATGGGCATAATGAAAATAATAAGAGGGAAAATCAAAACTGAAAGGAAGGAGAGAAGTTCTAATTAAGCTTTTCCACAAAAAAAAAATTGAAGATGGATGGGCCATTCTGTATAAATCACATGCAAATATTATTCAATAATATAGACCAAGCTTGTTCCAGTTTGGGATTATAAGAGATTGATTAGAATTTATAACTTTTTATTCTGGTCTAGGGTTTGAATTAAATGTGTGAGAGACAGTATTCTAATTTTGAAACATTCACAAAGGAGAAATCAGTGAAGACAGTGATGGAGGAAATATCAGTGTTAGACTAGAGAAGGCATAGGTATGCCATACTTGGGAAACAGAGCAACACAGCGACCTAGTTCATGGTAAGGAGAAGCTAGAAGAAAATGAAAAAATATTTCTGTGTCAATATACACAGGTTGTTGACATAGGCAATTTATAATCACTTTCCGGGAATTTCAGTGTGAAATAGGACTCTAAGGGTGATTTCATCCCCTTTGAGAAGGCAGTTTGTATACTGAAAAAAAAATACACACACATACAAATACATATTTCTTTTCAATTAGACTTCCATTTATAAATGTTAATCTCAACAATAAAATCCATAAACTTGAGAGAAGAGATGAAAGACTATACTTAAAAGAGAAAGATATATAGTGACTTGGGCAGTCATTTAACGTACCTCATGGTCTCAGATTTGTGAGAATTTTGTGAGAATTTTAAAAATATAAAAAAGAGTCATTTGTAAATAACATCATCAACAATAATAGTAACAGCCACTTTTGGAATTTCTGAGCTCTGTGTACAAGGTACTATTCAGCACTTTCCATACATTTTTTTTCACATAATGCTTCTGATGAGGCTATGAGATAGCTATACTATAACTATTCCCATTGTGGTGATGAGGAAACTGAGGTGAAGATAAGGTTAGGTTACATGACAAGCTAATGAGAGAAAGAGCTGAGATTCAAAGCAGGACTGTCTGACTCAGAGTTTAATGTTGTCTCTCCCACCATGGCAGTCTATGGATAGTAGTTACTGAAGCTGTTATGACTGTGCTTCTTGGGTAGCCCCAGAAACCTGACCAACTTGACACAGACATGTAAGCAAAATATAACAGCTGAAATGAGACACCGCAGGACTAAAATGGAAAAATCCGACGTTTAACGTTAAAAATAGATAGATGCTTCACTCACTTTATAAACGCCCTGGCCATAGCTCTTGTATCCATGGTTGAACAGTTGGACACATGGCCTGGGTAAATTTCACCAGGAGGGGAAGAGGCTGGCTGTGTCTCACTCATAAAAGAAAGCCACAGGGAATGGCTAGGATAAAAGAGGAGACAAAAAGCATGTCAACAGAGCAGTGAGGGCACGGTGGGGCAAAGTGAAAGAGAAAAGAAACATCCTAATTGTTAACAGAGACAGGAAAACAGGCAGAAGTTAGCAGGGTAAAGGCTGCCTGGTGACACTGTCCTCTGGGGAGCAAGAAAAGAGACTGCAATTCAGAGCAACTTGGGGGCACTTCGTTAGAGTTTATTAAAAGCACAACTGTACGGGCACTCAGTGTGAATTCTTGCTACCAGTTTTTCGTTAATGTTTTCCGGAAATGCTTTTCCCTCTAAAAGTTAAAGAGCTCAAAATTTATTTGAGGTTGTGAAGGAGAATTTTAAAATTAAAAGCTCTCAGAGGTAGAGTTCTTCCATAAGATTAGTAGAAATGAATGCTAATTTTTTCCATTATGATCCTGGAGAGAAAAGGTAGACAGAGCTTGTAGGGGAAAGCAGCCAAGAAGAGTTTTAAAGACAGGCCTTCCAGGTGCCAGCCAGGGAGCTTCATGGAGGCTGGATCTGAGCTCTCCCAACCTTAAATAAGACTATTACCCAACAATGTCAAACATGGACTTGCTTTCTATGTCAAGAACAAATCGCTTCTTGGTGCAAGTTGGTGCAACTTCTTTGAAGAGCAACTTGGGGATATCCATCATGTTAAGAGTTAGCAATCCCAATTCAAATAATTTTGTCTATAAGACATACACAGATGTGTGTGTGTGAAGATATGTGTTACAGTTTATTTATAATACTGAAAATCTGGACAACCCAAATGGTCATCAATAAGAGACTAGTTAAATAAATGATGATATGTCATGCAAGGAGAATTATGCACCTCTTAGTCATTTTGGCAAAGTAAAAAGATCTTTATAATATATTCATTAAAAATAACAGTATATATAAAATGAATGACTTCATTGGTTTTAAATGGATTACACATAATTTAATATCCTTTTGTGTGTGTAAAAAGTTCTAGAAAGATTCATTAAAAGTTGTTTTTATATTGGTGGGGGTAGAGCTAGGGCATACTTGAAATGGGAAAAGTTTCAATTTTCATTTTGTATCTTTCTGTACTGTTTGCGTTTTTAAATCATGAGCATAAATTTTTAAAAACAATATTTAAAAAGTTGAAAAGATGTTTCTCTGAAAAAGTATAGTTTAAAATGGAATCTCTTTAACATTAAAATACAAATCCATACGCAGAAACTATAGTAAAATGGAATCAATACATTAATAATTTTTTATCCTCTATGACCAACTAGAGTCTATCCCACAGATGTAATAGAAGTTTAATATTAGAAAATCTGTCAACAAAATGCATTACATCATTAGATGAAGGAAGAAGAATTACATAACCTTATTGAATGCCAAAGGACATTTGGTATAAAGAAAAAACTGATTGAAAAAAACTATTTATAAATAGCATACTTCTATAATGGGTAAACAATAAGTATCTCAAAACAACAGCCAACGTCATCATTGGAATTATGGTGACATTCCAATTATATGGAACATTTTCTAATTTTGAACTCTTATGATGTTTTTGTCTGAGATTTAATAAGAAAAAATAATAGTTTCAGAATCTGTCTGAAAAATTCCTCTCAGAACAATGAGAAGGGTAAATATGGGAGCTTGAGAAATAATCCTCAGTACAGAAAAAGACCCAGACTTAGCCCCAAATCAATAGACTAAGGCATTGTTTTAGAATTCAGTCTATTCCATGGCCTTGTTTGAGAACTCTTAAACTCTTCTCATGTAGGATTCTAAACTATCCTTAAAAAGTCCTTCAATATGACCCAATAAGAAATTACTGAGCATTTATTCTGTGATCATGGACTGTGTTGGCTTGAGGCTTTCAAAATAGGAAAAAGGAAAGACAGGGGATGGGGACACTGAAAGCTTCTAGGAAGATGTCAAGATTTGAGATGAGGTCGAGGATTAGAACCAGTTCCAGTGTTACAGGTCTGCTTAGCACAGAAGACTTTTAGTGTGGTAGAGAATGGCTGCTAGGAGGATAGGATGCACTTTGAAGCAGTCTTTAATGTTTACCTAAATGTGGAAAGATGTGAAGGTGGCAGTGAGGAGCCAGGAAAGAAGGAGCAGCTTCTATGGAAGAATGCTGTGAGGCAAGAAGCAGCACCAAGGAAAACCAGGGTTCCATTTAGATAAGAAGAGTGAAGAGAATGTTTAGTGGCAAGTGTGAAAATATAGGTTTATTTGTTCACAATGAGACACAAGTGACAGAGACTGAGAGAAGATAAAAGGTCAGGTTTTAGGATTCAAGTAGATTAGAGGGGGTGGCTTTTCATTCATTCATCAAGAATCCCTAAAACAAGAAGCCTCATTGGAAGTAACCAATTTTAAATGTCCCAACTTTGACACATTGACACCAGAACTTTCCAAGGGCACTAGCAACTGTTAAGCAGCAATTCATGGCTTGGATTGAGGGCTGGAACCCCTCACTTTGGCACTTCCCACATCTTACCCCACCATTGCAGAAATCTGCCCATGGATATTAAGTACTTTCTATGTACAAGGCACTATATAGAAGATAATGGAAAGAATCAAGGGCACAGCCCTCTGCTTTCAAAAAATAGCACCACTAAGATTTGTGTCAATGACTCTTAAACATTAGCATCACCAGAATTACCTGGAAGGCTTGTTAAAGTCAGTTTGCTGGGGGCTGAGGCAGGGGAATCGCTTGAACCCAGGAGGTGGACATCGCAGTGAGCTGAGATTGTGCCACCGCACTCCAACCTGGCAACACAGCGAGACTCCATCTCAAGAAAAAAAAAAAAAAAAAAAAAAAAGTCGGGTTGCTGAGTCTCACGCCAAAGTGTCTGCTTCACTAGGTCTGAGGTGAATCCTGAGAACTTGCATTTCTAACAGGCCCCAGGTGATGTTCATGCTGCCAGTTCAAGGACCACATCTTGAGAACTACTGACCCAAGGGAGACAGCAGTAAACACCTTGGGAACTCAGAGCATAGAGATACTCATTTATGGAGATTAAAATCAGACCATGAATAAAATTTTGGTAAGTTCCCAAAGTAATGACTTCAAGGTACACAAGGTTCTCTGAAAACTGCATGTGGTTAATGTACATTTTGTAAAAGAAAAACCAGTTCCTAAGTAAACTCAAATAACTGGGTATTATATACTGCCTTGATTCAGGCTTCCCCAAGCATTAGAATCAAGATTCTAATTATCTTTACAAGATCAGCTCCTACAGTACAAGATTCACAGGACAAGTCCATGGTCACTGCGTGTGTAGGCCAGTCTGGACTACAGGAAACATCTTTCCTCCTCAAGCCTTCCTGGAAAAAAAAAAAAGTAACCATAACAGATAAAGTTCTACAGCAGATTGAAGTTTACAAGTACTTTTATATATGTTTAACTCAGAGACCAATTGAAAAACATGTAAGTGTGCTTTAAGCTGCAAAGTGTATTTAAATATTAGTTATCTTCATAATTTGATTTGTACAGATTCCCAAGCATGAGTATCATTGTCTACCTTTACCTATAAATAAAGCGAGTGCTATGGTTTGAATGTTTGTCCCTTCTAAAACTTACACTAACACTTAACTCCCAGTGTGGCAGTATTGAGAGGTGAGGCCTGTAAAAGGTGATAGGGTCATGAGGGCAGAGCCCTCATTAATGAATGAATCCATTCATGGATTAATGGATCAGTGGGTTTTCACAGGAGTGGGACTAGTAACTTTACAAGAGGAAGAGATACCTGAGCTAGCACACTCAGCCCCTTCACCATGTGATGGCCTGCACTGCCTTGGGACTCTGCAGAGAGTTCCCATCAGTAAAGGAACCCTCACCAGATGTGGCCCTTGACCTTGGATTTCTCAGCCTCCATTATTCAATAAGAAATAAATTCCTGGTCAGGTGCGGTCGCTCACGCCTGTAATCCCAGCACTTTGGGAGGCCGAGGCAGGTGGATCGCCTGAGGTCAGGAGTTCGAGAGCAGCCTGGCCAACATACAGAAACGCCGTCTCTACTAAAAATACAAAAAATTAGCTGAGCCTGGTGGCAGGTGCCTGTAATCCCAGCAACTCAGGAGGCTGAGGCAGGAGAATTGCTTGAACCTAGGAGGCAAAGGTTGCCGTGAGCCGAGATTGTACCAATGCACTCCAGCCTGGGCAACAGGAGCGACACTCCGTCTCAAAAAAAGAAAGAAAGAAAGAAATTCCTTTTCTTTATAAATTACCCACTTTCATGTACTCTGTTATAAGCAACAGAAAACAGGCTAAGACAGTGAGGCTACATAGGAAAAGTGATTTGACTATGGTCAGAAAGATTCCAAGTAGCAGAGATAAAATTAAGATAGGATTTTACTTCTAAATTATGTGCTGTATTAGAAGATATACCAGAAATGTCAAACTTCACTCCTGCTTCATCGATAGCCACCAATGACAGCCCTGGGTGACCATGTTTTATATTATGTCATTATCTGCTCTCTCTTTTTGCTCCACCTAACCCCATACCACCTCGATGGTTCACTGGACCAGAGGTGGGGACTTCACTATGAGTCACCATTGCATAGGCCTAGGATACTGTGGTTCTCAAACTTAAATGTGCATTACAATCACCTGAAGCCTTGATAAATCAGATCGCTAGGGCCTCACCCCAGAGTTCCTGATTCAGTAGGTCCGGGGTGGGACCTAATAATTTGCATTCCTAATGAGTTCCTGGATGATATTGATGCTGTTGGTCAGGGGAGCAAACTAACTCTTAAATTACAGGATAGCTAAGACAATCAGATTCTCTTTCTTCAAAATTTGAACCTGAAAATTCTGAGAGCATGAGGTACTTAAGAACGAAAGAGGAAAATGAAATGAAACACAGAGAGCGTATTAATAAGAGCTATGAGGAATTATGGCAGTCTAGATTTATAAAGGAAGAGAAACTGTAAATAGGTAAAACAATGTGGCACAGGAATGGTTTTCAGAACAGAGAGAAAGAATGGGGCAATTGATGACAAAACAGACCAAAGAAACCATGCAAAGGCACTGGTGCTGAGAGAGCTTCATGGCATGGGCACAAAGACTCCAGAAAACTCCTGACAAGGCCTCTACCATTTCCAAGGAACCAGCACACTCTGATTCCTCTACTTTCTTAGTCTTGGTTATCTGACTTCTTGTGAATGTCCTTGCAATACTCCCTGCCCTATTAGATGTGATAACTGTGATAGTTGATATTTGTGTCAATTTGACTGCACCATGGGGTGCCCAGATTAAGCCTCGTTTGTAGGCGTGTCTGTGGGGATGTTTCTCAATGAGCTTAGCATTTGAACTGATGGACTTAGTAAATTAGATAGCCCTCCCGAATGTGTGTGGGCATCTTCCAATCTTAAGGGGCTGAAGAGAGTAAAAAGGCAGAGGAAGGAGTACTTTACCCCTGTCCCTTTCTACCTGATTGCTTGAGCTGGGATATCAATCTTTTGCTCTCAGCACTTCTGATTCTTAGGTTTTTAGACATAGACTGGAATTTTCACCATTGGCTCTCCAGCTCTCAGGCCTTAGAACTACACTACTGCCTTTCCTGGGTCTCCAGCTTGCAGCCAGCAGATTAGAAAACTTAGCCTCTATAACTGCTTGAACCAACTATATAATAGGATATATATATATTTTATATATATCCTATTATATATATATAAATCCTATATAAATTTATATATATAGGATTTATATATATATAAATCCTATATATATATAAATTATATATATATATATCCTATTATATATAAAATATATATATATATCCTATCAGTTCTATTTCTCTGGAGAATCCTAATAAGAAATCTGTCTCTTTCAAAGAAAGGGCTCCACATGATCAGGAGAGAAGCCCCGAACATTTTTCAATCATCTATCCTATTTATGAAATCCTAGTAGCGCAGTCCATAGACTTGGAAATTAGCATTGTTCATCAAAGTAAGGTTGTTGCAGAGTCACGCCAGATCATCAGGTTCCTTAGGACAAGGCCATTCCCTATCCTCTGGGGCTAACCAGTTGACTCCATATGCAACCGTAAATTTCTCCAGTTTGTTGCCCTGACAGGTACTTGGCACATGGTGATTCCCCAGTCATATGCCCTCTCCATGGAAAGCAATCTGTGTCATAAAGAATTGCCAGCATAACCTCCCAGCATGGTTAAGGCCTGCGAAAATAACAGCTAGAGAGTTTAAAAAAAAAAAAGAAAAAAAAAAAGCAAACCATAGTTCCTCATACTTTTAATGACTAGTTGCATGATTTGGGGTACTCTTTTAAAAAATGAAGCCCAGTTTTATTGATAAGGTGGAAAGTGTGTCTACATTACAGATAGATTTACTTGCCAATGCCAATCAATGTGGTGACTTCCTAGAGTGCTGTCAAGAGAAGGATAATGAGCCTGTGTCCATCAAGGGTGCAATGATGGGTTGATAATGTCTGTCATGGCATGGAAAGGGGACAGGGGGATTGAATGCTATCATAGGTCCCCTATATTTCTTTTCCTTTTTTCTTTTTTCTTTTTTTTTTTTTTTTTCAGATGGAGTCTTGCTCTGTTGCCCAGGCTGGAGTGCAGTGGTACTATCTCGGCTCACTGCAACATCTGCCTCCCAGGTTCAAGCAATTCTCGTACCTCGGCCTCGGCCTCCAGAGTAGCTGGGATTATGGGGGCCTGCCACCACGTTTGGCTAATTTTTGTATTTTTAGTAGAGATGGGGTTTCACCATGTTGGCCAGGCTGGTCTCAAATTCCTGACCTCATGACCTGCCCACCTCGGCCTCCCAAAGTTCTAGGATTACAGGTGTGAGTCACCTCATCTGGCCTCTAATTCTTAATTCTATGATTTTATGTTATTATCTCTAATATGAATGTACCAAACATATATTTACCTCTAAGATGTTAGATTTATTTCTCTTGTAGGGTCAACTCTCTGCTTCTTTTCCTCCTGTTGGGTCTTGGGGCCCATTTTTTCTCAGGTGAATATTACAATACTGCAGCTCACAGCATTAAAGTGCACAGCAAATGCATAATAATATAGTGTCTGCTAAACACTTCATAAAAAGTAGCATTAATAATCCATGCCACATCTTTGTTTGCTTAAAAAAAACCTGCATGGGGCAGATGGATTCAAAACCCCAGTGGGAGGGAGCAGCAGCCCTGTGACCACTGTCACTGGATCCAGATGAAGTGGCTGCAAGAATAGACTTTTGATGAAAACCACGTTGGTTTTCCCTATTTCTTTTTCTTTTTCTTTTTTTTTCCAGAGCCTCTTTAAGAATGGTGTTAGGTTATTTTGATGCACTATGGTCCTGTTTCTGTAGAAACTATATCAGCATAAAATTACACAGCAGAGAAAATCATTAGGTCTAAACATTCTTTCAAAGTGCATTAGAAAGACAGCACTTATTATCTTGTGCTGTCAATGTCAATGGGTTGCCTCTTCCTGGGCAAATCACCTCTCTGAGCCTCAATTTCCTCATTTGTCAAAAAGGGAGGGGGGGGGTAAAATAGATGAATTATCAGGTCCTTTCTAGCTGTGATATTTTATGAATTATATCTCCTTCACTACAAACAATTGCTACATGGAATTGGGAAATTAAATGTATTTTAAAAAGAACTACCCTGTTATACCTATAATGAAAAATTCTAATTGTTCTTTATCAATGAGAATCCCATCAAAAAATAAAATTTAATAGGTTATATTTTGGATACCTTCAACCCAGTTGCATACCCATCCCTGGTTCTCAAACTTGAGGGGGTGGGGGAGAGGATGGAGTTTCCATCAAGGATAAATTTACCACTACTTGCAGACATTTTTGGTTGTCCCAGCAGGGGCCAAGAGACAGAGTTATTCCTGGTATCTAGTTTCTAAAGTCAAGGTATGCTACTAACCATCTTACAGTGTACAAGGAAGCTCCCTGCAACAAAGAATTATGTTCCCCAAAATGTCAATAGTGCTAAGGTTGGGAAATCCTGGATTAACTTGGACTCATTGCAGCAGAGTTCACAAAGATTTTGAGGGTGGGGAATGAGATCTTCAACCTGATGTACAAACAAGTTTATTTCAATTAACGCACATTAAGCTATATGACTTATGTCAACTGCACCAGGACAAATTATTCACTATATTACAATATAGTAAAATATTAAGGGTTTCTAAATATTACAATGTAATAAAAAATCACACTTAACAATTTCTGAGCTGATGAGTACTACTAGGAACAAGTCATTTTTTTTTTATGGTCATGTGCTTTGCTTCTGTGAAGTTTAATCTCCCATAACTTTATTTTTAACTTTTTTCAAGAAAAGCTGCAAGATCCTCTTTAATTATTATTAGATGCAATAAATAAAACAGTTTTCTATTTTCTAACCTCATTCAGCTAAAGTACAAGAATGGAAAAGCTTGTCAAAGGAATGTGCCTTCTATTTTGGAGGAGAACCAAAAGTACCTTCCTATATGTAGCACTAAGATTGCCAAAATGGAAGCTGAAATGAAAACATATTTTTGCAATTCTGCTAAATTTTATTTTTGCATGTTAACTATCTTTAGAGGATTGGAAAGACTCCCACAGAAAAACTACTATACCTTCTTTTCTCCATGACAAAAGTGAGGCAGAGACTAATATTTTTTGTGCTAAACTCTTGAGATTGGAAGACTGCTGTTACAGTAGCATAACGTAGCCAATCCTGACTGATACACTCAGAAATTGGACCACTCTCTAGGATAGGCCAACAAATTAGAGCTCACACTGTCTTCAGAGTATGGTAATATCTAATATTTTAAGTAATATAATTTAGAATTACAAACATGTAAATCCTAAATGTTGCTTTTTATATACACCCTACGCCTCTTAGCTGTGCAGTAAATGGGGTCGAGAAACCCCCCAGTCAGTGTCCCCACTGACAAAACTTTAATCCCAGGTACTGACCATCATCCTTCCAAATGATGGAGACAAGATGATAAGTGAACATATTTTCACAAAGCATCCCAAGTAGATCTCTTTATTAAGTGATGAAAGATCTGGGTTTGAGTGGTTTCTTTTATCCACTTAAATTCATCCAAAGCACTAAATTTCCTCTATAAGTTTTTCCTTTGTTTTATAAAGGAACTAATATCAAGTATCCCTACTTGATAATGACCATCTCTGCTTTATATTTCTGTGATACCATTTGCAGGGTTTTCTTGGGCAGAGTTAGCAAATTTGATTAATGATTTGACCTAATCTCTGCTCATGTATTTTTTTACTGTTTTAAGTACCCTCTTAATGACAGGCTTTTCACAGTCACAAAGCACATGATAAAAATTTTATGAAAGAACTGTGTCATTTATTTAGACTTCTTCATCTGAAACTTTACTTCAGTTAGAACCTGAAATACCCAACCCCATCCCATCCCAGTCTCCCCTCTGCCGGAAATAGCTAACCGCATCCTACCCCAGTCCACAAATATCCAACCCCATTCCATCCCAGTCCACTCCCTGCCAACTGCCCAGTTAAGCCAGGTTATTACCAAATTGTCCATTTTCTTTTATCAGTGGAAACCTGATTTATGAATTCTAAAACTTTTGGTAGGTCACTCCTCAAAGGCACGCTCTTCCATTCCTCTTAAAATAGTGTTTTGTTTTTTTTTAGAAACTGTGAATAATTTTATTTTTTAGTATGGTAAACTCTGACAAATCCACTACTAGTTCCTAAACTAGAGAAGTTAGAACTCAACAGAAAATTCTGGCCTAAAAAGCCGACAGTGGCTCCATGCAAAGAGGACCCAAGACATCTAACCAGAGCAAATGGAAAATCTGAATAAGTCCAAATATCTGAAACCCCTGTCTGTCCTCAGAGTGTGCAGTTAAAAACAATGTGGATGACAGAATGTATGGTAACTCATTGTTTACTTGTGACAGAATAATTTATCTATTTACAAATCTGTTTCTTCTGGACTGGAATGTGAGCTCTCGAGAGAGGGAATGTGTCTTATTTATCACCTGAAGGCCTTGAACAGTGCATGGCACATAGAAGGTATTTGATTCATTGAATAACTACATGAATGAACACTAGTTTTTCAACCTGATTTATCTGACCTATATATACTGTTTTGCTCTGGCCCTTACATTGATTTTTGTATTAAGAAACTATCACTAGAAATTTCTAACAACTTTAGAAAATGTTTCCCTTTCCAATCAGAGCCCTATGGCAATATCTATTTTGTTAATGGTGTTCTTAGGAGGATACTGAGACATGACCCTAAGACTAAACAAGAAGAAATTGTAAGAAATTAGGGTTGTACACAAAGAAGGAGGAAAAAGTGACAAATCATTGAAATGAGAGTCCCAAGCAGCATTTCAGAGTATCCAGACCTTTTATGTGGCGCCCAAACGAAACACCCCCCCACCCCCCGCCCCAAGGTTTGTTTCATGACCCCTCAGTGGCCATTCTGGCCCTATGATGATATAAAAGGGATGGCAGTAGGGAGAAAGTTTAACCACCACTACTCTGCTATAAAACAAGAGTAAAAATGCCAAGCTACACATCAAAAAGCAAAAACAATGGAGATTATAAAGTACTTTGCAAACATGAAGGATTCTAGCAAGCTGAATAGCAATTTCAGTGACATCCAACAGAGCCACTGCATTTGACAGGATTATCTTAAAATAACAAGGTGGGGGCATTCTGTCTAACAGAATAAACAACTATTGCAAGTGTCCTGGAAATCCATATGAAGCATCTGAATTTTATAATAAAAAGCTGTTTTCTCTCTCTTTCTGCCTTCCTCTTGCCCTCTCTCCATATGTCCATCTATTCCTCTTGCCTTTCCTCCCTTTTGTTTTGTAGTCTTATTCCTATTAAAATATGATGACAAAAATTATCTGAAGTAAAGAAAATAGCATCCAATTTACTTAAGACACAGAGCAAAACCTCACAGAGTTCTTTATCATTTTAAGTAGTGGAAAGCTTTTAAGAGGAGGCTTAAGTAATTGAAAGCCAAATTACTTCCAAATATACTAGCTTAAGGTATCTGGGAGAGAGTGATTGCAAAAAGGGCCTTGTAGAATATTGATTGCATTAATGATCATACTGCATCTTTCATTGCAATGTGACTTGGCAGCTCCTTGCATCAAGACGGGGAGTTTGTGTGCTCATTCCTTTTTAATCTGGACTGGCCTTTGCCCAAAAGAATATGGCAAGAGTGACAGTGTGTCAGTTCTGAGCGTTAAGGGCTTTACATGTTTGCACTCTCTATCTCAAAATCCTCACCACTGTCACAAAATAAGCCTGGGTTAACTCACTGGAAGATTTGAGAGACTATGTGGAGATCCACATTGTCCTAGTTAAGAACAATAACAATGACTAGTAAATGTTCAGCCAACTCTTCAAATATATGAGAGAGTCCAGGCAATATCAGTGGGGCCTCCTACCGAACACACAACTTACCCCAGACACCTGAGTTATTTCGGCTGTGACCAGAAGAACTATCCAGCTGAACTACAGACGTCTAAGCCATGATAAATGTTTATTGTTTTAAGCCCCAAAGTTTTGGAATGGGTTATTATACAGAATATCTAACTGATACAGACCTTATCTTTATTTCCTAACCACTTGATTAGTTGATTTACCTGACATTTATTAACTTCAATGGAGTTGATACATACCAAGATCCTGGACATACACTTTGTACCTGTTACATTATAACTGATAATTGATACTTGGAGCAACACCTGTGATGCCTTAACAGCATTGCTATACTTGGAGGGATGTTTATACCCTTTATGATTATCACAATCCCTAGTCACAACTCATGGATACCCTATGCTGTTATTAATATTAAAGAGGTAATGCCCAAGCATGAACAAAACTGTGAAGTATAACATGCAAATTGGCAACATCATTTCATCAGTTATCTGTGATGAAGTCTTCTTTTCCCTCAGCTATGAACATATTTAAAGACTTAATCAGACAATCTCTGTTGGCAGGAAAGAGTTGGCAGAACAGCTCTATCAAAACCAGAGTTTTACCCAGAGACTACTGTCCTTCTAAGAACAAAGGGAAATCTAGAAGGTGTGCAAACATTTGTGTGCATGTCCATATATGCATTTTTTACTGAAAAATTGCCCAGTATCCACTCTGAGCAACTGATAGAATTACTAGCCAGAAAATCAGCAAGAATATAGAATATATGAACAACACTGTCAACCAACAGCATCTACTTGACACAGAACACTTCACCCAACAACAGCAGAATTTGCATTTTTTTCAAGTACTTATGGAACATTCATCAAGATAAGACATATGAAGGTCATTAAAAAACTCAACAAATTTAAAATAATTGAAATCATACAGAGTGTGCTCTCTGACTATAATGTAATCAAATTAGAAATCAATCACGGAAAGACAACTGAAAAATCTCTAAAAACGTGAAAATTAAGCAACACACTATTAAATAATCCACAAGTTAAAGCAGAAAAAGTCTCAAAAAATTAAAAGTACATAGACCTCAATAAAAACAAAAGTACAACATTACATAAAAACATAAAATTACATTTTATGGAACACAGCTAAAGCAGTACTGGGAGAGAAACTTATAGCACTAAATGCTTATATTGGAAGCAAGGAAAACTCCCTAATCTAATATAATCTAATCTAGTTTCTATTTAGAAAAGTCGAATCTAAGTTTTTACCTCAAAATTTTTTTTTAATTGTAACATTTGGTGATTGGTATAATGGCTTTGAAGTTCTAGGAAGAAGTCAGTTTTCCAAATTTCTTCTCAGGTACATAGGTCTTACTCTCCATTATTCTCAGTTCCTAGATAACATTATCGGTATTATTCCTTAAGCTGTTTTTCTAAATATAAAAATCATGATAGACACTCTAGAAACTTTGAAGAAACAGAACAACACAAAGAAGAAAACAACTTACAATATGAGAAAAGAAGCCCATAACAAGTGAAAGAAAAAAATGATGAAAATAGAAATGAATGGAATTGAAAACAGAAAAAAGAGAGAAAATCAATGAACCAAAAAGCTGGTTCAACTGATAAAATTTTAGTAACACTGACAAAAATTAAAAAGAAATAAGGCATAAATTATCAATATCTGGAATGAAATAAGGGATATCACTACAGATCCTGCAGTGTTAAAAAGATAATAAGGGAATATTAGAAGAAATAGACCAATTACTTGAAAACTAAAAACTACCAAAATTCAACCAATATTAATTAGACGATGTGAATAGGTCTATAGCCATCAAAGAATTTGAGTTTATAATTAAAAAGCTCCCAAGTGACAAATCTCCAGGGCGAGAGGGTTTTATTTGAGCATTCTACCTAATATTTGAAGAAGCATTTACAGAAATTTTACAAAATCTCTTCCAAAAAATGGAAGAGGAGGAAATACTTCCCAATTCATTTTATGAGGCCAGTGTTACCCTGATTCTAGAACCAGACAAAGATAAAAGGAGAAGGGGAAATGGAAGAAGGAGGAGAGGAGGGAAAATAAAGGGAAAAGGGAGGGGGAGAAAAGTACTAGTATCTCTCATGAACTCGTATGCAAAAAGATATTAGCATATCAGAGTCAACAATATATGCCCTTTTGCCCCATTAAGAAAAGAACTGCTGCCAAGCTGCATGAACTGTTAGTACCGTCAATAGCTGCCTTAGTTGCAAAGAGCTGCCTTGCCTAAGGTGACACTTTTCCTGAAGCAGTTCCATTTGGTGAACGAGAAAGTTTGGGGCATAAAGACTTACTTATTTTAGTGCAATGCAAAATATTTTGACAAGCCTGTTTTAAGAACTGGGATATGAGGTAAGAAGCTGGTCAAAGGAACACTGGAGCATGAATGCCCTCCCGGATCTAATCGGCTGCCCTATGGGTTCCTCCCCTGGAAGTGTGCCACCACTTCCAGGACTACTGTTCTCTGCAGTACAGCTCTACGTCAAAACTTTACCCACACACTCTACCTCTTCAACATTTATCTGTCCTCTATTCTATTTTTATTTGGCCAACACACTGCTCATATACTTGTTCCACTGGAAAACATGTGCATCAAATTCAGATGGTGTTAGTGGCTAAATGTCTTTACATCTTTCAGAATCATCTGCAGGCTAACATAAGAATCCTAGGACACCACCACTTAACCCCAAGTAATAAGGATGTCTTTAAAAATTCCAATGCCTAGGCTCTACTCTCAAGTAATTAAATCAGAATATTTTGAAATAGAGTCTAGCATCTGTTCTTTTTAACTCCCTACAGGTGATGATGATGCATAGTAAAAGTGGAGAATCACAGATTGAAACATATGAAAGGGGAAAATTTTATCCAATTATGGGATTCTATCAAAAGAAAGAATCTAGTTTCAGTGCAGATATATTTGGCTCTACAACACTCAAGATACTAAAAACAGAATTACTTTAATAAATTGTATTATCAACGTCATCAAGTAATCCGAGCGATTTGTGTTCAGTGGATATCCATTACATTTTTGTCTCTTTGGTAACTTTGCCTTTGGGGAACAGGCCCTCCACCAGCCCTCCAGTCACATGATTGTGATTTCCCAGCCAATAGAGTAAGCGCATGACCCAGCATGGCCAGCCCCTAGACACAGAAATTGATCTGAAATAGAAAACATGACCCGAATAATATTATTAGTGTGTCCTTTTGGAGAGATTTATGTAAATGCTGGGAAAAAGAAGTACCTTCTTCTTTTCAGATAGTTATAACCAAAGTGCTTGGAAACCTGGAGTAAGCAGCAACATCTCTGCTGCCACATGAAAAGAATTATTGTGAAAATGAAGTTGTCTCAGAGACAGCCACATGATAAAGAGAGTCAGAGTCTTGTTGACTGTGTTGGCACCCCTAGATGTAACCCCTTGGGTTTCCCAGTTATCTAGGCCAGTAAATTCCCTTTTTTCATAAAGCAGTTCAACTTAGATTTCTGTTATGTAAAATCAAGTATATTCTAATATATTATGTATGGCCGAGAATCAGCTGAAGTAATCTCATCCTTTGAAATCTCACTAAAATTTATCTGTATCACCTACCCTCCATTCTATAGTAATTCATTGAACTTTCCCAAGATTACTGTAAAACTTGGGAGGAGTTTTACTGCAAGATTACTGCAACTTGACAGGAATTTACAGTTTCCTTGCCTTTAGCTCTAGGTCCTTAGGTTAAATCTGCTGAAACCTGATCATCCCAAGTAGACTTCTCTTTATGCCACACTGATTCATCCAGAGAATTCAGCTCCTTTTCTTTGACATTACCAGAAACCACTCACAAGGTGTGCGTGAATGTGCCTGTGCATATAGCTGAGTTTACTAAAGTTTTAAAGTTATAAAGGGGCTTTATATTACAGAAAAAACAAATAACCATCACTGATTATTAGACATACCTGTTTTAAAAAAGCCATTTAGAGTCCTTAATTTGAAGAGAAATCTCCCACTAGTCACTGTTTTCAACCTTTCTTTATTCCCAACTATATTGCTTGGTGCTCTTCCTTCTCCTTTAGACTTTTACACCTTTTCCAGCTTTCTTATTTTCCTGATATCTCAGCCTTAGGCTACCCTACCCAGAAAGCGAACACCCAACTCTGTTATACTGAACAAATTACCCTCATTCAATGAGTCTCATAGTCACTGTCTCAGTTAAACAAAAAGGCTGTCTGTGCAGATATTGTGTTCAGCAACAAAGAAGAATTGAAAAAGCTTTTAAAATTTCAGTTTCACCTACTATCTCCCCAATTTGAGAGAGGAAATAACAATTTCCTCTCTCAAATACACATATGTTTTGATTAAGAGATCCTGAAGAATACCTCAGTTCTTCATTCTATTGTGCAGTTCTTCATTCTGTTGTGCAGACAGCATCATATGCGTAGCAACTACTTAGTAAAACTGAAGAAATTCTGAGCAAAAATTTCCTTTAGTTGAAATGACCTGAGGTTGTAAGCTGTAGTAGTCCTAGCATGGAGGTTAGAGAGGGTCAGGGGCAGATAGGCTGCAGAATCAGTGAATAGGAACATTTTCCTCTCTGGGGTAAGGTTTCTGAACCTCAGCATTATTGGCATTTTGAACTGGATCACTCTTTGTTGTGGAGGCTTGTCCTCTGCATTGTAGGATATTTCGCAGCATCCCTGAGCTCTATCCATTAGATATCAGTAACACACACACACACACTCACCCAAGTTGTGACAATCAAAAATGTCTCCAGGCATGGCCAAATAGCCCATGGGGGACAAAACTGTTGCTGGTTGAGCAACTAACTGCTCTAAGGAATCACTGTTTGGGAATATACAACATAAAATAAATGGACATAGACTACGACATTATAAAATGTGTACATATAACCTATTCCATCCTAAAACAATGAATAAAACTTTAATTACCTTGATTATGTAGTTTTAAATGATAACCAAAAATCCAATTTAAATATTATGGTAAAAAAGAATGCTTATTCACTATACTAATTTGTTTTAAAAGTAGTCTGGCACACAATTTTGGTAATGATACATACTTTGACACATGCTGGGGGAATTAGTACTTAGAAAGTGCCTTAAAGATACATATACACCATGGAATACTATGCAGCCATAAAAAATGATGGGTTCATGTCCTTTGTAGGGACATGGATGAAACTGGAAACCATCATTCTCAGCAAACTATCACAAGGACAAAAAACCAAACACTGCATATTCTCACTCATAGGTGGGAATTGAACAATGAGAACACAGGGACACAGGAAGGGGAACATCACACTCTGGGGACTGTTGTGGGGTGGGGGGAGTGGGGAGGGATAGTGTTAGGAGATATACCTAATGCTAAATGACGAGTTAATGGGTGCAGCGCACCAACATGGCACGTGTATACATATGTAACAAACTTGCACGTTGTGCACATGTACCCTAAAACTTAAAGTATAATAATAATAAAATTAAAAAAATAAAAAATAAAAAAATGAAAATAAACAAAAAAAAGATAAGACTAATATTAAAATTATTAGTGAAGATTTTACAACCCATATTGTTTTGAAATGGATTTTGCTAAGAGATGTTCTGAATTTCTAAGTGTAAAACCTCTATTCATCCCTCCCTAATTACTTGTTAGTGGATTTTACAGATGTATGACTGGCTGTAGTGCTATATTTATTGGTACTTGATGTTTAAGGCTCATAAAATTTTCGTTTGCAAAAGGTGACCTATTATATTACACTTTCATAACTCATTCAGATTCTTCCCCAAGCCATACTGGATTCTTGATATGAGAACATAAGAAAAAGTGAAAAAAATAAGAGATTGGATGTGGCCTAAGCCAGTGAGACTAAGATGGTAGGTGGTCAGAGGACCAAATTCCAAAGTACTCTAAGAAACATGAATCAAAAATTCACCCAGATCAAAATACTTGAGATTAGGTAGGTTGGCAGTGCTATGGTTCTGAGAAGTTTGTGTAACCTGGAAAATGTCTCCAAGGCATGACTGAAATTATAAAGGGGCAGACCCATAATGTAGAAATTGTAGTTAGGTTTGGTTTCATAGGCATCTCTTGAAGCTCACTGAAAACAGGGGTAAGAAGAATAAGACTAGTTCCACACCTATCCTGCTGGTGAGAATAAAGCTTCCAATACATCCCAGGTGGTCAAATCTGGTTCAGAAAATAGAAACAGCTAAGGCTTCTGGAGGCTCAGAGGCTTCACTTGAGCGTGCTGGAAATAGCAGGCTACCTCTATACAGTAATTAACATGTTCTTGTGCTCTGTGGATCAACAGGGTAGTTTTTTGTAATTTTAAACATGGTTCTGTAGAGAGTGACTTATCCAAGAAGATCCTGACACTCATCAAGACAGTGAAACTGAAAAATATGACTGAATATTACTAACCACATATTTAAACACCTTTCATTAAAGACAAGTTGCTATCATTGACACAGAGATAAATGGAGAAATGGCATTATAAGGGCTAAGGAGAAAGGGAAGGAGAATGTGTCTCCCAGAGAACACTGCAGAATAAACAATTCACCCCAAACATTTCTAATCAAGAGACAAAGGTACTTGGCAAGAGTTGAGGCACTCAGACATTAGCAACATTGGGAATCTGTTACCATCTTTGGAGTCAAAGAAGTAACAGGTTAAAATGAACATTTCAGGGGCTCCATGAGAGATGTGTTTCTATCTCTCTGTATGATCTCAGATTCTACCAGAGACTTATGGCAGACAGGCTCTCTAGTAGAATCTGAAATCATACAGAGATGCAGCTACTATTAGAGATGGAAATTTAAAGTAGGGAGGGAACATGGAATAAATAGCCTGGCTTCTCTCTCCTTCTGCTCTCTGATATCTTTCTGGTGTCTTCCCTTGGCCATACCCTACTGGAAGCCATGTGGCAAGGGAACCCAAATATTGCAGTGCAGAGGAGTCAGCCTTCAGTGTTCCAAATCAGGGGCATAAGGGCAGATAGTGGGTCTAGGTGGGGAGTTAAATGGAGAACAACCAGCAATGGAAATAAACATTTATTGGACATTCATGTAAGAAGATGACACTGGACTAGGCATTTTATCTAATTAAAGTCATATGTAGATATAATTGGTGAGTGATTTGGGGAAATCTTTCCCCAAATATTTTCTGTCTCAGTCTGAAATTTCCACTATTCAGTAAGAGTTGGGTTTATACTGGTGCTCTGACAGTCTTTTGGAAGAGTAGCTCTTTACACAGGTAGGAAACACAGTTTGGCAAATGTTTTCCAAATATCACCCTTGAACAGGGAGCAGGCACATCACATGGAGAAGGCAGGAGTGAGCAAGAGCAAGAGAGATAGTGTGTGTGTATCGGGGATGGCAGGGAGGCACACACTTTTAAATGACCAGATCTTGTGTGAACCCAGAATGAGAGCTCACTTAACACCGAGGGGACGGCCCAAGCCATTCATGATGCATCCACCCCCATGATAAAAATACCTCTCACCAGGGCCCATGTCCAGCATTGGGGATTACATTTCAATATGAGATTTGGGTGGGGACAAATATCCAAACTATATTATTCCATCCCTGGCCCCCCCAAATCTCAAGTCTTTCTTACATTGCAAAATACAATCATGCCTTCCTAACAGTCCCCCAAAGTCTTAATTCATTCTTGTCAATTCAGAAGTCAAAAGTCCAAAATCCAAAGTCTCATCTGAGACAAGGCAAATTTCTTCCATCTATGAGACTGTGAAATAAAGAAGAAGATAATTTCTTCCAAGATACAATCTGGGTATAGGCATTAGGTAAACATTCCCATTCCAAAAGGGAGAAACCAGTCAAAATAAAGGGGCTACAGGCCCCATGCAAGTTTGAAAGCCAACAAGGCAGTCATTAAATCTTAAAGCTCTAATCTTCTTTGACTCCATGTCCCACATACAGGGAACACTGGTGCAAGAAGTGGGCTCTTCGCCCACTTGGGTAGCTCTGCACCTGTGGCTGTGCAAGATGCAGCCCCTACAGCTGCTATCATAAGACCTGGCACAGAACTGTGGACACAGGCAGAGAGGATCTAACACTCTGGGATCTAGGGACAGTGGCCCTCTTCTCACATCTCCACCAGGCAGTGACCCACTGGGTACTCCTAGTCAGGGGTCCACCCCTGCAGCACACTTCTGTCTGGACACACAGTCTGTTCCATACATCTTCTGAAATCTAGACAGATGGTGCCAAGCTCTTTTACTCTCCCACTCTGTGTGCCCATAGGCTTAACAACATGTGGAAGCTAGCAAGCCTTATGGCAGCTTGCACTCTCCAGTGTGGCAGCACGAACAGTATCTTGGGCCCTTTGAACCAGGTCTGGAGCCAGAGTAGCTAAGATGCAGGGAGCAGTGTCCTGACAGGCCTGGTCTGGGAAACCATTCTTTCCTTCCTATGCCTTGGGGCCTATGATGGGAGGAGCCATCATGAAGTTCTCCAAAATGTCTTCCAGGCCTTTTTCCCATTGTCTTGACTATCAGCACTTGGCTCCCTTTTTTAGTTATGCAAATGTTTTCAGCAAGTGGTTGCTCCTCAGCCTGCTTGAATTTCTCTCCTGAAAAAGCTTTTCCTTTCTCTGCCACCTGGCTAGGCTGCAGGTTTTCCAAATTTTTATGTCTGTTTCCTTTTTAAATATAAGTTCCAACTTTAAGATATTTCTTTGCTCCTACATCTGAGTATAGGCTGTTAGAAGAAGCCAGGCCACATATTTTTTTTTTTTTTTTTTTTTTAAGATGGAGACTCACTCTGCTGGCCAGGCTGGAGTGTCATGGCACAATCTTGGCTCACTGCAACCTCCACCTCCCAGGTTTGAGCAATTCTCCTGCCTCAGCCTCCTGACTAGCTGGGACTACAGGTGTATGCCACCACACCTGGCTAATTTTTGTATTTTTAGTAGAGACAGGGTTTTGCCATGTTAGCCAGGCTGGTCTTGAACTCCTGACCTCAGGTGATCCGCCCCCCCTTGGCCTCCCAAAGTGCTGGGATTACAGGTGTGAGCCACTGTGCCCAGGCTACATCTTGAATGCTTTGCTGCTTAGAAGTTTTTTTTACCATCAGATACCCTAAATCTTCACTATGAAGTTCAAACTTCCATAGATCCCCAGGGCATAAACAGAATGCAGCTAAGCTCTTTGCTAAGGAATGACATGTGAAACCTTTTCTCCAGCTCCCAATAAGTTCCTCATTTCCATCTGAGACGTGGACTTCATTGTCCCTATCACTATCAGCAATTTGGTCACAACCATTTAACCAGTTTCTTAAGAAGTTCCAAACTTTCTTTCATCTTCTTGTCCTCTTCTGAGCACTCTAAACTCTTCCAACCTCTGCCCATTACCCAGTTCCAAAGTCAAGTCCATATTTTCAGGTATCTTAATAGCAATGTCCTACCACCCAGTACCAATTTTCTGTACTAGGCCACCTGCAAGCTGGGGAAAGAGAGAAGCTGATAGTGGTTCAGTCCATGTCTGAAAGCATCAAAACCAGAGAAGCAAACATTCTGTGGCCAAAGGTCCAAGAGTCCCAAAGAAGCTGCTAATGCAAGTCCCAGAGTCCAAAGGCTAAAGAACCTGCAGACTGATGTCCAAGGGCAGGAGGAGCAGAATCAAGCATCTGGCACAGGAAGAAGGAAGATACCCATAAGACTCAGCAAGAACTTATCCCACATTCTTCCACCTGCTTTGTTCTAGCCATGCTGGCAACTGATTGGATGGTGTCCATCCACATTAAGGGCGGGTCTTCCTCTCCCAGGGCACCAACTTAATTTCCTCTGGCAACACCCTCACAAAGACGCCCAAAACCAATACTTTACCAGACATCTAGGCATCCCTCAATCCAATCAAGTTGACACGTAGTATTAACCATAGAATCTTTCAAGTGAAGGAGAATATAGGTTTATTTCTTATACCTGTAGCGTTTAGAAAAGTTTTAAAAATTAATAGCCTACAGGCCAAATCTAGCTGTAGATATGTGCTTGTCTCTCAAAATGTTGTCCCCCAGAATGTCTTAAAAGTTTTGAATCAGTTGCCAATTTAAAAATCAGGAGACGCCAAATAAAGCTGCCAAATTCCGGTTTTCTTGAAAAAAATTATAATATCTGGCCCACATTTCTTCAAAAAAACAATAAATGACAGTGAAAGATGGCATGCTTTTCAGTTTTGACCACAGTCCCTACCACACAACTATTGTCTTCACCATGCTCTGGTCACATGCCTTATGCCATTTTTTATAATACTTGAACTTTTAAATTTTAATACCTGGCTTGCCTAGCTCATGTAAATTATCTGCCAAGCCTTTGTAGACATTCGAATTTCCTAAGTTAGAAATACCATCCATGGATAAACTCATCAAGACATAGATTTTCACCTGACTATAAGGATGAGATCTCCAGAGATGGCATTGATTGCCATGAGTGATAACAAGTACAGTGGCACTGAGGATTTCTAAGGGAAGATGGATCACCACTGGGAAAAACTCTGCAGAGGGAATTAAGTGGTCAATGACAATTCTTAAAATTTCCTCCCTGAGACTTTACTGGAGTTCAGACTGTGATCTTTTAAAGTCATAGACTATTACCCACTTGTCTTTGATTTTAGCATAGGTACCAGCATATGTTTGAGGCAAAATACACATATACTATGTCAAATAATACTATGATTCATTAACTATTCTGTGTTTTAAGGCCATAGTGGCTAAATTAAAATTTTTAATCTGAGAAAAATGGTATGTTACGTTTTTGTCATTTATCAACAAATTAATAATCTTATCTGATTACTTAGTCACATAGAAAGTCCCAGCAGTCACAAGAGTCAGACCAAGTAAAGCCTAAAATGTTATGCAGAAGTTCTAAAGGATTTAAAGGATTCTAAAATTATTAAAAAGCTTCCAAATAGTGTTTATCCTTTAACATTTTTTACAGGGATTATTCCAGTGAGTTGCACAATAAGGTCAGTCACTTATAGAAAAAAATGGCTGAGCACAAAAGACAGCAGGAAGAGAATTCTACTAATATTGTAAAAATCTAGTGTTATTTACTCTAAGTCTCTGATTAAATACATTGGCTTAAAAAAATAATTGGCTTAACATTCCCAGTAATCCCTGAATCGGGGGTACACAGACTGGTGTTAAATAATGTCCCACTGTTCTCCCCAGTTCTGTTGTTGTTTTTAATGGACTTCTCTTTGAAATGTGTGAGTGTTTGTGTCTGTGTCAAGAGGAGTTGTGTTCTTTATAATAATGGTAGAAAAAATTGGCTCTATTTAGAAAATTTATATTGTGTACCCATTGTATTATATACCTGTCATTCTTAAAAAAGAAATTGAATAGCTCTATGAGGAACTCAAGACCTCTTTTGTCTATGTTTGACACAAGATGCTGACACGGGGCATAGGTCAACATCACTATTTGGCCTTGTTGCTAGAGCACAGAGCTTTGCTGTAGTCATGAAAGCTACAGTGTTATGAGCAGAGACATTTAAAACTATGAGGTCCACGTAAACTGCACATTTTGGATTTCCTGTCTTTTTAGAATGTCTCTATTTTGAAAGTTTTCTCATGCTACTGGTAAAGTAAAACAGTCCTTGAGCTCTTTATCTTTTAGTTTATTCTTTCCTGTCTTTTTTTTTTTTCCATAGAATTTTAAAAGATCAAATGCCAAGGTAGTTTGTGGCCAATGGGGAAGGAAGCCAAAGAGGTTGTTTAACTTGCTTTTAATCTAGACCACAGAGGAAAAGGCATTTTTGAGACCTAACTATAGGCTGGCCAGCTCACCCAACTTAGTTTCCAAATATCACTTTGGAGTCAACACCTTAGGAAAACAAACAGTCGGCTTGCTTTTTCTCTTGTGCCACTGTAACTTCATACCCACAGGCATTTTCCTGCTTTAAACTTATTTAATGGTTTCTCATCTTGCTGCTATGGTTTGAATAATGGTTTCCCCTCCAAAATTATGCTGAAACTTAATCCCCAATGCAACAATATTAAGAGGGTTGGCCTTTGGGAGGTGATTAAGTCATGAAAGCTCTGCCCTCATGAATGGGAATCACACTTTTATAAAAGTGCTTGAAATTAAAAAGAGCACTCTCTTCCCCATGTGTTTTTTCCACCATGTGAGGATACATGGATACATGTGTCTGGAGGATACAGGAACAAGGCACAGTCTTGAAAGTGGAGACTGGGCCCTCACCAGATGCCAAACCTGCTGGTGTCTTTATCTTGGACTTAACAACCTCCAGAACTGTAAGAAATAAATTTCTGTTGCTCATAAATTGCCCAGTCTATGGTATTTTGTTATAGCAACATGAAAGGACTAAGACAATGCTTAGAATAAAATCTAAACTCTATCTGATAGTCTGTAAGTCCCAACATGATCTAATTTCTCAGATTTTATCTCATACAACTTTCATTTATGGGATTTAGACCATCCCAGTGGTCAAATTTTATCTCATCCTTAAACATACAAAGCTCATTCGTGTCTCATGGATTTGCATGTGCTGTTCCTCAGTTTAGAACACTTTCCCGGAGACCTCTGCCTGGCTGGCTTTTTCTCATTCTTCAAGTCTCACTTTAAATATCACCTCAGAGAAACCTTCCCTAACTACATGTATTTCACACCCACAACTCTCTTTAACATCACTGTCTTGTATTCTTATTAGCACAAATAACTATCTGTCAGTTTATTTATATGCACAATAACAATATGTTGGTTTATTTTTTGTCTTTGTCCCTCCTATAGAACATAAGCTCTAAGAGAGTCCAGATTTAGTGTGAGTCCAATGCCTGGCACTGTGCTGGGCCATGACAGGGCCCTGAAATATTTGATGAATTATAAACAGCATGCATTTGCTAGGAGTGTGTCCATCTTGGTATTTCCACACATAGATACATAACAGGATTTGGGACTCCAGGATCCAACAAATAATGTTCCACACCATCAGAACTACTAGGGATAAGGCACAAGTCAGAATGTGAAAGCTCCACAGAGTAAGGTGGGAGAAAAGAAAGAAAAGCTAATATCAGTTGGGCTGAATCAAGCAACATTCTGCAGAGAAGAAGCAATTCTTATGCATCTTTGAAGATTATGTTGGATTTCAATAGGTAAAGAAAGAAGAAAATGACACACACAAAAAAGAGGAGTCTAGGCATGGTGGCTCACACCTATAATTCAGCACTTGGGGAGGCCAAGGTGGGCGGATCACCTGAGGTCAGGAGTTTGAGACCAGCCTGACCAACATGATAAGAAATCCCATCTCTACTAAAAAAATACAAAAACTAGCCAGGTGTGGTGGTGCACACCTGTAATCCCAGCTATTCAGGAAGCTGAAGCATGAGAATCACTTGAACCTGGGAGATGGAGGTTACAGTGAGCCAAGATCACACCACTGCACTCCAGCCTGGGTGACAGAATGAGACCCTGTCTCAAAACAAAACAAAAATTAAAGAAAGAAAAGAAAAGAAAGAAGAATAACACAAACAAATGATTAAATTTAAAGACATGTTGGAAGATTGAGATTATGTCAATGGAGTGAGTGAGAGGGTTCATAAGTGAATAGTGGGAGAGAAAAATGAGAAAGAAAGTTGGGGCTATATATTGGAAGTTCTGGAATAACAGGATAAAGAGGGCTTGAATATATCTCTCATTACATAATGGGAATCATGAAAGCTTCTATACCCGGGAATATTTTTGTTGCAATGATATTTAAGATGGATTGCAGTGCAGAGAGGTTGAAAAGGAGGAAATCTGTTAAAAGGCTATAACAATAATTTGAATGGCAACATTAGGTGCCTAAGATATAGTTTTGTCAGAAGATGAAACAAAGATATTAATGTCAGAGAGACATACTGGAGGCTTAATCATGTGGATGTGTAGGACAATAAAAGAGAAATTTTCATGAAGCAAATAATGTGACTGATATTCAGGAAAAGGAAAAACAAAACAGATAAGCTGGGTTGGGAAGAGGAAGAACTCAGTTCTTTTACAGGCAGGTGATTTGAGTTGCTTGAAGCACATCCAGACAGAGATGTACTATAGGTAGTTAAAAATGAAGATTCAATTTTGAAGGGAGTTTGGATTGTGGAATCAATCCCTACAGAAATAATGATTTAAACTGTAGAAGAGTTCACTAGGAGAAAAATAAAGAGATCAAGAGACAAAGACAAAAGGCAGAACCTTTAGGAACATCTACCTTCTGGGGTCAGACAGAGGAACAAGAAAACAAGAGGTTTTTTTCAGATGTTTCCAAAATAGATTGAACACCTGCTCTGTGGGTTAAAAGTTCAAGTTCCTAACAATAGTATAAATAAATGCATCTATTTATCTTCCAGCATGACTCTTCCTGCAGGATCGAAAATGTCTTATTAATATCACCTACAACATCCATTTATTATGGCTATTTATTATTCATCTTGAAGTGACAGCACACCTAGCACTTGCTTAAACATTTAGGAAGATAGACTTCCTTCTGTAACAGGTCATATAAAGGGCAACGAGATGTACATTGCAAACTTAAAAAATAAAATTAAGATTTAGGATCTGGTTTTAAAGGCATAAAATTCCTTTGATTGTGTGAATTATTTTTCCCTTCCTCCGAAGAATTTTTTGGAAGCAATTTCATTAGTGTTTATCTACATGAAGGGAATTTTCTACGTGAATTACATAATTCTTTTCGGCTTTTATTAAGGTTTTTATACCACTCTGCACTTCAGTCTCTAAGTCTCTGCATGAGATCTACAGCTGCTAAGCGGTCAGTTGCCAGAAGAGAATGGAAACTATGAGGAAAGGGTAGACATGATGGAATACACAAGATTCAAAATAATATCAATTTTTATAGCCCAAAGACTTGTCTTTTTAGAAGTTGTTACTTTTTCTTTTTCTTACTTAATCTTCAGCTTGATTAATGGCTTCAAAGTTAAAGGCAACAAAGGCTATTTCTACATAGCCAACAAGCCTCATTTTATGTTCCTTAGATCATTGGTTCTCAGAGTGTGGTCTCACTGCCAGCAACATCAGTCTCACCTAGGAACTTGTCAGACATGCAAATTTTCCAGCCCCCACCTCTGATTTAGGAATAATTCTGAGGTAGGCACAACAATTGTCTTTTAACACTCCCTCCTGGTGATCGTGCTTTGAGAACCATTGCCTTAGACCACTGATAAAAATTCCAAGGAGCATTTCATCACCCATAAGATGAAAATCTCTATCCTAAATCTCATCAGTTCATATCATTTCCAGATGATAAAACTGATCTTTCTGGTGTATCTCATGGCTTTCTCCAATTGGATGGTGTCTTATATTTGTCAATAAAAGAACTACAAAATGGTGATCAATAAAACATATAAGGCTAATAAATAAGAATGTGATTCCAGTTTAATGATCCAAGATGGCATGGTATAGGAAATTCAATGTTCACAATTAATATTAGATAAATACTTAGGACATGTAAAAAATTACCATTCATGTTAAGAAATGTTAATGAAAACTTTTGATCTTAAAATAGAGTCATGTGTCTTTTAATGACAGGGCTATGTTCTGAGAAATGTGTCCTTAGGTGATTGTCATCGTGCTACCACAGAGCACAATTATACAAATCTAGATGGTATAGCCTACTATATATCTAGGCTACATGGTATATATTACTGCTCCTAGACTATGAACATATAGAGCATGTTATTGTATAGGTTTGAACCATATAATACTAAATACTGTTGGTAATTGTAATGGAAAGTTATTTGCGTATCTAAACATAGAAAAGTAAAAATAAGGTGTAAATGATTAAACATAGTACAATTGTGTAGGGCACTTACCATAAATAGAGCTTGAAGGACTGGAAGTTGTTCTGGGTGTCAATGAGTGGTGAATGAATGTGGGCCTAGGATATTATTGTACACTACTGTGAATTTTATAAACACTGTACACTTAGGCTACACTAAATTTATTTTAAATCATTTTTGTCCTACAGTAATAATTAACTGTAGCTTACTATAACTATTTGCTTTATAAATGTTTTAATTTTTTAACTTTTTACTCTTGTGTAATAACACTTAGCTTAAAACATATTGTACAGCTGAACAAAAGTATTTTCTTTCTTTATATCCTTATTCTTAAAGTTTTTCTGTTTCAAATTGTTAAATTATTTTTTTCTTTTTCAACTTTTTTAAAAAAAATTAAGACACACACACACACACACACACACACACACAAACACACACACACAGAGTAGTCTAGTCCTACACAGGTTAGGATTATCAATATCACTGTCTTCCAGCTCCACATCTTGTCCCACTGGAAGGTCTTCAGGGGCAGTAACAAGCAAGGAGCTGTCATCTCCTATGATAACAATGCCTTCTTCTGGAATACCTCCTGAAGAACCTGCCCCAGGCTCTTCTTGAGGAGTAGGTTAGTTTGCACTAGCATCACCACAAACACATGAGTAATGCATTGTGCCAAAACCTTATGATGGCTACAGCATCACTAGGCAATAGGAATTGTTCAGTCTAATTATAATTTTATGGGACAACCATCATATATATAAAACATCATTATGTGGGACACGACTATTTTCTTCAAGCACTTCCATTAAAGTGACAAAAAGAAGTAATATTTTGACTATCGCCATATTCCTGAGGATAAAGCTAATACACAATCCTAGTGCTATTCTTTATTATTAGGAGCCAGGGCTTCTCAGGGACTAAAACCTTAGGTACCAATAAAGAGCAAACAATATGGATATGGAAAATCTCGTCACTTTTAAGCAAGAAACTTTCAAAAATGTCTCAGAAGTAATGCTGAAAAGACAATGGAGACAGCTTATGGGGGTGCTCACAGTATAATAATTTGAACAAGAATAATTATAATTTATTGGAATAACTTATGTCTGTGAAAAGCCTTCACATACTTCAGTCTATAAAAGTACCTAACAATGAAACAGTAGATGTACAAAGAGGTCATTGAAAAACAAAAAGAAAGATATATTTATTTTTAAAATATTTTTAATAAGTATGTCAGAAAATTGACATGTGCAGATGTTCGGTTTCTTTATTTGATGTATATTTCAATATCTATATTTTTCTCAAGAAATAGGAAAAAAATCTACAGTGAATGTTAAGTCAAATAACTCAAGAAAACTTGTGGATTTATCTTGGTAGACCAGATGAGTTATCAGCTCCTATGGTCATTCATAACAGTTAGGAGAAAAATTCCAGTGGTGTGTTGGAAACTGACATATGATGCAGTGATCACAAGAAGAGAATCTGCTGCCCAGACTCATCCCTTCATCTCTTGGATAATGAAATCACTAGATGCTTTTATCAAAAATACTGAGAAACTAAAGCATCATGAAGTAAAGGCTTACTGCCTGGAACTAAGATTTGATGGACATGGGAACCTTCAGAAGAGGTTCCATGTTTCTAGTATAAGACAAGAGCTTCCAACAGCCATTGACATAGCAACTGAACTCTAACTCTCAGAAAAAAACTCAAGCTGGAAAACACTGGCCCAGGACTGGCTGTATCAACTTTGAAGGGATCCAATAAAATCCCATGTATCGACCAAAAATCATGTGGTTCATAACCCAGAATCTGCAAAACCAACGGGGCCGAGACTACATTCTTTTTCTTTCAAGTCTCCAAGATTACTGAAACCTAGGAAAGTATAAACAGTTAAGTATAAAAAAACAAGGAAGGTATAAAACAAGTTTGTGAATAATGGAGACATAAATCCATTGTATAAATGCTACTTAGTAGCTTAAGTGTAGAAATAAAAATTTTGAATCCCATTGTGACTGTGATTTTGATTGTGTTTGTGCATGCACATGTGGGTGCCATCTGCTTTTAAAGTTTGTGAAACTTAATGAAATTGGTAAGTATTTTATTAAAATACTTAGGAGAATTTGTCTAATTAAATTTGTAATCAGCATTTAAATATCTAAGATTATTCCATTCATAAGATGTGTTTTATTAGTAGCAACAGCATTTAAATGTTTTTCTAAAAATTAAAAATTAATAAGATTAAAATGCAAGCATTAAAAAGGTACCTATAATAGTGTTTCCCTGCATAAAATGTTCTTGGTCATAAAAACATCCTAGAAACAATGTTATTCTCTGATTTTTTTTCCTCATAGGAATCTAGCCCCTGAACATCTAAGCATGCATCCAAGGATGGGATTTTGATTTTCCTTGCCTCCTCCAGTAAGCATAAGGCTGGGTGCACACTACTAATGGCTTAAAATTCCATTGGAAATCTATAAAATAGTTTCCCTTATCTAGTTTAATTATTTCAAGTAAAAATGGAGTAGACACCTAACATGAAGAAAGCTCTGTTGTCAGTCACATAGTGAAAACAAAGATGCATAAAATATAGCCCCACCCTTCAAGACGTTTGCAAGAGTGAGACAAAAAGAGTTAAGGCAGACTGATAAATACTATTAATTCCTCTTACATCACCAATAAAATAAACAGAGACTCCTTTACTGAGAACCCCATGGAGAAAACATGTTTCTTGGTGTGTCTCCTTCCAACAAAACAAGTAAATTCAGTGTGTGATGTCTATAAAGAAGATTCAGTCACATTTTCTCACTTTACAGGGCTGACATTTTCAATGTTTATTTCTAAAAGCAGTAGTGGGTCAGTCTGATATGCTTTCTAGAGCATCATAACTTGAACTTAGAGAATTGGTTCTAGTTGATAATAATAATGGCAAAATGAAATCCCATTTATAATACTGCCATACTAGAAAAAACAAACCTCTTGTATTACATGCCTGATCAATGTGTTAGCTACTCCACACAATATTCAATATTCCCACAAAAATGTCCCAGTACAACAAAGGTTTGCGACAGATAGCATCTTGGAGTCTCCTGTAATGGGATTTGACAAGAGCCAGGCACTCTAGGCAAGTTCAATCAATGTTAATTGAAGCAGAAGTGATTCAAAGGCAAATAGGAGTCCTTGAGAGGTGAGAGAGGGGCTTTGGGATTGTGACTCTCTCCTTTTCCCATTACCCCCTTATATTTAATTACTTGTTCTAGCCTGTGAATTGTAATTTGATTTGCCATCAGGTGATTCTTGCCTGGTATTAATATCATGTTAGTTCAGTCTTTCATTTAAAGAAAAAGTATCTCATAACTTTTTTTTATTATTTATTTATTTTTTTGAGACGGAATCTCATTCTGTTGCCCAGGCTGGAGTGCAGTGGCACGATCTCGGCTGACTGTAAGCTCTGCCTCCCGGGTTCATCCCATTCTCCTGCCTCAGCCTCCAGAGTAGCTGGGACTACAGGCGCCACTACCATGCCCAGCTAATTTTTGGTATTTTTAGTAGAGACGGGGTTTCACTGTGTTAGCCAGGATGGTCTCGATCTTCTGACCTCGTGATCTGCCTGCCTTGGCCTCCCAAAGTGCTGGGATTACAGGCGTGAGCCACCACGCCCAGCCCAAAGTATCTCATAACTTCTGAAGGTGCCTATTTTGCAAGAAGGAAATTGTTCTCTGGCAATTGAGTCTCAGGTTTTAAGGTCCCCCTTCCTGTTCTTAACCCCTTTGATATTAGCAAAATATCAGTAGAAGGACAAAGAAAGAGACTATTTAAAGTATTGAATGATACTGTTGTATTTCCTCTGGTGCATTATTACATCTATAATTGACCAGCACCAGAACTTTGAATTTGCTTGGGCTTCTCCCAGAAGCAGACTCTAAGATAGGAATGTTTGTGCAAATTACTTACTGGGGGAGTGATTCTAGGAAGCAATGGTTAAGAGTTGAGAACAGTGTGAGATAGAGAACGAAAGGTGGCCAACAAAAGTAGGCTAGCAACTAGTTAACACCATGGACAACTGGAGCATCACCTCACAGAAGAACTCAGAGCCAGTATAGAACATGCCTCCTTCAGTCCACCAAGGGGTGAGGGGCTGGGGTATTTACATCCCAACAGTCTTCAGTCATTGGTTGAGGGCTAGTCTCAGGTGGGGCAAGGAATACATGCCCTAGCACTTCTGGCCTATGATGTACAAAGGTGCCCCAGTTAAAGGAAGCCCTAAAAAAATTGGACAGTATGCCAGTTGCAGCTGCTACAACTTGCTTGGAAATATGTAACCTGCTTTCAATTCCAGTGGTCCTTCAAACAGATACACCATATTACCACCCTCTGGATAAGCTGTTGGAGGGAATTGGAAAAAGGTTATTTCAGTCTGACATAAGGGACATCCTTTGATCAAGACTTTGGGAACTAAGGTTAGAGTCGGCATTGTTTTGCTCAAGAATCTAATATTGTTTCTCTTTTAGTTTGGTACTCTCTCAGTTACCTGTCATATAGCTTTTGGGCTCAACATTCACAAGCATTAGGACTTTCTCTGGATATGATACACTGAAACCTCAAACTGCTAAATAGAAAGTAGAATTCAGCATAAGGTAGGCTTAACCTGGATCCCATTTAGAAGTGA